>NC_000002.12:119989618-120614618 GCF_000001405.40 Homo sapiens | reverse complement strand
GGTGAGTGGGGCCAGCCTGTCTGAATTAGCACAGCCGGTTTCCTCTAGCGCAGGTTTTTCCACAGCGGAAGAAGATTCAGGATGGCGGGGAGCGGCTGATTGCCTTTGGGGTCCCTCCGTGACTCAGAGCGTTTTCCAGCTTGTTGAACTGGGGCCATGCTGTGTGAAGTTTTCTCCTGACGCTCTGACGGATGCATAATGAATAGGGAATTTAATCCATATGCTGATGACTCCTCTACCCTGAACTCATCCGCATGCGCTCCTTAAGAGCCCTTTGATGTCCAGCAGGACGCACAGCCTTTTTATGAGATGTTTTATGCTCTCTCCCTGCACTCCCCACCCACCACTCGCCGGTTATGTTTGAGGAACGGAGGTTGTGTTTCTAAGAGTCTAAATAGACTCAGACCTTGAGAGACTCAAGTTCTAAATTTGAAGCTCGTGGGCTTCCCTTGGACTCGAGCCCTGGCAGCCCTTTCCCTTCCAGCCCGGGGCCTGGCGGCACAATTCCAGAGGCCTGGCTTTGCATGCACGGATGGCAGGCGGGGTGAGGCGGAGCCGGAGGAATCAGGGGGCAAAGCTCTGGGCCTTTCTCCTCACCTTCAGGGTGCTGCCAGCCCTGGGCACAGGCGGTGTGAGGGCGGTGAAGGAAGGAGCTGGCCCTTGCCCTCCCTGCCCCAGTCTCTCTGCCTTCAGCCACATCACCCATGCCATTCATTCCATTGGGCTAACGCATTTTCTCCCCCCATCTCCGGTAGCATTGCAAATATGTATGATCTGCTCAACCCCGAACACTTATTACGGGCTCCTTTTTCAGCTGGGAGAAGTTCTTGGGCAATGGGACACAGGACGGCAAATTTCCATGAGAGGACAGGAGTCCCTGCTGAGAAGAAGGGCGTTGGAGAGGGGAAAGAGAACGCTGGAGGCTGAAAGCCAGTTCTAGGACCCCTAGCTGGCCCTGGGATTTTGGGGGTCTGGACTGGGCCTGGGAATCGGGGTGGGGGTGGGGGTGAGGGTAGGACCAACTCAGGTTGCAGAAGATAGAGCCTCCAAACTAGAGTGGCCATGCTCAGAAGAGAAGACAAGCCTGGGGTCCGTGTGTGTGCACGCACGCGTGTGCTGGGGTAGAGGGCGTTTTCCTGAGCTTTGAGTATGGACTGAAGTCACTTTTAGTAGCCAATTAGCACTTTGACCCTGGGGAGGATGGCAGCTGTTAAATGCTGGGGCCCAGAGTGGCACCAAGAATCTACTTTGAAGAGGGAGCAGGGAAGGCTGTCAGAGAAGAGAGAGTTTTGGTCTGAAGTTTGGAGATGTAGGGGTTCTCTGGGGATACAGGGGTGAAGAACGAGAAGGGGGAGGAAAAGGAGACTCAGAGATGTGCAATAGGTGTTTTGGGGGTGGCTTATGCAGTGGAGAAGGTGTTCTGTGCTTCAGCTAACAGAACTGTGTGTCCTGGTGCCACGGAGGCGGGTCACACCTGTTGCACAGAAAACCGACACCTGGAATTACTTTAGCTCATTTCCGCCTGGTTTTCATCCTCAGCTGGCAAAGCCACCCTGCTCTGTGTCTCCGGGACACACCCTGTTTGGGAATGTTGGTAATCCTGTGACCCCATGCGTCTCCAGCTCCCCACTGCCACCCCACCTGAAGATGGGGACAGGGGGCAGAGAGTTTTGTCCCTTTCCTTGCATGGTAGATGAAGCAATAGAGGATTGGAGAGATGATATGGTTTGCCTAGGGTCACACAGCAAGCCAGAGGCTTCTGTCCCAGAACCACATCTCCCAGAGCTCGTTGCTGCTGCATCTTCCCTGGGCTCCTGCTGGCTCTGTTTCTCTGGGGCGGGGGCAGTGGTGGGGGGCACCTGACAGGTCTGCATGCGGAGCCCACCTATGAAGACCAGCTCGATGGCTCCTGTCCTTAGGAGCCCACTCTCAGGTGGGGGACAGACACAGAAACAGATGCAGGTAACGTGGTGTGATAGATGCAAGAAGAGAGGCGACCCCATGCAGGGTCCCCGAACCCAGGCTGGGGGAAGAATATGGGAAGGTGTTCTGGGAAGGCTTCCTGTAGGAGGTGAGGCCTGAGTTAAAGGAGAAAGGGGAGCAGGAAGAGGAGAGGGGAGCCAGAAGGAGGTTACAGGTGTTAGGAAAGTGAAGTGCAAAGTGGGGCTTGGTGCAGGGAGTGGACAGTTGTGACCAGGGAAGCCGGGGGGATGAATCAGCTTCTTCCCTGGGAAAGCGGGGCCTTCTGAGCCCTGCTGGAGTGTCTGCACTTTGTCTTACAGGCCTTAGAGACAGACAAGTGTGCATCCAGAATGATCTTCCCTCCTGGGGAAAAGCGGGCTGGGAAGCGGAAGGGCTGAGGCAAGACACCAGTGAGGGGGCTGCGAAAGGGATCCTGGAGAGGAGAGGGTGCACGGGAGCAGAGAGACAGGACACGCTCAGGAGCTACGCCCGGGTGTAACCGGCAGGATGTGAAGATTGTTGGTGGGGGAAGCGGGGTTCCAGGATGAGCCCGGATGGAGATCCAGGTGAAGCGGGCTGGGAGCCCAGCATGGCTGGTTTTGTGCACTTTGGGCTGGAGCACTGGAGAGGCCCCTGAGGCCCCTCGGGAGCGGCTTTTCTGGTGTGGTCCAGAAGAGCTGAAGAGCTCAGGGAGGTCCATGTCCTCAGAGGAGGCTCAGGATGGGGTTGGGGTGAGCTTTGGATGAGCTTTCAAGCCTTAAAAAAGGGGCTTGAAATTGAGGGAAGACCAAAGCCCTTGAGAGACACCCCTATCTCCCCTGCTCCCCTCCCAGCCTAGCTGTGAGCATGGCACAGCCAAGTGAACATTTGCAGAAAGAAAGGGAAAGGAAGGGGAGGAGAGAAGGGAGGCTTCAGCAGTCATTTCTGCTCCTCCCATGAAGGCAAGAGCTGGAAGGTGTCCTAGTACATACAACTCCTCTCGGCAGGCCCATGGGAGGGCCTCCGTGTCTGACAGCCACACCCTCTACTTGCGTAGCACCTTGGGGGCTACCTCCTGCCCCTTGGAGGGAGGGATCTAGGACAGGGAGACTCCTGGTTGCAGGTGCTACAACAGCCAATTGAAGCCTCGATTTCTAGCTTCAAGGTGGAACCAGAAGCAGGTTATGTCCATTTGGAATGATGAGCCTTTCCCAAAGTCAAAGGCTTAGAGGGGAGTGAAGCCAGGACAGCTTCAGCACAGCTTCCCAGGCATGTGGACCTGGGGGTCGGGAGGGGAAGCAAGTGGTTTCTGAGTAAGGAAGCAAAGGGCCGCCTTCCTCACCCACCCAGACGTGGCCAGCACATGCCTATGGCAGAACCGAGGCTGGCTCAGCTCTGTCAGGAACTGGGGCAGCCTCCAGCAACTGGGCACCAAGGATGCCTGGAAACAGGCTTGCCTTCTGTGGTCAAGGGAAATACACGTCCTTCAGGAGGGCTCAGCAGACACACAGCTGCCACTGGGCCAGGCGGGGTGGCTCATGGCTCTGGGTGTTTCAGAGAGTTAGGCAATGTGCCCTTTCTATTCATGGGGTCAGCTGGGTGGAGTCCTGCCTCACTTTTGATGAAAAGGTTTGGGCAGCTCTGCCAGGCACAAGTGACTCCATGTCCCCACCAATCCTCTACAATTATATTGCTAAAGATCAGTCACAATATTGCAGCATACCAAACATGGCATTGGGAACTAAGTTCAAAGCACCACGTCACAACCGACACGTGTCTGCCAGCTTTTCGGATGAAGCTTCAGCCAATTACAGGACAGCTGGATGCCTCCAGAAAGGGTCTCATGACTTCTGGGCATTCGTTTGGGAGGGCTGGGTCTCCGAAAGCCCCCTCCCGTTTTGAGGCCTGCTCACCCCTCAAGGAGCATCACGAATGGTCCAGTGGAACAGCCTAGGGATCTCTGAGGATTCTAATCTCAGAGCTATGACTCTTCCAAAGTGGGACCTTGAGCAAGTCACTCAGCTCTCTCATCTGTCAAATGAGTAAATATCTTTGGGTCCACTGTCTTCCAGGGCTGTGAAGAGAATCAAATGAGCCCATAGATGAGAAAACTAATTTGAAAGTTAAAAAGGTCTTTCCACAACTCCTCCGCCTGAGCTGACCCTGAAATCTCTGAAAGCCACAGTGTTCATTTCCTGTCTGGGGCCGGTTCTGTGGCCCTCCTGGGCTCCTCTTAAAAAGCAAATGACGCTGCAGCCAGGGGTTGGAAGGAACAGCCCCATTTCAGCCCAGGTAAGCAGCGTATATATTCCTCCGCACGCCACCTCCTACCGAGGGTCATTTGACTTTCTATCAGCAGCGGCTAATGACATGAGGAGACATAACCCTGGTGGGGCCCATTCCTGCCCCTTCCCATGTGGCCTCGCTCATAGTTGGGGGAAGTCCCAGGGAAGCCTCTGGGCTGTAAAACAATGAGACGATTCCTTGGCAGGAAGTGGATGCTGTCCCAGAGGGTGCAGACTTTTCCCTCATTGACCATCCCATGAAGATCCTGTCTTTACTGCGAGCATGGGAGGAGGCCGACGCCTGTGGAGCTGGGCTTTTCTAGAGAGGCATCTGAGCTGAGGCCAACCCCGCCGGGCTGTATTTATTCTTTCCTGCAGGGCCTCATCTGACAGATGTCTGCAGAGCCCACAATGAGGAGCAGGCATCACTCAGTGCTGGACAGCATTAGACCAAAAGGGCCCCAGGGGCCTAGCCTGTCTGACTCCAGATTCACATAGCTTCCTTGGCCCTCATCTTTGCAGCCCTGGCCCCAGCCAGGGTCCCCTCCCCCAGCAACAGTCGTTCTCAGGTGTGTGTTGCTATGTAACCCTGAGGACCCAGACAAGGGTTGGCCTTCCAGCCTTGTTTGCATCCAGTGTGCTTGGGTCCCATAGGCCCTGGGACACTGTGGTTCTGAAGGACCCAACCTATGTTGCCCTGGAGGCTGGCCACTTCTTCAACAGCCCCCAGTCAGTCTTCCTCCCTGGTGAGACTTGGTTTTGCTGTTGTCCACACTCACTCCATGACTCAAGGGTAAATCCTAATTATTCTAAGCCAAACATGGCTCTTCATCAGTGATTGGTCTAGAGGTAGGCCTGTGACACAATTCTGGCCAATAAGATGTGAGGGGAAGCATGCTTTGGGAAAGGTTTCTCACTGATAAAAAAGACACATAGGGAGAGGTGTTCTCTCTCTCCCTCAATGGTGTCATTTGTATGTGATGCTTGGAACACTGGCAGCCATACCCACACCATGAGGGGTGTGAGTCCGAGGACAAAGCTAACACACTGAGTGGGGGACAGACTTGAAACATGGAAGGAGCCTGGGCCCACCATGATGTCACTGAATTGCTAAATTAATCAACCTTGGTGCTGCGCTTCCTCAAGAGTTCTTGTCATGTGACATTTTCCTTGGTGACATTGGGGTTGAGTTTTCTGCTCCCTGCAGTGGAAGCCTCCACACTGCCTCAATCCCTGTCTCCACCTGCTCGCAGCCCCTTTCCTCCTCTTTAGGAGCCACAGAGATCTGTCAGGTAGCCTCATACTCCATTAAAAACAATGACAATCTCAGCGCTGTGGTTATATTGCGTGGAATTGCCCCAAAGATGTGTGGTTTGGTGATTTGGATGCTGGTAGCATGAAGCCCCTGCACCCCCAAAGGCCTTCTCCAGAGGGAAAGAGGGCCTCAGGACCCTCCCACTCCCTGGCCACCCCACTGTTTTCCACCCCCAGCCAGGAGTGAGACCTGGGGGATCCTCAGGCTCATCCCCACCTGAGTGTTGGGATCATCCCTCTGTAGTTGGCTCCACTGTGAGCCTCCCTGCTCCAAGGGCTTCCGTCTTCCAAGGGGCATTGCAGCTGTTGCTCACACCCCTCACCCCCAGGGACCAGGGCTTTTCTATCTCTGCCACAGCAAGCAAGTGGGCCTGTCTCCCCACCATTCAGCCAGAGGTTGGATTCACCCAGGATCTCCTCCAACCAGGGAACAAGCAAGGCTTCTGGGAGAACCAGGGGTCATGGTCTCAGGAAAGCCTCAGGGATGGCAGAGTGCAGAGGCAGCCTTCTGTGGCTCTAGCTCCCAGGAGCTCCCTCAGGGGTGGGAGTGCTAGGGGGAAGCTTAGAAGCAAGGAAGAAAGCTGTGGTCAGGGCTGAGGTTCTGGTGGGGGACAAGCCAGCAACAGGGGTGACCGCTGCACTGGGAGCTCCTTGGGGTTGGGAACCCCATCCTTCTCTCCAAGCTGTCCCATGTCTGACATGGCTTAGGATGGGTGTCCCATGGGTATACTCATTCATTCATTCAACATGCCAGACATAGGACTGCACTTGTGATCTCTCGCATCCAGGGCTGGGGCCCCTTCCCACACCCACCCTGCTTCCCTCTCCCACCCGCCTCTACCCTCGGAGGACCTGTCGCCCACCTCACTCCTGAGTGTGCCCCTCCACATGGCCCCTCCTGATGGGGGAAAGATGGCAGGCCCCAGGCCTGGGACAGCACCTGTTCCCTCCAGGGGAGGCATGACTGAGGGAACTTGGCCTGGGACCTCCCCTGCTCCCCCTCTATGCCTCAGCTCCTGCCAGCCTATCTTTGCTTGCCAGTGCCCCTGACATCCTGAGCCCCCCTGGGTTCCCTGACCTTGGGCACCTGGCCTGGCTCCCTTTACTCACAAGGTTCCCTGGCCCAGGTTCCCCAAGAATGGGCTGACCTGTTTGTCTTTGCTGCCGGCTCCAAGAGGACTGATAAAGATGATTCTGGGAGGCTTCACTTGACACTTCTTAAGAAAACAATCAGTAAAGAAATGAAAGGGACACAGGGGAGAGGGCAGGGGCCCTGGGTGGGACCTCGGTCCTTAGGCCCGGGCAAACTTGGACACCTTCCCCGACCCTCTGAGCTCTGCCCACGGGGTGGGGCCGTGATATCTCAAGGCAGAGTGGCTGGGAGGACTAGCTGAGCTGTGCTGGAGGCATGGTGAAGGGCTTGGTGCAGCTGCCTGTCTGTCTGCAGGGCTGTCGCTATGAGGTGGACCACACGGTCAGAAGAGAGGGCTGTGGATAGAAGCCAGCATGGGCATTTAGCTCCGTGATTGCAGGCAAGCCAGGGAGCCACTCTGAGCCTCAGTTTTGTCACCTGTAAAATCTCAATAATAGCAACTCTCTGATGGGATAGTGAACAAAAGTGAGCTAAGCCCTGGGTAACCTGCCTGTGCTGGGTCTGACACTCAGTGGCGCATCCCCCCAATTACCTCTTCTCTTTCCTGAGCTTGAATTCAATGCATTACCCATCCCCACTGAAGTTCCAAAAGAGAACCATAGCACTTTTCTCCATCCTCCTGCTCTATGCCCTGGCTGCCCCTTGGGGATCAGCTCAGGCATCCATCCTGGGGCCAGCCCTGCCACGCCCTCCATCTCTTGGTTTGGCTCTGGGCTCTTCACCCTGGGCCAGCTCTGCACGCCTCCCGGACTGCCTCAAGGCGTTGGTGACAACTGTTTTTGGCTGACACGCTCTCACAGTCTCCCACATAAGGGGAACCATGAGGCTGGTGCCCAGCCTCCTCTGGCTCAGCCTGCTCTTATCTGGGTGGGGCACACTTGCTGCCCCTCTGCACAGCTCATGTGGTGGCGGGGGACCAACCTTCTCCAGAGACTGGGAGGGAAACATGCACTCCTGGCCTCCTGCTAACACAGGGCTCACAGCCTCAGTCCTGGTGGGTGGTAGGGAGGAAAGAGATGTCTGCAGTGGGTGGGTCCTGGGGAAGGTATGACCTGGTGCTAGAGGATGAGGGTACAGATGGCCTTTGGAACATGAGGGTGCCTCTGTCCGCAGGCCCTGCTTGCTAGGGTCACTGTGGGTAGGGTCGTCTGCTACTCGTAGCTGAAAACTCTCCTGGCAGGCTTCACAAGGGACAGCCTGACCTCACCCCCTCCCTCATGCCCTGGAGTGGCAGCTGTATCCTCACTGCCCTGGTGGCACCTGATGCCCCTTGTAGTGTTGAGTTGGGTGAGGGGGCGGATTCTGTGTATCCCGTTCTGGTGGCACCAGACCCAGGCAGCAGACCTGGGTGTCTGTCCAGGCTCCACCTCTCCTGGCCGTGTGGCATAGGCAGGTCACTGAACCTCACGCCATCATCCCCGAATCAGGAGAGCGTGGTCTGTGGCACAGATGTGTGAGTGTGGCAGATCATCAGGTGTGCCAGAAGCAAGTGACAGGCCGGCATCCGGCCCTGGCTCGGTGTCCGCATCCCTTTCAGGCTCTGCAAGCAGCCTCTGCCCACCTGGAGAGCTGACAGGATCAGGCAGCACCAAGGGTCTTAGGAACAGAAACGCTGGTGATCAACAGCTGCCATAGGTCAGCGAGGGTCCCCCATCCACAGACAGGTTCATCACCAGGCACAGGAAGTGCAGCAGGGAGAATCCAGAAGATGCTGTATGTTTAGTAAACAGTGGGGTGGAGGTCGCTGAGCTCAGAGGGACAGACCCAACGGCATTTTCAGCCTTGCCCTGTTTCATTCACCCCAGCTGCCCTTGATGCTGTTGTTCCTCTTTTATCTGTTCCTTCTTGCTTATTAAAGATCTTCTTGTCCCTAGAATTCAGAGGTCCCATCTCTCCAGCTTCTCTTTCCCTATCCCTCAGCCTCTTTCCTGGGGGCCTCATACCCTGACTGTTGTTTGATGCTATTTATTGTTCCCTGGTCCCGTCACCGGCCCCATCTGTCCCAGCTTCCTCTCCCCTCCCTTCCATTTCCGTGTCCTCCTGTCTCCTTCCCTTCCTTCTCCTTTTCTCACTTCTCTCCCCACCCCCTTCCACCTCACTCTGCATTCTCCCTGCTAAGCTCATAGCTGCCGGATGAGTGTGTGAGTGTGTGTGTGTGTGTGTGTGTGTGTGTGTGCAGGTGCAGCTGGATGAATTGACCTGAGGAGGAGGTGGGGTGGCGGGCAGGAGTGCTCTTCAGAGCAGTTGACCTTGCTGCCATTTGGAGATGGATTGGAGGAGCCAGGCTGAGGGGAGTGGCCCAGGTTGCAGCTGATTTCAGCGTCCAGGAGAGAAAGCGCACAGTCAGGGGATGGATGTGAGAAGGTGTCTTCCGCAACTGTGCAGGGGTAGAACCCACGCCCTCAATGACCCACAGGCAGGTGATGGGGATAGGGGCAGGCAATAGTCAAGCATGGCCCCTGGGGTCTGCAGAGGAGGAGCAGAAGACTGGGGAGAGGGTAAGAGCTCACTTCGGGACACATTGGAGTGAGGCTCCGATGGGGCGCCTGGAGGTGCAGGAGTTGGGGTTCACTGGAGGCCAGGACAGGTCTTGAGCTGGAGTTAACCTGAGTCATTCTCAAATGCACACAGAAGGCCTACTGCCTGCCAAGCACTGTGCTGGCTATACCAGCTACACCACTGCACATGGGGGCAGTCAAGACCATAGGAATGAGAGTGAGGGGTGGCCCCTGGGCACCCACATCAAAAGGCTGATAAGGAAGATGTAGCTATGTGTGTGTGTGTGCACAAATGCACATACACACACACACACACACACACACACACACTGCACCAAAGTCCTTCATCTAAAGCTTCCAGTCAGATTCAGAATAAAGTGGCACCCTCCCCTGTGGCCTCCAAGGCCTGTGATGTGGCCCACACTCCTGTTCACCTTGAGCCGTGGGCTGCCTTGCTGTTTCAGTCCCCTCCCAGACCCTGGCCCTGCTGTCCCTCTGTCCGCAGCACTACCACCCTGGCAGCGATGGTGCTCACTCCCCCACACTATTAGCATCTCTGACTTAGACTGTCTTCTCCGAGGGGCCTTTCCTGACCTCGTCATTGTGAATATGGCCCTATGTGATGCCCTCCATCCCCGGACTCTTGAGTTTTCCCCACACTACCTGAAATTGCGCTAACTGCAGATGTTAGTCCATTGTGGACTGCTGTAAAGGAATATCTGAGACTGGGTAATTTAAAAAGAAAAGAGGCTTATTTGGTTCACAGTTCTGCAGGCTGTACCAGCATGACACCAGCATCTACTCAGGTTTGGTGAGGCCTCAGGAAGCTTTTACTCATGGTAGAAGGCAAAGGGCGAACAGATGTGTTACATGGCGAGAGAGGGAGCAAGAAAAAGAGGGGGAAGTGCCAGGCAATTTTTTTTTCTTTTTTTTTTTAATTGAGACAGAGTCTCGTTCTGTCGCCCAGGCTAGAATGCAGCGGCGGGATCTCGGCTCACTGCAAGCTCCGCCTCCCGGGTTCACGCCATTCTCCTGCCTCAGCCTCTGGAGTAGCTGGGTCTACAGGTGCCCACCACCACGCCTGGCTAATTTTTTGTATTTTTAGTAGAGACGGGGTTTCACCATAGCCAGGATGGTCTTGATCTCCTGCCCTCGTGATTCGCCCGCCTCGGCCTCCCAAAGTGCTGGGATTACAGGCATGAGCCACAGTACCCGGCCTCAGGCTCTTTTAAACAATCAGCTCTGGCATCTCGCTACCACTCATGGCCAAGGGGCAGGGCTGACCCATTCATGAGGGATCCACCCCCATGACTCAACACCTCCAGCTAAGCCCACTTCCAACACTGGGGGTCACATTTCAACATGAGATTAGGAGGGGACACACATCCAAGCCACAGCACCGTTTGTTTGTTTGTTTGTTTGCTCCCTGTCTCCTCCATTGAACGCATCTTTCCCAGCACAGGGACATGATCTATTCAAAGCAGGATCACCAGTGTTTGGTGCCTAACAAAGGCTCAAAACATACTTGTAGAGTGACTGAATGAGGGACCAAGGGACGGGGAAGGTAGGACATGTCGGGGCATCTGTGGATCCCAAGGCAGGACTGGATTTCACAAGAAAGAGAGTGTCATTCTGCCAAATTCATTTCAGATGGACGAAGTCTGTAAAAGGAAAAAACAAAGCTATTAACACCACAATAGCAAAAGAGAGGAGCATATTTTCATGATCTCGGAGGAGGGAAGACCTTCCTAAGCAAGACACGAAATCCAGAAGCTATAAAACAAAAGCCTGACAGATTTGACTACATAAAAATAAAGCTTCTGGCAGGGCGTGGTGGCTCATGCCCATAATCCCAGCACTTTGGGAGGCCAAGGCAGGCGGATCACTTGAGCTCTGAAGTTTGAGACCAGCCTGGGCAATATGGCAAAACTCTGTCTCTACCAAGAATACAAAAAAAAATCAGTCGGGCGGGGTGGTGTGTGCCTGTGATCTCAGCTACTTGGGAGGCTGAGATGGGAAGATGGCTTGAGTCCAGGAGGCGGAAGTTGCAGTGAGCCAAGATCGTGCCAATGCACTCCAGCCTAGGTGACAGAGTAAGACCCCATCTCAAAAAAAATAAAATACTTACAATCCAGCACTTTGGGAGGGCTGAGGCGGGTGGATCGCCTGAGGTTGGGAGTTCAAAACCAGCCTGACCAACATGGAGAAACACCGTCTCTACTAAAAATACAAAATTAGTCGGGCGTGGTGGCGGATGCCTGTAATCCCAGCTACTCGGGAGGCTGAAGCAGGAGAATCGCTTGAACCCAGGAGGTGGAGGTTGCGGTAAACCGTGATCGTGCCATTGCACTCCAGCCTGGGCAACAAGAATGAAACTCGGTTTCAAAAAAATAAGTAAATAAAATAAAATAAATAAAAAGCTTCTGCATAGCCAAATACATGATAAACCAAGTTAAAAGATATCTGATGGACTGGGAGAAAAGACTGAAACCATGTACCACAGACAACAGATTAATATCATAACATATAATGGGGTTCTATAAGCCAGTAAGTAGAAACTCACATAACCCGGTAGAAAAAAACGGGTAAAGGAAAGAAACCGGTAGCTTGTAGGGTAAGAAATTCTCACAGCCAGCGAATGGCTGAATAGATGCTTAACCTCTCCAGTCACCTGGGAAATCAAAATAAAACAGCAAGAATACACTGGGGGCAAAATTTAAAGGAATAGGTAGTGCTGCACTGGCAAGGATGTGGGGCTCCCGGGATCTCCTATACTGAGACGGGGTGTGGTCCCCGTGGAGGCTGGGAGGCAGCTGGGCCAGCTTAGTGATATTCAAAAATGCACACTCCTTGGGACCCAGAAATTTCACTTTTAGGATGTTCAGTGCCTCAGGGTTTGCACGAGCAAAGGAAGAAAGTGGAGCCAACTAATTGCTCGTCAACAGAGAGGAGGTTGCACAACAGAAAACTATGCAGCTAACACAAAGGCTGCCCCGCTGGCATTGAGAAATGCTTCCAACTCAGCCAGTGAAAATAACAGCAAGATGCATGACAGCATGGGCAGCATGGGCTGGTTAATCCTGCGTGTGCAGTCACACGGACATATACATGCACCTGCATATGTAACTGTGTGCAGTCATAGATATTTCTGGAGTGAAATGTACAACTGTCAATGGTAGGTAGCTCTGAGCAGTGGAATGGAACTGAAGGAGTGATTTCCATCTTTATTGTTTCACTATTGCAGAATTTAAGCAACTAAAATGTATTACTATTATAACGTTTTAATAATGAAAAAATAACAGCACTAAAGAAGGGTGTGGCTGGGGTGTGGAGGGCTGTCAGGTCAAGGCAGGAGAGGCCTGAAGATTGTGCACCAGGTTGAACCCTCAGGAGCCTGCAGGGAGGCTGCTGGGCAGGGGCATGGTGGGTGGGAACTGGGCCACAGAATCCCCAAGGGGGCCAGCCCGCTCCCAGGCCACCCCACAACTCTGTGAGGCAGGCTCCTATGTCTCCACTCTTCTGCTATGTAGAGAGATGCAACCCAAAGTCTCTTCGGCAGGGTGGAAGGTACAGAGCCAGGGCCCACCATGCCAGGCACACTCTGACCCTCTCCCGGTGCGGTCAGACGCTTGGGACCTGGCAATGTGAGGTGGCAGAGCTTTCACTGAGGCAGCACCCTCTCAGCTCAGCAGTCCTGAGTGGGGTGTGGTTCCAGTGCAGCCTCCTCCGGCCCCTGGGAATTTCAGGCTCCCCTTCCCGTGAGACAAGGGCCGTCTCCTTATGGCGGCCTCCACCAGTCCTGGACATGTGGCTATAGCAATGGGTGAGGCCTCTGGGCAGATGTCAAGCCAATGGATGACTTTGGACATCTGCACTTTGGAGGAGAGAAGCCTAGCTGGAGACAGACTCTTGGATGGGACTTGGAGCCAAGAGCAGGTGACGACACCGGGGAGGGTGTGTTGAGAGGAATGACAGCCCAGCACAGAGTTCTGGGCTCCCCCATGAAAGCATAACCCAGGAATCATGGTCTCTGAAGTCCTGAGCTCTAAGGGGCAAAGACTCAGGAGGGCAGAGACTTGCCCAAGGCCACCCAGATAGCACCTCGGTCTGCCTGGCTTCCTAACTTGCTAACCTCCACCAGTCACTCTCCTTGGTGTTTCTATTTCAGACTTTACATCTCATCTTTGTTTTATTTTCTTTTACTGCCCTCCTCCATAACAGCTAATTTGGTGATTTAAGACAGCAGCACTGTTTTGTCTTTATTTCTGCCTCTAACCTTGGTCCTTGGGGTCAGAGGCTGATTGGCTGGAGGTTTGAAAGGTTGGAAGGAAATTGGGAACAACTGCTAGAGGGCAGAAACTGAGGAGACACAGCCGGGGACAGTGGGCAGACCAGTGCCCCGCGGTCCGCTCCTTGGGTGGGTGCTGACCAGGGGTTGGAGCACGGGGCAGCCCTGTCTGCTCACACAGCTGAGGATGGGGCTCCAGTATAGAGAAGGAGGCACACACACCAGAGCTGCAAGAGAAGCCATGGCTACTGCCTGCTGGACACTTGCTTCTCCTCATTTTGCCTACATAGCCCCACAAGATGGGCACCAGGGCTCTCTTGCCATCTGCATAGGGGTTAAGGGCACAGACAGCCAGGAAGGGGTAAGGCCAGGCCTGTCTGACCTTGAGTCTCAGCCTTATAACCACCAGTCAGTAGTGGCCCCAATATTAGGCTCGTGTCTGCATGCACATTTTTCTACAGGTTTTCACTTAGGTCTTACAGCGATCCTATGAGTTGGGTATTTTGGGCTCCATTTTGCAGACAATGAAACAGAGGCCCAGGAAGGTCAATTAAGGTCACCCAGCCAGTAGGCTCCAGAGCTTGCATTCTGACCCAGACCGTGGTCCTGCCTCTTTGCGTCTAGCCCAGTCCACCTGCCTGGGGAGGGGTGCAGGGAAACGAGCAATGCCCGGCCAGTCTCTCTTCCTGATGGTGCCCATGCTTTTTCCTTTTCCATTTCTTTTTCTCCAAACCTCAGTTTTCTTATCTATAAAATGGGGGATAAGCTGCCTTCATTCTAGGGTTATCGTGAAGATGAATACCAACGATGTATATAAATTTCTGGGCTTGCTGGCCAACAGGTGGCTGATAAGCATGGTTAGGAATATTTCTAAGGAGACTGGTTGTCGGGATTTTTTATGCAATGGCTTTAGGCAGAGCACCTAACCCTAGCTCTTGGTCATACGATTCGGGGGAAAGCATGAATGGCACATCCTAAGGGCAGGGACAAAGGGCAGGGAGTGACTGGAGCCACCAGTGTCTGCAGGTGTGTCTGCAGCCTACGGGGGGCCTCTCCAGGGCAGGGCCTTGGCTTATTGGCCTCTGTCAGCAGTCATGCACAGGAGGTATGTAATGCAATCTTGATGAATAGGTGAATCGTTGTCCATGAGTCCCTAAACACAGACCTGCTTCCTCTCTCTCCTCTCCCTCGTCCATGTGTGTGCATGCTCGCTCACACACGTGTGCACACACAAGCACACTGGCTCACTCACCTGGCTGGAGTCTTATTGCACGTCTGGGGCTGCCCTGGGAGAGTCAGGTGATGTCACCGTCTGCAGCAACTACCCAGCCCACAGGGGCTCTGAGTGAAGCACAGGGCAGATGTTCATCAACTGTTTGCAGAACTGCCACCTTGGGCCACAGAACAGGGTTCTAATGGCACTTGTCCTCTCACCATCACTCCTAAGTTTCTGCTCAAGTGTGGGGAACTGCGAGTTGTCTGCCTTTGTGTTTTCCCCAGTGATCTGTACAGAAAATGCTCAGGACTCGCTAACTGGATGGATGCATGAAAGAATGAAGTGGATCCAGTTGGGTAACTGACATGAATGAATTCTACGTAAGATGAAAATGGTAAGCCACGTGAACCAGTTAGAACACAAGCTCACTATTGCTGTAAAATACAGGCTTGCTATAAAAATGACAAAGTAACTGTCATGAAACCAGATCAGAGTCTACTGGCCCCTCACACGGCAGGCTGAATGGAAGCATGATGGGCTTATGTGGCATCACCATGGCACCGTGGACACAGGCTCTGCTGATCACAAGAGCCAGCTTTCACCACTCAATCTAAGGTGACTGCTCCCCCTCCTGCCTTCACGCCCACATTCCTGCCAGCGGGAAGTGGGAAGGGGAAGTGGAAGGCACTCCTTTTTCTTTTGAAAACATGGCCCAGAAGTTGCTGCTGTTCAAATCTGACCAATCAGACTTATTCCGTGGGCCACACCTTGCTGTCAAGGAGGCTGGAGAAAGCGGTCTTTAGCCGGGAGGTCCTGTGCCCAGCTTAAACTCAGAAGGGCATTTAATAAAGCAAGAAGGAGAGACTAGACATTGAGGGCATCTTGTTCACTGTGCCCCACCTCATTTTGAAAGATGGAACAGCCTGTGCATTGGCAGTGTGTAATGGGGTAGAGGCATCATGCCAGTGTGACTCTGAGTGAGGGGAAATGGCAGGAGAGGCAAAGAGGGGCATTGGCATTGGTGTGAACAGACTGAGGGGTTCAGGGGTGTGTGGAGTCTCCCAGAGGTAAGGTGGAGAGCCCCTGAGCCCTCTGAGAGGCACAAAGAAAAGAAGAAGGCTGCACAACAGCTGGCCTGTGGCCTGCCCCATGCCAGCCTGTGTTTTAACCCAGCCACACAGACAGAGGGCACGAATGGGTGGCACCAGACTGGAAGCTTCATGCACAGCAGATGTGCTTCATGGAGCCCCTGCCACGGCAGCTGCACCGTGTGTTGCCAGCAAATCTGAATGAGCTATCAGCATGTACAAAACTAGGAGTTTCCCAGTTTCCCTTAAAATACCAGCGACTCAGGCAAGGCCAGTCTGACTCTCTTCAGGGTGAGAGTTGGTGGCCCTGGGCAGTGGCTGAGGGCCCTGGCTCTCCAGTCCCTACCACTCCCTACTGGCCCGCTTTCCTCCTGTAGCCCCTGTCTGCCTGTCCAGATGGGAGTGGGCCACCTTCTCCATGCCACCAAGAGGCCCCACTCAGTCACCCCAGGGTCTTGCAGGACACGTCCATCCCTGGAGAACAAACATTCAGCTCATTCACAGGTACTCAATGCCAGGCCTGTACCCATGAGATGGGTGCTAGCAAAAAGGGTGGAAATCCCTTAGGAAAGGAGAAAGAAGCTTCTCTCTTGTGGAGAAGCAGTGCAGAGGGAGGCAGGCCAAGACAGACGCAGTGGGACCCCCGCTGCACCCTGCTCCAGACGCAGCCCAGGCCTCGTGGTCCACAATGGGCCCCGGCACCAGCCATGCTTTCTACATTCCAAGCAGTGGGTGCAGGTGCCTGCTACCTGTCCTTTAAGGAAATTTCCAGAAGCTCCATGTAGCACTTATGCTCACAGCCAGTGGGTCACTCACATGGCCACACCCAGCCACTAGGGAGACTGGGCGGCCCTGTGCTCCGCGAAACACTAGGCCCGTGTCTCCAGGGCAGCCAGGAGAATGCGTATGGGCAGGACCCTCTGCAGCCTCTGCCTGGGCCTCACAGATTTCTCCCCTTTTCTCCCCACCTCCGACCTCATGAGGTTGTGAAATACACATTCACTGCACAAAAGAGAAACTGTAGCCCAGAGAGGTTTCGTAGTGTGTGAGGCTCAGCCTCTGAGCGGCGGGCATTCATTTCACACTCGCATTTGTCCCTAACACGGGAGCCCCCACACAGCCCTGCTTGGTGCTTCCATGGTATGAACCCCCGCTACCAACACGGTGCTGATCCCAGAGACATCCAGACACCCGACAGTCACCGCTGACCTTTGAGGTTTCCTGCCACTGGATGCAACTGGTATTTTTTCTTCTTATTTGGGCTGGGTCTAGGGTATGATTTAGCACACGCTATGGAAGATGTGACTGAGTATATGTGTGGGATACTGAGGTCTGCCCTGGGAGCCCCAGGCCTGTGGGGACACAGCAGCATCTCTGGAGCGGAGGAAGAGAGAGGCTGACACAAGGCTCTCCCCCTGGGGCGGAAGAGCTGCCCCAGAAGCTGAGAAACCTCCACAAAACAAAAACAGTTTGATTCCATCCAGCAACTGGTGACTTATTAGCTGCATTGTTTTCAACATCACCCCTGGCCTGAGCTCAAATGTGGCTTTATTTTGCAAGCGGCTTTGTGTGTGGAGACACATCCGGGGTTGATAATGTTGCAGACTGGGATATTTTGGTTCTTTATTGAAAGGGAAGATCTTACTGCCACCGGGCCCCGCCTCACCCTCCAGATTGGAAACTATGTGACCCTTACGATGGGGTCCCAGCTGGACACCTCGAGCCAGATTTCCAAGCTGAAAGGAACACTGGGCCTCCGGGGCCAAACACATGCTCTGCACAGCTGGTCCCGGTGTTTTGTCCTGTCCGTTAAAAACAAAGCTTACACTGAGCAAAGACTTGCTTTCAAATCAAATATTTGTTGGCACACACATGTGTCCTGTTGGTTAGGAAACATATTTTTTTTGCTTTAAAATTAGATTTCCCTGGAAAGAACAATGGCAAAATCAAAAGAGACAAGTGTTTGGTGGGGCAGAGAGAACAAAATCTTTTGCCCAAAAAGTCTTACGGTTTGGTGAGCGCCAAGCTGTTGGCGGTGCCTGCTTCCTTGGCTGGTGTCACAGGATGGGGTTTGCATTTGTCGAGAACAGCAAAGCTGCCACCTGGGTCCCACGGTGGGGCCCTGGTGCAAGGCATACTGGAAGCTGCGTCGGAGGCAGTGTCTCAGCTCTGGCCAGCCTCTGTTCCTCCCGCCTGGCTGTGGCGCTGCCTGAGGGTGCCCCGAGGGCTGGGAATCGCTGGAATGATCCTGGATGTGAGGGTTCTTAGACTGCTCCCCCCACACAGCCGAGGACTCTGCCACACTGCTGCCCTGAGGAGGGCCAGCACCTCCACGCAACCCCGCTGCTCTGGCCATAGCTGGGGAGGCCAGCCTCAAAGATTTGACCCAGGGTAGTTGTCAGTAGCCTGGCTCGAGTGTGGCACAGCGCCCAGGGTCTGTCCAGCCAAACAGATGCTGTCTCTTGGGGCTTTGGGCAGCAAAATACACAGAGAAGGATCCAGAGAGCAGAGAGACTCACAGAGAGCTGGCAGTGAGCAGTGGCCGGGGAGCAGCAGGAGCCACGGAGGGCCACACCATCCTGGAAGGGCAGAGGGTGGACCATGTGGAGGGCCAGGGAATGGGAAGGGCAAGGGCCTGAGACAGGCAGTGGAGGCCAGGCACAGGCGACAGCCAGGACTGTGGCCGGGCCTCTGAGCTGCTGCCAGGTGACCAGAGATGCTGTTCCATGGAGAATAGCTCCTGCAGTTGCTTTTTTGCATAGACTGAAATCTAAACTACCTGCTCATACATGCTTGAGGGGACATTTTCAGGACTTGGGCTCTAAGGAAGGGGAGAGATGAGAATAGTCAAAGTGTACTCACAGACAGCTCATTCCTTCTAGAGTTGTAGTCCCTTCCCCACCTCTTCCAGGAAGCCCTCCCTGACCACCTCCCTGCCTACAATCCTCGGCCCTCTCTTTCCATGGGGTGTCCACAGAACTTGTTCCCAAGAGTTCCCAGCCTCCTGCTGTGGCCTAACTCCTCAGCTTCATGTTTTACTCTAATCCCAGCCATGAGCTCCCTACAGGCAGGAATGGTTTCTGGGCATCCCTGGAGCACTGAGCGCAGGACTCAGGATGGCTGAGGCTCAGTGTGCACTCATAGGTGGGATGGAGAGTTGACCTGTACAGCTCATGGGTGGGGGCCTACCTGCAGACCTTGTTCCCTCAAACAGGGAACTCTAGCCCTAATGCCCTCACAGACAGGGACAGGAACTCTCTGTGGCCTCTGCTTTTCACAGAACAAAGAGGGGGAGCCCTGGGCCTCCACCAAACACCACGGCTGTGAGGAGAACAAGACAGGGGCTCCAGCCTCCAGCACACGGCTATGCATTCCTGGGCCAGCCGCCACCCTGCTCCCCAGCCAAGTCAGGTTGTTTTTGCCACCCCACACCCCCAGGGAGCACAGAAATCAAATTCTGATCTTCTTGAAATAAGCATCTGTCCAGTTGCATTGAGCTCAAAGGTTCAGTCCACCAGGAGCACCTGCTTGGTTCTGAGACCTGGCCAGCCCCATAGGGTGGGCATGCAGGGCCCTGCACACCAAAGAACAAAGGACCACAGCCAACAAGCATCCACTGCACCCAATGCTGGGCTCAGCACTGGGCTGGCTCTGGGAGTCAGGGTGCAGGGCGAAGATGGAAGAGACATGAGCCCCACAGACACAGAACAGCCATGAGAGTAATCAGTGACAGAAGCCCAGAGGGGCGGGGCGGGGCGGGGCAAGAAAATGGCATGTGAGCAAGGGGGCAGGTGAGAGGCTTCCAGAAGGGCGGGACTGTGGAGGAATGACACATTCATGCTCCCATCCAAAGGGAGCAGCTTCTATTCAGCAAGAGCTGCTTGACATCTGGCAGGAATTGGCACCTAGGGTGGCCAGGTCTTCTGATTTTTTCTAGAGAAGGCAGAAATGCAGGGTGTGTATGTGTGTTATGTGTGCATGTGTGAGAGAGTGTGTGCATATGTGTGAGAGTGGGGGTGGGGGGTCTCCTGATTTTTCAAATATTGACTGAAGGCTCAGTAAGTTTTGCTGCATCGAGTCCCCGGGCTGCCCCTCCACCCTCTGCAACAGAGACCCACCCAGGGACCAATTGATGCGATTCAGAAGGCGGTGGGTGACTGGGCTGGAGTCTGGAGCCCAGGTTTGTAACAGGCTGGGCCTATTCACTGCATCGAATAGGTCGGCCTCTTCATTCCAGGCACCTGTCATTGGCATCTGGCTTAATTCTCACAAGACGCCTCTGAGATAGGTGTCATGACTTTCCTCTTTCTATGGCTGAAAAGGCTGTGGTTCAGAGAGGTTGAGTCACTTGCACAAGAACACACAGCTTGTAAGCAGCCCCAAGAGACTGTGCTGAGCCTTAAAGGTGTTGGAGAGTGGGGCTCAGAGCAGGGCAGTGATTTGCCTAAAGTTACCCAAAAGCAAGGTACAGGTGGGGCAGCTCCAGGTCTAGGATAGCCAAGCTAGCTGCTCTTTCCCTTGTATCCCCAAAGGTTTCCAACACAATTCCACAACAGCAGATGGGGCTAAATCTTCCCGGCAGGGCACGTGGATGGGTGGAATCCAAGGGTGGTGGTTGGGGTTGGGGGGTAGTTCCCTTTTGTACAGCAAAGCTTTCACAAAGCACATAATCACCTACCAATATATCTTCTTGCTAAGCCTGAACTTTAATCCATCCAGTTTCCGCAGCCCAACCCACCTGCATTGCATTTCTGGCAGGAGGTGGAAGACCTAAGCCAAGGGAATCTCCCTGAGCTCATGGCTTCTGCGGGTAATTAATGACACTTGCAGCCTAAATGTAAACTGTAGCACATCTGTCCAATGTGGCTTGGGTAGATCCGTGCCTTGAGGCAGGGAGCTGGCCTCCATGGCCGCAGGTAACCCTTCCAGCTGGGGACAGCAGCGACCCGGGTGACCTCAGAGCCACTGTTCTGCACCCCCGAAAGAGGATGGACCTTGAGGTCACTGGTGTGGCGGAAGAACTGCGTGTGCCTTTCTTTCTTGTAAAGTACGTGTCAATGCCCCATTCTCCTGCCAATCTTTAGGAAGCGGCACCTTCGAGGTAGGTGGACTGCAGCCTGGCCTCCCTAATCTCCTCGCCTAGCCCCCTTCTCGGCTCTCCCCACCACCCTCCATTCAAACCTGCTCTGAATCAGTTGCAAGGATCTCATAAACGCGTGCCCACACACAGAGGCACAGATCGCTGAGAATGGCTTACAGCATGCCCTGTCAAGGGTTATCTGCATTTCAAAAACTATGGTTACTTTACCCAAAGGAAGGAATCTCAGGCATTGGCAACTATAGATTCTGGGACATTTTCAATTTCTACCTACTTTTTTGCAGTGCCTGTCCTGACAGGCCCCCTTGTCAAAACATTTATTATTATCCTTCTTCATATATCACCAGTTTTCAAAGCTTTTGCATCCATTAAAAAAATACTTCTACCTTTCTAAAAAGAACTTGGGATGAAATCTGGTCTCGCTTTCACTCTTAGGGCCTTGGCACGTCCTTGCCATCATTAGTAGGGCTTCTGCTTGGTGGAGCCCTGGTAAAGAGACACCCTCGGCCAGGCGCGGGGGCTCACGCCTGCAATTCCAGCACTTTCGGAGGCCAAGGCGGGCGCATCACGAGGTCAGGAGATCGAGACCAGCCTGGTTAACACTGTGAAACCCTGTCTATACTAAAAATACAACAAATTAGCCAGGTGTGGTGGCATGTGCCTGTAATCCCAGCTACTTGGGAGGCTGAGGCAGGAGAATCACTTGAACCCGGGAGGTGGAAGTTGCAGTGAGCCAAGATCGGGCCACTACACTCCAGCCTGGGTGACAGAGCAAGACTCCATCTCAAAAAAAAAAAAAAAAAAAAAGAAAAGAAAAATAAAGAGACACCTTCTACTTGGTGGGGGCCAGCTAGCCACAGGAAGGGCCTCCCTGAGCCTTATGGCTGTGTCAGGAAGAAGAAGATCAACAGGCCCCATCTCAGGGCCAATGAAGCCCGCCACTGTCTGTGGACACACAAGCCCATCTGTGGAGGACTTGGGCCATGTTTCAAGCAAATAATGTTTATTAGGTCCCAGGTCAGCCCATAAAAGCTCTTGGAATCCAAAATGTGCTTGAAGCTTAGGATCATTAGTTCTGGTTTTCCAATACTTTGCTCGTTCATTCATTCAATCCCTCATTTGGTCAGCAAATGTTTACCAGGTGCCTACCAGATGTAGGGGTATACAAGTTAGGTTTAGGATGCAGTTATATGACCTGGGCTAGAATGACAGTGGCTCTAACCAGACATAGGCTGGCTCCTTGCTTGTCAAAGCCACAGCTGGTGCATTGCTCAGGCCCCTCTACCTGTTGCTCTGCATTTCTGGAGCGAGCTCCTGTTTGCACGGTCCGCACACCTCACACCTACACTGCTCATGCTCCTGCACCAGCGGGAGGAGGTGAAAGAGGAAAGGCACAGCCAGGCGCCACGCACAGCCTGCTCATTCGGACTCCGTTGGCTGGAACTTGATCACGTGGTCACAACCTGCTGCAAAGGTACTGGGAGCTGTGGTCTTTATTTCGGGTGAACACAGGCCAAGCTAAAAATCAAGAGATCTCTTACTGGGAGAGAGGAGGAGACAATAAATGTTGGGAGACCACTAGTAGGCTCTGAAAAAATTGGTGAATAAAACAGATGTGCTCCTTTGCCATGGATCTCACAGTCCTGAAGGGGGGATGGGGACAGCATGAAATAACAAGTGACCCGAAGAGTCAGTGCTTCCCTCTGTGATGAGGGGTGCCAGGGAAAGTGCAGGGCACTCAGAGAGCAGTGAATAGGGCGTCAGGTCAGGCTTCTTGAAGGAGGGGGCATTAGCCTGCAGGACGACAGGCTGGAGGAAGGGGGGGTACACTGGGGAGGAAGAGGGAATGGCATATGCTAGGATCCTGTGGCAGGCAGGAAGGCGGCTGGCCCTTAGGAGGACTAGGGAGGAGCTGGTGTGGCCGGGGTTCATGGGCGATGAGAGGGGATGAGAGGCAGCACTAGGACAGGCAGGGCCTGTAGCCCAGTGGGGCATCTGGAGACCCCGCCCCGCCATCAGGACACTGGGAAACCTCCCTGATGGAGGGTGGAGATTGGCTGAAGGGGCGACTCAGCTGCATGTGTAATTTTAGATCACTCCACTCTATTGCCTGTCTTCTCTGGAAACAAGGATCCCTGGAGCTCAGTAAAGGTTACAGGGGTAAAGCAGGGGAAGTGGTCCCACCTGCCCTGGAGGCAGAAGCATGGACAGAGAGCTTTGCTGGCTCTACCACACGCTAGACATCTTGTGCCTAATTAGAATCCCAGAATGCTGGCGTGGAGAAGACAGACAAAAGCATCCAGTCCTGCTCCTTTGTGTACAGATGAAGAGGCTGGGCCTAGAGAGGGAGAGGGGCCCACCTGGGTCCCCCAGCAGGGTGGTGGTGGTGCTGGAAACAAGATGGACTCTTTCTGACTCCCTTGGTGGTGGTAATGGTGGGTGGCAGGACCTGGGCTGGGGTCACTGGGTCAAACTAGTGTCACCTGGCCCCTGGGAGCTACCTATCTGAAGCAGCTCCAGAAACTTAAATTTGCTAATTAATTTATAATTCCAGCCCTAAGCCATAAAATCAAACCACACACTGAGCTGTCCACAGTTGCCTGACAGCTGGCCTGTCTGATCCTGGCTGTCTGCTCACAAATTGGTATTAGTGGCACCAAGAGCAGATTAACATGGTGACCAGGCACCCAGAAACTTGATGCCACCCGCTGGGCTCACTAAAGCTGTCAGTCTCCCCAGCTGCTAAGCTGCCCAGGCACCCATGTCTCCCCAAGCTTGGGTTGCAGAGCAGTCCTGGGCCCAGCAAGGAGTAGGACCTTTCTCAGCCATCAAGTGATGCCACTGGTCAAATATAAGTTACAGGAGAGAAAAGCAGGGAGGCATTGCCAGGAAAGCAGTATTCAAATTTCAGAGTTTGCACAGGGCTTGAGAATCAGTGGGGACCATGGGCATTCATCATCCTAGCCAAAGCCCACACTGCAGAGCCAGAGAACTGAGCCCAGAGAGGAAAGAGCTGCGGTGGTGTCATCCGGTACAGGACTATAGCTCGGGCTCCCTCCCCGACAACCTAATGCTCTACCTGTTCCTCTGAGTGAGAATGCCGCTTTCCCATCATCTCTGCCAACCTGCGTTTTTCTTTTATGTATTTGTTCACCTCATCAACTCCTACCTCCTGAGCACCTACTACTGTGCCAGACACTGTACAAGGCCCTAGGATACAGGAAGCAATCATTGTGGGAAGAACTAGAAATATGAAGAGTCATTCTTGAGGTTAGTATGATATACATTAGTGAACAAAGGAAGGGAGGGCGGGAAAACATCCCAGACAGGATGAGCCACGACATGGGTTGCATTAGATAGGGTTGGAAAACACCACGGTACAGTGGTGTAAGCAAGGCATTTTCCCTCCTGTAAAATTCCAGGGCCAATATGATCACTCTGACCTGCAAAAGCCTTGGACACCCATGCTCCTTCTACCCACTACGTCTCTGGTCCTCATGGGTCAAGATGGTAACCAGGGCTCTAGCCATCAGGTCCGCACTCCAGGCAGCAGGATGAGAAGGACAAAGAAGAAGTGGGAAAATATATGTTCCCAGAAACACTTGTATAAGAACACTTAATGTCAAGAACTATAAAGGGTCTGAAATTTTACTCAACTTGAAAGGTAATGAGTTAGGCTCTTGAGAGGCTGGCAGAAGATGCCAGAACCATGAGTCAGAGACAAAGGATGTTATTCCTCACAGCACAGCAAACAGCATGTGTATCAGCATATTTGCGTCAGTTCCTTTTGCCCCAAGTCCCACAGAACAATGTGAGTGGGCCCAGATGGATCCTGTACTTGCAGTGAATTGCATTACAGGAGAGGAACCCTGAGCTTAGGGAACCTGGATCTTTTACAATGGGAAGCAAGCGTGCTTGCCCTTTGCTCCAGAGGGAGACGCTTGATCTTCCAAAGCTGTCTGCAATACAAACACCCATGAAAAGATAGGTCAATCAGTGCCTTACTCATAAGATGTGTAGAAATGCGAGAGACTCATGGGGAATTGTCTCCCAATATACAGCAGCTTTATTCATAATAGCTCCAAACTGGAAAGAGCCCAGACGTTCATCAACAGGAGAAGAGATATATTTATGCAATGGACCATATTTGTGCAATAGCCATCTTAATGGGTGTGAAATGGTATCTCATTGTGGTTTTGATTTGCGTTTCCCTAAAGATGGGTGATGGGTGTCTTTTCACGTGCTTGCTGGCCATTTGTATATCTTCTTTGGAGAAATGCCTAAGTCCTTTGCCCCATTTTTTAATCAGGTTGTGTTGTTGTGTTAATTATAGAAGGTTTTAACCAGGGTGGTAACTTAGATTTACGTGTTTGGAAGATTCCTGTGGTGCCCTATCTGGAGTGTGAATTGAAGGCAAGAGTGAGAGTAGCATGATCAGGGCGGAAGCCGCTGCAATGATCCAAAGATGATTGATAGTCTTCACCAAAAGAGAACCACAGAAATGGAAAGGAAGGGATTGGGGAGAGAGGCATTAAGGAGCAAGAATGGGCAGGCTTGATGAGCGCATGGCAAGGGTGGGGAGAGAGGGGAAAAGTCAGGGCTGTCCAGGCAGTTGACTGACGACCAAGTACATCACCATAGAGAGGGCATCCTATAGGAAAAATTTGCAAACCCTCCTCTGGTAACCCCTGTCCCCATGAACTCCTACAGAAGCAGCTGCACGGGACCAGCATCTTCAACTTTTCCTGTTTGGTGATTTTGCTAAAATATCTCACCTAGCTCTGAGCACTCCCTGTTCACCTACCTCTCCCTCCCATCCCTCCATCACGTCTGGACACCTGATGCCCCTTATCTCTTGGCCCCAGTGCACGTGGGTTATCCAAATCTTCAGTTCCAGGCTCATGTCTGTCCTCACAGATTGACAACCTTCAGAAATGTCTCCAGCTTTTGGACCCTGGCTCCCTGGACTGCTCTTGACTTTGCCTGCTGCCCAGGTTTGGGGTCTACTTGCGTAGTGGGTATCGATTGGGGTGGGTGTCCAGCTGATGGGAGTGTGTCCAGTATGTGACCTGCCCCTAGCCACTGCCAATTAGCCCAGGATGGGGCCACTTGAACCAGGCTGAGCCAAGCAGAAGCCTTTACAATTCCCCATGCACAGACTGTCCCCAGACCAAGAGAAGCCAGAGACTCCGGTGTCCAGCTGGAACTAGAGCCGGCACCCCCAGTGCCAGCCCTGGCCACCTCTGCCTTGTCTCCATCCCTCCCGCTTTGCTCCACACACCCCCCTCCCTGGCCTCCTTATGCTGCAGCCTCAAGACCATTGCCTCTTCCTGGAAGTCTCTCTCACCTCCCTCAGGTCTCTGCTCAGGTGTCACCTCCTTCGAGGGGCCATTCCTGTCGCCCTGCTGGCTTCTCCTGGAGGTGCTCTCGCTGGTGTCCTAAGAGGCCAAAATCTCTTGTTTTGTTCCCTGTGGAACCGTCTGAGTCTAGAAGAGTGCAGGTGCACAGTGGGTCCTGTTACATTTCTGGAATTCAGGGAGAATGAGTAAGGATGGTGCAGTAGTAGCGAGACTCACAGAACTCTGCCTGCAGGGGCCATTTTCCCCAGCGAAGAGAGCTGCCCAGTGAAATAACAGAGGCCTGGGGCTCACACCTTAATGGTGAAGGGCTTAGTCTGGGCCAGGTGACGATCTTCACCTCTCTGCCTCGGTTTCTTCAGCTGAACAATAGGAATAATCACCTGCCTCTTAGTGCGATTTTGAGGATTAAATGCAGGAATGCGAGTAGGCTTTGGACTTCAGTCAAGGCTCAGTAGCATAATAATGGGTCAGGAGCACGCAAGCTCCAATTAGAAGCACTTAGGGAATCGTATTATTCTCCCAATACCTGATTTATGTAATAACAGAACTCCTGCTATCACCAGCTAGGCACGGTGGACCAGAGAGGGCCAGAGGCGACCCCAGGCTTGCAGCCGACTTGCCAGCCCGGGCCGCAGGTCGGGACCGGCGCCGGCTACCCCTCCGAGGGCGGCCGAGGGCGCGGCCCGGCCCGCGGGGCGGCTTTGTGCGTCGCCTGATTTCCATTTCCCCAGATAAACACGCGGCGGGGGCCGCGACCTCGCTGCCTAGCAAATGCCTCGGCTCCCCGCCCCGCGTGGGGCCCGCGAATGAGATGATTTACTCCTGTTTTGCATATTAATTGACCTAAATGCCACCCGTTCTGGGAACAATTAAGAGGCCCTTTGGCGCCCGGGGCCACGGGCTGGCGGCGGCGAAGTGGCGGGCGCCCCCTCGGGGCCGCGGGCCGGGCCGGGGCAGGGGGATCCGGGGACGCGCGGCCCCCACCTCCGCCGGCCGCGGGCACAAAGCGGCCTTTGTGCGGGCGCCGGGCAGGGCGTTTCCGCGCAGACAAAGCCCCCGCGCCCTGCCCTCCCACCCTGCCTCCAGGCGCCTGAAGCCTCGCAGAGGACAGGCCTTCATGCCCTTCCCTCCCCAGCCCCGCGACGTGGGGTGCCGCTTTGATCTTCGCTCTTCCCCGGAGGCTGAGTGGCTCAGTGGCTCACAGGTGGGATCCGCCTCCTACCCGGTCACGGCCGTGCCCTTGCCCTTGGCAGTGCGGGCGGCGCGGGGACAGCGTGCCTCGATCCAGGCCTCTCAGCCGACCTGAGCCGGAGCCACGGAGCTGGGGATGCCCGCGCAGCTCTGCGCCGTCACCCTGTGTCCAGGCGCACTGTAGAAGGGGGCCGACAGGAAGAGGCGCTGCGCCAGAACTGTTCCTTCCAAAGCACACCTGCTTCGTGCCTTCCTTGGGTTTCCACCGTAGGAAACTGGCACCACCTCCTACCCCCTGCTGGGGCTGGAAACAGCGCCACCCCGCTTGACTCTTTCCTGTTGCCTATGGCTCTCACCCCACTCCTTCCCGCATTTCCGCAAGTCCTGTGGGTTCCAGAATACCCCATGTCCTCTCTCCATTTGCACTACCTCTGCGCCTGTCACCAGCACAAGGGCTCCAACTCTCCCCAGTGGCCACTCCGGCCCTGTGGTTTCCCATGCGGGTGCTACTGGCAGGCTTTCAGGGGGTAAATCAGACCCAGCTGCTTCATCGCCCCACCCCCCACGCCAGCCCTTCAAAGGTTTCCCTTTGCACTCAGAAATCTACTCCTCTTTCCATGGGCCCGGGGACCCCGTGGGAGTCAGCATTCCTGCTGTCCCTTGGCCTCTAGGAGCTTATTCCAGACCTCTTTTAGGAGAGCATATTTAAGAGGAAACCTGAAGGATGAGGAGGGAACTGGCCAGCTAAGGAGTCAGGGGAACAGTGTCTCAGGCAGAGGGAACAGTGAGTGCAAGGGCCCTGAGGCCAAAAAAAAGCCCTTGGCTGGTTCTAGGATGGCCCAAGGGCTGCGTGGCTTGGAGTACAAGGGAGCACAGAGTGAGAGCAAAGGATCACCCAGGTGGGCAGGGGCCCAGCCTCTCGGGTAAGGGGTGGGCAGGGGCCGGGCCTCTCAGGTAGGGTGCTTGGGTTTTAAGCAGGAGGGTGACTGGATCTGGTCTACGTGTTCATGAGCAGTTACCTCTCTATGTGAGCATCTTGGGGTGTTTCCTCACCTCCTCCTCCAACAGCTAGGCTCCCCTGCACACCCCAACACACACACACACACACACACACACACACACACACACACACACACACATCATCTGTCCTCAAGCCCTGTGGGCTGTGGATTCAAGTCCCAAATTCCCTCCAGCCAGGCCTCTCCCTCGCATTCCCTCTGCCACGACTTCTCGCCTGGGTGACAACAGCAGCCCAGGAACTGCCCCACCCTGCCACAGCTGCAGCCTCATCCCCTCACCCCCTACCCTAGGGCTCTGGGCCCACCAGCCACTGCTCCCATTACCTGCCTGTTCACTGGGTCCTGTTGGCTCCTCAGGACTCCCAGACCATATGTCCCATCCTCAGGCCTTTAAAGGGCAGTGGCTCAGCTGCTTGGTCCATGAAGGAATAAGGGTCTAGTGCTGCCAGATTGGTATACGTTTTCAGGGGAGGCCCGAAATCCAGATTTTGATGTGAAAACTCCCTTGTAAAATATCAGACCAAAATAAAAACTATTTTAACACTGGTAGAACCAGACAAATGACATGTAGTGAGAGTTGGGTTGTTTGCATCTCCCCTGCCGCCCCCAGCCTGCATATCTCATGTTGAAAATTGATCCCCAGTGAAAGGTATTTGGGTCACGGGGGCAGATCTCTTATGAATAGATTAATGCCCTCCCTCTCAGAAGATTGGGGGATGGCAGCCGGGGGAGCAGTGTGAGTTCTCATTCTATTAGCTTCTGTGAGAGCTGGTTGTTCAAAAGGGTCCAGCAAGCACCTCCCTCCCCCATCTTTCTAGCCTCCTCTCTCCCCATGTGATCTCTGCACGCATGGCTCCCCTTCGCCTTCTGCCATGAGTGGAAGCAGCATGAGGCCTTCCCCAGATGCAGATGCCCAATCTTCTAGCCAGTAGAATTGTGAGCCAAAGAAACTCTTTTTTCTTGTAAATTACCCAGCCGCTGGTATTCTTTTTTTTTGAGATGGAGTCTTGCACTGTCACCAGGCTGGAGTGCAGTGGTGCAATCTCGGCTCACTGCAACCTCCACTTCCCGGGTTCAAGAGATTCTCCTCCCTCAGCCTCCCGAGTAGCTGGGACTACAGGCACGTGCCACCATGCCCAGCTAATTTTTGTTTTTTGTTGTTTTTTTTTTTTTTTTTGAAACGGAGTTTCGCTCTGTCTCCCAGGCTGGAGTGCAGTGGCGCAGTCTCGGCTCACTGCAGCCTCTGCCTCCCAGTGGCATCAAGTAATTCTCCTGCCTCAGCCTACCGAGTAGCTGGGACCACAGGCGCGCACCACCACACCCAGCTAATTGTTTGTATTTTTAGTAGAGATGGGGTTTCACCATGTTAGCCATGGTAGTCTTGATCTCCTGACCTCGTGATCTGCCCACCTTGGCCTCCCAAAGTGCTGGGATCACAGGCATGAGCCACCGCGTCCGGCCTCTGGTGTTCTTTTATAGCAATAAAAATGGACTAAGACATGTAGCAAATCTAGACCAGTGCGTGCAATTGGCAGCCACTGCTACAGCATCTAGTAAAGGACCTGATAGTCAATCAATCCATTATTCAGCCCACAGTCCATGAGCTGGGCCTGCTTACTGTCACCAGGCCTTGAGCTGAAGTAAAGGCTCAATAGATAGTCATTCCCATATCCCCTATTTTCTTCTGGTTCTTTAAGAATTTCATTTAAACCTTTGATTCATGTAGAATTTATTTTGGTATAACATGTGAAGTGAGGATCTAAATTAATTTCTTCTACAGATGGGTAGCCAATTGTTCCAATACCAAATATGGATAAATCCTGTTTTAAGTGCCAACTTGATCATATGGTAACTTCCTATATATATTGGATGACTTCTAGTAATTTCTGAATTATATGGCTATTCATGTACTTGTGCCATAGTTTTAATTGTTTTAGCTTTATAATAGATTTAAAATACAAGTAAATAATGGATGGGGTTATCTCTGCTTTTTACATTTCTGTTTTCAAACTTTTCCTGGATGCATGTATATTTTTCCATATCAACTTTAAAATCAGCTGGTATAGTTCCACAAGAAATTCTGTTAGTATTTTCACTGCGATTGTGTTGATGTGTAGCTTAATTTAGGAGAACTGGCATCCTTATAATGTTGAGATTTTTAACCCAAGAATGTGCTGTAAGTTCACATTTGTATCCTTTGGCAGCATTTAAATGGTTTTGCACATTTTTTAAGAAGTTTATTTCTAGGTTGCTTTTGCAAATGGAGTCTTATATCCATTATATTTTAGTTCTGATTGTTGTCTGTGTATTTGAAGGCCATTGATAATAGAACGCTAATTTTGAATCCAGCTACCTTACACAATTAGTCATTTTCAATAACTTTTTCAGTTGATTCTTGTGGGTTTTCCATGTAAATGGTCAAATAATCTTCAAACACGGATAAATTACCTCCTCCTCTCCAAGCGGATACCTCTTTCCTGGAGCATTGGCTAATCCTCCAGAGTAGTGGCGATGGTGATGACAGTGTGGAAAGTATCTGCCCCCTGGCTTATTCTAGATATAAAATAGATGACTGGGCTAAAATAGATAAATGCTAATTTATGGAATTATCCATCTAGTCTAACTTATTGAAAGCATTTTTTTCAGAATAAGTATTAAGTGTTATGAAAATTTTTTTTAGAAACAAAAGATAAGCAGACAATCCTAGAAGCTTTTGGAGACTGAAAAAGTCACACCATGAGGATCGAGAATCAGAATGGCATCGGACTGCTTAACATCAACCTAGAACACCACATGCCAATAGAGAACTGCCTTCAGAACTCTGAGGGGAGATGATTTCCAACTGAGATTTATACCTCCAGCCAAACTGTCAATCAATTATCCAAAAACTGAACTCCCATATGCAGCCTCCAAGGAAGCTACTGGCGTGTATATTACAACAAAATGAAGGGAGTAAAGCAAGAAAGAAGATGACTTAGTATCTAAGAAACAAGGCACCGACACAGGACAGAGGGAAAGGGAATTCCCAGTGTAACGTTGAAGAGAAATTTCACAACTTCTACTACAATGGCCAGGAGAGCAACTGATCCAGGTAGAAGCAGGAGGGCTCAAAGAAAAAAAACAGAACTGATAGGTTGCCAGATGTGTTTGACTATATTACGAGAAATTTTAGAGTTTTATTGTCACGGTTTGTGGGAAGAATTAGTAATCTTACATCAAAAACTAATTAAATTTAAAAACTGAGGTACTTACTAACTCCAGGGAAAACAAAAAGCTGTACAAGACTGCAACTGTAACCATAATATAGTCCCTTGTTTAGCTGTGAATAATCTATATGTAGATATGATACGGTAACAACTGAGTGTTGATTTAGCAACTGTGATAGGACTATCTTGGAAGAAAAAGTGTGTGTTTGTGGATGGTGGCTGGTGGAGAACCAGCAATCTTCCACAGGAGGAAGCCAATACATAATATTTGAAAAATACATCTAGAGAACGATATTTAGAAATATGAAAGGAAATGTCAGAAGGAACAGCTAAAAGACTTAAAGTAGCTTCTTCTGAGGCAAGGCAGGACTGCTGCATTTCATTGTCAGCCTCAGGGCACCATTTGGCTTTGAAAATTTTGAACATACAATTTTTTATAAAATTAGAAGTTTAATTTAAAAATTTTCTTGCATGTATTACCTAAAAATCACCTTTTGTACCAGCCTCGTTCTTAGCAAAATGAGCTGACCAAAATTTAGACAGACCAAGGTGCCAGTCCCAGCTCTACAGATTGCTAGCTGTGTGGCCTTAGGCCAGTTGCTCAATCTCTCTGAGCCTCCATTTTTTAACCTAGAAGGTAAGGATAATATTAGCACCTACATGGTAGGGTTACTGAAAGGATTAAATGAGACCATGCCTAGACCTGGCACATAAAAGCATCCAATAAAGGGTATCTGTTGTGATGGTAGTTGTTTTAATTTCACTTTCTTCAATTCCTAAGTGACTAACTGTGGGCGACTTCCCCAAGCCTCACCTTTAAAATTGGTAGAAAATATTTTGAGCCTCTGAAGAGATAAATGAGATAATGAGTGTAGAATACCTGGCACCTAATCTCTCTAAAACTCAAATATCTCATTTGCAAAATGGGAAAATCCTTTTAGGGTTTTCAGAGCATTAAGTGAGATGACACAGTGAAACACATAGCCCCGTACCAAGGACACATTTATTTACTCAAAAAAGCTAGCTATGCGTAAGACCGGGAACATTTAAACATCATAAAAGTAAAACATGCTGACTGTAAAAAATGGGAGAAATCTGGTAAAGTGTAAAAACAAAAATTACCAGTCACTGCAATGCTTCTCGATAATATTTTTCCATCTATTTTGTATACTTATTTTATCAGTCAGTGTAGATCATAGTCCAGGGAAAACCGTACCAAAATCTCAGTGGTTTCAAGGCACAGAGGTTCATTTCTGCTCATACCCAGATCACAGGAGTCTGGGTGACTCTCAGGTGCTCTTTCCCATATTGTGGCTCAGTGATAGAGGCTCCTTTGAGCTTCTGGGCCTTCAGAATGAATACACATTCCCATGACTGCTTAGGCCAGGGGAGAGTGGGCTGGGAAGGGTTGCACCAGCAATTGAACACCATCACCCAGAAGTGACACAGGTTACTTCTCTCGCATTTCACTGGCCAAAGCAACTCACACAACCATCCTGATATCAAGGGGCGAGGAAGGGAAATCTTCCAGGGTGCCTGGATGCAATGGGCGAGTGGACCTGGGACACCGTGACTACGTCCACCCCACACATTCCCAGAATCGAAGACACATCGCGTCTGTGATTTTGCTTTTTCACTGCTTTTGTCTCTTCCCATTACATCATAAAATATTCTTCGAAAACATGTGGCACGGATAAAGCTGCAGATTTAAGAAAAGATTTTAAGTTGTATGGTGACACTATTTCCCTCTTCCTCGTTCTCTCCTTCCTCTTATTCTTCTAATTTAGGGAACTGTATGTAGGTGGCAGAGATCCAGGCACCAAAACTTTGCATGTCCTTGCTCAGAAATGCCTCCTCTTCTCTTCCTGGCCAACGCAGGACAGGCCGGTTCTGTCGTTCCTTCCTGGAGAGCTTGTGCTGTTCTGTGGGCGTCTTTCCCTCCAGAAGTAACACATTTGGAGGTGAGGCCCAGAGAACCTGCTGAACAACTGCCGGATTAACAACTCCACATGTGGGGTGTGGCTGCACGCGGCTCTGCCGGGGCCTCCTTGCGCAGACAGTCAGCCAGTGGTGTTAACGCGCAGTGTTAAAAGTGACACCAAAGTGGTGCCGGCGCCACTGTCAGCTGCTGCAAGAGATAACACCCGGGCCTGCAGAGTTGGGTGCGAGCTCAGGAGCGACAGCCCCTCCTCGCTGGTGTCCCAGGATCCCAGGGACCAGTGGGAAGGGGTCCAGGAGGAAGGAGCTCGGTGGGCCCACTCGAGAGGAGTACTTTGTTCCAAGCATGCAAAGTATGGGAAACTGAAGCTGTGGGGACAGTGAGGAACGTGTTGAGGTCAAGAGGCTGAGAACTGGAAGGAAGGACCAGTCGAGTCAGCAAGAGCACTGTGCTGAGATCTGCTCTGTTCCTTTTTCGCTCAACAAACTTGCTGCCGTGTGCCTGCTCTGCTCCTGCAGGGAGGGCACCTGCGACCTTCCTAAAAGAGATCATCAACAACTTCTGAGGTTTAGAATCCAGCTGTGAAAATGTTACTGACATACTTGAAACAATTAAAGATGAACGCAAAGTGCACTCTCATCTGGCATTGGGCTGTGCAGGCAGGTGGCCTGGGTTTCAGAGGAATTGGCAGGAGGGAGAGTTTGCTGAGGGCATAGAAATGCTCCAAAGGGCTCCTTCTTTGTCAGCTGCCACCATCCACAGAAACCCCAGAGAGCAGGGGAAGAAAGCAAATGTGGAGCAAAGAAGGCAAGCAGGGAGAAGGGGATTATGTAATCCTCCAGCAGTGTGTGAGCTGAGTGAGGCAGTCCTCTGCAAGCCCCTTTTGCCGATGGAGAAAGTGAGACCCAGAGGGCTAACCCACCTTCCTCTGGGGACAGCGATACAACTGAAGCTGAGCTGGTCCAGCCTGGTGCCATCTGCAGAAAGACTTACGTGCATTTTCCCTCACAAGCTGTGGATGAAGGGGTAAGGTCTGACCCGTGCCCAGCATCGGCTGGGAGCTGGACCAAGATTTCATGGAAAGTAAAACTCAAGACTTTCACTTCCTTGAGTGTGAAATAAAACAACTCATCTCTAGTTTGCAGAGCACTATCCTCTTTATTATCTTATTTTCTTCTCACAACAACCTGTGACAAACACATTATTATTTCCATTTTGCAATTTCAGAACCTGGGGCTGGGAGGGAGATTGAGCTGCATTTTGCAGCTCTGGAGGGAGGAGATAGAGCCCAGGTGGGCTGAGGCTGTTTCAGGCCTTCGTTGCTCTATCACGCAGCCTCTGGAGTCAACCACCGATCATCCAAGACAACCCAGATATTAGCTCATTGGCCTGCTGAATCCCATTTCCTCTTCAAATGTGACCCGCCCCAACAAGCTCAGTCTGGAGCCCACTGGACTAGGAGTGGATTTGGAGGGTGCTACCCTTTGGCTGGCCAGCCACCAATCAGATACTTCTGCTGGATCTGACCTAAGTCTGCACAGGGAGCTGGGAGAACCGAGGCACGATGGAAGGATATGAGCCGGAAGTCTGCAGGTGCTCAGAGCTTCCCAGGTTTCTCCCTTACTCCCCTGCCCTCGCTGCCCCTCCTTGAGACCCTGAAAGCTATGAGCTCAGGAGCTTTCTCTCTCTTTATCCAAGGTTAGTAGAGTTTCCAGCACGGTGAAAGTCATGTACCCCAAGGCACCAAGGAAAGCAATCTTGTAGAATCCAGGGAGCCTGCATTCAGCTGCTGGGCCCCCAGTAACTGAAGGAAGGAAGGCCTTCCTCCCTTTGAGATGACAATTCTCTGGGGAGCAGAGTGCTTGCCTATTGCACATGCACTCTCGAGAGTGCTGAGGCCTGCAGCAGACATTTCCACCGCACATGTGCTACCTGCTCTGCACCCGTCCTCATAGCCACCGTACCTCTGTATCCTCGCTGCACTCATGGGCTCGAGCTTGAGTCTGCTCTCAGTTTACGCATTTGTGAAATGTTAGTGGAACGCCCTCTTTATGTCAGGCACCTTTTCGTGAGCACACATTTTAGGTTTCCTCCCAGCTTCTGACCCTGGAATCAGTTTTCCTATTAGCCTTGCTGCTTGGCCGTGGTGCTGGGCCTTTCCTCGGCCAGAGTTTCTGCTTCCTCCTTCACATGTCATGCTCTGGGCTGTTCCTCTGGTCTTGCTGTCCTCGTGGATCTGAGTTAAATGCCACCATCGCCAGTCGATTCCTGGGAAGCTGGGTTGGGCCCATCCCTCTATTGGGCTCTGGGTACGTTCCAGCTGTGCAAGCACAACCTGGCCTTCTGCTAGATTGGGTCACATAAAACAAGGCCAGCCTGAAGAATTCGTTGTGGGCCAGGCTTTGAGATGCTGCTGCAGAGCCAGGGCCTGGGACCCTAGGCCATTTTCACAGTCTTCAGATATTCTCATGTCCCTCATCCTCGTCACCTTCCCATCTGTATCCCATCCCTCCTGCAGGCTCTCTCCTTTCCTCTACCACCAAATAATCTTGAAGATGTGGTCTCCAAGGCCAACTCCATTTTCATCCCATTCCCTCCGCCATTCTGGGTCTGCCCCCACCAAGACTTCCTCTCCCACCCTCTCATGCCCCTACTCTTCCCCACTGGGACCCCTTCGTCCTTCCCCCAGGGCCCTCTCAGCCTCTGTGGCACTCCCTGATTCTTCCCTCCCCGACCACACCTTCATCTTCCCAGGAAACACCAGTTCCCAGGACCTCCGTTTACAGATGGGAAGACCGAGGCTCAGAGAATATAAGCTGCTGGCGGACACACCACTGGGAAGTGGTGAAACCTCACCCAGGCTCTCCCCCTGCCATGCAGGCTGTCACTGAAATCATGCTGGGCCCTCACCATCCAAGCCGGTGGGTACCCCCGACAGAGCCACACTCTTGAAGGTGTTTCTCTACCCAATCTAAAGCAGGATGTCATTTTTCACCTCCACATTCCCGTCATCGTGCAGCAGGTTGCACATCTCCTCATTTCTGAGGAAGCCATTTGGGGCTGTGTTCTGTGAACGGCCTGTTGCTATTTGCTCGTGTTCCCCTGGGGTTGTTGATTTTCCGCTGACTGTAGGAGTGCTTTAGCATTTAAGGAAACTCACCCTTTGCCATATGTGTTGCAAATATTTTTTCTAGTTTTTTTTTTTATAGTGGGATTTTAATATCACATGCAGTTGAATTTTCAATATTTATTTTCTGGCTTGACATTTAAAGTCAACCTAGCCAGCCTCCTTCCGTGGTGTTCCTCTGGGCTTTTGGGGTGCGAGGTTTTCCCTGATCTTGCCCTTGGCTGTGTAGATGGATGCTGTCCATTTTCAGCTCTGCAGTGCTTGGAAAGCCAGCCTTCCTGTTAATGCTACCTTCAGCTTCCTCAAAAACAGGACGAAACCTACAGGTGAGCCTCTCCTCCTGGATTCCAGGTAAGGATGCCTAGAAACAGAGCAGGTGGCCCATGTAGGTAGGTCCAGGGCAGTCCTTGGGGCACTGCAGCAGTGAGGCTTCAGGACATTAGATTTAGGGATGGTGAGTAGAAGGAATCTGGAGTGGTCTGCAGGCAGGAGAGTTCTGACTATGCCCAGAGGACAGCGGAAGGCATTCCAGAGGGAGCAACAGAAAGAACAAAGGCGTGCAATAGGGCTGCTTACCTGTAGGACAGGTCATAGGTATGCCTTGGCCAGGACAGGTTTCTATGAGGCGGGGCACACGGGTGGAGCACTGATGGTACAGCCTCAGGAGCAGCGAGGCGCCCTCCCACAGCGTGGGGCATGCCCTGGGGGTCCCGGGGGTCCCTGGGGTCGCGGCAATCGCGAAGGGGAGGAGCTGGAGCTTGGCAGGTCTGGCGATGCCCTAATTAAGCCGCGGGTACATTTCCCAGCCCAACTGTCAACCGTGCGCGGTGCGAGCCAAGAATGAATATTCCCAAAGCGCCAACAGAAGGAAGTGCTTCATAAAAACGGAGCCCGAGGGCGTGAAGGGAAAACAAGCCCTGTTCACACGCAGGCAGCAGCATCCGCTCGGCACGGCCCCCGGGACGCGGAAACGCGCACTGCGACACCGCTGCAGGCGCTGGGAGCCCCCCGCGCAGATGTGGAGCGCTGGGGAGCTGGAGGCTCTTTTCCTGCCCAGCTCGTGCCCCCTCGGTGGCCGCCAGGGCTCCCCAGGGTCTTTCGGGGACCCAGGACGCAGGCCACTCCCTCCGACGCCCCACGGGGCAAACGCCCCAGAGCAGGCGGCCTGCCTGAGGCTTTTCCCCTTGCTAGGGGGAGGAGGCCCTTGCGGCTCTGGGAGTCCCGGCCTGGGCCTTCCTAATCCTGTGTCTCTGTGTGGTGTGACCTTGGGCAAATCATTCTCCATCCCCCTCGGAGATTCTCTGCTTCCCTTTCTGAAAAATTGAGTTACACTCTTGGGTGGTTAGAAGGATGGAAGGAGTCACATGAATATCAATGGCTATAGTATCTCTCAATGAATGATGGAGATTCCAGGGACGGGGAAGCAAAAAAGATGTTTTAAAAGGAATTTCTTTTCCTGCTCTGGGGAGTTCCTTCCTTTTCCGCTCTGCTTCTGTTTCTTCTTCCAGGTGCTGCCACAGTGGCTGACGGAAGACTCTCGAAAGAGCTGATCACAGGCCACCCTCGGTCCAAATTCCTCCGGGGTGCCTTTACCCTCAAAGCGGTCAGGTTTCTGAGATGACAAAGCCCCTTTGACAGGCCTGTCAACTTCCCAGGCACCTACCAGGGCCCCAGCCAGGTCCAGATCCAGAGCTTCCAGGACCCACCATGTTGCTGGGCCCATTCCCGGCCCTTCTCTGTGTCTCTGCAGAGGCTTAATGGAGGGAGGTAGGAATGTGGGCCTCGGGGCCAGGGACCTGGAGTTGATCTGAGCATGATGGTCTGAATAGCACCTGGCCCACTGCAGGCCTCCATTGTTATTTTCTCTGTTATCTTCTCTATTGCTATTCCTTCAAGCTCAGTGTCACCTCTCTCTTTACCTGACAGGCTCTCTTGATTGGCAGCTTGTGGGGCAGGTGCCAAGCCTCATTCATTACACTTCTCAGCATCTAACACAGTGCCTGGTGCACAGAAGATGAATTCAACTGGCAACGCAAATGGTGTTCGTGAGCAGCACCCACAAGAACCACTCTCCACAAAGATCCAACATCTAGAAAGCCTGAGGCTCCACCCCTGGTTCGTTCTTTGGAGAGGACTGGCTACATAATTTGCAGGATTCAGGGTGAAGTGAAAATGCAGGTCCCTTGTGAAAAAGTGAAAAATTTTAAGACGGTGACAACAGAGGATTAAACCCAGCATGGGGGCCCTGTACAACCTCACAGATCACACATCTCTGAGGCAGCCTGCCTTTAGGTCAGGGGGGTTAGGTGTCTACTATTAAAATACTGCCTCTTGCCCCCATCTGAGACACTGCCTGCAATGTGGTTACACTCAGCTGAAGGGCAACATTTTTCTTATTAGGAAAAAGCTTCTGAAAATCCTGGAATCAGTGGGCAAAGCCTTGGCCATTCTTCCAGACAGGTCAGTGAAACGCTGATTAAAAACAAAAAGGACCCTAAGTAAATTCTCCTTCAGGGTGAATCTTTAAGTCACAAGCTTCTCCGCCTCCCTGGCTTCCCCTTTGTCCTGTTAATCAGGCTTTGTTTCTGTGACTGTTATTTATTTAGAGACAAGGTATTGCTCTGTCCAGGCTAGAGTGCCGTGGTTCCATCACGGCTCACTGTAGCCTCAATCTCCCAAGCTCAGGCGATCCTTCCGCCTCAGCCTTGTGACTATTTATTGCTGGGCACCCACTATGTGCAAGCACTGCGCTAAACTCTAGGGCTAGAGCAGTGACCAGTGCCACTGAGGTTCCTGCCTTCCTTGGGGTCACATTGTAGTGGGGAGCACAGACGATAAATAAGTAGATTAATATGCAGTAAAAAGTGAGATGGTGCTACATGCTAGGTAGCCAAAAAAAAAAAAAAAAAAAAGGCGAGTAAGGAGCTATAAAGCTGGGGGAGCCATAGTGGCGAAGTGATCGGGGAAGGCCTCCCTGAGGAGGGGCCTTCAGAGCAGACACCTGGATGAAGGAAGGGCAGGCCACACTGAGGTGGGCGGTGTGTTCAGGGCTGAGGGAAGATGAGGCACAAAAGCTTGGAGGCAGGAATGTGACTGGCAAGGGCAGTAGGGGGCAGATGGGGTAGTGTGGGAGGAAATGAGATCAGAGAGGTCAGAGGGATCCAGAGCTGGCAGGGGCTTGTAGGCTTGGAGGAGTTTGGATCTGACACCAATGGCCAGAGGGCAAGAGATCCTTAGCATTATTGGCAGCAGGCAGGCACTTCCCCACCCAGAGGTAACATTCAAAGTGTCTCTTTTCCTTGGCACACTGACTTGTGCTTCAGTAGTACCTCCTGGGAGCCAGGGAAGATGCAGGGGACACAGGAAATGAGAGGGTGCTGGGTTCAAAGCTGTCTTCTGCTGTGACTGCTTTGGAACTTGGGTCCATTGCTTACACTCTCCAAATCTCAGACTTTTGTGCCCTGCAGCTTTGTCAGGAGGGCTCAGGGACATGACATACCTTATGGGCAGCCTGGCACACAGTGGGCACTCGGGAAACATTAGCTATTCGGGAAACATTAGTGGTCACCCCTTTTCCCTTCTCCAGAGGGCTCTCTGTTGGGTTTAATCCCAGCATCACTAGAATTCCAGGTCCCCTCCCTCTTGGGGAACAATAGTGTTTTGTCATATGCATTGTCTTCACATTTCCTTCCTGGAGTTCAGGGGAGGAAAGGGACTTAAGATTTGTTCGGTGCCAGCCCCCTGCCTGACACCTGCTACACACAAGTCCACATCATCCCCCAGAAAGCCCAGGAAGTGGATACAAGCATCTTATTTCATGGGCAAGGAAGCCGAGACTCAAAGGGGCTAAGGGATGTATGCCACAGCTCATAGGTGGCAGTGCCAGCGTTCCAGTCCAGGCAGGACTGCAATCAGCCTGGTGGTGCTGGAGGCCAGTTGACTTTGTGTGACCCCGTGGTTTTCCCATGAAAGAAACATAAGGACCAGTGCTTGTACCCTGGGCCCCAATGCTGGGGTCTGAATCTTGCCTGTGCTTCTTCTAGGGAAGTTACAGGGACAAACATCCAACATGCCTCAGTTTCCCCATCTTGGGGAGAAGAATAACAGTCCCTACCTTACATGATTATTGTGGGAATGAAATGAGATTACTCACGCATGTACCTAGGACAGTCCCCGGCACACAGTAGTTGCTCAAATAACCTTAACTATCGTATTATGCGAAAGTTGTGACCTGGCATTTTCTTAGTAATGCTTTCTGAATCAGATCCTTCAAGCCTACTCTTCCTTAGGCTGCCCCAGAGGCAAGGAACCGGGTTCCCCGTCTGTGGCAGATTGTACTTTCACAGAGGACCACAGCAGCCTATCCCACTTTGCATGCTCTTCTGCATTGGCACTCTGCATTCCCCTTCAAGAAGTGGAGTCATTCCCCTCTTCCTTGGACCTGGGGCCAGAAGTCATGTTCCATTCTTATCATAGGTCCGAAAAGGTCACTGAGCTTCCCCTTGCTTCTCTTGGGATGCTTGCTCTGGGGAAGCCAGCTGCCTCCTAAGTCCAAGTGCTCCGGGACTGTCATTGTGGAGACCAGGAGCAGGTGCCGGCTGTGCCTGCATGGCAGTGAAGCCACACTGGACCCTCTAGACCAGCCCACCCACAGTTGATGCCATGGAGAGTGGAATGATTTTCCAGTGGAGCCCTGCCTGAATCTCCCAAGAGAGGGGGAGCCCACAGGGTCAGCTGAGGTCAGTAACCAGGCAGGCTCAGGGGCTCCAGGGCACTCACACAGGGTCTGACCTGAACAGAAGGGGAGGTTCATTTAGGGCTGCCTCTGGGGATGCCCCTGGGACTGCCCCCAGCCTGCTGCTTCCCACGGGGCTCCTGCCAGGGGCTGGGGGTGGGTTGTCCATCACAGACTCACCTGCTAGGAGGCCAGGGACTGGCAGCCCCGTGCCCCGGGAGAAATAGATGAGGAGAATGATTCATAGCCTGGCGTCCTCCACACAGGCTATAGTGGCCTCTGCCAGTTACTGTTGCCCCAAATTGCAGACCTAAGCCCTGCCTCTCCTTCTCCTTGGTGCGGTGGATAAATGGGTGGGGCAGACGCCAAAAGGGTCTCCAGGAGAGGTGTGCCATGTGCTGCCGGAAGGGGTGGGGGCCTGAAGGTTTCTCTAGTGCTTTCCTCCAGCCACTGGGATGGTGTCAAAGCACTCGAAGGAGGGGGACCCTTCCAGGGATCCAGAGACTTGCCCTTGTCTGTGCTGCTAACTGGGGAGGGAGGTTTTCTGATGAGGGGCTGTAATGAGTTCAGCATCCCATGCCTTGGTCTCTAACTTCTCCTTATGTCACCATTTGCTCCCACAAAGAAGGGCCTCAGTGTAAGGAATTGCAGGAGGGCCGTCCCTGGCATCAGCCTGTATTAGTTCAGCATTCATTCAGCTGGAGAGCACTGAGCACTGCCCCGTGCCAGGCCCTTCTTGGGTCCTGGAAGTGCCAAGATGAACAGGGCCTGTCTTGGGGGGTGGGGCACTGGAGCCAGCTCCCCACAGCTCCCAGAGCACTGTGCACCTCTTTCCAGCTCCATGTTCAGTGACATCTTGTGGGTAACCTGACACTGGCCATGGGGGTATCCACCCCCCCAAAATGGGCAGACACTGCAACTCAGGCTTCTCCTGTCCCTCCTCAGAACCAACTCAGCACTGGGCAAGGTCCCTTTCCTCAAGGAGCTCTGAATCTCTTTGTGAGACAGACCTCCGGTGACCGCATCACCTCCGCAGACCCCAGGTCAGTTCCTCAATGCTGGGGACAAGATGGGCCGTGTTTGCGGAGGAGATGGGTTACCATGTCTGCTGCTAACTGTTACCATAGATCCAGGGATCTGTGCTTCTTTCCCACACAGTCCCAGGTTAGTGGCACTCCTCTCCCTTCATAGTTGGCCCAATTGAGGCATCTGAAGGTCCAAGACCTTGTTAAAGTCTCTGTGGCTTGTTGGGCTGCAGACAAAAGTTAATCTCAGGTCTATTGGGCATTAGGGACCTTAGAAATCCTATGTCCAAACCTCTTATTTTTAAGTAGGCTACAGAATTCCAGAGCGGGGAGGGAAATTGTCTGCAGTCCCACGACAAGTTAGAGATAGAGGCAGGAGGGGAAGTCAGCCCCTAATTGGGACCTTAGCTAGGACTCCTCCTCACACCCCTTCCCTGCCCCTGGGATCCCTTCAGTGGTGTCACTACCTTCCAAAGAGATCCCGCTTCCTAGAATGCAATATACAAACCCCATGCTGTGGGACTGGTTTGTGTATAGAGTCAGATAAAGGGTTGGCCCCCACTCTGTCCCTGACCCCAGGGCCCCAGCTTTGAGAAGTGCCTCCTACCCTACTTGGCAGGGGTTGAGCCCAGTGCTTCCGCACTTTGTACTTTGCTTTTCTCCTCACAGGGTCAATAGTGGCTGTTTGAAAGATGCTGTTTCCCCATTCTTGAGGTTCTGCATTTTGCCCTGCCTTTTGGGTCCCGGGCTCAGGGAGGTAGCCTGGAGCCCACGGCATCTACTGGGAAGACAGAGTGGCCTCAAGCAGAGATCCACTTAGGAGTCTTCCTGCCACGCCTTTTCCCCATATTCATATTTATACACATCCTCTTACTCCTATTCACATCTCCTCATCCAAAATGCCTTTCCTGAGTGCCAGCATCCTGCCAGGCACTGCCAGGGCTGGGAAGCAGAGAGGTGACTCAGCGAGGTGTGCTGCCCTCCCCAAATTCATCCCTCCACTTCCAGGGCTCCTTGTGAGGTGATAGCTCCCAGCATCCACTGCAGTGAGAGGTGGTCAAGTGACAAGGTAAGCAAGAGGCACACCAGGCCCAACTCAAAATCCTCTCCCTTTTTCTGTCTTCCAGTTGAAATCTGAAGATTGGGCAGAGAGCACCAAGCCTGCACCCAGTGAGACAGCAGCCCCAGCATGTGGCTGTTTAAATTAAAATTAACTGATATTGAGTGAAATGAAAAGTTCAGTTCCTCCATCACACAGGCCATGTTTCAAATGCTCGGTAGCCACATGGGCACAGAATTGCAGCAAGTTCTATTGGAGGCACTGCTCCAAGGCCCCGGGGTCCTACTGACCAGGTGGAAGGCCACCCGCCAGCTGGGAACATCCACATGGAGCTTTGTGTGCCAGAGAAGTCAACTTCTTGAATGAAGTTAAGACGTGGGCTGGGGGAGGTGTTTGCCACTGTAACTAACAGGTATCCTGTTAGTTATCCTGGCCTGGAGGAGCGTTCCATCTGGTACAGAACAGAGATAAGTAAACAGTCCATCGTGGGCCGGGGGAGACACAGGAGCCTGAAGATCCCTGGGCCCAGATGCAAGGCGAGGTAATCAGAGATGGCCCCATGGAGGAGGCAGCACCTATCCCCAGCACCAGGTCCAGCCAAGGGAGAATGGTGAGAGGCATTTCGCCTCCATTTCTCTCCCGCAGTTCCTAGCTCTCCTTCTTTCAGGCACCAAAAGCCTCCTGCTGTCTTCTTTCCCACTGGCGGACATGGGAAACAGCAGCCCATCCTCCTTTGGGGCCCATACTCCCCGACTCTTGGTGCCTGCGATTGCACTGGGACAGGATGGTCGTGCTGAGGCCCTGTCACTCCCTTGGCTGCAGAGCACTTGATTGCGTGATCCAAGACAGGCCAGTGGCAGGGAAGGAGGCAGGCACTGAGGCTAAGGGTATTGTCTTCCCCAGGGCCTTCTCAGCAGCCTGAGCAGGAGGTGGGCGTCTTTCTCGCCACTCTGGAGACCCAGCCCTCGTAACCAGGAGATGGGCAGAGGCTGATCCGGAGGACCCTACAGGGCTTCGCGTGGACTGCCCTGGGCTTCACAGCTAAGCGAGCCAGTCAGAGCCCTTCCAGTTCCCACTGAGAGTTGTGACTCTTACATTCTTCCTTTTATTGGGAGATTTTCCCAGGTTGAGCTCGGAAAAACTCATTTATATAGTGGCGCCAATTCATTCAGCATACCCCATTTGCACGTTGCACGTGATCGAGGCCTCAGGCTGAGCCATGCAGTTAATGGTGAATTTTCAGGGCCATCAGTAGCAGTTGAGGGGGATGCTGGACGTCAGTTTCAGGATGGGGAGCTTGACTGTGCCCACACACAGGTGAGAGAGAGAAGGGGTGCAGGGCATGCTGGGCTCTGTGCCAGCCCACTGATCATTAACAGAAGGGACAGAAGGGGCAGACCCCAACGATGGGGTGGAGTGGGCAGAAAACTCAAAGAGGCAATTCCCTACAATAGCGTTGGAAGACTGAATAAGACAAGTGCCCTTCACATAGGCCATCAGTCCCTAGCCAGGGTGGGGACAGCTGGCCAGGAGTGAGAATATCCCCTACATGCCAGGTCTGCTGGGGCCCAGAGCCCACAGCCCCTGGGTCTGGGGTCTCCTCCCTGGGAGGCAGGCTGAGCTCCCTCTTCTCTGAAGAATGCCCAACTGTTTGAGGTCCCAGGGTGCGAGGGAAGAGCAACACAGGAGGCAGGAGGCAGAGCCCAGGCCCAGGTGTGCCACTAACTCCAGAGACCTTGGGCAGCTCACCACCTGTCTCAGAGCCGCAAGCGCTGGTCCATGAAAACAAGGGTTTTTATTCATTTGGCTTTGTATATTTTTAGCCACTGTACCAGTCAGGGTAACTGGAGGAAACAGATGACACACTCAAAGTCGAAGGACCTGAGAGTTTAATAAAGGAACTATTTACAAGTTGAGGCCAGGGTATAGGACACCACGAGGGGTCTGCTCCCTCCTCTAGGCCTAAAGGGATGAGGAAGCAGGGAAATAGTCCAGATCCCAGCAGGAGGGCTGAGTGGGGAGGGCCTCCTGCCGGGCCAGGGCCTCCTGATGGGCAAGACACTCAGCCAGAGTGTGGCCACTACATGCCCCCTGCCAGGGAACCCCACTGGCCAAAACCAGCCAGCACCCGAGCACAGGGACTCGTTGATGTGGTCAGGCTCTGGGGCACAGAGAAGGGGCAGTGGGAGGGAGGCTCAGATGGGCAAGTGCAGGTAGTTTAGGGGACCTACTGCTTCGTGGGGCCACTGTGAGCGGGGGTGCTTTGCTAGGCGTTCCACAAGCATCATTTCACCAAAACTCAGCCTGAGAGCTGCAGAGAGGGCACCAAAGCCTGGCAGAGCCCAGGTTCTTTCCACGGGGCCACATGGAGATTACTGCTGGCATTCTCCCAAAAAGTCGCAAAGTTGTTCTGGAGCAAGTGAACTCCAAGCCTGTGAAAGGTGAAGATTGTTCCAACCTCTACATTCCTCGCTGTGGGTGCAGGGTCAGCACTGGGGGACCCAGAACCCTTGGTTTCTTCAACCCAGCTTCCACCGGCAGAATGATTTAAATGGCAATGGTATGCAAGCAAAGACTGGCCAGGATAAAATCACAGCATGGGCAGGGTTTAGAGGTCGCTGTCCAAACTCAGAGACTGTCCTGAGGAATGACTGGGGCTGGTCAGCACCTCAGCAGGTTGGAAGGAGGCTGGGCCTGACACAGCAGGAGGAGCCAGGAGCCCCAGGGGCTTGGCCTGCAGGAGCCAGGGTGGCCAGTCTTGGGGCTACTGCAAGGAGGCCACAGCAGGATGCATCCTCAGTGGGTCAGGGCCAGAAGGCCCCTGGGAGCACTTGGTCCAGGCCCTGCAGGGGCAGACAGAGAAGCCAGAGGGGAGGTGGGGGAGTCTCAGTGGCAGGCCAGGGCTCCCCAGCAATTATACCAGGACTGCTCTGTCCCCAGGGAACATATGTAATGATGAATGCACAAAGCTCTGAAGGTAGATGCCTGGTTTCCCATCCTACTTCCAGTAGTAAGTTACTTCTCAGTTCCTCAGTTTTCTCCCCTGTAAAATGAGAATAACAGCAGAATTTGCCTAACGAGTGTGAACAAGCTCATCAATAGCAGGTTCTTAGGACAATGTTCTTGCACATGTTGAGGCCTCAGTGATCCCAGACGCTGTCATTAGCACTAGGCTCTGTGCTGCCCCTGGACCCACATCATCTCATTTATACGCCCCAAGCACTTGGGGTCTGCCTGGTCCACAGGCCTGTGCTCAGAGCCACTGCCCTAGCTGCCTCCTTGTTGGGCGCCTACTCCACACTCAGGTCTGTGTGACACATTTGTCCATCGTCCAGGCTGATCTTTGCTGTAAAATTGTTGGCTGTTTTCTTTTGAGAGACAATCTGGTGCCATGGAGGGAATCTCCACTTTCTCATCTAAAAAATTGACTGCTGAAAAGAAACACACTGTTATATGCTAATGTGTTGGATGCCATGCCAGACTCCAAAAAGACCAATTTTCCTTCCTTCCCAGTGGCACCTGCAGACTCTCAGGACATTCGTGGTGCTTAGACTTATGAGCCCTGCCAGGCTGTGTCCCTGGGTTACTGAGTCAGGCTGTCTGGGAGCAGGGGATTGCGATCTCCACTCTACACAAACACTTCAGGTGACCCTGCAGGCAGGCAGCACTCTCCCCCTATGCCTTCAGTCCAGGGTCTGTTGACCAAAGGGGCCTGGAGGAGGCTGTGGGGAGGAGGCCTCATCTCAGCTGGGGCAAAAGAGCTATGGTTGCAGGACCAGGTGACACAGGCCAGCCTTGAAGTCGGGCAGTCCTGGTCTGCACCTGGGCTGAGCCACACACTGGCTGATGACCTTGAGTAAGTCAGTTCACCTCCTTGAGTCTTGCTTCCCTCCTCTGCCAAATGCAGATAACCCCTCTAAACCTTGTAGGGCAGTTAAAAAAGAAACCATGTAGGTCTGTGGTGTCTGGACCGGGTGGAAGCTCCGTCCCATGGAAACGCCCTTTGGCTCTCCCTGCAGAGTTGATGGGGCTGTGAAAAGAAAAACGCTCTCCCCAGAGGTGGAATCTTAGCCCAGGTGCTCCTGGCCGGCTGGCAGAGGAGGGGTTAACGATGACTATGTCCACGGAACAATAAGTGACCGGTGGTGGAAATGCTGAACTATGATGATGGAGCTGACAGAGGCTATTTTTGGAGGCCAAACCGCATGGAGTAATAGGATTGGAGCAGAGGCAAGCGTGACCAGAGCCGATGTTCTCAGCTACCGAGGCAACAGCCGGCTGGCCTGCGCCAAACAAAACACTCCGCCGCTCCTTTCTCCCCGCGGGTTTTATCTTGACCTTCATGCAAGCTACCCTTGCCAGCACCAAGAAAAAGATTGCTTTAGATTTCCTAACTGTGGTGTTCTTCAGACTCACTGCTCCCACACCCTATGACTTCGGCTTGGTGTCCACTGTGCAGTGGGGAAACTGAGGTGGGGTGGGGAGGGGCAAGCACATCCCAGCAGAGGTGGCCTGGGGGGAAGGGAGCTCCTATGTCTGACTCCAGGCATGAGTCAGGGTAGTCTAAGGGCTGTCAGCCCCCGGTCCTCCCTGAGTAACCCGCAGCTTGATGGGTAGCCCAGGATCCAGCCTCCTTCTCTGTCACACCGATGCCTTCTATCTGTCAAAAAGCCATGCTGGGGAGACGATCCCTTTCTGCCCTATACACCTGGAAACTGCATCAGGCTTCGACTTGCTGCTCTCACTGAAATCTCCCTGGAAGAGGAAGGCATGGGGAACTCCTGTTCTGGGGGCAAATTCGGTCTATCTGGGCATTAAGAGCAGCTCGAGAGGGAATAAGACGAGGAGCATCTCCACGTGTGCCCAGTGGTGAAGCCGAGGCTACACCAGGCGTTTACTCTGTTAATCCTCATACCTTTGTGACACAGCCGTCATTGTTCCTATGCCACAGGCACTTGACCACTTGATAAGAAGCGGCAGGGGCCCTTTGCCCTCTACCCCTGATGCCAGAAGATCCTTGGGCCCAGATGGGGGCCCCTCCACACACTCCTGTGTTCAGCCGGTGCCCTTACTGGGACATCTCCAGGGCAGATTGACATGTATAATGGAAGAGTACATTTAAAATGTGGGAATGCCTTTGGTGTTTTTCTTTTCTTCCCTGTTGGTGACCTTCCCACTAGTCTGCCAGAGGCCCAAGCCTCCAGGAGGATCAGGGTTGTTACAAGACACAAAGAGCAAGTGAGCGCCTAGCCAGACTAGGATCTCCAGGCCCACAGCAAGAAGGGTTTGAAAGCCAGGCTTCCCTGCAGGGGAAAAAGCTTTCTACGTCTGCACGTTGCCCTTTCTATATCAAGTGCAATGCCTGCAGGTCTGAGCGTGAGGTTTACTCTAAGACCGTGTCGGGCAGAGGACACAGAATGTGATAAGAAGGTGAACTGGAACTGCATAAGACATCAGAAGGGAGATATGTGAGGCTGCACCCAAGGAGGGGGTAAGAAACTTCCTAGATCCAAGGGAATGCTGACCCTGACCCCTCCCCTGCCCCCCGTGCTTCTGGTGCCAAAGACCCCACCTCTACAACATCAGGCTGCTACCCAGAGTAGATGGTGGTGGGAGGTTCAGGAAGTACCAGAGGGGCTTGCCTAGCACCCCCAGGATCCTAGGCTCCCAACTGTGTGGAAGGCAGACCAGAGGGAGCTGAGAGTGGCCGGTGCCCTATAGTCAAAACTGCAGAGCAGCCAGCCGTGCCAAGGGTCACTGGGGTCATAGCCAGACCTCCCTCTAGCAGGTGGCAGCCCCAGAATAGGGACCCAGCCACAGGGCCCAGAGCAATTCCCCTGCATGGCTTAGGTGTAGTAAACAGACCTCAGGACCCCCCCACTCCCCGCCCCAACCCCGCCGGCCCCAGGACTGCGGGGCGTGTTGCAAGCAAGATGGCCCGACCCAACACCCCAGGGCCACCAGGCCCCTCCACTGCAGCCTGGCAAAGAGGGAGTGGGAGGAAGGGTGTCCTCCTGAGAGCAGAGACAGCCCTGCAGCAGCTCTGACCTTTGAAAAGTCAGGTACTTAGCTATAAGAGACAGAATGAACTTGAACTAGGATGTTTAACTCTCACTTGCCCAGCAGGATGAGGTCAGATGGGGTGTTATTTGCGTGGTGGTGGTAGTTGGGGGGGCATTGTGTACATTTGGAGCCCCTGCCCCAGCTTGGGAGGGCCAAACAACATCCCTGAGCTCAGCAGCAGCTGGGCCTGAGTTTACTCCAAAGCTATATCCGAGGGGCAGGTTTGCTGAGCAAATGAAGAGTGCAAACAGGATTGCAGGGGGATTGTTTAAACGCTTTGGGCAAACAAACTTCCCTAGCCCCCAGGGCTCCCCTGGAAGCACCTATTGGCAGGCAAACAAAGGATGCACTAATTTATCCCTTCACTGAGGCCCCGCCCCTAGGGATACTCGCCCCTCCCCTGAGCCCCCAACACGGTCACTCGTTATCCTTGATAAGGCTGCAGTGTGGAGAGTTCTGCCCTCTGTTGTCCCTCCATCCTCCTGCCACAGGGAGGGCGAATTAATGAGGTGTCCATGTGACCCGCCCTCCTCTTGTTTAATGTACGGCAAAGGTCAGAGTCACAGAACAGTGGCCCCGTGTCGTCCGGGCTTGTCCAGAGGGGGAAGAAATGGCTGATCCGGGGTTTTATGTTTCTATTAATACCTACCCTAGCACAAACACATTGTGACTCAGCCTCCTCATGCGCAGGTGCTCAGGCGCCCGGCGCCTCCTTCCCTCTGCCCGCCTCGCCCCCAGGGGTCGCCCGCTGGGCTGGCGGTTGGAGTGCAGGTTCTGCCCCCCACCCACTGAGACATAACTTGGGCAGTGGGTCCCTAAACCAGCATTTTAATAAGCATTTCTGGTGATGTTTCTGCTGCATACAGGAGTTCAGGAACCACCAGCACCGTTTGGTTCTGGACATCTACTTTTTTTGTTGATTGAGTGAAAATTGACTGAATAAATGGAAGAAGAAATGAGCCTTCCTGCCAGTCTTGCCAAGTGGGGTCCTGAGTGCTCCACGCTGACCAGCTGCATGGCCTTGAACCAGGTCTCCACCTCCTTTCCTCACATGTGGAGTGGGTTTGGGGGAAGGTTTAATGAGATAATCCACTTAAAAAGCGTGCAGAGTGCCCAACACAAGTGCTAGGGAGTAAGAGATACATAACCAACTTTATGGAGGTGTAATTCATATACAATAAAATGCACCCTTTGAAGTATACAACTCAATGATTGCAATATAGTTTATGACATGCAATTGTATTAGACATAGTAGCACTTGTATTAATTTCCCTTAATGCCCAGGTTGTCCTGAGTGGGACCTGCAGGGCCTTTTGCCTATCAAGGTTTGAACACTCTTCTTAACAGGAAAGCCAGGGTGATCCCTGAGCCCTAGAACTCTCCTTCTAGCCAAGTGTCTCATCTGGGGACCTGGCTTCCTGCCCCTCCCTATAGCGGTAGGACCACAGCAGATAAGTCAGGCACACTGTGAGGCACCGTGGGTCACCACATGGGAACAAGTGTCTGCATCTAGACGCTGAGGTCCTCAGAGGGCTCTAGGGTTAAATGGGCAGTGGTGGGGACAGGAATGCTGGGCTCCCTTCACTGCCAGCTCTCCAGCCATCCTGCCCTCATCCTGACCCTGAGGAGAGAGCACAGAGGGTGTCTTGTCCTTTCACTGCTACCCCTTCACGGGGGCTTCTGGGCTACAGAGGCAGGTCACCTGAAGACTTCCAGAGAGGAGGCGTGGAAGGGAGCATCAGGGTGTCAGGGTGACCCAGGCCCCTCCTAGCAGGCCTATGCTGGGCTATTTTTACTTCAAGATGTCCTTTAGCAGCTAAACGAGTCTCCTTTCCCACCTTTCCTTGGGCCTTAATCTCTGAGCTGACTGTGTTACCTTGTCTGGCTCTGGCATCGTCAGCCTGTTTCTCTGTTTATTTTTTTAATTTTTATTTTTTAATTTTTTTTAAACAGAGTTTCGCTCTTGATGCCCAGGCTGGAGTGCAATGGCCCAGTCTCTACTCACTGCAGCCTCCGTCTTCCGGGTTCAAGCAATTCTCATGCCTCAGCCTCCCGAGTAGCTGGGATTACAGGCCCCCATCACCATGCCTGGCTAATTTTTTGTATTTTTGGTAGAGACGGGGTTTGGCCATGTTGTCCAGACTGGTCTCGAACTCCTGACTTCAGGTGATCCGCCCGCCTCTGCCTGCCAAAGTGCTGGGATTACAGGCGTGAGTCACCGTGTCTGGCCCAGCCCTCTCCTCTGTCCTGCACAGGTGCCAGAGGCACGGGACTCTGCGCATGTGTGCAGGAATGTGTGCGTGTGTGCATGTGGCGTGTGTCTGTAGGACTCTGTGCAGCGCATATGGGATGCATGCATGTGTGTATGTGTACATGTGTCTCCATGTGCAAGAATACACATCTGCAAACACACTTGCATACATGAGTATGATTTCTGGTGTGCACACACACATATGCTTGAATGCTTGAGCCTATGTACATGAGTGTGCAAGGGTGCGTGTGCAAGAGGTTTCTGTCTATACAAACTCTTAGATGATGCCAGGTGAGTGATGACCTCAGCTGTCAGACCAATGTTCGGGAATGCAGACGGCCAAGGGAGCCCTGCTGTGTCAGTGGAGGAGACAGTTCCCGCCTGGAGGGCTGTCCTGTGCCCTCTGTTTTCCCACTCCTCAGAATGTTAATAAATCTGTTGAGTCCAGATCTGGCACCAGACTAAGTGCTTTGCTGCACCATCTCATCTAATAATCATAGCAGCAACCTGAGGATGCATTATTATCCCCATTTCACAGATGAAGGGTCTAAGGCCCACAGATTAACTTGAAGTAGCAGCAGAATCACATCTGACTGGTTTCAGAGTGTTTGCTTTGTGTTGTTTGGGTACAGTGATTGGAGATAGACACACAGAGACACACACACTGTACATTTAATAGTGCAGACCCAGCACCAGTCGGTTGCTCTTATCGTCTGTGAGGACATCAGGAGCATAGCCTTTGCTGGGAAGGTCAGTGAAGGAGGAGCAGGGCCAGACTTGAGTGCAAATGCTTAACTTGGAAAACTGGCCTGAAAGGGTGGGCAGACAGTGGACGTTAGGGCTCCGTGGGAACATCGTGCTGAAGATACCCTGAAATGAGAGTGAGCAGTCTCCCTCCATCCAGAAGACAAGCCCAGCCCCTGCTTGGAGGGCCCCCAGTGTAGTCCTGAGCCCTAGGTGAGAATACATCCCTGAAACGGGAAGGTTCCCCTTGCCTGCTCTCCACCAGCCTTGGAGAGACCCCGTGGTGCCCCATCACACCTCTGTCATCCAGGCCAGCGGCCGCAGGAAAGAGAAAGGGAGGGAGGGACTCTGCCTGGAGCCCCTTGGAAAATAAACAGCTGCACTTTGTGCTGTTGAACCAAAGAGACAGGTCAAGCCGCTAAACCTCCCTTCTCTCCTGTTGGCCATAAAACTAATTAGCCCTGGAGATGGTAAAGGCTATAAACCAAGTACCAGGGCTCCTTCAGAGGGTTCTCGGGTCATCACAGTCATAAATCAGCGTGTGGTGAGGCCAGCACTTGAGTTTCTGGGCAGCACTGTCAGAATGGGCAAGGACAGGGGTCCTGGTTCAGGCGGGGGCTCTTTCCACACCAGCTTTTTGAAGACTCCCAATTCCCCAGCAAGAAGATGGCTTTGTGCCCACTTTAGATGAGTGGCAAAGTCAATGAGGGCTGGGCAGAGGGGCATAAGCCGCCTGTCTGAGTTCTGCTCCTGGGGGCAGGTTGCCCTCCATCGTCAGGAGGTCCTGGTGGAAGGCCTTAAAGGGTCCTTGCAGCCTTTGCAGCTGAGGGATGAGCCCTTGGCTCCTCCACCATCCCGCCTCATCCCTCCTCAGAAACACCTCAGGGCCACAGTTCTGAGTCACTTTGGCTGGGCAGAAGGTCCACACCCATGTAAGGGGCTCAAATGGGGTCCAAGGACCTGGGACTCTGGCCTTGCTCTACCACCAAGCAGCTGCTGGCCTTGGGCAATGCTGCTGGCCCTCCCTGGTACCTGGCCCTGGATGCCTGGGCCACACACTCATTAGACCAGGTGAAATTGACCACCAGCTCCGCATTTCATGGTTCACAGGGCCCAGCTCCAATTCTTGTCTTCAAACCCTCTAGCCTTTGCCTTCCAGATTGAGCAGTGATGGGAGAGGTGGTGACGCATCCCTAGGGGGAGGTCATGGTCCTAATGCTGGTCTGCCCTCCCCAGCCAGAGCCAGCTGGGTCCTCTGGAAAGCAGGCACTGAGACTGACTTAGGAACCTGAAAGATTTCTTGTAGATAGTGCCTGTGAACTATGGGGAGTGGCTACGGGGAGTGGGATGGGCAGGAGGCACTGATACTGCAGTGTAGACATGCCAACCTCTTGGCCAGCTTTACAGGGAGATCCAGAGCAAGGATGGCCCCTCAGAAGAGTCCCACGTGGGCAGGAGTAGCAGGACCTAGTGCCCTGCCCCACCCTGCTCAGTCCGTGGCCCAGTGCTACCCAGGATGCGGGGTCTTGGCTGGGAAGTGGAGGAGGGTCCTGAAAGTGCTGCAGGGAGCCTGGTGGCTCCTGTGCTCTCCGCTGCTTGAGGGCAAGTTCTCTCTTAAAAGGAGATTAAAGAGGCACCTCTGAGGCTGCCATCCCAGCCGTGTGACCCTTGGCATGTGAGGAACAGCTCTGAGCTCAGCCTCGTCATTGGGTGAGGAACAGTGCCTCCGTCCTAGGGCTGTCAAAGACAGTGTCAAGGAGGCCCTCACACAGGGCCCACTGCATGGTGTGGATGAGGGGCGGCCGCTATTATTATGATGGTGGTTTTTAACTTTATTGGTGTGTTTTCCCACTGGCTGTTGAGATTTAAATCCTGGAGAGAACCTTTGTCTCCTGCCTTCCCTCACCTTGGGCAGTCAGCTCATCATCCCGGGCTCCCAACAGCCATTCCTGCTCTGTGGGTGGCTCCACGCCCTGTCTGTCTCCAGCCCCAGGAGCCGGTTTTGGCTGACAGAAAATAATTCTGGATCTGTGGTGTTATGGGCTAAATTGTGACCTCCCTGTCTCCTGTTCGTAGGTTGCAGTTCTAAACCCCAGTAGCTCAGAATATAACTGCATTAGGAGAGAGAGTCTTTCAAAAGGTCATGAAATTAAAATGAGGTCATTGGGGTGGGCTATAATCCAATATGACTGATGTCCTTATAAGAAGAGGACATTTGGACACAGACACACACATAGGGATGACCACGCGAAGACAAAGAGGGAGGGTGGCACCTACAAACCAGGGAGAAGGCCTGGGACAGAGCCTTTCCTCATGACTCAGAAGCAACCAGCTTTGCAAATACCTCATCTAGGACTTCCAGCCTCCAGAACTGTGCAACGATACATTTCTGCTGTTTAAGCTCCCAGTCTGTAGTACTTTGTTATGACAACCCTAGCAGACTAATACATGTGGTTTTAAAAAAATGCATCAGTTAGAGTACCTTCAACTGCAAATAACAAGACATCTGATTAAGAGTGGCTTAAGCCACAGAAACATTTAATGACCTCATGCAGCAAGAAGCGCAGAGATGAAGAATTCTACATCTCTGAAGAACGTAGAATTGTAGAATGTAGAATCGAAGAACGTAGAATTGCAGAATGTCAAGGGCCCTACCTCTTCCCAACCCTGCACTGTTTCCTGAGTTGGGCTTTTGGTCTTTGGACAGCTTTAGATGGGTGGTCTGGGAGGGTCTCACTGAGGAAATGACATTTGACTAAGACCTGTAGCTTGAGAAGGTGCCAGCCCAGGCCGGGCACAGTGGCTCACATCTGTAATCCCAGTGCTTTGGGAGGCTGAGATAGAGGGATTGTGTGAGGCCAGGAGTTCGAGAGAAGGTGCCAACCCTGAGCAGAGCCAGGAAATGACCAGCTTCCATTGCTGTGGAGCCAGGACCTGCAACCCCCCTGGGGCTGGGGCTGGATAACAATTGGCCACTGACTTTGACTCCCAGGCCAAGGCCACCTGGTTCAGTGCCTGTCTTCAGGCAGAGCCAGGCGTCCATCCAGCATTGACAGCTCATTATATTTGACTATTTTTCATTTCTGGCAACATTAGTAGAAGGATATGCAAATAAGAAAATCAACTGAATTTGTTTCTCAGAACAAAGAATGACATTTGATCAGCACAATAAACACTTACATGCAGCCATTTGCTGTGTGTTTACAGTTAATAGAGAAATAATGGGTAGAAGGAAAAGCGTGAAAAGCAGAGACATAGAAAAGAAGAGGAATAGGAGAGACCCTGGTTGTAATAGAGTGAATAGAAGATCAAGGCGTCTGGAGACCTGAGGTTGTTCATTCATTCATTCATTCATTCAACAAATATTTATTGAGAACTTACTAGGTTCCAGGAAATTTTTTTTTTTTTTTTGAGATGGAGTCTTTTTCTGTTGCCCAGGCTGAAGTGCAGGAGTGCAGCTGCACAATCTTGGCTCACTGCAACCTCTGCCTCCCAGGTTCAAGTGATTCTCCTGCCTCAGCCTGCTGAGCAACTGGGATTACAGGTGCCCGCCACTACGCCCAGCTAATTTTTGTATTTTTAGTAGAGACAGGGTTTCACCATGTTGGCCAGGCTGGTCTCAAACTCCTGACCCCAAGTGATCTGCTCGCCTCGGCCTCCCAAAGTGCTGGGATTACAGGTGTGAGCCACTGCACCCAGCACCAGATACAGTATTAGATGCTGAAAACAGATTGGTTAAAGCAGATACTGCTCCTGCCTCCCCGGGACTTACATTGACATGGGAGTTGGAAGACATTCATCAAGCAATCTCACAAATACATGTATTGTGACATGTACTGTACTGTGACAGATAATAATGCATAATACGAAGAGGGCATAGAGGGACCTAGGCCAGCCAGGAGGGGAAGAAAAGCTTCCGTAAGGAAGTGATGAGATCAGCAGGGAGAGCAAGAGTCAATGAGGCAAAGAGATTGGGGTTGAGGGTAGGTGTGTCCAACACAGGGAGCAACATTTGCAAGGGCCCTGAAGGAGGAAGAAGCGCGGTACCTCTGGGCCCTGAAAGCAGGCCAGTGGGAGAGAACACAGCAGTGGGGCAAGTGAGAGGAGGGGATACAGAGAGGTGGTGGGGCCAGAGTGCTCAGGGTCTACCGAGCTGTGGTGTGGAGCAAGGGTCTCTGTGCAAGTATAGTATTAGGATTTATGTTTTAAGATTATTCCAGCTTCTGGGTAGAGAATGGATGGTAGGGGCAAGATGGGGCAGGAAGGCTGGTGGGAAGTCCTTTGAGCCTGTCTAGGCAAGAGACAATGGTGGCTTGGACTAGGGCAGATATCTCAGCCTCGGCACTGCTGACATGGAGTGCTGGACACTTCTTTGTTGTGGGGGGCTGCCGTGTGCATCGCAGGATGTTTAACAGCATCTCTGGCCCCTACCCACTAGATACCAGTATAACCCCCCAAAATTGTGACAACTGAAAATGTCTCCAGACATTATTGGAAGTCCTCTGGTGGACAGCATTGACCCCTGTTAGAACCCTGGACCAGGAGGAGGGTGGTGAAATGGAGAGAAGTGGATGGCTGGAGAGAAGAAAGTTAAGCGGGGAGTGAACAGGAATTGGCCATTGAATGTGTGGGAGTGGGAGGGAAGGTGCTGAGGGTGACTCCGTGCCACAGGATGGATGTGGGTGCCCCTCGCTGGCATGGAGAATGGCAGAACACAGTCCAGGCTGGAGTGAGCACGGGAAACTGGCCATATCTGTGCTCTGCCATGAACTAGCAACATCTCAGGCACGTTATTTTCTCCTACTTGGTCTCGATTTTCTCACCCTCAAAAGACAATATTTGTGCTTGATCTAGAAGAGCAGATATGCAAAGGGGCCACTCTCCTTCCTGCACCTGAGGCAGACATAGCTAATCAATCACAGATCTCTGAGCCTGGAGTCTTCTCCCCACAGTGCTTCAGGACAGCTGGCAGTGGAGGCAGGGTGTCAGAGAGAAAACCCATTTGCCATCACTGAACTTGAAATTCATTTCAAGCCCTTCCAACTTACCACAACATTGACATTTTCTTGATGACAATCAAAGTATGCTTGATAAATTCTGAGCAACAGTGTGCAGACCAGGAGCCTCCCCAACCATCAGGCCAGTCCCATTCCTGCCATGTCCTCCACCCCAAGGAGAGCGCTTCCTGCGTGCCTGTTGTTGCAAAAACATAACAGGGCTTTGGAAGTCTCCGGTGACAGACTCCTAGAGGCCTCGGGGCTGCCCCATCCTCAGGGTCCTTGCTGCTGTCTCCCCCTCTCGCTTGATGTGTCTCTGAGATTGACTGTCTGCCTCAGTCTCTGGGTGACTGAATCCCCCTTCACCTCATCCATGCATTCTCTGTCACTGTCCCCAGACAGCTCATAACAGAGTGGAAGTAGATATTTTATTGCTTTTTCACTTTTATTCAAAAGCACTTTATGCTTCCTGTTCATGCTTTAAAAAGCAGATGCATGAAATGTGAATTTTTAAATATTTGTCTTCCTTCCAATTCCAATGATGTAGTGAATCCACCATTCGAATAACCTTATACTACTGTGGTGGGTTAAATTGCGTCTCCCAAAGATATGTAGGGTCTTTGCCAAAGTAACCAAATTAATATGAGTTCACATTGGATGTGAGTGGGTTCTAATCCAATGATCGGTGTCCTTATAAGATGAGAGAAATTTGGACACAAACACATGAGGTGAACACTCTGTGACAACAGAGGCAGAGGTTGGAGTGGTGAGTCTGCAAGCCAAGGACCCCAGGGATTGCCTGCAGCCATCAGAAGCCAGGAGAGAGGCATGGAACAGATTCGTCTTCATAAGCCCCAGAAGTATAATAACAGTGATGTAATAATGTTATTATATTATTATAGTAATCATATAATAATATGATAATCATATAATGATAATATGGTGATTATTGCTGTTTTACAGCATTATTAACCTTGCTGACACCTTGACTGCAGACTTCCACCCCCCAGAGTCTATGAAAGAATACATTTCTGTTGTTCTAATTCACTTAGTTGGTGATAATTTGTTACAGTAGCTCTAAGAAATGAATACAACATCCAACCCGAATTCCCTGGAAATTAGGCTGCCATTTATGTTTGTGGTGTGCGTGGATTTCTTCCTCTCCAATTGGTGACTCACAATGGAGAAGCAGGTTTCCCTGCCACTCACCTCCTTGCCCCTGGGCCACCTGCGTCGGAGACTCACAGGCTCTGAACTAGGACCGTGCCTCCCAGAGCTTGGTCCCTGTACCAGCCAGTCTCCAGGATGGCCTGCAATGACCCCTGCCTCCTGGAATGCATGCACATGGGTAGGGTCCAGCCTCATACCTGCCTGTCCCACCTCACTCGCCCCACCCAAATCCCAGCTGTGCTGGGTCCTGTCTTTATTTAAAAGATTGGTATTTTGTCGCCATGGATGTTTTCACATTCATTTTTATTTTTCAAAATATTACTTGTTTTCACCACAGAGGCTTTTTTTTACCCCTTTAAATTTTGCACCCAAGCAAGTGCCTCACTTAGTTCTGGCCCTGGTCCCCTCTCACGTTGCAGCAGGACTGACCTAGCTGACAAATGGAATAATAATTGTGACTTATGAGGCTGGGTCACAAAAGCCATTTCAGCTTTCTCCTTGGTCTCTTGCCTCGCTCACTCCAGCAGAAGCTGGTTGCCTGTCAGTGAGAACACTGAGCGCAGCCCTGTGGAGAGGCTGACAGGATGAGGAACTGAGGCCTCCCGCCAACAGCCAGCACCAGTGTGCCAGGCCTGTGAGTGAGCACATCTCACAGCCCCAGGAAGCCCAGTCAACAGGTGAATGTAACTCTGAGACACCCCTAGCCAGAACCACTATCCAGATTGTTCCCCAAATCCTGATCCACAGAAACTAAAAGAGATAATAAATGATTATCATCACTTTAAGTTACTAAGTTTTGGAGTGGTTTGTTTTGCAGCATTATTAGTTAATATAATTCCCTTCTTCAGTGTCTATGATATCCTTCCCCTACTCCCCCTGGCTAGCTCCCATTGGCTCTTTGGATTGTCTCATTTCATAGAGCACCACTTCCAGGAAGGCTTCCTGAATGCCCCCAGCTGTGTTAAGTGTCCTTTACACTTTACTCTCCAGCTGCACAGAACTACCTTTTGTTCCTAGGCTGGACCTTGCTCTCTTTCATTTCTGAGTCTCTGTACCCACTGCTGTCTTTCCCTGGAATGTTGCCTCTCTTTGCCTCTCACTCTGTCAGATTCAGCTCAGGCATCACCTCCTCCAGGGAGGAGTCCTTCTCTGATTCCTTGGCTGGGTTGGGCATCCTCCTGTGTGCCTCTTTAGCACCTTGTGCAAACCTTTATCAGGTTACATTATGGTTCCATGACACTGCTTTCCTGCAGGGCTGCGTGTTCCTGGAGGATGGGAACTGTGTCTTATCATTCTGCTGGGGACTCATATGAGAAGAGGAGGTTGAGATCTCTGCAGCAGACATTCCCAAACCTGGTGGAGCATCAGAACCAGGTGCTGAACTTTTAGAAAGTAGACATCATGGTCTGGGAGACAGACATCTGCCTCCAAGGATAGACACCACATCCACAACCCTAAATCCAAGCTAAGTTTGGCACCTCGAAAGAAAGGACAGCCACAATGGGATGATAAAGTGGGAGCACAAACACAGCACCCAGAGGGGCCAGAGGGTGATGTAATTTACTGATGCTGGATGAATGACCCAGGTGGGATCTGTGCCAGACTGGAGAAAAAAGCCCCTGCCAGTCCCCAGCTCACAGGTCACCTCTTCAAGAAGGTGTTCACAGACCCCAGACTTCATCAGGTCTCTCTGTTAGGGGCTCACTTAACACCAAGCACCTCTCCCTTGAAGCACTTCTTGTCACTGTAATTAACTATTTTCTTTCTTTTTTCTTTTTTAGGAATAGGGTCTCATAGGACAATGTCTCAGTACAACCTCAAACTTCTTGGCTCAAGCGACCCTCTCGCCTCAGCCCCCCTAGTAGCTGGGACTACGGGCACACCACCATGTCTAGCTGGGACTACAGGCACACCACCATGCCTGGCTAATTAATTTTTTTTTTTTTTTTTTTAGAGATAGGGTCTTGCTCTGTTGCCCAGGCTGATCTCGAACTCCTGGGCTCAAGCAATCCTCCTGCCTCAGCCTTCCAAAATGTTGGGATTATAGGCGTGAGTCACTGCACCTGGCCTTGTAATGATCTAATTTCTTGTATGGTTTATTTATCAGGGTCTGCCTTCCTAACAGGCTGTAGGTTCCTCAAGGGTTGGGACTGTGCCTGTGTTCTGGGCACCTGCCCATGCCTGGCAATTTGAAGAAGCTCAATTGCTACATGTTGAAGGAATGAATAATTGCATGAGCAACCATCGATAATTGCATGCTACAACCATCAAACTTGCAGGGTTCTTCCATGGAATAAGTGAGGTAATTATGTGTAAAAATGAATGAATGTTGTACTTGTTATAAAATAAGATCATGGGCTGGAGAAATAGTCCAGCGAATGAGTGAACGAATCAATGGCCTCAGCTGCCCGAGTGGGCGGAGCTTACGTTCTTTCCACAAGGGAAGTTCCCTAGGAGTTTCCGTCAGTAGCTCCCGAGCACGCCGGAGGCCTGGCCTGTGGATGAGATTGTTCCTTATTTCCCCAGCTTCAGCACCACAGAAGAGACCAGAGTCTACCTTGCCAGCTCCTCTAGCACCGACCACGTGCCAATTCATGTCCTGAATGCTCACTTCACTTCTTCACCTTGCTTCACTTCACTTACTGCACGGGAACAGAAAAGCCTAGAGAGGATGGATTACCTGTGCGGTTGCCTCCCTCTGCAGAGTGGGCGTGTCTCAGGAGCTTCTCTTCTTCTCCAGCCCAGTGCGGCCTCGTGTCATCCATAGGACCCACCGGCAGAGGGCAGGGCCTGCGAGTGGGGCCAGCCTCCTGGTGACTCTCGCCTCCTCTTTTCCAGCGGACGCTACCAGAGGACGAAGGTCTGACTCTGGCCAACGGCCCAGAATTTCTGGCCCAGTTTTGCCTGAGGAAGCCAACTGTGCAGGAGGTCAGGATCCCGGTAGGGTGAGAGTGGGAAAGTTAACATTCCCAAGAGACTCCAAGCAACAGGATTTCCTGACCTGGGACTATTACCTTTCTCACATTACATGGCCAGATTTACTTCCTGCTATTATTAAAAGTACGAAAAAGATGAAGATATGTGTTTAATGGAAACAAGGGCAAGAGTTTGCCTGACTGGACTTTGAGGAGGCTGTAGGATCATGGCGCTAACGGCATTTGGAGGGCTGGGAAGGGACTCTAGCCCTGGCTTTACCTGCCTTTGTCATCAGCTGGAGCAAGCAACTCCGCAACCTCGGAGCCTCAGTTTCCTTTTCTGTAAAAGGCGGGGAGGGTGGGTGGTAAGTGCAATGCTGAATCAGAACTCATAGAGCTGCTGGGTGGACATGTGAAGTAAAAGAGGAGACAGCTTTTGCTCCTGAAGGATGCCATTTGCGTTTTCCTCATCAGTTTGATCTCCTCCAATCATCCAGCACCTCCATCTGACCTTCTCAGCTGAGAGGTCCTCAGTGTTTCTGTGGCCTCCAGGAGAAAGGTCCCCCTCCCCGGCTGAGGCCAGGCTGATGGCAGGCTGCACGGCCAGCCTTCCACAGTCACCTGAAGGATACAGAAAAGGAAGAGCTGGAGGCTTCTAGCAAGCTGCCGAACTGTGTCCTCCAGCTGCGCCCAGCCCCCTGGAGGTAGCGCCGGAGCACGTGGTGGTGGCTATGTAGGAAGGCCCCTTTCGAGCCGCCCTATACTGTCTTTGGGATCTGCTTTTTACTGCCACAGCCTATGTGCTCCTGATTCTTCTCTCAATCCCTGGATGGAAACCGGCCTCTGATACTTGGCTCTGCTTCCTTGGAGGAGCTACTTAACCATTCAGTCCTCTCTGCAGTTAGCTATTAAGGTTGTCCTGCGAACTGAAGCAGAGAGTCCCCGCAAAGGGTGCAGAGTAGGGCACCCACAGAGGAGCCTCTAAAGCACTTTCCATGAGGTGGATGGCTTCTCCTCCCCAAGGGACCCAGGAAGGAAAGGAGAGCTGGTGAGTGGGTGGGCTGGGTGAGCCCAGGGGTCAGCTTCCTCCCTGTGGCCCACAACTAGCCTCTGAATCCCAGTGTCACACATGACTCTAAGTTGGTCTTGGGACCAAATCTCTGACCTCTTTGGCTGCAAGTACGAGAAGCCTTATGTAGTGCTAAAACAAAATTTTCACTTCTCCTTTTCGGCCTCTTAGAATCCATTGGCTGAGAGGAAATGAATTCACTAGTGTCTTGGCAAGAATTTATTTCATTTATTGCAATAGCCTCTGTTTACATTTCAAAACCATGCAGACAAGTGCGTGTGAGAGAATATATTCTGTCCATGGATAATGCCTGGGACCCTGATGAATTATCTGGCAGGCCCCCTTGCTGGGCACCAGTTTTGTCGCCATCCAATAAAGTCTTAATATAAACCTGGCTCTCAGGCATGAGCTATCTTAACACATTTTGCCAGGCATGTATTATGATAAGCCCATTTTGCAGATAAGAAAAGAGAGGCACTGAGAGCTATTGTAACGGCTCAGGACAAAGAGATAGGAGAGCACAAGTTAGGTCTGGGTGACCCCAAAGCCCATATTTCCCCCCATATTCTCCTCTGCCCCATGAGAGATAATCTCTGCTAATCTTGTCTCTGTGGCTGGGGACTGGGAACTCCTCAACAGTGAAGTTGTCAACTACCAGCCACATGTTAACATTTCCTGAACAGTCACAATGCTTTTGTATCCATTGCCTCGTTTAATCCCCTAAGAATTCAATTAGTTGCCCTGTTTTACAGAGAAACAGATCAGTCCTCAGAGAGGTTGAGCAACTTGCCCAAGGTCACAGGTTTAGGAAGAGGCAGGGCAGAGATCAGAATCCAAGTCTGCCTGTCCCCAGATCCCTGCTGGCCTCTTTGCAGTGTGTGGGCTTCCCAAGGTCAGAGATAAAGAGGGCACACATAGCTAGCCTGAGCCATAACATCCCTCAGTCCTGCTTTTCTTCCCCACTCACAACATGGTGGGTATGAAAGAGTAAAATGAAAACCCTAATTGTTTGCCCCAGAGCTGGTCCTACACCCGGGATGACTAATCAGTCTCCACATAGAGTACATTTAGGGTCTCTGGAATGAAGGAGAATGTGGACAGAAAAATGGGGCTTTTAAAAAACCTTGACTGAAAGTAATTTTTAATGTGCCAAATATTTCGACTCAATCCAATACACAGGTTTATTACACAGAAGGCCAAAATATCCTAAACAGGCATTATTTTGCAACAAGAAGAAATCAGAGCAAATCCAGCCATCATTACTCCCAGGAGCTAAGAATGTAATTGTCTAATGTGACTTATAATCAGCCAAGGTCTTGTCTTGATGCTTTAGCCCACCAAATGGCTTCTCCTGTCTCCAGGGGACAATAATCCCTGCGGAATTCTCCTTAGCACAGATGGGTTTCTGCACAGATAACGGGTTTTATTGCTTGAAAGCATTTCGCATTCTGTACTGCTGTTCCCAAGAAAGAGCTGGAACTGTCCTGCTCTGCATCTGTCTCTTCTTATTCCAGATACCTCCAGAGCAGCTCAGAATCCCTTGGGTTGGGGACAAGTCGAGGCAGAACATAGAAAGAAGCACTTTGTGCCAGGCAGAGATTCTCCACCCTTCCTGTTGTGTGATTCTGAGCACGTCACTCCTCATTCTCAGCCTTGGCTTCCTCTTCTGGAAAATGGGAAGAGGATGGTTCACTCAGATGCCTTGGGAATTGAGACTCCTAGCAGAGTGCCTGGCATACAATAGATATGCCGTAGCCCCTGTTCTTAATCAACAGCTTGACTGAAGCACGGCCAGGGAGAAGCATGACTTCGTGCGTGGACTTGGGTGCCCTTGGATGGTTGCTTGGTCAGCTAAGTGCTCCTTGTTGAGCATCCCTTTGATCAAGCCACTTCCCTTCTCAAAAGGGTTCATTGGTTTCCTGGCTCCCCTGAATGCAATCCAGATTCTTGAACCTGGCCATCGAGGCCTTCATTTCCCAAAATGTCTTTTCAGCCAACTTTTCCACTATCCAAAGAGCCACTTAATAAATATTTCAAGAAAGAGAAAATACAATGCATCTAGCATTATGTGGCTGAAAATCTTGGCCCTGTTCCTAAGAAGCTCGTAAGCTAATTGGGAGCAGTAAGATACCAAAAGAAAAGGAACCTGGCATTGTTTCCTAACTTATTTTATATTTTAATTAAGGGACCACCAGCTCAGGCCCAGAGCTCTAGTTCCACTTCTGCCTCACATTTGGAGGGCCTGCTCCAATGTGATACTTGGAGAATGCCACTTAAGTTAAGCCACAGTCCAGGCACAGTGGTTCACGCCTACAATCCCGGCACTTTGGGAAGCCGAGATGGGAGGACTGCTTGAGCCCAGGAGTTTGAGACCAGCCTGGGCAACATAGCAAGACCCTGTCTCTAAAAAAAAAATCTAAAAATCAGCCAGGCATGGTGGCACATGCTTGTAGTCCCAGCCAGTTGGGAGGCTGAGGTGGGAGGATGGCTTGAGCCCAGGTGTTCAAGACTGCAGTGAACTAGGATTGCACCATTGCACTCCAGTCTGGGCAACAGAGCAAGATCCTGTCTCAAAAAAAAAAAAAAAATTAAGCCACAGGTGGGTGCTGCGAGTCACTGACCACACGTCCCAGGCCAGGTGGGCGTGGCAATCTCATGAGGAAGCCCCCACACCAGAATGATGACTGTACCCACTTCTGTTTTCTCCATCGACACCCCACACTTGGCCAACAATCATAGAGAATGTCAGAAATGGGTGTTCGAGGGTGTGTTTTCTTTTTGGTAAAAATAGTTGCCTGTTAAGCAGCATGATGACATGAGAAATAAGCTTCCATTTGGTGAAAGTCGAGGTACTCAAGGCCTGTGTGATTTAGAGACACTTCGCAGGGCTGCAAGAACTGTGTAGGAAGCCAGTGAGGCCTGGAGGCTCTGCCCTGTGGCGTTGCTGCCCGAAGCTTGATGCCTGTCAGTCCTGGGTGTAGTCCTTCACCTGGGAGGACTTCCATTTGCCTAATGTTGAGTAAGAGGCCTGTGGGGACAAAGAAGTCCTGCCAGGAACATTGTATTTGTTGCAGATAAGCACATGCAAGTGAGTAGGAGCTCCTCAAAGGGCAGAGGGCCCGGATTCCACCAGTGGCACTCAGGAGTTTATACAGCCATTTGGGGCTCCTCGTGAATGAATGCTTGTTTTCTAAATGTCTCCATGTGGCAGAATTTGGAGAGACTGCTTCCGTTCTCACGTCGTTGTGAGGTTTGGAGAAGAAGCTAGCCCTCGCTCACTTCAAACTTTGACAGGAGCTACACTCATCAACCGAAACTAGAAGCAGCCTAAGGGTTGTGCATGACTACAATTTCTGTTTGTTTGTTTGTTGTTTGTTTTTTGGTTTTTTTTTTTGAGATGGAGTCTCACTCTGTCACCTAGGCTGGAGTGCAGTGGCATGATCTCAGCTCACTGCAACCTCCACCTCCCGGGTTCAAGCGATGCTCCTGCCACAGCCTCTCAAGCAGATGGGATTACAGGCACCCACTACCACGCCTGGCTAATTTTTGTATTTTTAGTAGAGGCGGGGTTTCGCCATGTTCACCAGGCTGGTCTCGAACTCTTGACCTCAGGTGATCTGCCTCAGCCTCCCAAAGTGCTGGGATTACAGGCATGAGCCACTGCACCCAGTTGCCAGTCCATTTTTAACAGTCCTTTATTAATAGTCATTTGCAGGGCATACCTAGGCTAGTGTGTCCTAGACTCTGAGGTGAATTTATCCATGATGCTTGAATGTAAGAAATGTCACATCGATTTATCTAATCCATTATATCTGTTTCCAGACCTTCTCCCCATTGATACAGCTGGGCAAACATGACAATGTCAGTCATTCACTGATGCTCCCTCCCTCCCTGCGTAAGCCCTAAGGCATATTAGGAAGCTCTGCTGCATAGTGGGCAGTGGTGTCCCCTCTCTGGGCATGTTTGGCAGGCATCTTTGGGGTAAGGTTTGCCAGCCTGGCCTCCTGCCCAGCTCAGCTTTGCCCCTGCTGTGAAGGGCATCTCCTGCTGTTGGCCACACTTCCTTGAAGCCAGCCAGCTAGAGGGACCTCATGCAGGCTATGGGGCCTCCTTGGTTGGACTCATGAGTCCCAGGTACCAAGGTGGTCTTTTCCACCATAGGTTGGGCCACTTGAGTGGCTATGGATTTGGAAGTCCCAGGTCCCATGGCCCATCCTGTTATATCTCTGTCCTCCTTCCTCATCAGCCCCATAGAGCTGAGCTACACATATTCTCTGTCTCTCTCTCTCTCTCTCATTTGGTATACCAAAGCCTCCATTTCTTGTCTTTTTGGGATTCCATGGTTGAATTATCCTTTTTGGGTCCCAAAACCCTAAAGCCCTTAAACCCACAGGCTGTTAGGGGCTGGAGCATGGGACTCAGATGCCCAGCTGCCCCAGAGAACAATTCATTAACAGTAAAAAGGCTAAGATGCGAATTTTTCTCAGAAAATCACCCATTACATATGAATCTTTATTGAACTTTCACAGGAAAGCCCCAAGAAGATGCTAGTATCATCATCACCCCCGTTTAACAGATGGGAAAATGGACTTAGAAGGATTAACCAATTGTCGCATGGCTAGTGAGTAGGGCAGTGTCAGTTTTGCTTCCAGGTCCAAAGTCTGGATCGCCCATTATGTAGTGGTTCTTAGAGTAAGGCCTGATTCCTTCTGGGCCTCAGTTTTCCCAGCTGCAGAGTGGCAGGTTCTAGCTACCAGAAGGCAGGCTAAACTCATGAAGCCCAGGCCTGCCCGATCAGCATCTCCCTCGGGCAGTCAGCTCTGGCCTACAGGTGTTTGACACACTTATGCTCAGCCACAGGCCCTGGGTGTATGAAAAAGTGATCCTGATCGACAGGCACCTTAGCTTGGGGCTCAGTCAGTCATAAATGAGGCGACAGTTCACCTGTCTCAAAGGTGGCAACTTAAATAACTCCCTCTGGGATATCAAAGCTGGCAAATGACCCTGGGAAACAGCTAGACGGCAGCACAACAGAGGCAGCTCCCGCGGCAGATGGGCACATTCCCCAGGTCCCAACCTTCATCAGTGTGTGTCATTTTTATTGCAGCTTCTGCCTCCCCAGCAGAGAGGGACCTTCCCAGAGAAGATGTCTTGCGCCTCACCTGATCTTGTTCTGAGAGTAGGAGACTGGAAGAGAAGCGTTCAACTCCCCAAACACAGCTGGGTTTGTTTCGTTTAATCTCCCAGCCTGTTTTTCTGCTGTCCTCCTGAAGAATGTTTAATCTCACAGTTAAAACCACCAAAAGCGACTTTTTTCCCCCTCAACTGCTCAGTAACACATGACCGTGCAAATTCGTTTGGCCCCAGCGCCACAAGTCATAAAAGGCATCTAGTGGGCGGCATGAGTCAATCAGGCCTTTGGACGGTGACGTAACCACAGCTTGTCAGTTTCCCCATCCAGGCAGCCCCAATCCCCCAGTGCAGACATCTGGAGCCAGGGATTGACAAGTGGATTCCAGGATTGGGCCCTGCCTCCCGCCCTGTTCAGTTCCAGCCCAGCCACGGCCGCCGCCAACGAGGACACGCACTGTCTTTCTGCACATTCCCACGTACACACACCCCCGCAGCCCCCTCTCCACTCATTCCTGCATTTCCGGCAATGTGAATTCTGACAGCTCGGGCAGTGTCAGCCTCTCCGGTGCATTCCTCACCACACCACCTCACTGCTCCCGAGCCTGCTGACAGCACTCCCCGCCATACCTACCAAGCCGAAGGTGCAAGGAACCTCTTGATCCCCACTGTGTCTTTGTCCCAGGGCCACAGCAAAATAGCACCCCCCTCCCCCACACACCCTCTAGCCTAATTTATTAGACTTTTAAACACATTTATTTACTGTGATATCTACACCACACCAAACATCTGGAGGGAAACCGGGAGACAATCCACCAGGAATTTAAATGTTTGTTCTGCAATGTAACTTTGAAAACCGAACCAGGAAAACTTGACATCTTTAGCCAATTGCTTGGTGGTGAGTAGACTTAAGCCAATATATAATCTGTAAAGGTTGTCCCTCTTTGCCCTCTCTCTATCCATGAAACGCATTCACCAAACAGCCCAGAAATATTTCTTTCTTCTCCTCTCAGAGGTATGTGAAACCAACCTGAATCAACAACATAGTTGTTCAACCAGCCTCACTGAGAACGAAGGCATTTCAGAGCTGGAAAGACGCTAGGGTCTGGGGTCTTATCTTCCACATTTATCTGCCTTATTATAATCCATCCAGTCATCCTCTTTGCCCTTGCCAGATCTCATCGCTTACACTACCACTACCGAAGGAGCATAACGTCTGTGACTTTTCTTTTTTTTTTTTTTTTTTTTTGAGATGGAGTCTTGCTCGGTAACCGGGCTGAAGTGCAGTGGCAGGATCTTGGCTTACTGCAACCTCTGCTTCCTGGGTTCAAGTGATTCTCCTGCCTCAGCCTTCTGAGTAGCTGGGACTCCAGGCATGCGCCACCACGCCCAGTTAATTTTTGTATTTTTAGTAGAGATGGGGTTTCACTATGTTGGCCAGGTTGGTCTCGAACTCCTGACCTCGTGATCCATCTGCCTCGGCCTCCCAAAGTGCTGGGATGACAGGTGTGAGCCACCGCACCCGGCCACGTCTGTGACTTTTCTAAAGCTTTAAGATGATGTCACCCATAGGCAGAAAGGCCCACTCATTTCGTGCATCTGCAGTCACTCTTCTGACGAGGTGCGGCTCTCTTTTGTTCTATCAAAGAGAAAGCCAGTCTAAATTAATGGGAAACTAGAGAATTAGGTCATTTTTCAAGATGAAATTGCTGGTAGCTTAAGGAATCAGCTACTTGAATCCCATGCTAAAAAAGTGTAACTCCTGAGGAGTGAGCTCTTCTTTCTTCCTTCCATAATGTCAGGCACTAAGGGAGGTTCAGAAACACAGAGCAGCATCTACTCCTTTCTCAACGAGCGTGGGGTCCAGTGCAGTTGGCCCTCATTTAACAAATAATTACACCCATGCGTGAAAGGTCCAGTGGGGAAACAGTGCGGGGAGCCTCAGGCAGAGCTGATTCAGGCCTGGGGAGGCACGGGAGCCACATGTTCAGGGTCCACAGGCCCAGCGGAGTGATACGGAAGTTTCCAAGATGGTAAGCCTCTCTCCTGGCCCATGCTCACCAACGGGACCCCATTCCTAACCAGGCTTTCCCTCTCTCTCTTTTAAGTGTTCCAGGAATGTTCCTACCCCTGCGTCTTTGCTGAAGCCCCTCTTGCCTGGGATGCCCTCTGTCCTCTCTTTCTGCCCACACACATCCTGCCAGTCCTTCAGACAGGGCCAGCCTCACGGGCATAGGACCTGAGCAGTTTCACAGGGCCCTATGCACAGAAGGATCCCAAGCTCGGTTGATTGCTCCGATCTTGCCATCTTGAAACTCTTTGATAATTTTATCTTTTATCTTGTGTTTTGGGAGTGAAATCCAATGGGATATTGGGGCCTGCAAAGGAGAAGAGGAGATCCGCACAAACCCGTTCCTGGCTGCTGCATTCACCTCCAGCGTTTGTGATGCCCCAGAGCACAGAACTCCAGGGAGCCCACGATGCAGGAGAGTTCAGCGACATTCACTGAGTACAAGAGAAGTGAGTTACTCCTGCAGCTGAGCACGGGGGGCGCTGGCAACTGCGAAAGGTCTCGCTTTCCATTCCAACCAGAACTTGCTCCTAGCGCAGACAGAAGGCCGTGGCATTCTGAGAAACACACATGATGAAGGAGCCCTGTCATATCCTCTCTTCCTTGCATCGCTTCCCCGTGTGAGCAACCACTTGTGCTGGAAATGATGACAAGGAAGGACCGGGAAAGACAGGGCCACCCGCAGTTCCTTTTCCTTGACGTCTTTCCTTCCTCATCAGCGAGCTGAGGTGGAGAGCGTTGGTAGAATGTGTGCATAATAAGAAGTGAAATAAAAACAGTCGAGTTAGTATTCTACTGTTTCCACTGTTCTGGTGAGAACAAAACACATATGCTGTATATGCTTTGAAATACAAAGTGTGTAATTTTAGTGATTCTGCATAGGAGTTAAATGTTTTTATATTTGCATTTAAAACTGCCATTGTATACTATAAAGATAAAGAGTAAAATGTATTCTAATAGTTTAACTTTACTAATAATTTAGTTTTTACTTTTATTTACCTAGAGTAACATTAAATAGCAAACAAACAAAACAAACATCACAAGTTGAGAGAGAAACCACAAAAGAAAGAAAAAAGCTTTATATGTTAGTACCTTGAGAGGCACTTTTTCCTGCTTTTTGAGTAGGGATTCATGTTTTCCCGTTGCACTGGGCCTCACAAATAATGTAGCCAGCCCTGCCTTCAAAGTGCATTCAAGTGACTCCCCCTTCATAATCACTTAAGCCTGGAGCCACGGCCTTGCCCCTGAACACGTAGAACAGTCATGGCCGTACCAACCGTGAGCCATTCTTGCCTCTCTCTCTTTTGTCTTATTCTCTTGTCATCTGTCCACCTCGCAGGACTGTTGGGAGGCACCAATGGACTTTGCAACTGGAGATCTCCCAACTGGACCATGTCACTGTTATGTTTAATTTGCACTGTGCACAGTAGGTACCCAGTCAACGTTTGTCGAATTCCATGGACTGGGCCTTATACCTCCGAGGATTTTTCACAGCAGTAGCATGTGCACATGCACAGAACGAGAACACAACCAATGCTTGTTTGCTGGTGAAGACCTGGTCTCAGTATTTTGCCCAGGAAACCCTTTCTTCATGGACAGCATGAGGCAAGCTATGGCCCTTGCTGTGGTCTCAGTGGTTCAGCACGGAAGATGAAGATGACGGGCAGTCTCAGAATATTAGCTTTAGAAGGGACTTTGGATCCTTTTGATTTTGGTAGGTGAAATACTTTTTAAAAATAAAGAAAACGGACTTTGGACAAATGCTCTCATTTTGTAAATGAAAAAGTAGAGACAGGAAGAGTAACTGATTTGTCCAAAATCAAACAAAGTAAATTGTGTTGCATCCTCTCCATCCGTAACCACCTTCGCCTTCCCTAACTGCTCCATGTGGCCTGGGAAAGTCCACTTCACCTCGTCTTAGAGGTGGGCTTCTGATTCTAGCTAAGCCAACCCCCACGTTCTGTTCCTCTGGTCATGGTGATTGATTTGGGGACCAGCCTGAGACCTAAGCTAGCCCAACGGGCATCCTTTCTGCCAGGAGTGAGAGGAGTCAGGCCCTCTCTTCCTCAGGATCAGGGATGTGAGAAGATGTGGCCTGGGATTGTTGCAGGTATTTCTGATCTCCTGAAGGGCCTGCGCCTAGGGAGAAAGCCCAGTATACTGCAGGAGGAAGGACAAAAGGAATGGCAGAATAGCACCAGAGCCTGATGCTTCCGAAAATCACTGGGTCAACCTGTACCTCAAGCCCACAAGACTATGGGAGCTTTCAATTATGTGACCAACAAATTCTCTTTTTGAAATGTGTTATTGGGGATTTTGTTCTTTATAACAGAGAGGGTGCTGACAAACACAACAGAAAGGTGACGTGAATAATTCAGGACACACAGAGGCTAGCCTAGAACCCAGGTCTCCAGATTCCCATCCAGTGACCATTGCAGTAGCCCCATGGGAACTAATACTGATGGTAACAGGTGCAGTGGAAGCAATAGAAGCAATAGCAAACACAACAGATGTGGTGCATTGTTGATACATTGTGAATGAATCAAGGATCCCAGGTCCTCTTCCGCCAGGGCCAGTTAAGCCAGATCTGCAGTGTCCCTGGGAAAGGGGTGATTCCTCCATTGAGGAATCGGGGGATGTCCTCCCTTGCTTACCTGCTCTGTTGCTTGGGCACTGCCCATTTACGATCCTGCAAGCAGCAGGCAGGTGGCATCCGCCCAGTAGAGTATCTGCAATAGCAGCACCGTGATGAGTGAAACTCAAGGTTTCATGAGGACACCGGGGGGCGGGAGCACCTTCAGGGCTCTGTGGCTAACTCAGGCACAGTCTGTGCTCAATAACTCCAAATGATAGGCCACTGTGGGCCATGAGCAGCTCCCTCCTTCCTGCCTTAATGAGCACAGTGTGGAGACTGAACCTCAGTCTCCTAAAGGGATGGAATTAAAGGAATTGGGTCAGCCCACTCATCTTACATCTGGGCGTACCAGGCGGTGACACACCCAGGCTGCATAGCCACACAATGCGCACCCTTGGCTGGCCCAGCTCTGCTCCCCTCCAGGCCCAGCAGCCTCCTTCAGCTGCTGAAGCTGAGGGCACTGGGGCGCTAAGGTCCTCACCGGCTGATGCTTTGGGCAGGTGCTGGGAGGCGAGGAAGAGCCCATGGCACCATCTGACTTCTCAAGGTGCCCTGGCAGGGTATCTTCCTGAGATCTCCTGGGGAGGTGGCCAGATGAGAGAGATCAGAAATGAGGGCAAAACCGCAGAGGCCAGAGCTGAGCTCTCCATCCTGTGCAGTCACCAGGCACTAAGGCCAGAGAGAAGAGGAGAGCCCTGAGCGCACAGTCAGGGAAGGCCTTGTGCAGAGGCGGCACCTGGGCAGGACAGGAGGGATGGGCAGAGGGGGTGGCAGACGGCAGACAGCAAGGACAAAGGGGAGGAGGTGGGAAGGTCCCCAGACGGCATGGAAGACAGAAAGGGAAGCCCCTCCAGCCATTCCTGCCAGAGACCCTGCCAGGGCCCAGGGGTGGGCTTGGCAGACTGAAGGGCTCCTTGCCAAGGCTGATAAAGGGAGTCTCTCACTAACTGGAAACAGGGGGCTTGCAGAACTGAGAGCCCTGTGAGAAGGGTCTGGATTCTGGTGACAGGAAGATTGGCAGGGCTGGGATAGTGGCTCGGAGCCCCCAGGGCCTGGTCCCAGAGGCTCAGACAAATGCCATGGTCCCAGGAGGCCCTTCCTTGCAGTAAGCAAAGATTTCCTCAGTTCTTTTGACTACTCCCTGGGTCAGGTGGCTTCACCTCGCTGAGCCTCCGTTTCCTCCTCTGTAAAATGGATGTGTAACCTGATAGGCTTGTTTTGAGTAGTTGCTGAGATCACAGGCCTGGCACAGAAAAGTGCCCTTCAGTTGCGGGCTCCGTGCCCCCTCGCCCAGCACCCTGTGCACCCCTCTGGTTTCTCTAGTTATTCACCAACTCTGCCCCGGTGCACTGCCTGCCTAGGGCTGAATGGAGCAGTGCGGGGGTAAATCAAGCCCACATGTCTATCACCAGGCACTAAATCTCCCCAGGGACATTCCTTACTGTAGCAGTAATGCCGCCAGCTCCAGGGAACAGGGTTGCACCATAGGGCAGGCTCCCCACACCCGGGAGGCTTAAAGGGCCAGCTCCAGCAGAAGCAGCAGGCCCAGCCTTACATGGGCACAGACGTGTCAGCAACAACAGCACCCCGCTGCAAAAATAAACAAGCAGCACCGCCGTGTCCAGAGACTCACAGCGTAGGGGATCAGAGCTCAGGCTCTGAAGTCAGACCAGGTCTCATTCCCAGTTGAGCCACTAAGCCATGTGGCCTTGGACAGGTTACTCTCCTCCCTGCTGTCCACCTCAGTTTCCTATTGGGCTGGCAGGTCTATGGTGAGGACTGAAACGCTGAGAGTCCCTGGTGCACATCAAACACTCCCTTGTAGCGCCATTGTTAATCAAGTGCCACGCACATGTGATTTGGTCCACTCCAAAGTTTCCTAAGGAAGAGACTGCTATTGTCCTTAAATTTCCAGAGGAGAAATAAAACCAAATCTCGGGCTTGTTTGGGCTGTGTGATCAATGGTCATCGCGGGACACTTGGCACTTGACCTGTGCTCCATGCAGTGAAGGGGATGGGCCCAGGCCCGGGCACTGGGAGTCCTGGCTGCTGTGCCTGCTGCACCCGCCCACTGCCCTGTCCTCCCTGGCTCCCCACCGCAGGCAGTTGTCAGGGCCGGCTTTCCCTCGCATGGTCTGATCACAAACCAGGAAGGACGGCACAAGAACTGATCTTTGTTGAGCCCCACTGGGTGAGGAAGGCCCCTTCGCTCCCGATCCTCCTCCAGCTCTGCCGGGAACTGCTTTGGAGAAGAGCAACTGGAGGATCAGAGAGGCTGTATGCCTGCCCTAGGTCACTCGGCTGGTGGGGGCATCGCCAGGAGTAGAGCCTGGCCAGCTTTGAAGCCAGCGTTCTTTCCTCTCTAGCCCACGTGCCTGGTTCAGTCTACAGTACCCCTCACTCCCAGAAAAAGAACAAAAGCATTCAACCCATGGCCTGTCTTCTGGGCTGCGAGGGACGGCCCTTTTATTTATGACAACCGGCTGGCTAAGATCAAAATGACCAGTGGGAAACACCAGTCTCTGTGGATGACTTTGTCATCAGATCACTCGAGAGAAAAGAGCATTTATCTGTCAGAGGCTCACTCTTCCTCTGCAATACCTTCTGAAATTATTGAGGGGATTTAAAACAGGAAAATACAATGTTTTCCTCATGAAAAGAACGTTTCTATTAGAGAAAGCATAGGAAATACAGAGAGATGGGGTCGGGGGAAGCCCTTAACCTCCCACCCAAAGGTAACCATTAACCTGTCTGTGCCTTCCTCTATCAGCTTTTCATTCTTTTTCAGCAAACATTTGTTGAGATCCTCCCTTCAGTGGTGCCGAAGAGCTGATTATGGTAGAATCTGTGCCCTCGAGCTCACTGTGTGCCGGGGTGCAGGGCTTTTGATTTTATAGGATGTTTCAGACACCTCTTGGGCACCACTTCAAGGGAGACTGGCTCCGTGTGGGTTTGCAGCAGCTTTGTGCAGAGGTGACGGCCCTTTGCCTGTGACCACCCTTGGTGCCTCTCCAATGTTGCAGCCCTCAGCCTTTGTGCATGGCCAGCCCAGAAGTGCGGTGTGCTCTGCCCATGAACGCGACCCAGTGGACAAACGCTCCCCATTTTGTTTCCTGGGTGGCTGGTCTGAGCCACATTTTACAAGGCTCCAGTGGGGTGGAGCTCCAGTTGTCCACAGTGATGGTCAACAGAACCATGTGCTCTTGGTGGATTCGTTTTCCCTCCTCCCCTTTCTCTCTCCAGTTCCCTCAGGCTAGTCCCTGGTAACTGTTTCCAAATAAACTACCTGCACACCAGCTTTTGGCTCTGCTCCCAGTTTGAGACTGTGGTCATGCTATACATACAATTTAGGAAGGGGAGGCAACAAATTTAAACATTTGTTATTTGCATATTTCAGTTCTATAGCTTTAGTATTGACTAAATACCCACCCCTTGCAAGACAGTCCAACGAGGTTGTTACAGTTGATTCCTCTTTATCAAGAAAATAAAAGGAAATGATGACAGAAACAGATGTTACTACCATCAGTGCACTCTCTTCACCTCTCACTGATTTGCTAAAGTAACCTAGGAAAGTAATCTCAGATATTTTTTATTTTGAAATGATTTCAAATTAAAGGAGAGCTGCCAGGGCAGTAGAGGTAATTTCTGTTATATACTTTTTGGGGGTGCTATTGCTTTTCCTGCTTTACACTGTAACATGATTTCCCACGTGAGGTGGGAGGTCCTGCCTGCAGCCACCCTGGACATCATCTACAGCCAGGTTTGGTAGAGCCTGTCCCCTCCCTGCCATGGACTAGTCTACATATGGGCCTACACCCGCTTGCAGGCTACAAGACCAAGGGGAAGTTTGTTGGGGGCCTCTTGGGTTTTCTCAATCCTGAAAGAGAAAGTCCCTGTTCCTCCTCTGGGCACAGTGGCAGCTGGATGGGATTCCCGGGCCAGCTGCTGCACCTTGCAACCCAAGACCAGCTTTAGGAGGAGCCAAGAGGAGGTATCCGAGGGGAGAGCTGGAGGGAATGAGGTCCCACGACCTGCCTCTGGCTCTGAGAGACAGCACACCCCTTACTGTTTAAGTCAACTAGAGCCCTCTGCTCTACTCAGACCATCCCAATGGCACATCACATTGTTAGCAGTCCTTTTTGAGAATCGTCTTATTGGCTGCCTGATATTCTATCTAATGGATGGGCCGTAATTTATTTACCAACCCTCTATTATAAGACATTGAGGCTGTTTCTTATTTTTCAAAATAATAAGTGACGCTATGGTGAGCATCTTTGTTCATAAGTTTGGTCTGTATTTCAGATACCCTACATGCAGCTGCTGGATTATAAGCCATCATCCTTCTTAAGCCTCTTGATACCTATGGTCAAACTGCCAGCAGAATGACACCCCACCAAGCAAGCACACAGCACTAACCTTATTATGGCAGCGGCTCTGGGTTTTCCATTTTATTTTATTTTTTAAATCACTGCCTCTTCAATAATTAAGAAAGAAAGATTGTTGGTTGCATTTCTTTAATTACTGATGAGCTTGGTCATTTCCCTTCTTGTTTGCTAATGGGCTTATTGCCGCTCATTCTTGTTGATTTCTATTGTTTCTTGAAGACTCGTAAGAGGATGACAAATAGATGATATTGACTTCAAGGATGGAGAAGTCTTGGTCCCTATTATGTGCTGCCTCCCACCTGTGTACCCTTCTCTGGATGATTGCACACTGCTCTTCATCCTTCCCCCAACATTTCTCCTGTCTCTGCCTACCCCCATCCTACCACCAAGGGCAGGGATGGAGGGAAGCTTCATGCTCCCCTCGAATCTAGCGGACTGAGGGCACGGCGCAGCCTGAAGCACTGACGACAGGAGGATTCCAATGCCACCCCTCTATTCCTTGGGAAGATCTCTGACTGACGAGTGGTTAGAGACGACGTGTGGCTATGGAAGGGGGGGCCGCCACACTTATGCCCCCCGCCTTCCTGTTGTGGGGTTCTGCTCTCTGCTCACTGCCTAACCTGCCAAGCTAAAGCCCAGTCAACATGGCAGACCCTGCCAGACCCATGGCCTGTCAGAGCTGGAAGGAGCTTGCTCTGAAGAAGTTTCTCCCAGCAAGTGTTTCCTGAGCATTTACTCTGTGTAGTCTCCATGGCGTGGGATCCAAGAACACAGGGAAATTGGGGTCCCTAGGGGCTGGTGGATTCAAGGTGGTTGCACTGTGATTGTCTCTGTCTATTTGGGCTGCTGTAACAAAATAGATAGTACTTTGTTTGGGTGACTTATAAACAACAGAAATGGAATTCTTACAGTACTGCAGGCTGGGAAGTCCAAGATCAAGGCACCAGCAGGTTTGGTGTCTGCTGAGGCCTGCTTCCTGGTTCCCAGACAGCCATATTCTCACTGCATCCTTAATGTGGCAGAAGGGGTGGCAGAGCTCTTGTATGAGGGCACTAATCCCATTCCTGAGGGCTCCCCTGCCATGACCTGATCACCCCCCACAGAGGCCCCACCTCCTAATACCATCACCTTGGTGACTAGGTTCCAACCTATGGATTGTGGGTGGACTCATTCAGTCCAAGCAGCAGTGGAGGCCATGAGCCCTGCCTCAAGGCGGGAGTGGAAGGTGCCAGCCCTGTAGTGTGGCGATGGTGGCATAAATTCAACCAGCACTTTGTGACGCTCTGTGAAAGAGCCTGGGCTTTGCAATCAAACCCTGTGCTGCCCTCACCTCTGCCAAGACCAGGGGGTGACCTTGGGCCAGTGACTGACTCTGCCAAGTCTCAGTTTTTTTTTCCTTCTGTAGCTTTAGCTCTTATGTCAGCATTACTCTGTGCTCTTTGTAAACCCCTCTTCATTCTCTTGTCCCCTTCCACGAGGCAAGGACCATGGCTGTCTTGTGTGACCTTTAAGGGGGCTGCACGGTGGGCATTCAATGCACCCTGATCCCAGGCAAAGGGTGGCTGTGTCTGGCACACAGTAGAGACTCACCTGTTGAAGCCTGTTTTGGACCATCCTATATGGGAAAGCACTTAGCAAGCAGTCAAGGTTGCCATAAACATTAAGGACCAGAATAATTAACCACAGTATATTTTAAGGCCATTTGGGTCTATCCCTCAGTTTCTGCTGGAGACAGAATCCTGTGCTGGATTAATGTATCATTGTATAATGAGAAAATGATAATCACCATATTGATGATGATGATTACTGTTGTGGTGGTTGTTATTGTTATATCTTCATCATCTTCCATTTATTGGGCATCTTCCCCGTCCTGGTCACACTGCCGGGTGCCTTATAGGCATCATCTTGCTGGGCCTTCCCAAGAACCCTCGGAAGGCAATGATGCTCCCATCCCATTGTGAAGACGATGAGTTGAGATGCAGAGGTAAAGCCCCCCTGCCACAGACACTCAGTTGGTGGGGAGCCGCATTTGGGGGTCCAGCCCATGGGGTGCCAGTGCTCATATTCTTCCGGTTTTGTCTGGGTAGACCAGGGCTCCACTGGGAAGCAGTTCTGGCACCCCATGCTCATTGCCCCACGGATGCTGGCTCCCCCATGCTGGGATCCCTGTCCTTTTGCCTCAGTTCTCCTCTGGCAGGGGCAACACTACGGGGTCAAATCAAAAGTCACCTTTTCTGGGACCATCTGGCCTTTGGGCCCCCCTGACTCTAACCAGGCTCCACTGGCTCAGAACTTGGTCACTCCCCATTGCTCAGGGGCTCTGAGACCCCAGTGGAAGTTGGTTCTGGGTGGGCCCAGTGCAGTTTGGGAGGCTGCCTGAGGCTCCTGTCCCAGAGTACCTAACGTCGGCAGCCTGGCAGACCCTCTCGAGATAGCATCAGGCTTTCCTCTGTCCTGGTGGACCCCCAGTGGGAAGAGATACTCTCCCAACTCCAAGGGGAAGGGGGTCTTGGCCTCTCTGGATGGCGACAAGAGGAAGATTTGGGGGAAGGGGCTGGCTGGGCTCGTCCTGGTGTCATGGCTGAGGTAGTGTCTCAGTTCTGGGGAGGGAGGCTGCTGCCCACCGCCCATGCACTGCCTTAAGCCTGCCTGGGGCAGGGAACCCCGGCACTGATAGCTGCCTCACTGCGATGGGGTGCAAACCTCGGGCTTGCACCTGTCACTGTTCCTCAGGTTGGGGGCCCTGGGGTCCCAGAGGATTAGAAGGAAAATGCAGCCAAAAGCAAGGAGGACCCAGAGGAAGGTCCTTGACATGCCCTCATGGATGTTTTTTGAGGGGTGACCAGGGGGGTGTCATTTCTTTCTCAGCTCTCCCTTTGGGCCTCTGAGCCAGCCCAGCCCCAGGCCTGTAGCTGTCTGGACAGCCTCTGAGGTGAGACCCACTGCCCTGCTGGTCCTGGTGGCTCCTAGGCTGCCCTCGGCTGACCCCAGCCCAGTGGTTTGATGTGGTGACCATGGTGGCCTCTGTGCCTTGGATCTGGCCTTGGGCTCCTCGGCTTTAACTGTGCTTTACATTTATAAGCCCTGACTGATGCCCTGAAGCCTGGGGGATCCCTCTCACTCTAGTTCTGGAACCCCCTGCCGCAGCCACTTGCTGACCCCTTCTGGGAGGGCCATGTGGGCAGACGCAGGAGCATCCTAACTCCAGGGCAGAGGCAGCGTCATTTGCCCATCCCAAGCCTTCCCTTAGCCCCACAGCGAGCTGGGCTGGTGAGGTGCAGGGATGCCAGTGTCAGTGCCCCCAAGGGGCTCACTCTCAAGGCTGAGATGGTGCCAGCAGTCCAAAGCAGCCTGTAGGAGGACAGGCCCTGAGCCAGGGCGCAAGGCCAGGGAGGCTGCATTTCAGCTTCCCCCACCTCCTGGCCTGGCCAGAGCTGCCCTGGACACAGGTGAAGAGCATGGATAGAGCAGCATGGCGGGGCACACAGAGGTATGGGCACAGGCAGGGCTGGGAGCAGGCAGCTGGGACTGGGAGGCCCCCTGGCTCCAACTCACTGCCACAGACCCGAGGTGGTTAGAGCTGGAGAAGCACGAGGAAACCATCCTGTCCAACCCCTGCATCATAGCTGGGAAACTGAGGCATGGAAAGGGGAAAGACCAAACGGATGGTTGGGAACAGGCACCCTGACTCCCCACCCCGGGCTGTGGCCCCTGTGGCAGGCAGCTGTCTGAGCAGGCCCACTGGAGTAAAACCCCCTCAGGCAGGTGGTGATGCAGTGGATGGAGAGAAGGGCTGAGGAAGAACAAAGGCTGGGGAGGAGGCAGCCGGTCCCCGGCAGCTGTGGGAAGGCTGTGCCTGCTTGGCCTGGCCAGGCCCCAGCCTGTCCACGCCGGGGGCTCAGGATGGGGACCAGGCCCTGATCTCTCCATGGGAACCCAGACTTCCAAGGGCTTCAGGTGCCACCTTCAACTCCCAGGGGCAGAAGCAGCCGTTTCCTGGCCCCTGTCCCCGTGGGGAGATGGGTCCCAGGGACAGCTCCCAGCTTCCACTATGAAGGGGAAGGATCCAGACTTGGAAAATCCCAGGGTCAGCTGGGGCATTTAAGGCTTCAGGTGACTTTCAGGGAAGTGGCTTCTTGCCTCCCACAAATGTCAAGTGTCCACCATGCCTTCCTCTCGGGGTGCAGAGGGGAGGGGCTGGCGGGCTGGGAGCCAGGCAGGAGGGACAACCAACTCACATGTGGTTTCTGCAGGGCCCCTCCCCAGCCCCCACAGGGCCTTCATCTTGTCCTCATCTTCATCCTCCTCCTCAGCAGCAGCAGGAGGTGAGCCCAGTATTGAAAGTGTTACGAGGCCATGCCACCTCACTGAAGGGGGAGCCGCACCTCCACCCAGGGCACCTCCCTCTTGTCAGAGTCCCCTACCCTTCACGTGGATGCACTACTCCCTTGCCCCCAGAATGAGGTCCAAAGACTTGGGAACAGCTGAGTAACACAAAAAAACGTTCAGGCCCCACCCAGACCTGCTGCCTCGGAATCTGCATTTAACAAGACCCATGGACACTAAGTCCACTTTTATGTCAGAGCGGTTTTAGATTTACAGTTCGGAAGAGAGCATAGAGAGTTCCCACACGGTCCGCCCTACTGCGACTCTGAGCCCATTCAAGTTTAAGGTTGCTCTTTTCCACCTCCTGTCCTTCCCCAGCTCCAATCGATCCCCCTCCCACCCCAAAGCTGAAGTCAACAATAGCTTATCAGAGCTCCCCTCACACTTCTGGGAGCGCGGTGACTTCTCAGGGTGCTTTGAGAGGCTCGGGCTACTGTGCATGGAACGCCTACTCTCTTCCTGGTCTAACACTTCACGTACATGATTCTGTAATTCTCTAGACCTCTCTACAAAGCGGGCACTATAAACCATTTCGCAGATGAGAAACTGAGACACAGAGAGGTTAAAGCAAAGCCAGGATTCGAACTCAGATCTGCCCCCATTGAAGCTGATGGCCTTTCCCTACCCACGTTGGTTTCCTGGTCTCAAGAAACTAGTCTGTTTTCTGGTGGCCATGGGCCTGGCTCCAGGAGCTCTGGCCCAGCCAGCTATGAGTTGCCCTATTGGCCTTCCCTGGGCTTTTCTGGTCTGCAGGTCTTTGAGGGAGAGGCTGGCCCTCTTGGAGACATTCAAGGTCAAGAAGTGGTCTCAGCTGCACGCAGTCCAGGACAGCTGTCCAAACTCATGCGTCCACAAAGATCAGACACACATGTGAACTGATGGACAGAATGTTCTGGCAGAGGCAGACTTCCTGGGAAGGCAACACAACACTCAGCTGACCGAGATGTGTCTCCCTTTGGGGCAGTGGAGGGGGAAGGCTGAGGAGGAGGGGAGACTGAGTGACCCAAGGGAGAGGGGGAGCCTCTGAAGAAGGCCTCTGGCCCCTTGAGGACTTCACCAAGTTCACTTTCTGCAGGAAGTCTTCCTGAACAGAGGTCCACCCACACTGTTTATCCAACAACTGCCCACCTTCCACGTGCTATTCCACAGCTTCCCACAGGAGGGGCAGCAGGGCTCTGCTCAGGAGGCATCTGATAGGTGAAAGCACATGGACTTGAACATCCTGAATTTGAATCTTGTTTCCAATGCTTGGCAGGTGTGCAGCTTGGGTACATTACAAAATCTTTCTGAGGCTAAGTTTCTGCACCTGCTTGATGGGCTTATAGCATCCATTCCCTTGACATGGCTCAGTCTCATCCCAATCTTGTGATCATTCTTACCACAAATAAGATCACAGAAGTAATCACTAAATTCATGTTTACAAATCCTTTAAAAACTAAAAAGGACGAGTGGAAGGGAGGGATGCAAGAACTTGACCTTCTGACAACATGGCAGACTGAATTAATGTAGACCCCTCTCTTCTGACACAAACATAGAGTAATGCTATATACAAGCTAACAGATCTTTGGGGGAATATCTTTTGTGCAGTTTTTTGCAGTGGTATAATACACATAACACAGCACTTACCATGTTAGCCATTTTTAAGTATGCAGTTCACTGGCATTAAGTGCATTCATATTGTTGTGCAATCATCACCACTATCCATGCTAGCACTTTTTCCATCTTGCAGAACTGAAACTCTGCACCCATTAATCACTCTTCATTCTCCCTTTCTCCAGCCTCTGGAAACCATCATTTTTTTTTTCTATGGATTTGACTATTTAGGTGCCTCAGATAAGTGGAATCATACAGTATTTGTCCTATTGCAACTGCCACATTTCACTTAGCATACTGTCCTCAACGTTCATCCAAGTTGTAGTGTGTGTCAGAATTTCCTTCCTTTTTGAGGCTGGATAGTATTTCATTCTATGGATAGATCATATCTTGTTTATCCATTTATCTGTCGATAGGCACCTGCGTTGCTTCCACTTTTTGGCTATTGTGAATAAGGCTGCTATGAACATGAGTGTGCAAATATCTCTTCAGGACCCTGCTTTCAGTTCCTTTGAGTATATACCCAGAAGTAGAATTGCTGGATCACATAGTAATTTTATTTTTAATCTTCTGAGGCACCTCCATACTGTTTGCAACAGCTGCTGCACCATTTTACATTCTCACCAACAGAGTCCAGGCGTTCCAGTTCCTCCACATCTTCGCCAACCGTGTTATTTTCTGTTTTGGTGGTGACCGGCTTAACAGGTGTCATGTAGCATCTCACTGTGGTTTTGATTTGCATTTCCCTGATGAGTTGTGATGTTGAGCATCTTTTCATGTGCTTATTGGCCATTCATATATCTTCTTTGGAAAAATATTTGTGTATGTCCTTTGCTCATTTTTGAAGTGGGCTGTTGGTTTTTCTGCTGATTTTAAGAATGCTGTAATTTTTCTGCGTATATGATTTGTAGATTTTCCTCCCATTCTATGGGCTGACTTTCTATTTTGTTGATAATGTCTTTTGATGCACAAAATGGTTTAATTTTCATGTTTTAAATATAGAGCTGATCTTAAAGGGAACTCCCTGGGCCAGTAACAAACACATAACACAAATTCTCGGGCCAACACCTCAGATGCCCGTAGCTGTTTCCAGCCCAGTTAGAGTCTGCTGGTGCTGGAAGCTGGGGTTGAATGCCCAGTGGGAGCAGGCTATGGCCTTGGCCTGTGCAGGTGGGCAACTGAAAAAGGAGACCCTTACAGAATACTAAGACCCTTGAAAGGCAGCCCCAGTCTGTGACAATGGGACTTGAAAATGCCACCCACTCACCCAGAAAAGAGAGTATGTTCCCTCTGCGTAGGGCTCTGAGTGGGATTTAAAAAGTCTTTGGTGAGAGTTTGAAGGCCCAAGCCTATGCTGTGCGGGGAAGTGGAGCTTCAAGGCATGCCTGGCAGGAATCCCCAGCCAAGAAACTAACGTGAAACCCAGTGCAGAGCCAGGGAAACCCCTGGAGCCCTGGAAGAATGGAAAGCCAAACCTCTCTGCAGAGCTTGTTCCACCACCCACACGTGGGACTCTGAAAACAACCCCTGCTGAGATAAACAGGCACACACCCCATGAGGAAGCAAACCCCAGATCCACGCAGGCACCCCAAGAATGGAAACGAGAATAACATGAAAGAGACTGCAAACTAATTGCACTTCAAGTCATTACAGATAAAAGGACAAGAAAAATTAATTAAAAACAGGACACTATTAAAAAAAGAAGAGGTAAACTTGCAAAAGCATGAAATAGGACTTCCGCAAATGAAAAGCATGGTTACTGAAATGAAAAACAAATGGCCACAGCCGAAAAGAGAATTGATGAACTGGAAGAAAAAGAAGTGTGATGGGCAGAAAAATTTGCATTGCATGGAGGCCTGATGAGATGTCTCTGAATCCATGTCTCTGAATTATAAGCTAAGCAAGGAAAAAGTATGTCTCTGTGTGAGTGTGTGTGTGTGCACACGTATGGAGATGTGTGTGTGTGTATGAGTGCACATGTGTGTCCACATGAAGGATATGTATGTGCATGTACGTGTATGGAGGTGTGTGTGAGTTTGCATGTGTGTGTGTGTGCACATGAAGGATATGTGTGTGTGCGCACTTGTGTACCCATGCAGGCTGGGAAAGGAGTCACAGACAACATGACACTGTGGTCTCAGTCAGTTAGCAGATGACCATCATGACCTTGCTTTGAGATTTTGTGTTATCAAGTAGAACATTTTCCAGCATGTTTCACCATTTAAGTGGTGGGCTTCAAGTATTTTTAACAAGTCTATCAAATCTCCAGCAGTTACGTTTCCCCCCTTCTGGGCTGTCAGGACTCGATGTTGGGATATTGTGGGTTCATAGGGTCCCCATTAATGGCTTGCCTGTGTGCTGCCATCGGGGTTGGGCCGCCGCTAGCTGGCAGGGAGTGAGCACATTAAAGAGGCACCCCTGCAGCTCCTGCTTTGCTGCCTCCCAACCGATTGCACCCACTCTGTTCTCATCTTTTCATCATCATCTTAACAGCCATGGAAAAAGCACCATTTAGGGAGCCTGCTGGGGGAGGTGGCGACTGCATCCCTGTCTCCCCACGCATGTCTCCACCCTGACCTGGACGATCCCTCCAAAGAATAAAGACCAGGTTTTTTTCTGAAATAAGCAAACACGATAGCAGTTATTGTGTCTTTTACGAATGTTTGAACAAGCTTGGTGAGGCATGAAAGGAGAGCATCTTCACCATGGACAAAATACAGCCCTTCGGGAAGAGCGAGGACAGGCATCCCAATCTCTCCAGCTGTGTGGGTGGTGGCCAGCTGTGGTTCATGCCTGGTACTCCAAGGCCTGTGTGACCTTGGGTAAGTCACCTAACTTCCCTGGGCTTCAGCTTCGTGTTTGACAAATGGAGATACAAATAGTGTCCCCTGCTAGAGGGTGTGAGGACTGAAGGAGAAAATGCCTGTTGCTGCCGGTGGTGTTTCTCTTGTCTGAATAGCAGCACGGCTGGCCCTGTTCTCTAGCACTGCCTTCGCCTGTGGGCTGGGGGCAGGCAGCAGCAGCGCCGCCACTCTGCAGGGCTGATTTGAGAGGATGGAGGTCTAGGCCAGCTCAGTGGCTGCCAGGCAGTGCTCATGGAAAGCACAGAGTTCATCCTCTCCCTGCAGCCCACTTCCTCTCTGACCTCAGGGCTGCCAGAGTGCTCTTTAAACTCAAGAATCACGTGACTGCCCATTGCCCACCCCAAAACCTTCCAAGGCTTCCCAGCCCCCTTCAGACAGAACCCACTTTGCTTCCATGGATGGATGAGCCTGCCTCCCTTTCCAGCCTCGGCTTTTGCCCCTCTTCCTTCCCTCACCACGTGCCGGCCACACTCCACCCCACGGCCTTTGCACTTGCCTTTTCCGCCACCCCAGCACTCCCTGTTCTAGTTTTTTGCAAGACTGACTCTCATCTGTCCTGTTTCTCCCAGGAGAGGTCTTCATTGACTGCTCTATCTGGACCCTTCCTTGCCCAGACCGTTCTTCTGTCTCAGTAGCCTCTCCCTTTCCTTCCAAGCCCTTGCCACAGTGTAATTACACATCGGGTGTGGCTTGCTTTGCCTGCTGTTCTCCTCCCCACATGACCCTGCATTCCATGAGGACAGGGACTATGTCTGCTTCACTGTCAGGGGTCTCCTGTGTCATGTGTGGTGACTGGAACACAACGGGCTTCAATAATTTGGGGTTAGAGTAGACTGAATTAACAAAAACAAAAAACATTGTTTCAACTCAACTTTGGAACTAATTGGGAGGTTAAAATCCTGGCAGATGGAGATAACAACACCAGTTTTGACAGGAAGAGGCTGGAGTGGAGGTTGTGGTTTGGTGAGGGGCAGCAACGGGACACGGCCCACCCAGGACTCATCCCCAGGCACCAGCAGCTCTGAGGAGCGCAGCCGCTTGCTGAGTGTGTGTTCCCCGGGCGCTCCTCCCGCTCTGGGGTAAGAGGTGGGAGCTGGGGCAGGAGGCTGGGGGTGCTTGGCAGGAATCCCTCCTCACAGGACCTGAGGAGTAGAGAAGAGGCATTGTACCCCCACCCACCACCCCCAGCCTGCACATCAGAGACAGCTGCTAGGTGACAGACAAGGAGACCCAAGAGACTTCAGTGCAGTGGAGTGCTAGGTCCAGTCAGAGCAGTGCCAGGGAGAGCGGGGTGAGGGGCTTCCTGGAGGAGGTGCCAGGTGTCATGGAGATCCAGGCCTGGCCCTTAGAGCCCTCTCTCAGAGCCAGCGGCAGGCTCAGTGTGCCCTGGTCCCAAGCTCAGTCACACCTGGAGAGCCCCACAGCATCTGGGCGGGACAAGGGAGGAATGAGTCCCTTCTTTCCAACAGCCATGAGACCAGCCACATCCCCTCTCCTTTCCAAGCAGATATTCCAAGAGATCAGGCTCTGTGATTAGGGGATTGAATCATGGGAGGATTAGAAGAGCTCAGGCACAATATCTATTAAGCTGTGATGGAGGGACGGCGCCAGAACTGTTTACAAACACAAAGGTGGAACCTGGGGCCGAGGCAGGGCTAGCCCAGGCAACAACTGACTCCAAAAGACAGGAATGGGCGCATCAGTGTCCACGTGCACACACACGCAGGCATTCAGGTGCCCATGCCCGTGTGCTGTGTGCGTTTATAAGGAATTTAGAGTAAACAGACTGCATATTTATGAGTACATACACAACATACATACAGGACTTACAATGTGTGTTTATAGACAGATGCTCCTACAGCATATGCAAACACATGCTATGCGGGTGTGGGTGCAGACATAGTGCACACAGGTGCGCGTGTCCAGAGCTGACCTGCCTAGTTATAGAAATGGCACATAAATACCAGGTGCGTGTGTCTAACCACACTTACATAGAGTATGCACATACGTGGTGCTTATATACAGATTTCATGTTAAGGTACACATATACACACCCGTGTAAAGTGTCACTGTATGTTGTGTGGGCTCGCTCCACAGATGGACGCCTGTACATCAGATGTGTGCCTGGGGCCTCACTCCAGTGTGTCATCTGTGTTCATATGTATGTGTGACCTGAAGTCAATCTGGAAAGGAAGATGTGCTGGAATCTACTCTGAGAAGTAGCCCAGGAGCGCAGAGTAGCCTCTTTTTCCTCCTGCAGGCAGCACACGTTACTTATGCAAATGGTCCTAAACAATGAATCTTCCCTCTTCAGCAGCTGCCCGCCCACATGAATGGGCAGGTTCCCTTCTAGAAGCAGGTGATGGCGTCACTGCCAGAAGGAACAACGCGTCCCAAATGAGACCCTGGATGAGACGGAAGCCCAAGTCTATAGTAGGAAGCAGCCCTTGGTCCAGAGAGGGACTTTCTGAGGCTGGTGACGGCACAGTCGCAGCTTGCTCCGGTGCTGTGGAACCACACTCAGCAGGGAAACAAGGGCACCAGGCCATTCAACTTGGCTGCTGCAGCTGAGGAATCGCAGCTTTTTCAGCCTTCCCCGGGGGCCCCAGCCTAACCTCCGGGACCCTCTCCTTCCACAGGTCCTGAGCCATTTCTCGTGGAGACTCATCAGACAGTGGGTGTGTGAGTCGCTGCAGCTGTGCCCTTCCCATGGGAATGGCCCCTGGGTGGGGCAGCAAAGCTGGTTCTCCGACGTGAGATGCCCATCTCACCTCTCTCCCAGACTTCACAACGATTGGATAACCACACATGGCTCTGGGTTCTTCCTAAGGCAGCCCCTTTGCCAGGGGAGAGGGCCTCAGCCCGTGCTGAGCCCTGCTCTGGCAGGGTCCAGGGACGACAGTAACTCAGAGGGACAGATGCGTCCACGTGGGAAGGGTAAATGGGCTTCAGATGCTGTCTGGCCTGGGTCCTGCCCCCACCCCACTTGTTAACCTGTGCCTGTACAAGTTGCTTTAACTTTTCCAAATCTCGCTTCTCCAATTTACAAAATGACCTCTCTCTCAGAGGGTAGGTGGATACATTAAACAGCATCATTATGTCAAAAGTGGTTTCTTTGTCAATCGTAAAGCCCTACATGAATGTTATTTCACGCAGAGACAATGACAGCAAAACGACTTGATCTAGGAATGTTTTTCTGCATTTTAGAATGTTTAATTTGAGACATACAGGAAGCGGCAGATTGTTACATAAATGCCCCCAATCAATCCCACTTCCTGGTATACATGCCCTGTGACCCTCCCACGTTGACCCTGGACTTGGCCATGTGACTTGCTTGGCATTAGCCGAGGTGAGGCCAGCAGAGGGCTGATGAGCCGGGGCTTGCCCTCTGGCAGCCTTGGCTGGATGCCAGCAAGAGGCCATCGCGGACCTCTAGAAGGCCTCCAGATGACTGAATAAACGGGGCTGGCAAGAGTCCTGAGCAAATCTGTTTTTCAGTCACCAAGTTTGGGGCAGTTTGTCACTTCCAACAGGTAACTCATACACAGGACATCGAAAGCACAGGAAGTTCCTGTCTCCTGCCTAGGGTTCTGGAAAAAGTTAATGGCTGAGCCAAGTGTAGGATTCACACCCCAGGATTTTTCCTGCCTTCCCCAATTTCTGCGTCTGCTCTTTCTGTAGAGCCTGACATTTCAAGGGCCCTGGGGGAAAATATTGACTGGTTTGGGAAGGGACTCAGAATTGCACCTACAAAGAATTATTAATGGCACTGGCATCCCTAACTACTGGGAAGAGAAAGGGGTTTCAAGGTAAGTAAATGGAATCGGAAGAGCCAGAAGGGAAATTTTTCTCCTTAAAAAGGGAAACAGCAGGTAGAGGGCTCAGGCTGTGAGGTCAGAGGGAACCAGGGTCAAAGCCTAACTCTGACCTTGGCTTAGTTTGTGCCTTTGGACAAGTTACTTAATCCAGTGAACCTCAGTTTCCACATTTGTAACATAGGCATAGTGGTGCCCTCCTATCAAGTCGGCTGTGAAGGTTAAGGAAGTTACACTGTGTAAATGCCCCACTCCAAACCCGGGGAGCACACGGGGATGCTCCTTCTAACCCGGGGTCTCAGCACCCCCTCACAGGGCTTCCGAAATACTTCTCCAGGGCTCTTGCTAAGATTCAAGGTGTTTGGACCAAGTAGGTGTGAGAGTGGGCACAGTCTTCTGTAAGGGGGGCCTTAGCGAGGGGGACGGAGGCTCAAGGAGGGAGGAGACCCTGCCCCAGGGCCTGTTTTCTGTCTGTCCAGAATGCTTGGTTCAAAGGCAGCTGCATCCTCTTGGAGGTGTTGCTGATCTGGAGACCCTTGACTCTGTCAGCAAGACTCCGTGCCCGCACCCTCTTCACCTTTGATGGCTGACCCATGGCCTCGAGGTCAGACATGCACATCAGAAAGCAGAAGCAGTGCTTTCCACAGGCTGGCCAGCCCCGTGGGTCCCTGTGAGCCACATTGGAGCCCACAGCCAGACCCGGGAGCAGGGAGCAGATGCTCAGCCCTCTTCGAGTCTGGCTTCTTCACATCCTCCACCTCCCACAGCATGGATCCGCCAGCCCTAAATGAGCAGCTACCATTTGCTGGGGACTTCCTTCCCAGCCTGTAGTCATTTGTTTGGTTATCATATTAGTTTCCTAGGCTCCTGTAACAAAGTGCCACAAACAGAGTGGCTTCAAACAAATGTCTGTCTCACAGTTCTGGAGGCCACAAGTCCAAGATGAAGCTGGCCGCAGGGCCTGCCTCCTCTGAGACTGGGTGGAAGTCACCCTGAATCTCCCTAACTCCTGGTGTGGCCGCCAGTCCTTGGTGCTCCATGGTCTATAGTGACATCACTCCCACCTCCGCCCCTGTCGTCTCATGGACTTCTCCCTGTGCGTGTGTCTCTTGTCTCTTCTCTTCCAAGGACACAGTCACATAGCACAGAGCCTACCCTACTCCAGGAAGATCTACTCATAGTTACTGGATTGCATCTGCAAAGATCCCATCTCCAAGTAAGGTCACGATCACATGTACCAGGGTCTAGGACTTTCACCTCTCTTTTGCGGGGACACAATTAAACTCCCAACAGGTTTACAGTAAAAGTGTGTTAAGCGCTTCTCTACAGTAAGCATAATAATAGTGGTATTATCATAACAAATTGCTTATTTTGCCCCAGGGACCATTCTAAAAATTTTACATATATTAATGGACTGAAATTCTCAATGAGTAGATATTGTTATTACCTCCATTTTATAAGGAAGGAAACTGAGGCACAGAGAAGTTAAGTAAATAGTGCAAGGTCACACAGCCAATAAATGGCCTCACTGGTGCCCTGTGCTGCCTCCTCAGCCCCCGTCATTCAGTGGAGGGTCTTGCCTGGTGGGGCGCAAGCAAGCACATTCAAAAGCTGATCCCTCCTCCTCCTTATCAGCTCATCTCTTGGTCTAGGCACAGATCTCTTATGCTGTGAATCACAGGGACTGGCCCTGGTGTTCAGGCTGCTTCCTTTAAGGCTTTTCTTCATGATCTCAGTAATGATCAGAGTGACATGTTCATTCAAAACATCCCATTGGGGTGACCTGAGCCCCTTTGGGGAATGTAGTAAGGGGTGGCTGCTCCTCTGCTCCCCCAGCCATTTTCTCTGCAATGTTACATGCTTGGATACTGCGGGACGTGAGGTGTAGAAGAGCCCACCCCTGCCCTCAGAGTCTGTTTATGGTTAAGTCAGAGGGAAACTGAGGTCCCAGAGGTTGGGATATAGCCAGAATCACACAGTAGTTGGTGCAGGGCCAAGAATGGGTCCCAGTCCTCACCCCCACCAAGGCCAGGCTCTGCCCAGCCCCAGCCCCAGCCCCATGCTGCTTGTTCTTGGAGGGAACAGTCACCAACGGGCAGACGTGGATCCTTTTCTAAAACTCCCTTGAATGGAGACAGGAGGGAGCAGTTTGGGGACACCCCACCCCAGAGGTCAGGGTCACATTTGGGGGTAGAAGTGCCCAGGCTTTGCCCATCTCTAACATTGTGACTGTGCCCGCTGCCATGCCAGATGTCTCCAGGAGACAGCCTTGCGGTCAGCCTGGAGGCCAGGGCAGCACTGATCTGCCGCCCTCCCCCTCGGACAGGGATTTCACACCCAGGAAAATAATTTCCTGGTAAGGAGATTAGAAGGCATCACCCGCTCTCGGGAACAGGATGGGGCCCGGGTGAGGCAGGAGAGGAACAGCGGGAGAGGCCGGGGGGCAGGCGGGGGCACGGGAGGAAGTGTCACTGTCAATCAGGGCGCTGACCCATCTAATCCAGCCTCCCGGCTCTCCTGATCCCAGGGACAGATGCCGGGTAAAAAGGTGCAAACTCGGCGGGCCCAGCCCTCCCCGCAGGCCTGCAATACGGGCCCCTCTGTGGAGAGCCGGAGAGCCGGCTTAATCTTGCCAAGAGATAAGCTGTCCAAAAGACGCTCTCCGCGACTCCCATGCGCTTCCGCTGCGCCTCACGTGCAGAGCTGCGGTAAATAACGCCGGGTACAGCACATTCCCTTCAGTCAGGAGGAGTCACGCACTCGGTGGAGGCTGTGATCGGAGTTGGGGAACTTTCAAGAACCTCCCTCAATGGTGAGGTCTCATTCATTCACTCAAGAAGCATTTACTGATCTAACATGTGCCAGGATGCGATGAGCTCATAGTCCTGAAAAGGCATGGTAGGTACCTGCATAGGATTACACCACCGCCATCCATCCATCCGTCCATCTGCCCATCCATTCCAGACTAGGCTCCCAGATTGGCCAGGCACAGACTTAAAGAGAAGTGGCCAGAAGCCTCACTCGCATCCCATCCAGTCCCCTGTTGAGCAGTGAGCCTAGGAAGCAATTTACATCTTGACGAGGGGCTCTTCTTTATGCAGTGCTCTTCAGTCTAACTCTATGCACGCTTGAAATTCAAGTCACTTACATCAGGAGACTCCTTGGGTCCTGGAGATGCCAACAGAGAGGTGACCAGGCGGGACTTGAGCACTGAGGTACCCATACTTAAGAAGAAGCTACCAAGAAGACCAGCAGTGTGCTGGGGGCAGCAACCCCAAGCTGCAAGGGGCAGGTGGAGGGGGCAGAGATGCCCCAGCAGCCAGGGCCCAGCCCTTCCTGTTTATTTGGATTTGCCAGTGGGTTCATTCCCGGTGCGTATGGAGAAAAGAACATGGTGGTTCTAAAGGACCATGGATTTGAACCACAGTGTTTTCTGTGTTAAGAAGTGAAACGCATGTGCTGAGGACTGTGGGGGTACCTGTGGGAACAGAAGGGATTGCCTTCGAATTTGAGACTGTCAGGGAACACTCCAGGTGCTTCAGTGCTGCGGTGCCACTGACTGGCTGTAGGGGGAGCTGTGGAGTCAGGGCCTTGTCTTCAATGCCGTTTAATCCAGTTTGATAGACTATACACTTTCCACGTTGCTCTGGGTGACAGCCGCAGCTCCAGGGTCGGGGATGAGATTGAAGAAACTGATGGGGTAGGTGGTGCCTGAATATGCCATTCTCCTGAGCCTTCTCTTTGAGCCCATGGAAAATGGCCTGGCCTTGGAGGGCCTTGGAGAGCACTGGTAGCTGCCTTGCTGGCATCACCCAGAGTGGCAGGCAGGGTGCAAACTCTGCCACTAGGCTTCCTGGAGGCAATCCCGGCTCCACCACTTACTACCTGAGTGGCCTTAGGAAAACTTTCTTAACTTCTCTGTGACTCAGTTTATCTATCTGTAAAATGGGGATAAAATTGCATATGAGATATTTGGGCTGTTCACAAATATTCTGCTTCTCCTCTGGGCACATGGCAAGATCACACTTCTCTGCCTTTTTTTTTTTTTAAAGAAACATAATCTTTTAAGCATACTTGGAACAGTCACAAAATTAATTTCATTTCCTAATCTACTTTGAACTTACCCATGGTGTTGTGACTTTTTTGTAGCCAATGAAATATAAGTGATTTGTTACATCTTCACCACTCCCCCTTCCACCCACCACCTCCATGGCAACCATGAAACGTTGGTGAAAAGCACAAGCCCCCTGTCAGCCTGCACCACTCACGCAGCACACGCGAGAAACAAATCTCTGTTGTCTTAAACCACTGAGATTTTTTGTCACCACAGCACAACCCAGCCCGTACTGACCAATACCATTTATGACTGTTCCAGATTGAATTGTGTCCCCTTCTAATTCATAGGTTGAAGGCTTCACATCCAATGTGATGGTGTTTGGAGATGGGGTCTTTGGGAGATGATTGGGTTTAGATGAGGTTATTAGGGTAAGGCCCTGATGATGGAATTACAACTTTTTAAATTTTAAATTTTTTTTTTTTAGAGATAGGGTCTCACTTCATCACCCAGGTTAGAGTTCAGTGGCACAATCATAGTTCACTGCAGCCTCATACTCCTGGGCTCAAGCGATCCCTCTCACCTTAGCCTCCTGAGTGGCTGGCACTGCAGGTGCACGCCACCACACCTGGCTTGGAATGAGAAGAAGAGACACCAGAGAGCTTGCTCTGTCCTCCCTTTCTGAGCACACCAAGGAGAGGCCATGTGAGCCTAGAGATGGTGGCCTCACCAGAAGCCCACCATGCTAGTGCCCGGATCCCGGACTGCCAGCCTCCAGAGCCGTGAGAAAGTAAACCTCTGCTGTCAAAGCCCCCAGCCTGTGGTATCTGGTTATGGCAGCCCAAGCTGACGCTCTCCCACCTCTGTCATAACGGCGTTGTGAGGACTTCATGGGTTCTGTACGAAGTGCTTTGTGCAGCGTCCTGTATGTAGGAAGCAGTAGAGTATAGGCATCCACTATTGTTACCCCTTGCTGTGGTAAATGGAATGGTCCTGGGTAAAACCAGAGTGAAGATGAGGTGCGTGTTTACTTCTTTGGGGCATTTCCCACCCCTGTTTTCTGGAAGCGTCATTCGTTCCCACATGCATACCAGCACCATTCAGGCTTCTAGCCAACACGTGCCCAGGACTCACTTTATTCCAGGCCTCAGTACTCCATGCACTCATCTGGAAGACCTTACCTGAGCCCCAGGGGTTCACCAGGCCTAGCCTGTGTTCCCCAGGGGCTCACAGTGGAGGGGGACCCAGACAGTGACAGCTCCGATGAAGAGGATGACTCTTTTGGGGCGGGGAGAGCCCTGTGGAGGGGGCCTAACTCAGCAGGTTCAGGGCACTCCCTGCAGGAGGTGCACTTGATCTGAGCCATGAGGACAGGAGGGCACACCTGGTCAAAGGCGGTCAGAAAGGCTGCTCCAGGCACAGGGAAAGGAGGGGGCACAGGAGGGAGCCTCAATCCTCAGGGAGCCCTGAGAACCCCCAGCAGGGTCCTGACAGGCGGCAGGCCCTCTTCTGACCCCAGTGCAGGGTCAGTGGCTCTGACCACTCCAGCTCCCACTGGGGAGAATGAAGGAGGAGAGGGAAGGAGGGTTTGTGGGCAGAGCTCCTGCTTGCTGATGTGGCCTCGTTTGCTCTCCCTGAAGACCTACAAGGTAGGTATTACTGTGTCCACTTAGTAGATAGGGGCACTAAGCTCAGAACAGCCACGAGACCACAGTCACATGGGAAGTACAGTGCCTGGATGCTTCTGAACTCAGTAGATACCGTCAACTGGCTGAGGATAGGAGAGCTGGGCTTTCAGAAGGCTCTTGAATGGCCAGGAACAAGGCAAGGAGAGCCATCGCTGGGTTTGCGTGGGCTTGGCCTTGGGAAGAAGCACTGCCAAGATGGAAGGGACTTGGAGAGAAGATGCTTGGGCCTGAAGGCAGATGACCATGCTGGGGCTCACACCCACTTCTGTGTGCAGGGTGAAAGGCTGCCCAAGGGGCCGCTCTGCCTCAGGGATGTTATTGGCCTCGGGGCCATCCCCAGGTGCAGCAGAAAGATTGAAGCAGATCTGAGTACACCCCAAATCCCCACCAAGCTCTGCTGCTGAACAGTTCTGACCTTGGGCAAGAGCCTTAGCTTCTGCAAGACTCAGTTTCCCCATCTGTAAATTAATGGTGGCTTTCCTCTCATAGGGTTGTTGGAGTTTTAAAGAAGACTGTGGATAGAAACTGTCCAGCTCAGTGTCTATGCCTCCAGCAGCTTCTCAGGAACTTCTCCTGCCACTATTCACCATTTCATGACCTTCTTCTGCAGACCTCTCTTCCCCCTCACAGACAGGCTGCAGCCTGGAGCCAGGACACACTAGCAACCTGAGGGCATCCACGCGAGGCTCTGGGCTGCAGGTGTGGAGACCCAGGGACCACTCAGCATTTTCAACTCGTCATATGTCATTTGGGAGGGTCGCCGCCCCTCTCATGGCCTCATTTTATTGCCAATAAAACACTAAAGAAGAGGGTTGAACTGGTCGATTCCTGAGACCTCTTCTGGCTATAAGAGACATCAATACTGGGCGATAAAGTGTAAGGAAACACAGAACTGGATGGGGTCCTTTGAAAAATCCGAGTGGACCTCACACAGGTGTGTGTGCAAACACATGCATATCCATGTGTTCTCATGTGCACACATGTGTAGTGTCATGAGTACATGCGTGTGTGCATGGGTGTGTGTTCGCATGTGTGTGTGTGTGAGTGGGCATGTGTGTATCTGTCTCCCAAGGACCCATCTGTTTTGAACTAAACAGAGAAAGCATTCTCCCACCCAGGATGTGAGCATAGCCCACACTTCCTGATTGCTGCTCTCCTGAGCAACCCAATTAAGTTGACCCAGTCACCCTGTTATATGGGTTTGGGGTTGAGGGAATGCCAGCCTCTCTCCCTTGATTTGCAGTTTAGCTGACCTCAGCACTCACTGGCCCCTCCCAGCTAATGTTACTCGTTGTCCTCTTGTGAGCATCAGCCTTAGACCACCTGTGTGCACAGTAAAGATGAGTGTCTATTAACAGGGACAATGATGAGCAATTCATGTATTGGGTCATGTTTATACTTCCATTGTCAACGGTGGCCATTATTTATTTGAAATGAGGCCTTTCTCATGTACTGGCCATTGCTCCTATGAGTAACAGCATGTTGAAGACTTAGTAATTTTCACATGGTGGGGACTCAGAGCAGAGAGGGCTGTGGCTCCCTGTGGCAGTCAAAAGAAGGGTCGTCCAGTGCAGGTGTGCCGCCTCCATATCGCAAAGAGGGAAGTGCAGCCACAGGATAGGGAGGGGAGGGTTGAAGAGCACAGGGTGGCCTCAAATGAGCTCCAGCTTCTTGGCCCAGACAAATGACCTCCCAGGATACCAGGGGAATTTGTGGATGTGAACTCAGCCCCTCCATCAAAAACCTTGGAGGAATCCTGGAGAGCTGGAGCCTGGATACACAACCAAATTGATCATCCCCCAGACAGGAAGCAAGCACATTTTAAGTAACTACAGCTGGTGGGAGGCAGCATGGTACTGGGGAAAGAGAAAAGGGTTTGGAACTAGATGGAGCTGGGAGAGAATCTTTCTGGATTGTGTGACCTTGTATGAGTCCCTGAGCCTGCCTTCCCCCATCTGTGAAATGGGATAATAAATACTGCATGTGAGACTCACATGAGATGTGGCTTTCCAAGAGAGCTGGAAAAAGAAACCACTACTTTTCTTCTCCTTCCCCCATAAGCCCACTACATTCTCTTCTAAAATTTGGAGAAGGATTTGGAAAGAATTTGGAAGGAATGTGTTTCTTCTGAGAATAGACCGCAACAAACTCCCCTTTTCCTCTCGCGGTGAACATATGAGCTTCAGAGGTCAGGGGCAGCAGCCAACAGAAAGTATATCTATTTTAAGCAAGCATTTGCAAGAATTTCTCATGTTAGAGGTACTGGATCCGTGATACCATCCACCTGGATCATTCCTAGGCTCCACTGGGCTTGTGGAGGAAGTGGGGAAATGCTGAGGGGACATTAGAACAGGTCATTGGACTTTGAACTGGTTAAATGATTGTATTCAAACGGGAATGACCACTGGCCCCAAGTCAGCCCGGCTGAGGTGTCCAGCAGAGTGGCTGCAGGCTTGGTTCCTGTGATCTACTCCTGCCCCAGAGTATTATCATCAATGCATCCAATAAGGACTTAGAGAATCCACTTATCAATTGTTCAGATGACAGAAAGAACTACTCAGCAGAAGACAAAAATTATCAGGCTTTTGATAAACTTACTTTCACGTAATCCTCACAACCACTCCATGAGATTAGGGCAGTTTTATATTTTTGTTTTACATTTGAGGGGCTTAGACAGGCTAAGTGACCTGCCGAAGGCCACGTGGCTAGGAGGGAGTGGAGGCAGAATTTGAATGGAAATCCAGCAGAGCTTTTCCTGGAATTGTGTGTGAAACAGCAGCTCCTGTTGCTGCATCTGAGACTCTCAAGAGCCTGGAGAAGGCCAGGAAGGAATCATTTTCAGGCTTTTGTTCAATCCTTTATTCAACTGATATCCAATGGACACCTAATATGTGCCTTGCACATTCTAGGTCCTGTTTATACAGTGGGAATAGGGGTACCCAAGGGGGATCTTGCCCTTCCAGGCCAGGGAAAGTAAGGTTCTGGGGGAAGCAAACAATTACAAAATACATAAGAAAATGAATTAGGCAATTTTGGAAAATGCTAATATAGCTAAGACATGTATTGAGTGTCAGGCATTGTTCTAAACTCTTTGCATATATTCCCTAGTCTAATCCTTACAACAATCCTATTACGCAAGTGCTGTCATTATTCTAACTTTGTAGATAAGGAAAACTGAGGCACAGAGACTTTGAGTGTCAAAGTCACATCATTCCTAATACAAGGTGATCATTTACATTTTGAGCCTCGGCAGTGCAGGGCCCAACAACAGGGTTGGGAGGACACTGACCAGAGGGAGATTCAGGGCAGATCAGGAGAGTCAGGGAGGAGGGAGAGTCCAGGAAGAGGGAGAGTCAGAGAGGAGGGAGAGTCCAGGAGAAAGGAGAGTCAGGGAGGAGAGAGTCAGGGAGAGCCAGGGAGGAGGGAGAGTCCAGGAGGAGGGAGAGTCAGAGAGGAAGAAGAGTCAGAGAGGAGGGAGAGTCAGAGAGGAAGGAGAGTCAGAGGGGAGGGAGAGTCAGAAAAGAGGGAGAGTCCAGGAGAAGGGAGAGTCAGGGAGGAGAGAGAGTCAGGGAGAGTCAGGGAGGAGGGAGAGTCCAGGAGGAGGGAGAGTCAGGGAGGAGGGAGAGTCCAGGTGGAGGGAGAATCAGGGAGGAGGGAGAATCAGGCAGGAGGGAGAGTCAGGGAGGAGAGAGAGTCAGGGAGGAGGGAGAGTCCAGGAGAAAGGAGAGTCAGGGAGGAGAGAGTCAGGGAGAGCCAGGGAGGAGGGAGAGTCCAGGAGGAGGGAGAGTCAGAGAGGAAGGAGAGTCAGAGAGGAGGGAGAGTCAGAGAGGAAGGAGAGTCAGAGGGGAGGGAGAGTCAGAAAGGAGGGAGAGTCCAGGAGAAGGGAGAGTCAGGGAGGAGAGAGAGTCAGGGAGAGTCAGGGAGGAAGGAGAGTCCAGGAGGAGGGAGAGTCCAGGTGGAGGGAGAATCAGGGAGGAGGGAGAGTCAGGGAGGAGGGAGAGTCAGGGAGGAGGGAGAGTGGAGATGAGGAAAAGCCAAGGAGAAGAGGGAGCAGGTGGGGAGAACTGAGAAGGAGGGTGAGCTGGAGAGGAGGAGAAGGTGGGGCAGAAGGGGAATTGGAGAGGAGGAAGGAAATTTGGAAAGCGGGGACCTGGGAAGAAGGTGGTGCCAGGGAGGACTATGAGCTAAGGAGGAATGAACTGGGGAGGAGGGTGAGTGAGGGAAAAGGGAGAGTGAAAGAAGAGGGGGAATGGGGGAGGAGGGAGAGCTGGGGAGAAGGATCTGCAGAGGAGGGGTGCTAGGGACGAGGGCAGCCAGGGAGGGGGCAGCTGGCTCAGCAGAAGCCTTCAAGGAAAAGGCCTCAGGAATAGAGGCAACTGCACACTGAGGGGAACAGACAGCGATAGGCAGCAGGCCGGCCATGCCACGCTCTGCTTTTCTGTGCATTTACTTGTTCCACTTGTCCCCTGCTAGATGAGGGCTCCTCAAGTGCAGGACTTTGTTGACCCTGGAGAAGGAGGGATGCTTGAAGCAGGTGATGGCCCAGGCACTAGGCTCACGACTGCTCCTCCCCTTCCCGCATGGGGGCCACTCCATCCTGAGCAGCCTAGAGAAGAGCGCTGGGTTCCAGAGGACTTGGTGTTAGGAGCACGGGGGCTCAGCTGAGCTTGTTTGAGGAATCACGGCTGCCTGGGAAAATACTCCAGAGGGCAGAGCTGGGACTAGGATACTTCAAGCCATTACAGGAAGAATCTTCTAACAATTGTGCACATTGAAGGGGTTTGCAAAGCAGGGAGCACTCTGTCATAGGCAGTGTTCAGGGAGAGAATGAGTGATCACAGTGAGCCCTTGGCTCTGCATCTAACAAACGCCAAGTACCTACTGTGTGCCAGGCCGTGAGTAGGGTGCAGGGAGCACCAAGAAGAATCAGGCCCGGCCCTGCCTTCAGGATGCCACACTTCTGTGGCAGACAGACCAATTAACAAAAAGAACCATGTAGTATGATCTGGTGATGACAGAGGTCACCACAGCATGAGGGAAAAAATGGGACAAATCCAAGAGGGCTTCCTGGAGGAGATGCTGATGAAGCAAAGATGTCAAACAGTAGGAGCTGGCTAACAGCATGGCTGAAGGGTTCATAACGTCGCAGCTGGAGATGCAGGGTGGCCAGGCAGGAAAAGGGTTAGGGGTGGGGGTACAGGGGTAGAAGTTGAGCAGGAGCTCCCAGGCGCACAGACCTGGGCCATCCCCAAGGCCCCACTGCAGTCAAGTAGGCCGTGGGCCCCCTCAGCCGTGCCTGCGCCAGGGGCGAGCCACTGAGCCAACTGTGAAAACCAGAGCTGCTTCATCATCATTGAAAAACACTTCTCACAAAAAAAAAAAAAAAAAAAAAAAAAAAATCCAGCAGAACAGGACAACCGCTTGTACAGCCAGACAGTTCCATGTCACATTTGTCAAGGAGAGAAAAGGAAGGGCAGTTGTTAGGCTTTTTAAATCTAGCTTCAACGGTTATAAGTTGGTTTTAAATTTGTATCACCTGCTTGTGTGAATTTACATTTCTCATTCAAGGGCATGATCAAGAGTTTGAAGGCCTTGCCATTAAAAACTCTTGATCAGTTTCCTGGTTTTGGAAATGCACTGTGGTGATGTAAGCTATCACCACGGGTGGAGGCTAGGTAATGGGTGGATAAGACCTCTCTGTACTGTTTGTGCCACTTTTTGTGAATCCGTAATTATTTCAAAATTTAAAAAAATAAAGAACAAATAAGAAACCTCTTGCTCTGGAATCCCATGAGGCCACCTTAAGCATTAAGCCTTATACAAAAGCAAGTTTTGTTCATGGAAGAAGCTGCTTCTCATTTAATAGTTTTTTAAAAATTGTTTTGGAAGCTTATATAAATGTGTTATATGTTATTCTCCCTTTTACATTTTACTTTCATTTTCTTAGCATCACTTTATAAAGTAGAGAAAATATAATTTTCCCCTGTAGCACCCTTAATGTTTCCTCTTGACTCCAAAGCACTGAATAAGTCACTAATTTTTTTTTTTTTTGAGACGGAGTCTCACTCTGTCACCCAGGCTGGAGTGCAGTGGCACGATAGGCTCACTGCAACCTCCGCCTCCTGGGTTCAAGTGATTCTCCTGCCTCAGCATTCCGAGTAGCTGGGATTACAGGTGCGTACCACCACACCTGGCTTGTGTGTGTGTGTGTGTGTGTGTGTGTGTGTGTGTGTGTGTGTGTGTGTGTGTGTTTTAATGGAGATGGAGTTTCGTCATATTGGCCAAGTTGGTCTGGAACTCCTGACCTCAAGTGATCCGCCCCTCCTTGGCCTCCCAAAGTGCTGAGATTACAGGGATGAGCCACTGTGCTTGGCCAAGTCACTAATTTTCTATGTGTGCTCCAACTTGGCAAAGGTTGAGAGCTGCTGAACAGAGGTGACTGGGGGCCTTTGAAGGGGTAGGTGTGGAAGTGAAGGGTGGGTGGCACACGGGGAAGCTAGGGTCAGAGTAGAGCTAGGGGCTTGCCAGGAGGAGAGGTTTGCAGGAGGGAAGCTCGGGCAGGTGGGGTGCAGACTCAAGGAGCTCCGCACACCCTTCTGACCAGCAGAGGGAGGAAGCTGAGGGGTCTGGGGCCTGAGACAGAACCCAGTTCATGCCCACGCAGAGACCAGCACCCTTCCTCCTCCCTCTGACACCCACAGTGACTGGCCGGGTCACCGGCAGGTGCATCAAGCAGTGCCACCCAGAGGGGACTCTAGGCAGAGACCCTGCATTGCTGCCTGCTCCTCCTGACGACCCTCATTTCCACATGGCTCGAGCAGGCTGGTCCCTGGCTGGGTGGGAAGCTCAGGACACCCCACCCCCAGGCCCTGGCAGGGGCTCCTGCCAGGCTGGCCTGCGTGTTTAGTGGACTGCGAGAACATGTCTATCTGACGAGTCCCCACGCTTCACCCAAGCTGGGGTCTGAATGGAAACATTATCACAATTTAATTACCTTTCACAAACGCAGCCTGAGAAACCCAACTCCTTGGCCAGAATGCCAACTTCAAACGGAGCCAGGGGTGAGCGGAAGCTGTGCTCCCCAGGGGAGAGGGGACAGCCTGGGGAGCTGCACACCCTTTAATGAAGTTTCAAAGTGACCCACAGGCCCCCAGCCCACATGGGGACCGAGCGGGTCCTCCCCAGCCCTGGACAGCGAGCTCCAGAGCCGGGCATAGGGGTTTTGTTTGCAACGTCCTGAGGGTTTTTTCTCTTCCCTTTCTTTCTTTCTTTTTTTTTTTTTTAATAAAATGGGTGATAAAGGGTCCTGCCAGGAACCATTGTCTTCCAAAGTCTAAAGTGTTTGAAATTAATTTATCCGCTTAGGATGGTGTATAAATTTCTCATTACGAGTGTCAGTGATGAACACGAAACCATTCCAAGAAATGTCTCGGGCCCTTGCCAAGCCCCGGGCCCTGGGTCCCTCGCGGAGCCGGTGCCGCGACAAAGGGTTTCACACAGTCAGGAGCGTTAACTATGCATGCTTTCGCGTTGCCCGGGCTCAGCCAAATGCCCTGTGAGAACGACACGTCCACACCCGCTTTTATTATTCCACACAGATGCCGGCTTGTTGTGTATTTCCAGCTTTGTGGAGCATAATGTGGGGTGCTGGGGGGTTTTGTTGTTGTGGTTGGGCATGTGCTTTTTTACTTTACCCCTCCCTTGCCCTCTTTCAGTGACTCGCTCCTGTCCACCCCCTAAACGGCTGGGGCAAGGGGAAATGGGGGGCAGGCCGGGAGCATTCTTGGAAGGGCCCGGGATAGGGTGGGGGAGGGGATTAAATGAATTGAGTCTCTTTGAGGTGTGTGTGTTGGGGGGGTGGGGGGGGGGTCTTGAAACCAAAGAGAGAAAAGGGAAGAGGAGGGGGAGGTTAAGCCCTGGGAAAGAAATGGCACCCCCAGCCCTTGCTGGGTCCGGCTGCCAGCTATGCTGGGGCGGGAGGCAGGCAGAGAGAGCCACCTCCCGGCCATGAGGTCTGCCATGCTCCTGGCTGCCCTGGAGCCCCGGCACCTGGACCCGCCCCCCAGGCTGTCCCAAGGAGACTCAACTTTGGAGAAAGGGGTCTCCTAGGCCCTTCTGTCGTGTGTCACTGTCCAATTCCCAAATGCAAATGCAACCCAAGAGTATGAGAGCTGAAGAGGTGGCAGAGCTCGGATTCAAACCTAGGCCCCTGACAGTGCTGTGCGGCCTGGGCAGCCTCCCCTGTTTACTCTCCATATCCCACCAGTAGCACCAGGGTGAGGCTGCAGCCCCTCTGCTCTGGTCTGCCCTGTGTGCTTTTGCCCTGGGCTGCAGGATCAGAAGTCCCGGGCGGTCTGCTTTCACCCTGAGAACAAGGCCCAGAGAGAAACAGGGAGCCCCCAGAAGCTCAGCCAGTGCCCATGGGTCCTGGTTATGGCTCAGCGGAGGTGGCTTTTCCAGGTGTTATTAGGATGAAGACAAAGCTGAGACTTTATAGGGCAATGCAGGAAGCTGGCCTGGAAGCCAGGAGACCCTATTTGAGCCCTGCCTTTTTCACCATCTCCCCATGTGACCCAGGCCCAGTCCTGCCCCCTCTGACACTCTGTGTTGTCTTCTGTCCATGAAGGGCTGGGTGCAGGGGTCACCATGCAGCCCTGGCTCTGGGCTCCGGAATGGAGTATAGAGGCAGACAGTGCTGGCCATGGATGCCAGCAACACGCACTGCAAATTCAGCAGCTCAAGCGGGCTGGGGTCATCCCCCCAGGACCCTGGCCCAGGTGCCGAGGCCCAGCTTGGAGGACCTGTGAGTGATGATGCCTGCAGCACCCCAGCCCCTGAGACGTGGCTGGCCTCTTTCTGGATGTAGAACCCTGTTCCTCAGGGGTCCTGGATGGAGGGTTGGGCATGCTCAGACCTAGGGGCTACCTTGCAGAGCCTCCAGTCTCAGCTGGCATGCTCACACCCAGCCTCTGTGCATGGCCGCCAAGGGCAGGGCCTCTCCGGAGTGGCTGATTGGGATGCCTGGCAAGTCATCGGCCCTGGGCGGTGGGCCAGCCCACAGCCCCCATGGAGGTGGCCTCATTAAAGGCCTCATGGTCCAGTGGGCAGGGCATCAGACTGGACATCTGGAGGCCTGGGGCCCGGTCCAGCTTGCTGCTGCTTTGCTGGGTGACCTTAAGCAGATTACTTGGCCTCTCAGTGCCCCATCTGCCCCCTGCCTCCTCCCTGTCTGGCAAAGCTTCCTGGAGGGAATATTAATGGGATAACTCACAGAAGCCAGATTCTACGGCCCCTCAGTTGTAGCCATTGCAGCCATGCCAGGGGGTGGCAGGGTCACGCAGAAACCCTTCCTCCTGAAACCCTCCAAGCCTCACCCAGCATCGTTTCCAAGGGCTGGCCTGAGAGGCAAAGCTGTGTGGGGGCCCAGAGAGGAGTGCTGCAGCATCTCGGAGCGGGAGGGGCTACTAAGATCCCTCAGGGCAATCCCCCCTTCACAGATGGGGAAACTGAGGGTGCAGCGCACAGCCAGGTGGCGACATTGCTGGGCGGGGAAACTACGCATCCATCTATCTTCTGGCCCTTCTGTTCCTCCCCTGAGCTGTTTATCCAGCCTCCCCTTCCAGTCCTGGTCCCCAGAATGATGCTTTTGGTACTTGGATCTGGTCTCACCAATCCCCGTGGAAGCGCCCTCAATGGCCTCCTGTCTTCAGAGGATCAAGCAGCTCCACCGGCATCCCGATCCTCCTTCCCTGCAGCCTCCCTCTCACCGAGCACAGCTAGGCTCCGGCATCCCCAAGGCATGCACTCCAGCCTCCACACTTACGCAGGATCCCAAGCCCTGCCCATGCCACTCCTGCCATCTGGAGGGCCCTCTGCGGCTTGTCTCCTGGGTGAACTGATCACCCTTCATGACTGCAGCCAAGCCTCCCCTCTGTGTAAGGTCTGCTCTAAGCTGTCTCAGAGGGCACAGCCTGAGTCCCTCTTCTCTGGTCCTGCAGTGTGGTGGCCCATTCCATCAGCACACTGCTCACCCAGGTCATGGGGACCCCACAGGCCAGGGCCTGCCTCTCAGCATCATTGGACACAGTGAGTAGCTTCAGGACATGCTGTGTTGTAGATGCTCAGTGGATGTGTACTGAAGGAAGGCCCAGGAGGTCAAAGCCAGCATCCCCATCCTGTAAGCCCCCTGCACTCTCTTCATCCCTTCCTCTCACCTCTTCAAATGCCCTTGAAAAAAGCAAGTAAAAGCTACGCCCAAGGAAGAGTGACTCACCAGGTTCCTTCTGCTGCTTTGTGGCCTCCACACCCCACCTGCAGGGCCAGCCAAGGCCCGTCCACCCCAAGCTCCTTCGCTCCTTATGCTGTCTGGGTCCCAGGCCAATAATAATAATGATAATAATAAAATACTTCCTGCTTATGATGACCTTACTTTGTGTTAAATGCACTATATATCTATTCCTGAAAACAGCCTTGCAGCTCGGGGTATAGCAGAGGAAATCGAGGCTCAGAGAGATTAAGTGGCTTGCCCGGGGTCACACAGTTGGCAGAGACAGAACTGGGGTCTGAGCCAGGCCCTGCAGGACTCCAAGGCCCATGCTCCCGCCCCCACCAACATCTGCTCTCCTTTGAGCCCTTTGAGGCATGGCATCAGCTGAGTTACTAAAGGCCAATAAAGAATGCCCTGGGTGACCCTTTCCCCTCAGCATTGGCATTTAACCAGAGTCTTCGGAGCTTCCCCCAAAGTGGGCTTGGCTGTGGGATTTTTGACACCAGGATTGTCGAATGTTAACAAGATTTCTGTTTTGGTATCTGTATACACAGCAGACTTGCCAGCGTTAACCTTTCTTCCCAGCCTTCTCCACTATAGCTTGACTTACTTGTCTTTTTCAATTGAGCCTTTTAAGGACTGTGGCTTGGGGACAAGAGCCAGGAATAAAATGTTGATTAAAATCTCCAAGGCCAGCCTGTAATCCCAGCACTTTGGGAGGCCAAGGTGTGTGGATCACCTGAGGTCAGAAGTTCGAGACCAGCCTGGCCAACATGGCAAAACCCCAACTCTACTAAAAATACAAAAATTAGCTGGGCGTGGTGGTGCGTGCCTGTAATCCCAGCTACTCAGGAGGCTGAGGCATGAGAATAGCTTGAACCTGGGAGGTAGAGGCTGCAGTGAGCCGAGATCATGCTGCTGCACTCCAGCCTGGGCAACAGAGCAAGACTCTGTCTCAAAAACAAAACAAACAAACAAAAATCTCCAAGGCCTTAAGAGGTCAGTTTTCCTCCAGTTGATCAATAGAGTCAACACAAACCCAACCAGTTTTAGCAAGGTTTTTAAAAGCTAGAAATTGGCATGGTAGTTCTAAAATTTTTATGAAAACCCAAGGGCATTGGAAGAGCTAAAACAAGTTCAAAAAGGAACAAAATTAAAGGATTCATATTCCCTGACTTCCAGGCTCATTATAAAGAGACAATAATCAAGATAGTGTGAGATTGGCAGATGGATAGACACATAGACTAATGGGAAAGAACAGATAGTTCGGAAATAGTAGGACGCACGTATGGTCAATTGATTTTCCACAAAGATAGAGGCAATTCGATGAAGGTCATTTTTTCAACAAATGGTGTTTGGACAATTGGAGGTCCAAAGAAATAAATCTGGACCGCTATTCAAACCTTGTCCAAAAATTAACTCAAATGGATCATAGACCTAAATATAAAACCTAAACCCACAAAACATCTAGAGGAAAGCATAAGAGAAAATCTTTGTGACCAGGGGTTATGCAAAGATCTCTTACTATGACACATAAGCACACCCATAAAAGAAAAACATGATAAATTGGATTTCACCAAAATGAAGAACCTTTGCTTTTTGGAAAGCCCTGTGACACCCATGGCAGCAATGGGAACCTGACACAATGACAGGATGAAGCTGGTCGAGAGAAGCAGTGAAGGCTGGAACCATGGCAGGCAGTACACAGTGGGCTGGGACTGCCTTTCCAGGCAAGGCACAAGCGAAGCCACCTTCAGTAATGTCACTCAATCTGTCTGAGCCTCAGCTCTGTTATCTGTAAAACGGGGGAAGAAGCCGCATCTGAAAAAGTTGTCTTAAGGAATAAATGACATATGAAAATATGATTCTCAATAGCTGCACGTTCCCTTCTTTTTTCCTCCCTTGAAAAAGGTTGCAGAGGAGGAGGAACACATAAAAGCACTAAAGAAGTTTCTAGGGAGTAAATTACCCAAACAGCAAACCAAAAACCTGAGCCTTTCATCTAGCTCTCAGCTGCTGAACGTCCTCCCAGGAGAAGCCGTTTCTGCCTGAAGGTCCAAACTCTGACGGCTAAAGGAGACACGGGTGATCCAGCACCTCTCTGGGCTTGTTGCTGCTTCTAGAAGCCAAGATTGAGAGAGGTGGAAAGAAGTAGTAGAAGGAGGAACAGAGGCGCAAGGAGTTGTGGAAGAAAATAGGAAGAAGGGGGCAGCAACCAGACCCACCTACGGCAGGAGGACACGGGGATGATCATTAGAGAGTGGGAGATGGCTGAGAGAAACTCCAGCACAGCAGCTTGAAGGCGAGACGTTTAGTCTCAAGCATCAATACCAACTCGTTAGTTGTGGCTGCCTCCAGTGAAGTGTCAAGGGTCATGACATTGAACCAGACGCAGCAGGAAAGAGCAATGCCTGCCAAGGGTGGGGAATGGAGCGGTGGCGCATGTCCCATACATATGTGGGACCACCATAGGGACCCTGCCACAGTAAGGGGTTTATTCATCTCTGTTGCAAGCAGCCCTCCTGCCTCTCTGTTATGATGTCTTTAAGACAGTTTAAGTATTGATGTGAAGATGATGTGTGGGTGAATAGATATAGTTCAGTTATCTTTAAGTCAGGAAATTGTGTATTTAGAAAGTATTTGGTGCAAAAAAGATGCAAGAAAAACTGCTGGCCTTCTAGGGTACATCATCCATTATATGTAAATGTCAATCACAGGGAGCCTGCTGCCCTGGGAGCCTGCGGGAAGGCTGAGGGGTGGTGGTGCAGCTCAAGGACTGAAGCAGTCAGGGGTATCAGGGAAGGGCCCTAGGCATAGGCGTCTAGCAGGCTTTGACAGAGGCCAGGGGCACGGATCAATAAAGCTGGGGTGGGGACTGGGGGCAATATGGCTGGATACCTCATAGTTACACAGTATATTTAAAGCGTGGGGGTCTCTCAAATTGTTCCCTACAACCTAGCAATCATGTACTAAGCTTTTCTGTGTTGCAGGTTTCCAGCCAGACAGTAGGAATAAACAGAGACCTAACCAAGGCTGGGGCTCCCTGTCCTAGAGTAGCTCCCAAAAGTAGGTCCTGTGGACAGGGGCATCCCACCTGGTCAGCCCACCCTGGTACTGCATCCTGGCTGCCGTGGACCTCATTCGTTTAGAGCCTATAAAAGCACCTGGAATCCCAGTGTATCCTCCTCCTGCTAATGCCCCTCATGGCTCCCCATCACTATTTTGCTATTAGAACAAAATCCAAGTGCTCACTATGGCCGGCAAGGCCTGAAGAATCCAGCCCCTGACTCTTTCTCCACTTCTTTTCCCACCTTGAATTTTGGCTCCAATCACACTGGGCTTTTCCCAGTTCCTCCAACATTTCAGTGTCTTTCTCACCCTAGGGACGTCCCCGCCCTCCCTAGTCAGCTGGACACCTGCAGCTCCTCCTTCCTGTCTCAGCTTCATCGCGGCTTCTCCAGGGAGCTGCCTGTGGCCCCTGGGTGAGGTGAGCTCCTCCACCTTAATGCACAGCTTCCCCACAGCACATAGCGCAATTGTCATGAGATATGTCGGTATGTAATTATCAGGTGTCTCATGTCCACCTTCTCTGCCACATCGAAGTCTCCGTGAAAGTGGGGACCTGGCTTGTGTCCTTCATAGCGACAGCTGCAACAGTTGCAGAGCCTGGCAGACAGAAGGTCCAAATATGTGTGGAGTGAATGAATGAATGATAGACCCTCCATCAGGGCTCTATGTGGAGGCTGTCTGGGCCTCCACTCAGGTGAGAACTGGAGAGCGCAGGTGTGGCTTGGGCAAGCCTGACTGTGGAGGATGCAGAGTTGCCGCCAGACACGGAGCCTGGCATATTCGTGTCCGCTTCTTCTTGTGCAGGTGGGCATGGTGGAGCTGCAGCCCCCAGGCTCCATGCAGGTCCAGGTTCCCCTCCTCCTTGTCCTCCTGGTCATTCCTCAGCTTCTTTGTCCCCCTCCTATTCCCACATGGAAGCGCCCTCTGTGCCCTGCAGTCTTGACTGCTGTGTGCAGAGTCTGATTATTCTCATTTCTCTTTGTTGAGTTTTGACCAACCATTTTCTTTTGGTCTTGTTTTGGGATTTTTTATTTTGAAAATAATTTCAACTTTCATTTTAGATTTGGGGGGTTCACGTGCAGGTTTGTTACCTGGGTACATCGTGTGATTTTCTTACAGAGCCTTGCTTCTCTAACATGCTCAGCAAAATGCCCATTGCTGAGCCCTGTGGTGGCCTTGCCGTCTGCTCGCCAGACCGACTGACCCCTTTCCACACAGCCCTTGAGTCAACAGGTAGCTTAAGGTGGGGAACAGAGGAGCAAGTCTTTGTGTGGGACAGTGGAATGAGGGTTCTGGAGTCTGCAGACCGACTACTCCTCAAGGCTGATCACTTAACAGGAACTCATCAGAAAGGAGTTCACAGTCAGCAGCCCACCTCACAGGGTGGCTGCAAGGCCTAAAGGGAATGACTAGCAGGCCCAGCACAGGGCCTGGCGCAGGGCTGGCATTCAATAAACGGTGGGCCCTCCCTTTCCTTTGAATGCCCTGATGAGGTAGGCAGGGCAGGGGATACGTTCGCAGCATACAGGCCCTGCAACACAAGGCCTGAGTCACACATGCACGGCCTCCCAGCCAAGGGAAGTGACAAAGTCTTCTGACTCCCAGCCGTGGGTTCCTTTCAGGACAGCACACCCCTTGTGGATAGGGATAAAGTAGGGGGCAGGAGCTGCCAAAGGTGCTGAGGGTGCAATAGGCGGGCAGGGCCTCTCCAGGGCAGCAGAGTTGCAGGGACACCGTGTCACAGCGTTGCTGGAGAGAAGCACCCTTGTCAAGAGGCCAGGGGCATCTATGTCATCACGAGATTGGGCCCTGGGTGTAAACAGCGCTGCTTTCCTGGACTTTCCCCACCTGGGCATGAGGCCACAGCCACTCGCCCTATCGGGGGTCAGTGCAGATCAGCATCCTCTGCACCCTTGGGCACCACGATGGGCACATCAAGTCATGGCACGTTTGCCTTATTTGCCAATCTGTTGACTGTGCCCCCACTGGCCCTCAAGTCCTATTCATTGAGCGGTAAACATGTTACCTAGCAACCGAGTGTCAATATCAACAAAGGCTCAGATGAAGTTGTTAATCTGGGCAAGACTGACAGCGGGGCCAACGCGCTCCGAGCGCCGCTCCTCCGCTTATTGTCTGACACTTAGACTTGCCCACGAGGATATCGATGCTCAAAAGACCCCACATCTCCCTCCACTATAAAAATTAAATGAAGTGTGCATCGCAGGCAGGGAAAAGGCACCGGCATTGGCCCGCCTGGTGATCTTGCTTGTCTTTTTTCTCTTCTCCCCCAAGTGCCATAGCCCGTGGGGTGGAGTGCTTCCCCTGAATGCGGCAACCGCTGCTAATTTCTGGGAACAATGGGGGACACTCCAGGGCTGGTCCCCAGCACCCGAGGAGACACGCCTGTCATTTGTCCTGTGTGTGGGGCCCCAGGTGGGGTGACAAGGGCGCAGCTGATTCTGGGACCCAGCCTTGTGCCAGGCTGAGGCCGAGGATCTGCACTGTGGAATGAGGGTGACCACGTGGCAGGCCATGGATGGGTGGGGGCAGGGGGTGCAGCCTCAGCAAAGGCCGGGGTGATGTTCCCTGGGGCTCATATTGCAGTGGAGACAGGCAATCAATGAATAAGAAGTGGCCCCATCATGAAATGCTGTGCAGACTTCCAGGTCGAGGGGACAGCCAACACGAAGTCCTCAGGATGGGTGGAATATGTCTGGTATCTTCAGGAGTGTCTGGGTTGGAGAAAGAGATGAGATGAGGAGGATGTGGGGCTAGATGGCACATGGCCTGCAGGGCCACGGCAGGGACTTCAGATGAGTTGGTCCTTAGGAGAGAGGCAAGCCAGCGGAGGGGTTCCATCCAGGAGGAACTTGGTCTGATTTCCACAAGGCTCAGTGCATGGAGATGAGAATGCCTGGCCTGGGTCAGGGCAGAGAGGCCAGGAAGGAGGCTCCAGCAGAGGCCAGGCAAGAGGAGCTGGATGGGGCAGTGACATCACACCCCTAGGAGCTGGTGGAACAGTAGAGTGCACCTAGCAGGAGACCTAGCCTGGGTGGGGCTGGGGACAGGAGGCTTTGGTTGGGGGCCCAGGGCTGAGCACTAGGGCTAGGCCTCAGGTCCTCACCTCTGTGTCCTTGGAAGAGCATGTCCCCACTCAGGGCTTTGGTTCCTCGTCTGCTATTGGGACTACTCTTTGACCTGTCTACGTTGCAGGCATGCAAGGAGGTCAGACAGCACCATCAGCTGGGAAAAGTATGGGTTTGGTGTTGGACCAAGCCGGGTTCTAAGCCTGACTGCGCTGGTTAGCAGCTGTGTGACCTTGGGTGAGCTATGTAACCTCTTTGGGCCTCAACTTTTCTTTCTTTAAAATGGGCTAATGGCACTTACCTCATGGTGCTTGGTCGGTCTTTGATGTTTTGTCCAGCACATGTTTTTTCAGCATCAGCCACTATGCTAGGCATAGAGATGAGTGAGACCCCCCATTTTTCCTCTTGAGGGGAAGAAGACTGGCTCATCAAGAACGATTACAAGCCTGGACAGCATAACAGGATTCCATCTCTATGAAAAATTTAAAAATGAAAAAAATAGCCAGGCATGGTGGTGCATGCCTACAGTCCTAACTCCTTAGGAGGCTGAAGCAGGAGGATCGCTTGAGCACAGATGGAGGCGGCAGTGAGCTACAATCATGACGCTGCACTCCAGCCTAAGAAACAGAGCAAGACGCTGTCTCAAAAAACAAACAAACAAACAAACAAAAGAACAGTTACAGTCTAGGGAGTCATCCCCTAGGAAGCCCCCAGCACCTCTGCTCCTGCCTGGCGGGGAGCAGGTGGTGGCAGCAGAAGTGAGGGGTCTTGGAGGGAGGTGTTAGAGTAGGGCAGAAGGAGTAGGGGTTAGTGTTCAGAGGGCTGGGTTCTGGGAGGTCCCTACCCACCACCCTGATTTGCTGTGTGACCCTGGGCAGGTCCTTCTTCCTCTGAGTCTTGCTGTCCATCCCTGGGAAGCCGCAATATTGAATGGGATACTGTTTACAGTTCCTTCCAGCCCTGGACCCTGCAAAGAGAAGGTCCCTCCCTCCGCTGTGGGCCTGGGGCCAGAGATGGGCAGGCCTCAGCTCAGGCTCACGGGAGGCCTTGTTTCGGCTGCCTTAGTACCGGCCACGTTTCAAGGCGACCTTCCAGAGCATCTCCTACCAATCAGGGGTTCCCTCAGCAAGGCAGATTCCAGGAGTTTCAGGGGGTCCCAGGGGTGACACTGACTGCCTGATGGAGTGTTATGCCTTCACAGTTTCTTAACTCCGTTTTTTGTTTTGTTCTGTTTTGTTTTGTTTTTATTTTTTGAGACAGAGTCTCACTCTATTGCACAGGCTGGAGTGCAGTGGCGCGATCTCGGCTCACTGCAACCTCCACCTCCCAAGTTCAAGCAATTCTCCTGCCTCAGCCTCCCAAGTAGCTGGGACTACAGGCACGTGCCACCACGCCTGGCTAATTTTTTTGTATTTTTAGTAGAGACGGGGTTTCACCATGTTAGCCAGGATGGTCTCGATCTCCTGACCTCATGATCCACCTGTGTCGGCCTCCCAAAGTGCTGGGATTACAGGCTTGAGCCGCCGCACCCGGCCTCTTAACTCCATTTTTAAGAGTCTTGTTAACTCTTCAGATCCATGAAGGAAAAAGTGGGGCCTGAATGCTTTCAGCCCCTCTTGAATTCTTGCTAATCTCCATCTGAAACAAGGGGAGTACAGTGTCTTGAGAAGGCAAGAATGTCTAAGCAGAATCTAACAGCATTACCTTACTTTCATTGTGCGTAGGGGCATGTTACCGTCTACTATGACCAGTGCAATTAATACAACACGGATGAAAAGTTCCTTTTAAAATATATTCATTTAATAAACAAAGTACGCCAATTTTGAGGGGGAAAAATATTGCATTGAACTGTATGAAATTGCCAATATTCAACCACTGCTGACCTACAGAAATGGCAATTTTGTGTAGCTCAGGCTAATGTAAAGTAATGATGGCAACAATAGCAGATAGCTTTATTGAGAGCTTACTATGGTCAAGCATTTGCTTTTCAAGGAATATCTCATTTAATCCCAGAGTAAATGGAGCATTTGGAAAGCACTACAATCAATACATACAAAATCCACCGTAGCTTTGTGATCTTGGGCAAATACCTTCCCCTCTTTGGGCACAGGCTTCTCCAGAACCTGGGGCTTCCCTTGTCTGTTGCTCCACAGCCTACAATCCATCCCTTGGGCATATTTACTAAGCAGCTAATACACAAAGCACTGACTGGCAATGGCCGTGGCTGAGGACCAGGGATGAGGGACAGAACCATGGCAAGACATTGTCCCAGCCTCCAGGGAGAAAAGCAAGAAGGCATGTGCATGTGACGATGGGCCCAGTAGCCAGAAAGTCCCCACTGTCCAGCCCACAGGGGAAAGACATCAGCATGGCACAGTGGCCACAGGCTGCCTGAGAACCCACTGCACTGTGGGCCCCTTAAAGGCCGGAACTGAGTCATATTCAACTGCAAAGTGCTGAAGGGCACAGGTGATGAGAGAAGGGAATGAGGTGGAAATAGGTCACTGGGCATGGGGCCAGGAGGGACAAGCAGAGGAGGGACCTGAGATGAGATGGGACCGCAGAGGCACCAGAGGGTAGGAGCCGGCCTCCGGGCTGCTTTCCTTGCAATTACAGAGCACGTGTAAGGCTGAAAGGCACTATTTCAGCTTACCAATCAGCCCACGGGACTTTTGCCCTAAGCCTGTGTACACGTGGCAAAGATGCTACCAATGCCTGTACAGTAGGGGACAGTCACAACCAGAGGCACTGACGTTGGGCTGTGTGCATCTGGAGAAGGGTCCATCGGTCCCTGCCACCCTCTCTCCAGGGCTCTGGCTCAGACTGGGTGGGGGAACTTGAAGCCAGCACTCAATGTATGCTCCATGCTCAAAGGCATGGAGTGCAGGGGGATGCCGGGGGATAGACTTGGTGTCCGGGATTCCTGAGTGGGCCACAGCAGTGGGCGGGTCTTGCAAGGCGGGGCCAAAAGATAAAAGTGACTTTAGGTTCAAGATGCCATGGAGAGCAGAAAGTGACTTTAGGTTCAAGATGCCAGGGTGACGGTGACAAAGGTGGGAGTTGTGAACTACTGTGAATCTCAAGTCATATAAAAGACTCTCCTCTCTATGCGGATTACACTCCCTCCCAAAGAGAGATGGCAGGGAGGGAAACAGCAAACAAAACCATGGGAAGACAAAAATAGAAAAGTTAAACCTGGGGTTCTCTCAGTAGGATTTAGAGAGAGGCCGAGGTGGGAAGGGGAGAAGCCTGGAGAGGGAATCGGGAAATTGCAGGCCACAGTCAGGTGGCAGCAACTTCAGCTGTGCTGGTCCTGCCAAGGCAAAAGGAAGAAAAGCAGGAGAGACCGCTGTCAGCCTCTGAAGAGAAGCTGCAGCCTCAGTTTCCTCATCCCTACAGCGGGGCTGATACTACCAGCCTTGCCCGTGGCTATGAGGAACTAAATCTCCCATCCTGCCCCTTGCCCTGGGGTACAGCAGGATGCTGCCCGCAGCCGAGGGGGAGTTGAGGGACCGTGGAGGGCAAGGCTTGCAGGAGCTGCCTCCTGGAGGGTGCCCTGAGCTAGGAGCACTGGGGGCCCTGTGATGGCTGTTGTCTCATGGGTTGGGTCCCAGAGAAGCACTCAAAAAGATGAAGAGCAGGCGGCAGGAAGAGAGTGGAGGCTGGACAGAGGGAGAGCAGGATGCCACATGGGGGAGCCCTGAGTTGAGCTGAAGAGAGGAGGTAGGTGGTCGGGGGAACAGGCTGGGGAGGGCAGTGGGCAACCTGTATTAAAATGCATATTTTCCTAATGCAGGGCAGCTGTGGTCACTCCGTCCTTCACCCCTCCAACCCCATGGCTAGCTTGGGCTGGGGGAGCCTGGCAGGGGACACTGTGGGGGCCCAGGGCCCTGCCCCACTTTGCCTTCTCCCCTCACCCACCCCCATGAGCAGAGCCCAGTGGAGAGGGCCGGTGGGGGCACTCCTTCAGTGTGGCCTGCAGAGCAAGCTCAGCTCCCCCTGCAAAGCCTCAGTTGTGTCCCCGCTATCGCCAACCTCAGCCTTGGGGCCGAGGATTCACCCAAACGAGAGTCCAGGTTGTGCCTTGTTTAGTCTGGTCCGGCCCCTATCCCGAGCTCTGCCCCTATCTGCCTGGGTCAGAGGCACCACAGTGGCCCAGTGCTGCCTCTGTGGGCCTGGCCCCTCCCTGGAGGCTGCAGGAGCTGGCTCTGTCCTTCACCCTGGCTGCTCCCATCCACCACCCTCTGTCCTCACCCTTTCCCTCCCCTGCTCACTGCTGAGTTGGGGATCCACTCGCTGTGCCCCAGGGGTAGAAGTGGCTGAATACATGCCCCAGGTGCATGGGCAAGTGCTCGACAGATGTGAGCTGTTAGCTGCATTCTAATCTGTTTCTTGACTTTTCAGTGCTGCAGTTTATTCATCTTGAAAATGGGATTCGTGCAATATCAAGTAGCTCCTGATGCAATGCACTGAGTAGGGCATGGCTTCCCTTCTGTGGTTTTCTTGCCCAAAAATACATACATCATCTGAATTTGAACATGAGGAAGCATAAGACAAATCAACACTGAGAGACATTTCCACAAAACAACTGATCAGGACTCTTCAAAAGTGCAAAGGTCATGAAAGACAAGGACAGAGGCAAGGTTCTCCTTAGAACCCTCCACTCTAAGGACACGGGACCACAAGTGCAAAGTGGTCCTGTATGAGATCCTGGAGCAGAAAAAGGATATTGACAGGAAAACTCATCTATGGATTGTCAACAGTGTCATACCGTTATCAGTGTCCTGGTTTTGGTCACTGTGCCATGCGTTTGTGCCATGGGAAGGTGTGGCAGGAACTTTTTGGACCATTTTTGCAATATTTTTTTCAAGCGTGAAATTATTTCAATATAAAAAGTTTTTAAAAGTAGGACTAATTATAGTATCTCTCTGGTAGGTAATTGGGGAGAATATAAAAGTTAATACATGCAAAGTGCTCAGAGGGGTGCCAGACACCTAGTCATGCTCCGAAGGTGTCAGCTGTCATTTCCAATGGCCTGGCCCAGCAGCCCTGGGCCCATGGAGTCCCAGCTGTCAGAGCCAGGGGAACACAGGCCAGCTCCCTTCCTGGAAAGAGGCATTCGTCTGTCTATATAGAGAGCATCTCCAGGGTTCCAAGCCCCGTACTGGGCACTGGGGATATGGTAGGGGAAGGAGAGCCCAGCCCCGTTCCTGACACCACCTCCCTGAGCTGGGTGGCAGAAGTTCACAGATCCATCCCACAACAATGCAGGCTGTGAAGGAAGGTCTCCAGGGAATGTCCTCCCAGCCCCTGCCCCATGGCTGACATGTATCCCCAGCAGAGACTCTACAGCTGCCATGTGAAGGGTGGCAGAGAATTACACTGGGGGAGGGAGGAGTGTGCAGGCTGGGGACAACATGTGAAGGCCCAAGGCAGAAAGAGTCAGAGCCTCAGTGGGGGTTGGGGGGATGCTGAGAGATGTCAGGCCAGTGTGACCAGAGCCCAGCGGCTTCACCAGACAACCTGGGGCAGAGCTGAGGGCCGCCAAGGGCAGGTACCACAGCCCCAAGCATCACTGAACTTAAACTGCAAAGACAGCTGATCTTGCAGATGTGTAAGCAAACAGTCCACATGCCTAAACTAAGGATTTTTTTTTTAACGGAAAAAAATCACGTGGGCTCTAGCTTTTGTGAGGGATGTGGTGATCTTGAGGCCAGAGCCAATGTACCAACTGTAAGAAGAAAAGGCGCCCAAGGGGTTCCACCATGAAAGGCTGGGATGTTGCAGGCACCCAGCAAGCACCTTCTGTCCATGGGCGCTGGCCAGGATTCCCAATGTGCTTTCACAATGCCCTTGCCCCCAGCCCACTGGGGCACATCGGCAGGTGCCTTGGCCCCCATTTCACAGACAGAGCACTGGAGAGCTGAGTGTGGCGGAGACCAGAGGGCTCTTCCTACCTGGGCGGGGCTTGGCCCACCAGGATAAGCTGGGGAAGGGCTGAAGCAGAAGGAGAAGGGTCCTCTGAGCCTGCCCTTCACCCCTGCGGAGGGTTGGAGAGGAAGGAGAACTGAGTCAGTAGCCGGAGTTCTGGCCGATTCCTCAAGGCCTGCAAACCTCACATTCCTCACTAGGAAAATGGAGATACAAAGGTCTCCTTGGCAAGGTGGCAATGGGCATCAGCGGTGATCTTTGTGAGCCCTTGCCCCAGTGTCTGGCACTAAATGGAAGTCCCCCTTCCCTCTTATCCTTAGGTAGGGATGCCCCGTAAGCATAGCGAGGTAAGCAGGCTCTGGATTCTGCACCCATGTCATCCATGACTTCCTTCATGCTGACACCTTTCCCAGCCAGCCCACCCTCGGTGCCCAGCAAAACGACAGTGATGGCCGTGCTTACTCAGCTGACACTCAGAGTGTCACACTACCGTGTGTCAGATGCTGGACCAAGGACCTCATACAGATTAACTCATTTATTTTTCATAACCTCCATAGGAAGTGGATACTGACCTCATCCCACTTCACAGAGGCACAGATAAGAAATCTTTGAACGTATTATCAGTGCAGGGCTAGAACCCTGTCTCCCCACAACTTCTCCTGTACTTATGCCACCTCCATAGTTGAACCCAGGAAGTGTGACCCCCAGTGTCGGCACTCAACCACTGCACTACCCTACTGCTGCGGAGGGGAGCAGTACCATTGTAGGTATAGGTGGAATTGTGTCCCCTCAGAAAGATACAGTGAAGTCCTAACCCCTAGTTCCTCAGAATGTGAACTAGGGGTTTATTTGGAAATAGGGTTTTTGGCAGATGTAATCAAGATAAGGTCATTAGGGTTAGCCCAATCCAATATGACTGGTGCCCTTATAAAAGCAGGAAATTTGGACACAGACAAATAGACACACATGAAGAAGAAGGCAGAGATCAGGGTGATGCTTCTAGGAGCCCAGCCATGCCCCAAATGCCAGCAAACCACCAGAAGCTAGGAGAGAGGCACGGGACAGATTCACCCTCACCACCTTCAAAAGGAAACAACCCTACCGACACCTTTGATCTCAGACTTGTAGCCTCCAGGCCTGTGAAGCCATGCATTTCTGCTGTTTTGCCACCTAGTTTGTGGTGCTGTTACAACAGCCCTAGGAAATTAATACAATCACTATAGTCTTTCTATGGCATTTCCCAATGCAACTCCCCATTATTTTTTTAGGAAAGGATCCATATATTCATTACATTATCAGAAGGGTTTCTAATCTTGGCACTAATTTTATTTATTTATTTATTTATTTTAGAGACGGAGTCTCGCTCTGTCCCCAGGCTGCAGTGCAGTGGTGCGATCTCGGCTCACTGCAACCTCCACCTCCCAGGTTCAAGTAATTCTCCTGCCTCAGCCTCCCGAGTAGCTGGGACTATAGGCGCCCGCCACCACGCCCAGCTAATTTTTGTATTTTTAGTAGAGACGGGGTTTCACCATGTTGGCCAGGATGGTCTTGATCTCTTGACCTCGTGATCTGCCTGCCTTGGCCTCCCAAAGTGCTGGGATTACAGGCGTGAGCCACCTCGTCAGGCATATTCTTGGCACTCTTGATGTTTTGGACCACCAGATAATTCTTTGTGTGTGTGTGGGGGGGGGAGGGTTGTCAAATGTGTGTGTGTTCATCTACTAATACACTCATATAGGCACTCAACTGGCACACACATATGCTCACAGTCACATTTTTCATCCATGCTCACATGCCATTTTACATCTAACCATCTAACTCCAGGGGTGCATAGAGTCCCAAGTCCTTCCATGTACCTGAGGTTAAGAACCCTTGCTGCTTTAAAGAGAGGGAATGATGTTAATATAGTTAGGAACCAAAATTTTCAGCATAATATAAAAGAAATACAACTGTAAGATAAAATAAGGTTAAAAGCCCTGTCATCATCAACTTGAATTGGAAATATCAATATGAGCTCATGATGGATTTTCTCTTTCAAAAGATCCAGCCACCAAAAAGCCCTATAAGTCACACCAACTCAGAGGCAATGAGCATTATCATTCCAGACTGGGCTCTCCAAGGACCCAGGGCACCTTGGAGAAATGGATGATTCCAGGGCTAGGGAAGGAAAAATATAAGATGAGGTTTCTTGTTACACACAAAAGCAAGGAAGTTAGAAGGAGCCAACTCAAAATGCCTCATACTGGCCAATGATGGGACAATTTTACCATTAAAAAATGACTACAATGAGCAGTGACTCATGCCTGTAATCCCAGAACTTTGGGAGGCTGAGACAGGAGGATTACTTGAGTCCAGGAACTCCAGACCAGCCTGGGGAACATAGGGAGACCTCATCTCTACAAAAAGTAAACAAAATTAGCTGGGTGTGGTGGCACTTGCCTGTAGTCCCAGCTACTCAGAAGGCTGAGGTGGGAGGATTGTTTGAGCCCGGGAGGTCAAGGTATCAGGGAGCTAGAAGTGCGCCACTGCACTCCAGCCTGGGCAGCAAAGTGAGACCCTGCCTCAAAAAAAAAAAAAAAAAAAAAGACTAAAATGGCTCGAAGCAAACAAAATATTGAGTTCATAATATTTTTACAAACTCAGCCAGCCACAGTGGCTCAAGCCTGTAATTCCAGCATTTTGGGAGGCTGAGACGGGTGGATTACTTGAGGTCAGGAGTTTGAGACCAGCCTGGTCAACATGGCATGGTGGAATCCCATCTCTACTAAAAATACAAAAATTAGCCAGGTGTGGCGGTGCGTGCCTATAATCCCAGCTACTTGGGAGGCTGAGGCAGGAGAATCGCTTGAACCCAGGAAGCAGAGATTGTAGTGAGCCGAGATTGTAGTGAGCCGAGATTGTAGTGAGCGGAGATTGTGCCACTGCTCTCCAGCCTGGGTGACAGAGCGACACTTCATCTCAAAATAATAATAATAATAATAAATAATAAATAAATATAAAATAAATAAATAAATAAAACTTATTTGTTACTTTTGGAGGATGCTAGGGAACCAATATATTATTTTGAAAACATTTAAAAGAGAAAGAATCAAGCATTTACCCTGCCTTTCCTGTATAAACCTCAGTCTAAGGAAATAATCAATGAAGTGAAGAATGTTATAGAAGAATTTCACCTAGGAAGTGCAGAAAGAATGATAGGCCATCACCACTTTGCAGAACTAATAAAATAATGAGCCACTAAATTACATATTTTATATACATATATTATATATTAAATCACATTATAATAATGGCTGCTAGAACCATAAGGTGAAAGGCTGTGGGAAATTTACAATGGATAGATGAAATCAACAGCATCTGAATCTACTGATGAGTTGTCACTTCACAGAAAGAATCAGAAATTGTGCACCTCCCAATAAAATGCAACAGGAAGCACCTGGCACCACTTCTGAAAAATTATTTTCAAAAAAACTGAACCCAAACCTAATCAAGCTTCTGAATGTAACCGTAAGTTCACAAGCAACGCACAAGATCGGGGTCGTGATGAATAAGAACACAGAGATGCAACAGCAATCAGTGAAACTGAGAATATAGAAAGCTCAGAGGACAAATGACCCGGCTTTTTTCTAATATATAGAAGAAATTTTTTAAAAAAATAAAAAGGGGAGCGAGGGGAAAACTGTTATGGATTAAAGAGACTTGAGAGATCTATCAACCAAAGGCAATGTGTATACCCTGTCTGGGCCCTGATTTGCATAAATTATTATAAAAAGGCATTTATGGGACAACTGAGGAAATTACAACTGATGGATATTAATTAACATTAAGGAGTTCTTGTTAATATATTTAGGCTTAATAATAATATCATTGTAGAGTTTTTTTCTAATTATACTTTAAGTTCTTGGGTACATGCGCACAACGTGCAGGTTTGTTACATATGTATACATGTGCCATGTTGGTGTGCTGCACCCATTAACTCGTCATTTACATTAGGTATATCTCCTAATGCTAGCCCTCCCCACCTCCCCCCTCCCCACAACAGGCCCCAGAGTGTGATGTTCCCCTTCCTGTGTCCAAGTGTTCTCATTATTCAGTTCCCACCTATGAGTGAGAACATGTGGTATTTGTTTTTTTGTCTTTGCAGTAGTTTGCTGAGAATGATGGTTTCCAGCTTCATCTATGTCCCTACAAAGGACATGAACTCATCCTTTTTTATGGATGCATCGTATTCCATGGTGCATATGTGCCACATTTTCTTAATCCAGTCTATCATTGATGGACATCTGGGTTGGTTCCAAGTCTTTGCTATTGTGAATAGTGCCACAATAAACACATGTGTGCATGTGTCTTTATAGCAGCATGATTTATAATCCTTTGGGTATATATCCAGTAATGGGATGGCTGGGTCAAATGGTATTTCTAGTTCTAGATCCTTGAGGAATCGCCACACTGACTTCCACAATGGTTGAACTAGTTTATAGTCCCACCAACAGTGTAAAAGTGTTCCTATTTCTCCACATCCTCTCCAGCACCTGTTGCTTCCTGACTTTTTAATGATCAACATTCTAACTGGTGTGAGATGGTATCTCATTGTGGTTTTGATTTGCATTTCTCTGATGGCCAGTGATGATGAGCATTTTTTCATGGGTCTTTTGGCTGCATAAATGTCTTCTTTTGAGAAGTGTCTGTTCATATCCTTTGCCCACTTTTTGATGGGGTTGTTTGTTTTTTTCTTGTAAATTTGTTTGCGTTCTTTGTAGATTCTGGATATTAGCTGTTTGTCAGATGAGTAGATTGCAAAAATTTTCTCCCATTCTGTAGGTTGCCTGTTCACTCTGATGGTAGTTTCTTTTGCTGTGCAGAAGCTCTTTAGTTTAATTAGATCTCATTTGTCAATTTTGGCTTTTGTTGCCATTGCTTTTGGTGTTTTAGACACGAAGTTCTTGCCCATGCCTATGTCCTGAATGGTATTGCCTGGGTTTTCTTCAATATCATTGTAGAGTTTTAAAGAGAACCTTTACCTTTTAGAGGTGTATGTTGAAGTACCTAAGGGGGAATTAACACAACGGGGGCTGGGGGCTAGGAGCCAGGGACTGGGGGCTGGCCATAGCAGATCTTTGTGGCAGCTGCGTGACAGATGCTGTGTGATAGATACTGCTCTCTCTACTACTGTGTATGTTTGAAAGTTTTTGTGATGAATTGTTTTTGCCAAGGACCAAAAGTCCAACTGGGCTGCAGCCCTGCCAGGGATCTCAGATACTTTTGCTAAAGTCTTGGTGGCTCCCACAAGACAGCCTGGGTCACTGCATCCCTAGCATAGGTATCAGTGATAGGGGATGGTGGAGCAGCCAGAAAGCCTTCCTGGAAGAGCTGGTGCCTGACCTGAGCCCTAAAGCCAGTGTCCCCCAATGCAAGGAGATAGGAAGTTTGGGTCCTCAGGCAGGGGGCCAAGAACAGACCCCACCAGAGACACTGGCAAAAGGGTACACAAGAGATGCTTGGGCTGTGGCTGGCAGTGAGACAGAAATGAGGACTCACTGTACACACACTAGAATAGTGGCGCCTGTGGCTTGGGGAAGGACTGGATGTGGATATAGGAGAGCAGGAGGAGTCAGGGAGGCCCCTGGGGTGCTGGAAAGGCAGGTGGGTGCTGGAGGTGCTCATAGTTGGGATGGAGTTCATCACTGGGGAACAAGTCAGGGGTCAGAATAGGTAGCCCAGGAAGTTAGCACAGAGTGGTAGGGCTGGAACCCAGTCTCCCCACAACTCCTCCTGCACTTATCCCACTGCCATAAACTTTCTGCTTTCCTAAAGATGTGCCAAAAAACCTATGAAGGATGATATAGAGGTTTAGAGGGAAGCTGAAAGGGTTCACCAGGAGGGTTAGGGAGATAGTATGCTGTCTCCAGGATAAAGTAGAGCAGCCAAGTATCCCCCAGCCAGGGCAAATATTAAAAAATAAAGATTTTTTTTTTTTTTTTGAGACACAGTCTCACTCTGTTGCCCAGGCTGGAGTGTAGTGGGGCGATCTGGCTCACTGCAGTCTCCACCTCTCAGGTTCAAGCAATTCTCCTGCCTCAGCCTCCCGAGTAGCTGGGGACTACAGGCGCGTGCCACCACACCTGGCTAATTTTTTATATTTTTAGTAGAGACGGGATTTCACTATAATGGCCAGGCTGGTCTTGAACTCCTGACCTAGTGATCCGCCTGCCTCGGCCTGGAACAACAAACCTGAAGAAAGGGGCTTTCTGAGGTGTGTAGTGGTATCTTGTGGTTTAAATGTGCATCTTCCTAATGACTAATGTACCGAACATCTTTTCCTGTGCTGACTTGCTGTCTATGTATCTTCTTTGGCGAAATGTCTGTTCAAATCTTTTGCCGGTTTGTTTTCTTATTTCTGATCTTGGGGGAAATCATTCAACTTTTCACCACTGAGTGTGATGTTAGCTGTGGGTTTTCTATACCAGCCTTTGTATCCGACTGAGGATGCCCCCTTCTCTTCCTAGTTTGCTAAGAGTCTTTATCATAAATGGCTGTTGGATTATTGTCACGTGCTATTTTCTGCAGCTGTTGGGATAATCATATGATTTTTCTTGCTTACTCACTTAATATGGTGCATTTCATTGACTGGCTTTTCAAATGTTAAACCGATTTACTTTCCTGTGGTAAATCCCATTCAGTCATGGTATATTATCTCTTTCATACATATTTGGATTCAACTTGCTAAAAATTTTAAGAATGTTTGCATTTATGTTCATGAGGGATACGTCTGTATTCTTTTTTGTGATGTCTCTTTCTGGTTTCGGTATCAAAGTAATTTTATGAGTGCTGACCTCATAAAATGAACTGGAAAATATCCCTTTTTCTTCAGCTTTCTGGAAGTTGGTGCATAACTGGTATTATTTCTTCCTTAAATTTCAGTCACGAATCACCTAATTACCACCACCATTATGGCTTTTGCCGCATCCCCATCCTATACCCATAACCATGTGTTTTTTTAAACTGTCTATCTTTTTAACAATCTCAATAGAGGTATGTTGTAAGGAAGCTTTCTATCCCCATCATACATGGAACCAGTGGCATTGCCCCTCCAGCTCTAACAGTTGAGGAGTGCTGGTTACAGTCACCTCCCCACAGCCCCTAGCCCTATGGGACGGGCCCACAGATGAGCCCTCCCTTCCCAGCTGTCCAGGTACAATTTTGAGTGTGCCTTGGGGTGGGCCACATGATGGGGTGATAGGGCCCAGAAGTACCTCCCACCCGAGATGGCAGTGGGTTTATGCTGACAGGAGCGCTGACTATTAGGCAGAAGCTGTGTGGCTCCCAGGACTTCCCTGCATACATGAGCGATACTTGCAGCATGCTCTGAGGCACAATGACCTGGGGCCACATCTTCCCTCCCAGAGAGGAAGCTGAAACTGAGCATGGCAAAGCCAGCTGCTGAAAACTATATGTGAGATGAGCAGCACAGCCGGGGCTACACCCCGGCTAACTCTGAGAGCACTCTGAGTCCATGGTTCCATGAGTCCCTTGCACCCCTGTGTGCCTTTCTTGCCCTGCTCTGGGCCCCAGGAAGATACTCTCTATGGAGCATATCCCCGGGCTCATTGCCCGCTGGCCCCAGCTGGCTCCAGCCAATGGGGAGTGCTGGCAGGATATTGGATGGCGGAGGGGAGAGAGGTCAGAGTTCCTGCCCTCCCACTTTTGTCTTGCTCTGGGACTGGCTGTGCCCCAGGGAGCCACGGCTTCTGCAGGGCAGCCTCCTCCCACATCTCACACTTTGAAGCCAACTCCTGTAACTCTGTTTCCTCCTCTGTCCCTTTGGCCTGCAGGCTGCTAATAGCTCCCACGGTGGCCAGTCCCTGGGTGCCTTACATCCTATTAGTTCCGTTAACCCAATAGCATCTCTGCAAATTGTCCCTTCACTTACAAGTTTCTTCAAAAATCCCAGCCAAGGTATCCTCTGCTTCCCGCCTGATACATGTAGGAGGGCCCCCCTGCCATTCTCCAAGTGCCTTAGGCTCTCCACAGGTCTCACACCCCCACTCCCTGCTTACAGACCAAGAACTCCAATGCCCTTGGCACCTGCTGTTGGCAGGCACTGTTTGCCTCCGGATGAAGGTGTGTCCATCTGCACATGCCCAGGAGGCAGACCCTGAGATGCTCCCTGGAGAGAGAGCCTGCCCTTGCCTCCTCTAGGTACCCGGTCCAGCCCACAGGTTTAAGGGGAGCACATGACATTGAGGAGAGAGCAGTGGCGCGCCAGGGACTTGAGCAGAGGAAAGGATCACTTCCCTCAAGGTGATTCCCACCCACGAAGCCCAAAAGTCAGGAACAATTCCAAAACCAGTCTTCTGGGACTTCTGAAAACACTCACTAGGTTCTAAGAATAGGAAGATCCATGGTGGACACAGCACACACACAGCCAAACCAAACAACCAACAGTCCACAGTACCTGTGTGGGAGCGTCCATCTTAAAAACAATTCTTGATCTTGATAAGAAAATGCCCCCATCCCCACATACACACACAGACAACAAGAGCCTGGGTTCAATGGTTACCATTGGTATTTGCACTGAGGATGCAAAGAAAGAGAAAGAGAAAGACATTACCTCTTTGGAAAGACGTGGAGCAAAAACAGAGGGCTTGCTGGGTGTACCTATTTGCTCTGGGGACTAAGGGTTTGAGGACCCATACGGCATCCCCAGGGATGACACTGTACATCTGCAGACATCGTCACACCACAGACCTCAGAGGGAGGGTGGGCCTGGTGGCCAGCATGGTGACCTGAGCTCATGCTCGTGGCTGCCTGGGCTGGAAAGACGCATGGAAATGGCCCCAGGTAGCACATGCCCCCGTGGATCACAACGTGGTCCAAACCCGGCTGCCAGGAAGAGATGCTTCTGGGAGCCTGAGGTGCCGGCCAGCGCGGGAACAGTATGTGATATATCAGCTCCTCTTTTGGGAGCCGTCAGGCAGGCCAGGCATTTGTTTACCCCTAGTTTGAGGAGGTTCTGAAGAGGTAAGAAGAGCATGGAACCAATATTTACTGAGGGCCAGCCGTGAGCCTGCCATGCACCAGGGACTTTACTTACGTCTTCGTCCATTTTGCTGTGTTCCTTAGGCTCTGAGCAGGGGTGCTGCGTATAATGCTGAGAATTGACGATGATACCAAGTCTCTCACTGTGCTTTTCCTTTTAAGGCCTTCGTGTGGCATATCATCATCTCTTATCTGCCATTCACAACTATCCCTGCCTGCAGTTGGAACAGCAACTCTTGTGGTCACTCCTTTACCTGTGAGAAAACAGGGGTCCAGGTGGTTGAGGGGATTACCTACTCAAGCTTCAACATTGCCAGATCACAGCTGGAAGCCAGACACTCGACTTCTCATCTCTGGTCACAGCATCACACCCAGGGTTTAAAAGCCCATCAGTCCCCGAGTCCTAGGAAGGGCTCATCACATTAGGGGGACTGACTTGTGACTCAGCTAATCTTAAGGAGCAGGACAGAACATCTGGGAGCTGAAGCTGTAGGGGTGAGGAAAAGTGACCTTGTTACTCCCACGTAACGTCTTCCCTGGCGGCTTCCACAGGGGGCACCTCCAGGAGAGTTACACCTTCACAAGTGCCATCAGCCATCATCTGGCTCCTGAGGGCAATGTGGGAGTTCCTGATGACTCAGTGTGGCCTCTGACTGTCACTTCCCCGGCACTGCTGTGCAATTTCCAAATGGCCTGTTTTCACATGAGCTCATGGCTTTGGGATCCTGAGCACAGGCTCAGGCGTCAGGTGCTTTCCTGTCCTCAGCATGGGACTACGGATGGGCCCCCTTCCCATGGTGAGAACCAGATGTCACAATTGCGGTGAAGTGTTTAGCACGATGCCTGGCACACGGCCCATGCAGAGAAACATTAGCGTCTTCTCTGGCTTGTTCCCTGAGCTCCGGAAGAGTGGTCTTGGAAAAGAGACCCTCCCCACCTGACACTGTATCTGGGGTCATGCCCCTCTAGACAGCTTTCTCAACCCACAGTCAGTCATTGATCTGGAACAGGGGTGGACAGGCCCAGGCCAAGCCTAGGGAATGGAAGGCGATGGCTCCCCTTGCTCAAGCCAGGCCCAGGGAAGGAGAGCAAGAGAAAGGGAGGGTGGGGGCTCCAGAAGGGAGCAGTTGGCCAGGGGATCATCCTGGGCCCCTGCTAGGCCGGCTGGATTCCTGGCCTTGCTAAAGCCACCTGGCCAGGATGAAAACCTGTCCTGCCAGGTGACAGGGCCCGAAGGAGGAAGGAAGCCCACAGAACCGGGAAGTCACTGAGGCTCAAGCTGAAGGCCAAAATAATCCGGCCAGGAGGAAGTCAGGCTGAGGAGAATTGGGCCAACCCTGCACCCGGGTACACATGTACATTCACACACACACACACACACAGAGCACACGCACATACATGACCGTGCACACACGTATGAACATACACAACACACATTCTCCACACCAACCTACACTCTGCCATTTCTCTGACTCTGGCAGGATAAGGGTCAGGTAGGCAATGCTGATGTCAGGAGGCCTCCTTGGAGATGGATCACTGGGCTTGGCTGGAAGGATGCATGAGGGAGAGGCAGGTACAGAGGGAGAGGAGGACACTCTAGGCCCAGGGAATGGTGTGAGCAGGCATGTGTTGGGGCCACAAGAAATTTGGGGTCCCAGAGCTCAAAGCCAGCAATGAAGCAGGAGAGGGAGACGGAGCTGACCACGTTGCTGAGGCGATGGGGAGGGACGCTGGCAATTCGCGCTTCCTAAGGACCCCCTGAGAGCCAGAGACACCAGCACATCACGACCATAGGTGGCTGGATTGTGTGAAGACTCAGCTCCCCGAAAGCCACTATGAGGCCACAGTGAATGGCACCTCCTGGAAGGCTCTCTGTTTATTCACGCATTCACTCGCGCCACACGTGCCACTCGGCAGAAGGAAAACGCAGCTCCCTGGAGTCTCGGAGCTCGTCCAGGCTCACATGTAGATAGCTATGCTGGGATTCGAATCCCTGGAATCTGCCTTTGGGACCTTGTCTTCCTCACCCTCCTTTGACTTGAGAATCTGTACCTGGCTCCAGGGACCTGATATCAGCAGGGCAGGCGACAACCGTAAGAACACACATGGACCCAATGCATGGTGTTTATTGAACAGCTTCTCTGTAAATGCTGGGGCTGGGAGCTGCAGGATGGACACCAGGAAAAGAATGAGCAGGGCTGCTTTGCACGTGCTGACGGTGGAGAAATGAGTCACGCCATATGCCAGAAGAGAGAGAGCGACAGGAGGGTTCACCAAGAAACACGAGAACTCAAAGCATGGCACAAGAAGCCTTGGGGACAGTGGGGGCTGCAGGAAGAGCTCAGGAGAGGTCAGGAGATGGGCTCTGCCCCTAACTTGCTGAGCTCCGTTGGGCATCTCATTGTTTTGTCAATTCCCCCATTTGATGATTCAGCTGCAGAATTGCAGGTGCCAGTTGATCAAAGTTGCCCTCGCTGTGGGCCAACATTCAGGTGGTGCTGTGCCCTGCCCTGCCTGACCTTTGGCTGCCAAGACCTCTCAGGCCGGCTCGTCTGCCCCTGGCCTGCCTCTCCTGGGCCGAGTCCCTGCTGCCAGCTGTGGCCCACTGCCCGGGATTTTCTAAGCTGCATTGCCACTTCCTGGATTCCAGAGCTTGGCTCTACCCTGACCCCACCCCAACCTTCTAGAACTTTCAACTCCAGAATGCAAATGGGGGATCCAACCCTCACCTCTCCGCAGCCCAGCTTTCTCCTAATCCCATCCTCAGATGGGCAGCCCTGCCATGTTGAGAGAGCCAGGGGGGCATCACAGAAAGAGCAAGGGTTTGGATCACTCCCTGGTCAGATGCAGGCTCTGATGACCTCAGCGAGTCACTTACCCTCCCTGAGCCTCAGTTCCCTCATCTAAAAGTTTCCTGTCTCATGGGGTTGTTTGAAGACGGCTGAAATGATACGAGCCATTGAGGAGCCCAAGGCTGCCAAGGTGTTCATTTGGTAAACAGTGCCCTTGTTTTCTCAGCAATGCCACCCTGGCCCCTGTGGGGACAAAGAGAGGGCGCATGCTGTGTTTATCAAGCGCTCACAGTATGCACGCTTCCACATGCCATATTAACTAAGATACAGCGTTATCACTGCACTATCTTTTGTTGTCTTTTGATACAGTGAAGTAGAAGAAATAAAGATTATTCTTAGCCAGAATGGGCCTGAAAACTTGGGCAAGGGGCCCCAGAGGCACCTTCCTTCTAGCGTTCTCTGCAGCAGAAGAGCCCATTGCTGTGTCTTCCATGGAGCAGCCAGTGAAGGGGCTGCTTGCAGTGAGGGGCCAGGTTGCATAAAGAGCTGCACCCCAGATGCAGAGACATAGGCAGCCTTGAGCCTCCTACCCAGTGGAGCACAGGGGGTCAGTCACACAGATGGTGGAAAGGATGCTGCCTGTCCTGGGGCAGGCTGGCTCCCCTGCACCACATGCACCACTCTCACTTTTACTCCTGGATAGTGAAATTTTCTTATGTTCAAAGCACATTTGATGCTCTTTCTCTGATAGGAACTCTAGACTCAGAGAACTCAGAGCTCCACTAATCCAGTGGTTCCCACACTTGTTTCCCAAGAAAATTAAACATCATATCCCAATAAAGGAATCATAGCTGTCGGTCCATTCTGGTTGAAAAATTATGCAGTGAGGGATCTTATCCCTGCCGATTGACTCTTCTGTCTCCCCTGAGGCCCACCCTACTGAAGCCCAGGGGCCCTGGGGAATGAGACGTTAAAACCTCTGAGCTACTCCAACCTTTCAACACTGAGAAAATGTGGGCTTGTGACTTGTACCCACCAGTGCCCATGAAGTTGGTAATGGAACATTATCTTGCCCTCTGTTTTGTGTGTGCTGAACTGATCTGGCTCAGGAGACTACAAATTCGAGGTGGACTCTGTGTTCTCTCCTCCTCTGGGCTCCTCTGAGCCCTGGGTACACAATTAAAAGTATTCTCAGTAATGCTGACCTGAGTTGAATCAGAGTGCTTGGGCCAGTGTCTCCCAAGGAGAGGGAGACATGTATCCCAATATATATTAACCTCCCCATGATGATGGCCTCCCCACGCAGGGAGAGAGAGCATGTGGGGTGGACATGCTCTGATGGCCCCAGGAGCCTCCAGCTTCTGGAGCACCAGCTTCTTCTCAGGGAAAGCCATTTGGTGGGCGTGAAGACCATGCTGGGTTCAGGCTGTCTAGAGAGCTGAAACAGGGCACTTCGGGTGCAGGTACAGAATCATGTGGCCAGGTAGGTGGCCCGGCCTGACAGCGTGGGGCTTAACCCCCTGCCACGATCCAGGGATGCCAGGGATGCCAGTGAAGGAGTGTCTGCAGGACACCCTGGGCCAGGGGCTGGCACCAGCACTGCTGGAGCATGAGTGGAGACCCAAGCTGGGTGGGGGCTCTCATATGTGTGATCCCACTTGCTTCCTTTAACAGCCCACAGGCTGGGCATTTTTATGATTCCCATTTGCAGTCACAGACATGGGGCTTTGAGGGATTATGAGAAATCTTGCCCAGCAAGCAACTAATAAGTAAGGGAGCCTCTATTCGAACGCAGTTCCCGAAACCCCAAAGTTCACGCTTCCGTGAGTGCAGCCTGCACTACCACATTGCCTACGGACAGCCTAAGACAGAGGCAGAGCCGAGGTGAGGGGTGTGGCACAAAGGATTATTTAAAGGTGACTTTGGAATCTAAATTCCCATCCCCGAATGGCAGGCATGACTTTTGTGTCTGCCTGGTACCTATGGGGCCAGAAGGAGCTCACAAGCCCTATACAGCAGCCCTGACCTCAGCAAAGTCCTTGAAACCATTAACAGAGCCAGGTTCCAGCAGCCACTGAACAAATCTGGACTCCTCACAAAATTGCCCATCGGATTTGTGAAGGGAAGGTCAAGTAGAAAGGCAGCCAGAAGTGCCCAGTTGCTCCTCCCGGTCGTAGGTTCTGCCCATCACCTCCAGCAGGAGAATGGGAGACTTCCTTATCCAGGGTCCTGTTTACCTTAATGCTCTTAAGGTCAATCGCTTGTTTGTTGAAATTAAATTTGCTCACCTCCCTTACTCGTTAGAGACTGTCAGAAGCTGAGAACACTCTCCACTGCTCAGTCAACACACGTGGATGCTGCGAAGTCTGCTAGAGCAGGATAGCTCTGGCTCTGTTGATGCCTCAGGCCTTCTCGGCACAGTAGACCCTACCGCCATTTGTCCTTCGGCCTCCTGCATGGCCTGTGCATGACCAAGTGTGTTCTGGGTGTGTGCACAGGCGTGTGCTGTGCTGGGGGCTGAGAAGAGTCAGCCCATCCCACTCCCACACCACATCCCGAGGAAGTCCCACCCTGGTGACTCAGATACCAGGCGGTCTGTGGCGGAGTGTCCTAGGCATAAGGCCCCCCCAGCTGGTCAGATGAGTGGCTTTCCCTGGGGTTTGACTTGGAGCCTCTCTCCTTGTCTTCTGTGGCCTCTCCCACAGCACCACCAGCTTCCCATCCACCCCAATCTTCTCGCTGCATGCTTGGCCTTTGAGACAGCCACTCTCATGAGAATACCAACCTGGATGACTACACTCAAAGAGAAAGAAACGCCTGGTGTCCCCTGGTGCTTAGAGGGTAGTGAGCTCCTTGTCTTTGGAGGTCTTCAAACACAGGCTGTTCTGTAGTAGACATGTGGGAGAAAGCACTCCAGTGTCTGGTGGAACAGGGGCAAAGGCAACGCAGGACTGGAGACAGTGAAAGTCTTTTGCAATGTGGACATTCCCCGAGAAGGGCCCTTTGTCCGGGAAGCTGGCTGCAGTTGAAGGAGAGAGATGGAACCAGAAGTCTACAGTAGGAAGGCCATGGGGGGACTCTGACCCTGTGAGAGGTCAGGCTCTGGCCTCTTCCGTTAGCGCTCTCACCTGGCCAAGGCTCACGTCTGTCGATTCTGTAGCCGCGATGGGTCCGAGGAGAGAAGGGAGCTGTGGAGAGCTCCTTTGGTGGTGCAGTGAGACCCTGTCTCCAACCCTCTCTTGAGCGTCTGGCCTATGGGCTCATGGCTCTGGTGGGCAGCATGCCTTTCCACGCAAACATGCACGTTCCTGGCCCTGGCTGGGGGCTGCCACCATGTCACCTCCTCTAAGCCTCACCATAGCTCTCTAGGGCATCTGGCTAGAGCTTAATAAATATTTGCTGAATGAACGGAACTGCATGCCCAGATCAGCTGGGGCAGCCAAACGAGGCCACAGTCCCATGAAGGCCCCAACTATTCCAAGACTCTGCTTGATTTACAGGCGGCACAGGCTTCTTATGGGTCTTCTCCCCCATGTCTATCAGAGCTCCCAGGGGTGCCTACCCGTGCCCAGAACTCCACCTAAGCACTGCTTGCTGCCCACCTGCCCTTAGCAGGAGCAGTTCCCCACCACCAGTCCTGGGGAGCAGGGCACAGACACCCATGCACCCTTGGCCCTGGGTTTGGGGGCCACTGCTGCTAACAGTAAAAGGGGAACACCACCACTAGCCGTGCTGCCCCTGCCCTATGCGGGAGACAGAAACCTGCCCAGGCTGTCAGTGTACAAATATTGATTGTGTGTCTGCTCTGTCACAGGCATCAAGAGCTGGTGCCACAGCTAGCAGTGGGGCCTCCAGAGCCAAACAGCTGAGCTGAGTGTCATTGAGGATCAATGCAGTTGGGACTGCACAGTGTTAAACTAGCACACACACAGTCTCACACGCACACACACTCACACACTGACAATCACACACACTAACATGCACACACTCACACACACTCAGACACTCTCACACACTCACACACATTCACACACCGTCACACACACTCACGCTCACTCACACACACTCTCACTCTCACACACTTCTCACTCTCACACATACAAACACTTTTCACTCTCACTCACACACACTTCTCACTCACACACACATTCACACACACATATTCTCACTCTCACACACATTCACATACTCGCACACCCTCACACCCTCACACACACTCGCACACCCTCACACACTCATACACTCACACACTCTGACACTCACACAACTCACACTCACACATTCACACACACTGTCACACACTCTCACACACACACATACACACACACGCCTCGACACACGTTTCCCTCATGCATGGGCCACCGGCACTGCATGGGTTTCTCTTTCATCCCCTGCTGGGTGGTGACAGCTCTTTCCTGACCATGAGATTTGGGGCTGACTCCAGATCACTGCCATTTTCCCCTGTGCTGAGCTTGCCCCGGGAGACTCACTGTCCTTCCCTGAGGCCTGGCCTTGGTCAGGGTCACAGCAGCAGATCTGACTTGTCCACTGTGATCCCTCCTTTCCTTAAAAAATGTTTTTCTGTCATTAGGCTGATGAAGAAAGACTCCTGCCCTGGAGCCTGGCAGCCAGTCAGTTTTCAGGAGGCAGATATGAGCCGTCATCCCTCTCTGCACCGATGCCCCCCTTACACCACATTTCAGCACATGTGGCTTAACTCACCTTTCTGTTCTGCTGATGATAATAATGAAGAGAGGAAAGCAGAGGGCGAGGATTTCAGCAGAGAGGAAAAGGGGACGGCCCAGCTGAAGAGCTCTTTGCACTGAAGCCTCAAGAAGCCCTGTAGGGACAGAAAAAGGAGTTTGGCTTCCTAACTCCTTTGCATGTGAACTGGGAGGGGGCAGAGGTGCGAGGAAGGCAGCTATTGAAAAGCTGGTAGCCAGTGAAAGAGCCAGTTGAGGGATTGGGTCAGTGGCATGGCCACCTTGCAGTGGAGGTCCAGGCCTTGTCCACAGCAAGATGGCTTCAAGTCAGATTTCTGGCAAGAGCTTTTCCAAGCTGTGTCACTGGGACCACAGAGGGACTTGGGGTAGCGGTTAGTGGGTCCAGTTCACAGAAGACCAAACACAGGAGGAAAAAGGCCTCTTAGCTCACTAAGTAACTAATTTTTTTTAATATGATTTTTTTTGAGATGAAGTTTTGCTCTTGTTGCCCAGGCTGGAGCTCAATGGCGCAATCTCGGCTCACTGCAACCTCCATCTCCCGGGTTCAAACGATTCTCCTGCCTCAGCCTCCCAAGTAGCTGAGATTACAGGCACCCTTCACCACACCTGGCTAATTTTTTTGTATATTTAGTAGAGACGGGGTTTCACCATGTTGACTAGGCTGGTCTTGAACTTCTGACCTCCAGTGATCCACCTGCCTCAGCCTCCCAAAGTGCTGGTATTATAGGCGTGAACCACCACACCCGGCCCCCTTTTTTTATAATTTTTTTTTTTGAGACAGAGTCTCGCTCTGTCACCCAGGCTGGAGTGCAGTGGCTTGCTCTCGGCTCACTGCAACCTCTGCCTCCTGGTTCAAATGATTCTCCTGCCTCAGCCTCCCGAGTAGCTGGGACTACAGGCATGCACCACAGCACCCTGCTAATTTTTGCTTTTTTTTTTTTAGTAGAGACAGGGTCTCACCATCTTGGCCAGGCTGGTCTCAAACTCCTGGCCTCAGGTGATCCACCTGCCTCGGCCTCCCAAAGTGCTGGGATTACAGGTGCGAGCCACCACCCCCGGTCAAGTAACTGATGTATAAATGTCTTGTTGAAACTAAGCAAGGAGATCTGAAAGGATTTCCAGCTATCTAGGGATAATCCATGGAAATTAACAGCTGTTACTGACTTAGACATGTCCATGTCCCATAACTCTCCTCTTTGGGTGTGATGCCTTTGTTGGATTTATAAAGCAAATGTGAATTTTCTTTTTTGTTTTTTTGAGATGGAGTCTCACTCTGTTGCCCAGGCTGGAGTGCAGTGGTGTGATCTCGGCTCACTGCAATCTCTGCCACCAAGGCTCAAGCGATTCTCCTGCCTCAGCCTCCCGAGTAGCTGGGACTACAGGCACGCAACACCACGCCCTGCTAATTTTTGCATTTTTTTTTTTTAGTAGAGATGGGGTCTCACCATCTTGGCCAGGCTGGTCTCAAACTCCTGGCCTCAGGTGATCCACCAGTCTCAGCCTCCCAAAGTGCTGGGATTACAGGTGCTAGCCACCGCCCCCGGCCAAGTAACTAATTTAAAAAGGTCTTGTTGAAACTGTAGGGAAGGAGATCTGGAAGGATTTCCAGTCATCTGGGGATAATCCGTGGAAATTAACAGCTGTTATTGACTTAGACATGTCCATGTCCCATAACTCTCCTCATTGGGTGTGATGCCTTTGTTGGATTTTTAAAGCAAAAGTAATTTTTTTTTTTTTTTTGAGACAGTCTCACTCTGTCGCCCAGGCTGGAGTTCAGTGGTGCAATCTCGGCCCACTGCAACCTCTGCCACCGAGATTCAAGCAATTCTCCTGCTTCAGCCTCCCCAGTAGCTGGGATTACAGGGGCCTGCCACCGCGCCCGGCTAATTTTTGTAGTTTTAGTAGAGACGGGGTTTCACCATCTTGGCCAGGCTGATCTTGAACTCCTGACCTCCTGATCCACCCGCCTTGGCCTCCCAAAGGCCTCCCACTGTGCCCAGCCAAATGTGAAAATATTTACCACACACAGAAAAATTATCAGTAAGTTTATTCCCCCAACTCCTTCTCTCCCAAAACCTCCAATGCTCCTGGCTGAGAATCCTCCTGGGGAAGCTGTGGGACAGGTGTTTGTGGGATGCTGATGAAAATAGTGCAGAGGATGCCTGGGTGTGCAGAGAACTCTGGGGAGGCAGGGAGGCAGCCAGAGGAAAAGAGGGAAAGAGCATTCTAAGCTGAAGGAACCGCAAAGCCTGTGAGGTGGAGAGGGCTTGGCTGCCTGAGTGGCCCAAGAGAGGCCAAGAGCTGGAGCCCAGCAGGCCACAGGGGATGAGGCAGGGGACAGAGGATGCAGGTGCTGGTAAGTTAGGCTAAGGAATCCAGTCTTCCTTCTAATGTCTGTGTCTGGTTCACTGTAATGCCAGCCCTGTGCCTAGCACAGGTTGGGAGCTGAATCCAATGCTGCCAGATTGGAACCTCCTCTGCACATTTTCAGGTGAGTTTATTGTTCACACCCAGCCAGGGGAGTCTTCGGAGTGGAGAGGGGAGTGGCACAGTGGGATTTGGGTTTTGTGACGGTCACTCTGATTGCTCAGTGGGAAATAGAGCAAGAGTGGGCACAGGTGGAGCTGGCAGAGGCTACTGCAGCAGCCCAGCAGGAGGTGATGGGCAGAGGTGGGCAGTATGTTCAGAAGGAGGCTGGCCAGAGGAGGGGGTGGACCAAAACCCAGCCTTGGTGGAAACCTCCCAAGATGCTGCAGGAAGGACATCAGTGCACGTGGATCCTGAGCCCCAGAGGAAAGTCCACTGCAAAGTCCAAAGAATTAGTGGCAGGTGCTTTGCAAATCCTGTGTGAGATGCCATGTTTTGTGGGTTCTGGTGCCGGCTGTGTGACCTTGGGTAAGTGGCTTTGCCTCTCTGAGACTTGTCTTCAAATAGGCCAGAGGCATGGCAGATGGCATCACACCTGCTCCCCAGGAAAAACAGCTGTGTGCTCAGCATCAAAACAGGGGCTCCACACTGGGCCAGGGGGAGCATCTGAAGCCACTTTCTCACTCACCTAGCGGTGGTGGGGTGGGGCTGGGCTGTGGCTGGTCTGCCCAGCCAGGTGAAATCAGGCACTCAAATGGGGTGCCCCTACCCTCTGATCTCACAATCCCACCTCTAAGCAGCTGCCTGAGGGAAAGAACCCGAAATACATATATGTAGCCAGAGTCATTGATCGCAGTGCACTTATAATGGTGAGAGATTAGAAATAACTAAGGTGTCCAGCCCCAGGGGCGGGATTTTGTATGTGTGGAACTGTCACTCAAGGGAGTAACGTATGGATGTTAAACCTGATGTTTACACAAATTTCTCATCATAGAGGAAATACCTCTGATGAGATGTTAGGTACAAAACTTGGAATTATAAGAGTATGTACAGAACTTGGGCTCTGCAGTCAGACAGGTCTCAGGCTGAGGTGCAGGTAAATGAATGAGGCCCAGGGAAGCTGGGGGCACTCCATCCACAGTAAAGGGGACGATCGCATCAACTATGCAAAACCACCCAATACACATGTATGGAGGTCTGGGAAGAAATGAACCCAGTTCTTATCTTGGGGTACATTATTTTTCTTTATTTTATTTCACTGTTTCATCCAAATTTTCTCTACAGAACATAATTTTAATTCTAAAGTGAAGCCAAATAACTTTATGCTTGTTTAATATACAAGGCTGGAGGTGCCCCAGGCCCAGCCTGATGTCGCTGAATGCCTGGGTCCCCATAAAGTCTAGTGAGGGGATATGAATGATTGGGTGCTGCCCAGCCCCTCCTCCACACAACCCCTGTAGACACATGGCCCACAGGGCCAGCCGAACTGGCGGCCCCTCCCAGGGGGGCGACGGGTCCAGTGGGGCAGTGAGTAATGCACCCTGGGCGGAGGCTCAGGACTGAGGCCAGATGCAGTACTTAGGTTGTTTTCTCATCAGAAGTGCAGGGGGTGGAGGCGGACCTCCTGATGGGTGCCTGCTTGCCACTCACCTGGGCTGACTAACCTCGCTGAAGCACCTTCAGGCCTCTGGCCATACCAGGTGGGTGGCAGGAGCTGCCAGGACCAGACTGGCTGCTGGCCTGGAGCTGAGGGCCCCTGACTCATGGGAACAATGACTCTTCTCTCCCCAGACCTCTCTTCTAGCTCTGCCTGAAGATAAGTCCCTTTGATAACCATGTTTCCAGTGTAGGGAACTATGCCCTGGCAAAATCAGAAAGCTGTCACAGGCCTGGGTTGACCCCTACCTCTGCCATGTTAGCTGTGTGGCTTTGGGAAAATCACTTCCTCTGTGCCTCATTTCCCCTTCTGCAAAATGGGGATCAAATCAAGACCTTTCTTACAAGGTTGTGGAGAGAATGGAATGAGACGGCACCATAATGAATCCTCGCAGTGCCTGTGTGCAGTGGGAACTAATTCATCATTGCTCCCTCCCTCTTTCTGTTCCCCACGGCACGTCCTTTCCTTATTCTGACAATGAGCCTGAATTCCCAGTGTGGCCACTCTAGGACCCAACCTGGAGCTGCTGCTCCCCGGCATCAAAGGTCTTGGCTTGAGACTCCTTCCCTCAGATATAGGTGCTGATGTGTCTGTCAATGGCTGTGCCCTGCAACTGGAGGAAGACAGTGGACTACATAATCACAGGGTCTTCCCAAACATGACAGGAACCAAGAGAACACAGATAATGATCAGGGACCCTAAGGTAGGCCTCAACTCACTCCACATTAGCACAGCCCCCAGATACAGGAGGGCAGGCAGGCTGGGGAACTGCTGGCCAGCAAGAGGGACCTGTGGCGTGGAGAAGAAGGAACTTCCTTCAGCCTGCAGGGAGGAAAGACCCAGCCTGGGCTGAACCCTTGCTCTGCCACCATCAGCTGTGTGACCTGGGGCCATTGGCATCATCTCGATGAATCTCCTCACCTGCAAAGAGGATAAACAATAGCAACTGGTGGGTTTGTTGGGTGATAGGCACAGGAAGGAGACTCAGGAATTGTATTCTACTAGGAATGGTGCAATTACAGTGCAATCACAGTGCAAAGGCTATTGAAGCCCAACCACTTTTCTGAAGTCCCCTTAGGGCTACATAAGCTCTGATAAAAGATACCTGCCACTCTCACAGTGGTGCTTCGTAGACAGTAAGCCTTCTAAAGAAAGGGCTGCTGGCCAGGCGCGGTAGCTCACGCCTGTGATCCTGGCACTTTGGGAGGCCAAGGCGGGCAGATTGTGGGGTCAAGAGATGGAGACCATCCTGGCCAACACGGTGAAACCCCGTCTCTACTAAAAAAAAAAAATTAGCTAGGCATGATGGCGCGTGCCTATAATCCCAACTACTTGGGAGGCTGAGGCAGGAGAATCGCTTGAACCTGGGAGGTGGAGGTTGCAGTGAGCTGAGATTGCACCACTGCACTCCAGCCTGGCGACAGAGCGAGACTCCATCTCAAAAATATAAATAAATAAATAAAAGAAAAAAAAGAAGAAAGGGCTGCCATGAAACTCATTCTACTCAGGCAAAGGAAGCCTGGGTGGGGCCACTCCCTAAGGCCACAGTGCCGGAAGATTGGGAGTTAGGGTGCGAGCAAGGGTCTTCCCACCCATGACCCTGGAAGCCCCTCCCCTACCCACTCACTCCTGCAACCGCCACCCAGCCTTCTGCAGCCACACAGTGTTGTGTGAAGTTCTCCCGAGCTCCGTGAGGCTCCCTGAGGAGCCCCTAAGCTTCCATGCCTACAAGCAGGGAAGTGCACAGGAAAATGTGGTAGGAGAGACACAGTCCGTCACCTACCAGTCCCAGCCTCGAAGCTCATTCCGTCATTCTTTTATTTTACCAAGCAGGTAGGATTTCATTTGGAGAGACTGGGGAAGGAAATCCAAATGGGAGGCAAGACCCAGGCAAAGGTGTGGAGGCTGGACAGGGAGAGACCACCAAGAATTCAGGGGCGGGAATTCAGCCATGGGGAGCCTAGGTTCAGGCAAGGTTAAGGAGAGGGAAGGTTTATCCCCATGTCTGACCTACCCCTTCAACCGTCCCCCCACTGGCCCCAGCAGCCCTGCCCAGAGCTGCCTGCTCCTCGGGGGACAGGGGTGGTGTTTGCAGCCCCCTTAATATCTTCCCGTGGGCACATATCAGCATTTCACCGGCTCCCTGGCAGAGCAGGCTATGTGATAAGAAATCCAGGAAGTTCAATAAACTCAGAGCGCTTGGCCACCACCGTGGCTTATGCCAGAATAAACAGGGCCTGGCATGGGGTTGCAAGGCCCTGTCCCAGGGCAAACACTGCCTTTTGCCAAATAGGGAGTTGTTTTTGCAAAGGCAAGTGTGTACCTGGGGGGCAGAAGAGCAGTTCCGCCAAGCCCCTTGACCACTTGCCCCAACCGGGCTCTGACATCAGTTCTTACTAGTAACGACAGAGGCCAGAGGGGAGACTCTCACGGCCGTGAGTGAAAGATACAAAGTTGTTACAAAACAAAAAAGGAAGGAGAATGAGTAATCTCAGTCATAAAGCTCCCAAACAGCAGTTCAAACCCGCTCAGGTAATCCGTGCATCATGCTTCCTGCAGTCTCCGTGTTGCCAACACCTCATCTTGCTTGATCTTAAAGCGCCCTGTGAGGTTGGCAGGGAGGGGAAGATGAGCCAGCCCTGCTGACTGGGAAAATGAGGGGCAGAGCACCTAACAAAGGTTCAAGTTCACGTGGAAGAGCATAGAGGGCCAGGCCTGGCAGGATTTAAGCAGTTGCTCCACCGCACACCTTAGGCAGGTCCTCTGGGCTCTGGGAGTCTCAGTTTCCTCATACGTAAAATGAGGCTTGCAACTGCTACCCACAGATAGGTCCTGGGTTTCTTTCAGGTAAGAGTTTTGAAGGCCTTTAGCCCTGCACTTGGCCTGCACAGACTCTCAGGAAAACAAGTTCCTGTCTTGGGCCTAGGGTACCACACCAACTAGGGGCACAGTGGCCTTCCCGGCACCCCATTGGTAAGCCGAGCAAACAAAATATTCGCTTCAGGAGGTGCTGAAGTGTGCAAGAAAAGTTGTCTGCCTGTGATACACACCCTCATTGCACAATGACCAGGACATAAGAGAGCTCATGTGTGTGCGTGTTCGTGTGCACACACGCCCTCTCTCCAAAGGCCCTCGCTCCAGCAGTTGCATCATACATCACAGGCAGCTCCTTTGTATCCTGCAATAAAGTCATTTAATGCTAATGATGAAATGTATGCCCTACAGTGCTCGTTATTAATAGGAATTAGATGTATTTCAGGTAACAAAACAGTGAGTCATGTGGGCAATGAACACATCGTGCCAACCCGACCCGTGGTGGGACTGACGTGGTTCATGCTTGCCCCTCCAGAAAGAGCCACGCTCCCACAGCAACTACAGATTAATAAATCATGGCGTGGCTCTAAAGCTGGCCCCCAGGGGCGCAGGACTCAGGACTCACCTCTGGAGCTACCAGTGTGTCCCACGTCTTTTTCTTCCTGATGATTTTGAAAGCATCTATTCACTGTCATCACATCCTCCCCTCATATTCGCTTGTACTGTGCTCACTGTATCTGACCCCTCAACACCAGACACCCACTCACATACTGACACCTTAGTTTGTGCCAGACCCCACAGAACTAGAGCTAGACCCAGAGATAACCCATAGATACACACACAAACGCACACACAACCTGAGTTGCACAAAGATGTGTGCTCATACAGACCCGTGCCCACAGAGGTCGCAACCACACATGCACATGTGTGTCTCCTCAAGGCTTAATTGTCACCTCCTCTGTGAAGCAAGAGCCTCATCAGAGTACTCATCATCAGGAGAGCCTGGGTTACGTTGCTGTAACAAGTAACACCAGATCCTGGTAGTTTTTGGTAGTCAGGTGGAGGCTCTGCTCCACACAGTCACTTGGGGATTCAGGCTGCCAGCAGCTCCATCATTTTGCATCCTGAGCAGCTAGAATGTCCTCAGTGGCTGTGGCAGGGGAAGAGAAAAGGCAGAGGGTGAAGCCTCGGGCTAAAGGGAGGTGTCACCTGTGCCCTATTTCATTGGCCAGAATTAGTCATATGACCCCACCAAACTGCAGGGGCAACGGGAAGTGTAGTCTTCTGTGTTTGCATTCTGTATCTTGAAGTCAGGAATGAGTTCCCTGGGGCTAAAATCAAGGCATCAGTAGGAATTGTTCCTTTGGAAGGCTCCAAGGGTGCTCACATTCCTTGGCTTGTGGCTCACCCCTTTCCTCCATTTTCAAAACCACAGAATAGCATCTTCTATTCCCTGTGACCTCCTGCTTTCCTCTAACAGGGACCATTGTGCCCGCCCTGGTAATCCAGGATAACCATCCCTCTCAAGGTCCGTATCTTCACCACATCTGCAAAGGTCCTTTTGGCATGTGAGGTCACATCCACAGATCTGGGGGAGTAAGACATGGCCATCTGTTATGGACTGAATATTTGTGTCTCCCTAAAATTCCAATGTTGACATTCTACCCTGCACTGTGATGGTGTTAGGAGGTGGGGCCTTTGGGAGGTGATGAGGTCATGAGGCTGGAGCCCCCATGATGGGATTAGCAGTCTTAGAAGAACAGGCAGAAGAGTTTGCCATGGCTCACTCTGCTCTCTTCCATGGGTATGCATAGCAAGAAGGCAGCCATCTGTGAGCCCAGAAGAGACCCTCCCCAGAACCCAACCATCCTGGCACCCTGACCTCAGACTTCCAGCCTCCAGAATCGTGAGACATAAATACCTGCTGTTTAAGCCACCCAGTCTATAATATTCTGTTCTAGCAGTCTGAACTAAGGCACCCTCTTGGTGTGGCACATTATTCTGCCTAGCACAGCATTCCAGAAAGGAGAGAGATGGCACAGGGTTTTGAGGACACACAGCACTGCCCCTGCCATCCAGCTCTCCTCCCCTGCACTGTCATTGCCCATGCAGCCTCTCCAGAGAAGCAGTCGCGCTCTGTAGGGGCAGGCGCCGGCCATGAGCATCTCTGCCCAGCAGATGGCTGGCAGATAGCAGGGGCCTGGGAAGGCCTGTAAGAAGGGAGAAAAGAAGAAAAATATGAATGAATGATTTTGGCAGGATCAACAGTTGTGTGAAGACAGAAAAAGCATGAAAGAAAGTGGATTCTAACGAATACAGAGGCAACCACATCACACAGAGCCAACAGGGGAAGGGGGTGGCCCTGAAGTGGAGGTTCTGAGGGAAGCAGCGGCGTTTCATGCCCAGATATGGAGGAATGGTGAGCACGAAAAGTGTGGAAAGAAAGGGCAGAGGGAGGCAGAAGGAAGCCCTTAGTCTGAGCCAGGCACTGTGCTAGGCATTTTACCATCAGCGCTCCCTAAGGTCTGCACAACACCCTTGCACGCAGTGCCCTGCAGATGAAGGGACTGAGACTCGGGAAGAAGTCCCTGATCCAAGTTCACATGGCTGGACAGTCTGTTGTGCCAGGATTTACAGGCCTTGCTTGGCTGGTTCTGAAACCAGCTGCCATCCCAGGACACCCAGCTCTGTGGCAAGCTTTGACACACTTACAGTGGCCTTAGTGTCCCCACCTCTTTAGGTCTCAGATCCTTCATCTGGAAAATGAAGAGGTTGGGCTAGGTAATCCCCAAGCTCCCTCTCAGCTCCAGCCTCCTTGGGTCCTTGGGCAGCTCTAAATCAGAATGGAGTTCCTGGAGGGGCTGGGGGTCTGAACTTCCTCCCACTGACAACAGACACGCAGTTCCATCTGTGTTGCCAAGACAATCCAGGGCAAGGAGGGAGAGGCCCAAAGCAGAGATGACTCCATGCCCAAAAAATGAGTATCATAGCAGCCCACAGGATTGTGCAAGCTGCCCGTGAGGCTGCCAGTCGGCCTGGCCCGGAGGAGGGCTGTTTACACTTCCCAAGTGTGTTTGCAGTTAACTCCATCCGCCTGGCCCGTGTGCACAGCCCTCAGGGCTGCCAGCAGCGTCTATGTGGAGACAACAGGAACGGATCTCACCAGGCCCTTTATCTCAGACACCAGACACCCATTTGTTCATTCATTCATTCATTCACATACATGTTCATTTCCTCATTCATTCCCATAGTGTTTGCCAGGCATTGTGTAAGGCACTGGGGACACAGAGGTAAACAAGATAACGCTCTGAGAAGTCTCCAGGACCCAAGAACCTCGAAGAACAGTGAGACACTAAATATAGAGAATGACTCTCCCGGCCAGGTTGGTACAATGAGTTATGTGCTTGGAGTTCAGGGAACACAGGGCAGGAGACTTCGGTATCTTCCTATGGAAAATATTTAACCACTAGTTGAAAAATCAAATAAGATAATAACTCTGTACTCAATTGTCTTTGGAAATATGTTTTCTCATGAACGCGGATATGTGAAAATGTCACATTCAAAGTTTTCTTTAAATCCTATTTGAAGCCTGGCCGGAAAAAACCACCTTAGTTACTTTCAGGACTCCCAGGTTCTGAGGCCAAGCAAAGGGCCTGGGGTTTGCACAGTTTGCTAGGCACCAGGGAGGGTTCCTCAGAGGTCCCTGTTCTCCCACTTAGCATGCTCCTTGACGCCCAGTGGCTGGGGCCAGGTTGAGGGCTCAGAATGCTGGAGCATAGCTGTGTTTTGACTCCAGCTTCTCTGGACAGACAGCAACTTTTGGAAAACCATGCCACATCCCAAGGCACTGCTATGGAAAGGGCTTAGGTCAGGCCTCTGGGACTTGGGCGTTCTTCCCAGATACTAGAAACCTTCCTTCTTCCCTTTTCCTTCCCACTCATCTTTTTTTTTTTTTTTTTTTTTTTTTGGTGTTTTCTTTCTTGGCCTTCTTCTTTCACAAAGGACAGGAAAAGATGTTTCCTGCAAGTAGATTCAGGCAAATATCTGCAAATGCCCCTGAGACTAGGAAACAGAAAGAAGTCTGGCTACATATACGGGACATTGAAAGGAAAAATACAAAGGGAAAACGCCATAAATTCATATTTCAACAAATTATCTGCCTTGCACAGAAATAACTGTCTAATTTTGTTTATCATTTCTTTAGGACATATTTCCAGGAGTAAAACCAAGAGATCAGCACATTTTGAAGAATGTTTTTCAAGCTGCTTTTCTAAAGGTTTATACCAATTTACCCTCCCGCCAGCAATGTGCAAATGTTGTCTAGTTCACCACACTATCACCAGCATCAAATGTTAGGATATTTTATTTTTTCCATCTTTGAGTATTTTGTAAACTAAAGAACTTTATTTTCAAAATATTTGCATTCATGTCACTTACTGATTTTACAAGTATTTTATTTCCAACACTCCCTTTAAATACAGAAATTCCTGTTACAGTGTGAGTAGATAGACCCTAGGGATGCCTTAGATTTTACTAGGTCACTAATAATGTGTCCTTCCAGGTGTCTTTTCTCACCCAAGACACCTTTCCCTCTTTGACTGGGAAATTCTAATTGGTGCTTCCGTGTCTCCCCACCTTCAGAAATCCTCGATGCAGTCCCTAGCAAGGAGGCTGCCCAATGGCCTGATTCATACCTGGATTATCAAATCCACCACCTCATGCTGTGGGAGGGGGGCAGGCCTGTGTGCCTCAGTCCTCACTGAGCCTCAAAGAGCCTCTGTTTCCTCCACAGCAGTTAGAATGGTGCCTGTCGCTTGGGGTTGGGTGGGCATGAGGCAAGATAAAGTCTGGAAAGTGCTCAATAAGCACCCAGCACTACACACTTAGTGAACTTAAGCTATTATACTGTTATTATTACTATTATTATTCTCCTTCTCTCTCTGGAAGGCAAGGAAATTACTTTTATCTCTGGATCTCTGGTTGTGGGCCCAGAATATCTAAGTAGATCAATCAAACTGCTATTGAGTAAGCATTTCTCTGCCCTTGGCACCAGCTTTCCATATGTAAGACTGGGCTGTGAGTACTACAGTACTATCTTCTCCGGCAGGTGGCTGCTTGGATGACTCCACTCCCATTCGCTCACTCCCACACCTCCCACCCATGCTTGCCTGGCCCTGCCATTAACACTGCAGAAGAACATCCAAGTGTTTGCATTCCCAGCATCCCTTGCTGCCAGGGTTGGCCATGTGACCCACTTTTGGCCGATGAGACACCAACAGGGTGCTCCTGGGAGACCCTCTACTTTCCCAGGGAGTCGAGGCTGCCATCTTGCCACCACAAGGCAACGAGGAGGCCCACGTGCTAAGGACGATGAACAGAAAGCTGGGAAGAGCCCAGTACTTGGCATCACCAGCAGCTGACCAAGGCCATCAACCACTCGTTTTCAGAATTATGATGTCAGAAAAATAAACCTAATTTTGTTTAAGCCACAGTGAGTTGAGATTCCCCTTAAGTGAAGCCAAACGTTTCTATCTGATACCCATGAATGAACGCTTTAACGTGCTCATCAAATATTATGCTCCCTACTTACCTTTTCTTCTTTCTCTTTAAAAGGCCCTTTGCTGGCCCTTAGGGAAAGCCAAGGGGCCCAGGAACTCACCACATGTTTGAATCAGGGGTCTGATGCTGAAGAAGCCAGTGGCAGTATAACTTACCCTAAGCATTTCTCACCTTCTCTACCCCAAATAGGGGCTGGGGATCAAGGACTTCCTGAGGGCTAAGATGAGAGGAGCAGGCCCAGGAGATCCAAGGAACAGACCAGAAGATACAGCCCAGGAAAGGGGGGTTGCAGGCTCAGGCCCTTGGGCCAGCTGGGTGCTCAAGGCTACACCCTTTGTGAGGCTCCCACCCTGGCTCCCTGCAGCCCAAGGGAAAGGGCTGTCTGCTAGTGACCAAGTGGGCGTGATGGGTCTCCTGTGTCTTTGACTCCACCAGACTCCCACAGCCTCATTCAGGGCATAAAGAACCTACAACCTGCCCTTTCTTTTTTTTTTTTCAAGACAGAGTCTCACTCTGTTGCCCAGGCGGGAGTGCAATGGCACAATCTCGGCTCACTGCAACCTCCGCCTCCCGGGTTTAAGCAATTCTCCTGCCTCAGCCTCCCAAGTAGCTGGTATTACAGGCATGTGCCACCATACCCAGCTAATTTTTTGTATTTTTAGTAGAGAGGGGGTTTCACCGTGTTGGCTAGCCTGGTCTCAAACTCCTGACCTCAGGCGATCTACCTGCCTCAGCCTCCCAAAGTACTGGGAGAACTTGACCTTTCTAAAGCCCTAAAAGCTAATGTTTGAGTGTCTGCTGTACATCAGGTTCTTTTCATCTTCATGAAAGTCCTTCGATACAAGACTTTGCATCCCCATTTATAAACGAGGAAACTGAAGGATCAAGAGGTCAAATGGTTCGCCCAAGGTCACACTGCTGGGAAGAGGGGGAATTCTGTTTCCTTCCCAGAAATAACCACCCTACAATAATATGTTGCTTCAGAGCCTATTTTATTCAGTCTCCCAGACAAACACTATTCATTGCCATCTGAGTGCCTTTGTCCCAGCTCTGCCTGTCCCTCCAGCCTGGAATACCCTCTGGCCTCCACTGGCATTCCAGCTTCAAGACTCAGCCTCACTCCCTCCCTAATCATAAACAGCCATCACTTATGGAAAGCACACCACAATATTTTACAGCAGTCCTACCCGACAGGTCCCTGTATCTCTGCTTTCCAGATGAGGAAACTGAGGCTCAGAAAGGAGCATTTTCTGGCCTCTGTCACACAGCTAGTAAGGGGGGTGGCCAGAAGGCAAAGCCAGCTCTGCCAGGGCAGTGTCCTCAGAAGAGCCGAGAGAGGGAGGAGTTGCTTCCAGGTCAAGGTCAGGCCTCCAAAAAGAATGCTTGGTCTGGGCCCTTCTCTCCTCCCCCACACTTGGCCCTGCAAATTGGCTTTGACCTTTCATGCCCCTGCCTTTGAGCTTCTCCCCATTCAATTGAAATCACAAAGGAAGAAAAGAGGGCTGGCGAGAGGGAAAGGCCCCTCCTGGCCCAGGCCCAGGTCCCCAGCCACGCCCCCGCAGGCGCATCGAGCCCTCCAGGGTCTGTTTGCACAGTTGGGGTGCTGCGCTAGGAACCCCACCTCCGGGAGAAAGGCACCACGAGGTCATCTGTTTACTCTGGGATTAGCGGCTCCCCGTGGGAGTTCTTTTCCTACGAGATGAAAAGAAAGCGGACAATCTGTCAGGTAAACAGGCCGCATTGTTCCCAGCCATGTCGGGGGCCCCTTTGTGGGCCGGGCCTTTGAGGTCGGTTGCTCCCTTGCACAGGGAAAGAGCTTACTTAAACGGAATGGAACGGAACGGGAGGCCCCGGCTGGTGGGCAGGTCGCCTGCTGCTGATACAGGAAGGGACAAAGGGCTCGGACGATTCCGGTCTTTCCTTAGCTGCTCTCCTTGCAAGCTCTTTCCTCCCCATGGGTCTCTTGATGAGTCCAACAAGACGGGCATGGAGCCCGATCTCACAGATGGGGAAGCTGAGGCCAGCGGCAGCTTCCCCCAGCACAGAAGAGAGCTCCTGGCATTCCAGCAGGGGGTGACTGGAAGAAAACCAGGGACCTGGTCTAACCACCTCACTCTTCAGATGGGGAATAGCTGGAGATACAGGAAATGGCAGAGTACGATTTCTGCACTGGAGGTTTCCCCAGGTGCCCCTGCTGGTTGGTGGGGAACACAGGAGCCACGACCATCCCCACGAGTTGGCTGTCAGTTTTATGGATTCCCAGAATATTTAACAGCTGAGTGGATGGCACTGGTCAAGGCCGGCCTGTTCCCTCCCACATCTACCCACAAGGTATCTTCCTGGGAAGCAGGGAAGACAGTGTAGGCCCTGCCCCGCCAGTGCATGAGTGTCTGGGAGTCAGGACTCCTGTGTTTGGGTGGCCCTGACTCCAGTTTGCTCTGTGGCCCCAGGCAAGCCACTCACCCTCTCTGGGCCATCCATCAAACAAGAGATAAGATGCTCTCCAGGGGCTAGCCCTTCCTTCGGACCGTGAGAAAAATCTAGGGAGGGCACAGGCATCCATCCATGAGGACAGGATGGAGGAGGGACTACCTAAACCCCTGTCCATCTCTGACCCCCAAGAGGCCTGTGAGGCAGTGGGGGCAGCGCCTGGCCCAGCCACCATCCTCTAGGCAGGGTGCTGCCGTGGGAAGAGAGCACTGTGGTGAGGTGGTGAGACCGCATGCCCCGGGTCACCCTGACCGGTCCAATTGCCTGTCACTCACCAGAGGCCCAATCTTGGGCAAGTGACTCAGCCTCTTGGTGTGCGAAATGGCCCCCATGAGGCCTCCTCAGCCTGGGGGGCTCCATGGCAGAAGGGTTCCAAGAAGGCAGGAGCTGGAGCTGTTCTTGCCGCTGCTGGGAGGTCCTGTCCACCCTCTAGCCTCCCTCTCCCTGATCCCCCACCACTGCCCATTCCCAGTAAGGCACCTATTCTCTTTGCCACCCTGACACCAAGTCACTGTTCAGCTTGTGGGCAACGGAGCCGGAAGCATGGAAAAATCTCATGCTGCTCCCAAAGCCAAGGGAGAGCTCAAAGAAGGCTGGTGGAAAAAGGCCCAGAGCTGTGGCCGGACAGAGTAGGCCCCGAACAACCACAGAGCCGCCTTGACAGAAGCCAGGGCACGGTCCTGAGATGAGCCTCATCCCTGGAGGGCAGCAATGGACCATACACGTGTCTAAGCCCCCATCACCAGCCGGGGCCCCAGTGACTCAGAGCCTGCTCTTCCTGAACCCACTCGGCAGGAAGAAAACTGAAGGCCCAAGAGCCCCAGCCACACTGTGACCTGGAGGTGACCTGGAGGGAGACAGGGTGACAGCACCAAGCTCAGCCTTTCCTCCGAGGCTTCGCAGGACTGAATGAAGGCAAACTTCCCAACACCCCAAGCCATGGGATTGTCCTTCCTGGGGCCCTGACTGAGCTGTGACGGGCTGTGTGGCCCTGGGTGAGTTACTTGCCTTCCCTGAGGCTCATCTCAGCACATATAATAGAAAATGGAGACAAAAGGATGCCCTTTGCATGGGTTTTGGGAAAGATTAAGTCACATGTTTATAAAAGTGCCTGGCAAACATCAGTGGCTCCATGAATATTTGTGGTGTCTGAGTCCCCCACACTGCTTTCATGTCCCCTTTTCCTGCTCTTTCCCTTTTCCCGTTAAGCTTCCCAAGCCTCCAACTGAAGCTGCAGTGTTTTTGGGGGCAAACATCATGGGAATCACAATGACCATAGTAACCATTTATTACAAACATACTATGAGCCAGGCCATGTGCTAATAAGTGTTTTATCTCCATTATATAGAGAAGGCAACTGAGGCACAGAGCACTTAGATGCCCCCAGCTAGGAAGGGATAGAGTCAGGATTTGAATGAACCCAGTTTAGATGCCCTTAGCTGTGCTCTCTAGGGTGATAAACAACTCTGACTTACAGAGCAAAACTGTGTGCCAGGTTCATCACCTCCTGAATTCCACATGCTGGGCACTGCGGTCCCTGCCACAGAGAGGACAAAACTTCAGCCCAGAAAGACTCAGTGTCCCCCACTGAGTGTGCGTGGATGCATGGGAGGTCTGGGTGGTGACTGACCCGGGAAGCCGGCAGGGAAGGGACTCAGTCCTGCATGCTCTGGGATTCCCTTCCTGCTCGCTGCTGCCACCATAGACGCATCGTTCCCAGGGAGCTGTCAGTGCCCTGCCAATGGCAGGACCAGGCTCCCTGTGAGCCGGGAAGCCCTCACCAACGATGCACCCTGGCACTTCCTTTCCGTCTCCAGGCGCCCACACAACCTGCCTCCCTGGAGTTGCCTGTCGTGAGGATGAACAGGGGGCTCCAAGGGGCACCCTGGTTGGAAAGAGGGGTGAGGATTCCTTCCAGGTAGGGGATTGGGGTATGAACAGACATAGATGGGAGGCCTGGACGTCCCCAAGGAAATGACCCGTTACCCCAAATGCCCATCGACCCTTCTACCCTTCCTGGCTTCTGACAACTGGCTCCTGGAAACAAGGTCAAGACTGCCCCCTGAGGACTACCATTTTGGGGAATCCCGGCATCTCGGGGAGACCTAAAGATGTAGGCACCAAAGGAGAAGGAGTTTCCAGCTGCAGCTGAAGCACACCTGGTCGGGAGACTCATAGCAAGCACCACTCCCACCCCACCCCACCCCACAGCCACACACACCACTCCTCAGCCTCCTTTTTTTCTCACGAAGGCTGCCTCAGCAATTCAATTTCCATCAGATTCAACTGGATTCATGTGGCCCAAAGGCCGTCCACACCACAGGTCCTTCCCAACTGCGATGCCACCTGGGCACTCGCTTCCTTGCCAGGCAGCTGGTTCTCCCTGCCCACCATTTATCATTCTAGAAAGAGCTTCAGTTAAGCAGACACTTGCCTGTCTTCCTGCAGCTTCTACCTGTCAGCCACAGAGCAGGGGTGTGGGGGGCACAAGGGCGACTCCAGCCAGATCCCCTGGGGTCTGCATCCCAGCTGGGGGCATTGAGCTTCTGGGGGTTCAGTTCCTGTCTCTGTAAGGTGGGGAGTTTGACAGTCACCCCAGAGGGTTGTTGAGGGGTTCAAATGAGATGATACGAGGAAAGCTTTCAGCCCGGCACCCAGAACCACAGTAAATTACTTTTTGTTATTATTGCTGTTGCTATTTGTTCATTAAGCATCTGCAATGCCTTAAAAATAGCTGAGGGCTCCACTCATGCGCCCTCACCTCTGTGACAATTTAGCTTCTTTAGGCTGAACATACAGCCCCTTCCTTCAAATACCCACTCTGTGTCCAGGTCTCAGACTCTCACCTCTCTGGCCAGACTTTACTCAAGTCCCCCAAAGGGAAAATCTGGAGGAGAAGGAGGAGGCCTCTTTTGATTTTTAGGACAAATCTACAGAACTGAGAGAAGCTTGACCACAGCAAAGAGTAGAATGGGAACCAATCATTACCCAGCATGGAGAGGCGGAGTTCTGCTCAGAATAATAAACCTTTGTCCTTCCTGAGGCTTAAAGCTGTCCAAGGGTAGAAAGGGCTGCCTTGGGAGGTAATGAGCTCCCCATCTCTGGAGGCATTCAAGGTGGATGATCACCCACCAGGGGTGTTATAGAAAGGATTTTCACACTGAGTGGAAAGTTGAACTAAATGACGTCAAAGATGTAAGCTCATCACAAAGAAGAAACAAGTTCATTCCTTCCCTCATTCAACACATATTCATTGTTGCATTCCTAGCCACACCGACCTCTGTGCCATTTATTCTCCTGGGTATGCAGTTCACACTAAGAAAAGAATCTGATTTTCGGAAGCATTTAATGAAAACAGGGCTACTTTGAAGTTGCTCTTGACCTTCACTTTTACATCTGTAAAATGGGTGGGACAATAACAGTGCCTACTTCACACGACCAGCAGACAGACGCTAGAGCGACCTGGCACACTGTGGACCTCAGTGAAAATTGGTTTGTCATTATCGTTAGTATCATTAACATGAGGACTATAACTGAAATCCTGGAAATGTTTCTCTTTCTCTCTCTCTTTTTTATTTTTATTTCTTTTTCTGAAGACCCAAACAACTCGGTATGTACTAAATCAAGTCCTAAGAATCCCACCTAGCTAAAGCCTTCACCCACAGCAGCCGGGACCAGCTTGGTCTGGAAACCAACGACACACCAGTTCTCGGCCCACATCCAAACCCAGCCAGGCACCAGAGACAGGACGTCTGCTGAACCTACATTATCTGCTACCATCATTTCTAAGAAATGGTATCCAAGGGCCAAACAAAGCAATTTTTCTCTGAAGCAGCTTAATCGTGTTGTAGAGGAAAGGGTGGTTCTAACTATAAACCCAACTTGGCTTTTCAAATGAGGGGAAAATAGAAACCCATAAGCCCCTCAGAAAATCTGATGTCAGCCAGCTTCTTGCTTCTCCGTTTCAAGTTACTGGGTACTCCTCTGCTGCCCAAATGGGCCAGAACGAGGGTTACCACCAAGAGGGCTTAGGTCAGATCAGGGCCTGTGCCTGCTGTCCCTTGGGGTCTGATCATGGTCTCTAGACTGACACTCAGAGCCTCGGTGAGGCTTGGGGTGTCTAAGGGAAGAGTACATCTGGGACGTTTCATATGTGGAAGAGCCTGGGCTTGAGTCAGGCCACCTGGCTCCTGGTCTCAGACCTGCCACTCATCAGCTGTGTGAACTTTGCAGGTGACTGAACCTCCCTGAGTCCCCATTTCCTCCTCTGTTAATCGGCACTATTGAGTCCTATCTTTGAAGAATTGGGAGGATTCAGTGAGGCTGTACTCACTAAAAGCCTGGGACAGAGAAGACCCATGGAGTAGTCACTTCCCTCCACAGAGCTTGCTGAATGGCTGAGCCTGGGCAGTGCTGTGCTTTCCCCGGACTGGCCCATCCTCCCTCTATCAGGAAAGGTGGGTGGTAGACAGGCACCAAAAGGACGCAGAAGACAGGAGGGGTGCTGGGCTGAAGGCTGGGGCCTAGGGAGTGGCCCTGGCTGAGGGATGAGGGCTGGCTTTTTGGGGAGAAGTAGAAAGGGGTTTCTCCACAGTGCATTTGATGCAGAGCTTTCAAGCACCTTCTGAAGGCCTCAGGGGAGAGTCTGAGCTCTTGCTTGAGGAAACAAGAAGAAGCTCAGCAGGAGGGGACTGAGGAGTGGGCGAGTCAGCCGCTGAATGTGTGCAGCACTGAGCATGGGCGAGGCTGCTTGGGAGACCCTGCAAGGGTTTGGGGGACCCTTGTGAGGACTGACCAGGACCGCCTGTGCTCTGCTCAGGGCATGTGTTGTAAACACGGGAGACTCAGGCCTTGACCCAGGGAACATGGGACTCAGATGCAAATTCAGTAGTCCTCGAATTTCAGTGAAATCGGCGTTACTTAGAGAACTGCTCAAAATACAGCAGACCAAGAATTTCACTTCTGAAAGGTGAAAAGAAGTAGGTGCACTGGCTTGGGACCTCGGAACCCAAGAAACAAGATGGTGGTGAATTGCCTGGGTTTTCTTTTGCCTTATAAATTCCAGACTTGGAGCTAAACAAGCCAGCAACCCAGAAACACCAATGAACACAGATGGAAAAAAGAAAAAAGCCCTGATACAGTTTGGATCTGTGTCCTTGCCAAATCTCAGGTGGAATTGCAATCCCCAATGCTGGAGGTAAGGCCTGATGGAAACAGGTGACTGGGTCATGGAGGCAGAATCTATCTCATGAATGCTGTAACACCATCCCCTTGGTGTTGTCTTCATGATAGCGAGTGAATTCTCACGAGATCTGGTTGTTTAAAGGTGTGTGTCACCTCCCCCTCACTCACTCTCTCTTGCTCCCACTCCCACCATGTGAGATGCCACCATGGCTCCCTGTTCGCCTGCTGCCATCATTGGAAGCTTCCTGAGGCCTCCTCAGGAGTGAGCAGGTATCGGTGCCATGCTTTCTACACAGCCTTCGGAACTGTGAGCTGATTAAACCTCTTTTCTTTATAAATTATCCAGCTGCAGGTATTCCTTTAGAGCAATGCAAGAACGGCCTAACACATGCCCCAAAGGAAATACAAGGGAGAAGCCTAGCAAGACAGAAAACTTTTAGTCAATAACCACTCCATTCTAGTCAAACAACAAAGAAAAAGTGTGGCCCCACCCCAAACCCATCATCAATAGCTGAGTGGGAGCCTAGATTTCCACCCAAGCTATACGGAGGAGCCTCAATACCCCACTGGGTGGTATCAGAGAAGGCCCAGTGGGGAGCCAGCACTTTTACTCCCCATTGAGATGTTCTCATGAATTATTTATTGCTTTCTAATTTGATTCCATTGCCATTGGAGGAGACATTCTGTAGGATTTGAATTATTTTAAATTTGTTGAGGTTTGTTTTATGGTCCAGGGTGTAATCTATCTTGACATATATTCCTTGAGCATTAAAAAATAATATGTATTCTGCTGCCTTTAGGTGGTGTGTTTTATAAACGTCAGTTGAATCCTATTGGTTGATAGTGTCATTGAGTTATTCTTGCTGATTTTCTGTTTAGTTGTTCTATCCATTGTTTAGTGAGGGAGTGTTGAAATCTCCAACTATAATTGTAGATTTGTCTTTTTCTTCTTTCAGTTGTTTTTGTTTCACTTATTTTGCAGCTCCATTGCTATGCATGTTTAAGATTGCGATGCGTTTTTGGTGTATTGAACTTTTTATCACTATGTAATATCCCTCTCTGTGTCTGGAAATATTCTTTGCTCTGAAATACTTTATCTGATACTAATATAGCCACTCCTACTTTCCCATGATAAATGCTTTCATGATTTATGCTTTTGCATTCTTTTACTTTTAACTTACCTGTATCATTATTATTAGGGAGTTTCTTGCCTATAACACATAGCTGAGTTGTGCTTTATAATCCACTCTACCAATCTCTGTTTTTTTAATGGCTGTATTTAGATCTTTTATATTTAATGTAATTATTAATATTTTGGACTTCATTCCATCATTTTATTTCTGTTCTCTGTTAATACTCTGTTTCTCAGATGTGTGTTTTCTATTACCATCATTCCTGGAATGAAAAAAAAGTTCCTGGGTCACTGGAACATTTTTTACAATTCCATTTTGATTTACATATAGTGTTTTTGAGTATGTATCTTTTTGTATAGCAACGTTAATAGTTCCTGTAGGTATTACATTTTATATACATAACTCATCACCATCTATTTGTATCATCGTTTTATCAGTTTGAGTGAAGTATAGAGACCTTACTTTTCTTTACATCCTGTTTGTAAATGTCTTAAATTTTTCCTCTAAATACATTTAGAACAATACCGGACAATGTTATAGTTTTGCTTCCATCATCAAGCATAATTTAGAAAACACAAGAGGAGAAAGAAAGTTCATTATATTTATTCATGTTTTTGTTTACTATGTTCTTCCTTCCTGATGTTTCAAGATTCTTTACTTTATCATTTTCTTTCTGTTTAGAGAAATTCCTTTAGCCATTCTTTTAGGGTAGATGTGCTGATGACAAATTCTTTTAGTTTTTCTTCATCCAGAAATGTCTTGATTTCCCCTTTATTCCTGAAGGATATTTTCACTGGGTATAGAATTATGGGTTGACAGTTCTTTTCTTGTAGCACTTAAAATATATTATGCCACTTCTGGCTTCTATAGTTTCTGATGGTAATTCTACTGTCATTCAAATTGTTTTTCCTCTATAGTTAAGGTGTCATTTTTCCCCTGACTGCTTTCAACTTTTTTTTGTCTTTAGTTTTCAGAAATTTAATTACAACTGGCATTGATTTTTTTTTTTCAATTTGAGGTTGTCTTAGTAGCTCAGGATGTTATAACAAAATACTACATACTGGGTGGCTTAAACAACAATTTGTTTCTCACCGTTACAGAAGCTGAGAAGTCCAAGACCAGGGCACCAGCAGATTCAGTGTCTACTGAGGGCCTGCTTCCTGGCTCATAGACAGCAGTCTTCTCACTATGTCTTCACATGTTACTCAGAGAGAGAAAGCAAGCTCTTGCAGAACACTTGTAAGGACACTAATCCCATTCATAGTGGTGCTGCCCTCATGACCTCATCTAATCTTAATTAGCTCCCCAAAGCCCTACCACCTAATACCATCATGTTAGGAGGCAGGGTTTCAACACACGAAGTTTGGGAAACACACATTCTGTCTATGACAAGGATTTTGTCATCTTCTTGATTCTGCAGACTTGTCTTTTGATAAACCTGAGCAGTTTTTAGCCATTATTTCTTTGAGTAATTTTTTCAGCCCCATCCTCTTGCTCTTTTTTTTCTGGAATTCCAATGACAAAAATGTTAGAACTTCCATATAGTCCCACAGGTTCTCGAGGCTCTGTATTTTTTGTTTCTTTAGTCTATTTTGTCTCCATTATGCAGATAGGTTCTACCATTAAGTTCACTGATTCTTTCCTCTGCCACTTCCATTCTACTGTTGAGCTCATCCACTGAGTTTTTAAATTTCAGTTATTCACTTTTTGAGTTTGAAAATTTTCCATTTGGCTCTTTTTTATACCTTTATTTCTTTGCTGAGGCTTGCCATCTTTAAATTTGTTTCAACTGTGTTTGTAATTGCTTATTGAAGCATTTTTACCATGGCTGCTTTAAAATCTTTGTCAGATTATTCTAACGTCTCTGTCATCTTGGTGTTGGTATCTATTGAATGTCTTTTGTCACTCATCTGAGATCTTCCTGGTTTTTAAACCATTTGTTTTAGTTGGCTTTCTCTGACACCACTCTATCAGCAACAGTAGGGGGCAATACCTTGTTACCACCAGGTGGAGATAGAAGTCCAGGTTCCTCCCTTGGCCTCCAGTGGTGGAGTGGGAGTTCTGTGTCCCATGAGGTCTCCACTGCTACTGAGGTGATGGTGGCATCATTGTCATGGAGAATGTGAAAGCCATGAATTTCCAGTAGGCATCCTCTTGCATCACCCCAGTGTGGGGAAGGGGAAGAAAGTGAGGCATCTCTTTATGGATGAGTGGGGACGAAAGTCCCCACCCTCACTAGACCTTCTCTAACACCACTCAGAGAGAATGTTGGGGTGCCTTATTACAGCCTTGCAAGACTGCTAGTCTGAAGGCCCCTTGGCCTTTGCTAGAGGGCTGGAGACGGAACCACATTTTCCTTCTGTGATGTTTGGCTGGAGTAGGGGGTTACCGTTGAAAATTTTTTCATCTTAAACCAGATATTGCATGTTCTCACTTATACATGAGAGTTAAATGATGAGAACACGTGGATACACAGAGGGGAATGACACACACTGGGTGTGAGTGTTTGGAGGGTGGAGGGTGGGAGGAGGGAGAAGATCAGGAAAAATAACTAATGGACACTAGACTTAATACCTGGGTGATGAAATAATATGTACAACAAACACCCATGACACACATTTACCTATGTAATAAACCTGCACATTCTGCGCATGTACCCCTGAACTTAAAATACAAGTAAGATAAATAAATAAGAAAAATAAAAAACAGGCCAGGCATAGTGGCTCACAGCTGTAATCCCAGGACTTTGGGAGGCCAAGGCGGGTGGATCATGTGGTCAGGAGTTCAAGACCAGCCTGGCTAACATAGTGAAACCCCATCTCTACTAAAAATACAAAAGTTAGCCAGGTATGGTGGTGGGCACCTGTAATCCCAGCTACTCAGGAGGCTGAGGCGGGAGAATTGCTTGAACCCGGGAGGCAGAGGTTGAGTGAGCCGAGACTGCGCCATTGCACTCCAGCCTGGGTGACAGAGCAAGACTCCATCTCAAAAAAAAAAAAAAACCAGAAAAGAAAAATAGAAAACAAGTTTGTCTTGTTAGTTGGCCCCTTTTCTGATCCTTTGGCTAGAGGGGCTTTTTTTTTTTTTTTTTTTTACTGTGCCAGTTAGGGTTTCTGGGCTGGAAGGCTCTTTATCTCCAAGTCTGAGATATATGAGGAAAAAAATAAAAAATCCATGGGACTTACCACCATGTCATCCAGAGGTCCCTGGACAGTCTGCCACCTCTCCACATTTCAGAATCCTTTTATGTTTGTTTTACATATCATGTCCAGGGTTTTTTGTTATACTTAGCAGGAGGAATTGGGCAAGTACCTCTACCCCATTTTCCTCTACAGGAGGATCTGAAGCCCCTCCTGTCTCCTGTGTTCTTTTTATATGCACTCTTTTTTTTTTCAGTACTATATTTTTTCTGCCTCAACCCTGAAGTCAACCACTTCTTCAAGGAGCCCTGGTAGCTTTTACTGGAGAATTGTATTTAGAAACCAAGGACTGTGGGCTACATGTGCTCATTGCAATGGCTTCTAGGCCCTCATAGTGGACAGAGTTAGGAAACACATGTTTATACACTAACCCACATACACACATGTGTTTACATTTATTTCTGTCTCTCTCTCTCTCTGTGCATCTGTGTATGTACAGAATTCATTATCCAATCCAACATCACGGGATTCATTATAGCATTCTCCTTTTGATTATTTGTAGGTTATTTCTCTGAAATGAGACACCTGGCTTTCAATATCTACAATAGATTTACTTATTTGTTCAACCCTAGCATACATGTACAGTAGTTTCAGAATGCTAATTTGTACCCCCGTGAGAAACAAATTTACCAACTAGAAGGCAGTGTTTGTGAACAGTCCTTTTTTACTTAGCCTTACTGTTGTCAAACAAAACACTATTTTCCAACGTTACTGAGGTTGCCTCCTCGTTCCTCACCTCCTTCAGTGTTACTCACTTGTGATAAGCGTGATTCACTGGTCACGTCTGCATTCCATTTTGGCTCCCCCACCCCCACACTGTAGTTGATTTTTTTAAATTTGCATAGTGCAAAATTCACTCTTAGTGGCAAATAGTTCTATAGGTTTTAGCACGTACTTACAGTCATGCATCCAACCCCCACCGCATCAAACAGAACAGCTCCATCACCCTCAAACTTCCCTCGCCAGGCTCCTTTGTAGTCAGCGCCTTCTCCCGACTCTGGCAACCACTGATTTTCTTTTTATTCCACTGGTTTTATCTTTTACAGGATGTCATATAAATGGAGTCACACAATATGTTGTCTTTTCTTTCTGGCTTCATTCACTTAGCAAAATGCATTTAAGATTCATCCTTGTTGTTTTGTGAATCAGCAGTTTCTTCCTTCCGGTTGCTGAGTAGCATGCCATCCTATGGATGTGCCAGGGTTTGTTTCTCTGTCTCCTTTTGAAGGGCCTCTGGGTTGTTTCCAGTTTTTGTTGATCATGAATACAGCTGCGGTAAATACTCACATGCAGGTTTTTGTGTGGACGTAAGTCATTTTACTTGGGCAAATATCTAGAAGTGAAATGGCTGGATCATATGGTGTGTTTTGTTTAGCTTTTTAAGAAGCTTTCAAGCTATCTTCCAAAGTGGTTGTACCTTTCTGTGGTCCTCCTGGTAATGTATGAGAGAGCCAGTTGTTTCACATTCTTGTCAGCCCTCAGTATGGTCAGGTTTGCTTGTGTATTTCAGGTGTCCTCATATGGGTGTAGTGGTATCTCACTGTGGTTATAATTTGCACGTCTCTGACAACTAATTGTGTTGATCATCTTTTTATGTGCTGATTTGCCAACTGCTTATCTTCTTTGCCCATGTGTCTGTTGTTTTTTGTTTGTTTTTGAGACAGGGCCTCTGTCCATCACCCAGGCTGGAGTGCAGTGGCATGATCTCCAACTCCTGGGCTCAAGCAATCCTCTCATCTCAGCCTCCTGAGTAACCAGGACTACAGGTGCACCACCATACCTGGCTCATTTTTGTGGAGACGTGGTTTCGCCATGTTGCCCAGGCTGGTCTCAAACCAGAGAGACTAGATTTGACCCTGGCTGTGTCTCCTCTGACAACCATCCTTGTGGCCAAAGTGCAGCAGTGGAGCTGACCTGGAGGGATGGGGTACAGGGAGGGTAGAAGCTTCTCTGCAGAAACCCTGCTTTTCCCACTATCTTCTGGCTGTCTTCTCCACCCTGGTCAAGTGGAATTCCTTACAGCAGATCATGTTGGCTATTTTCAGGTCTCCTACTATGACTTGGTGGGGTTGAGGAATTTCCTCTTGACCAGCACCCCAGGGTGACTCATCACCTGCAGTGAAGATGTCATGCCTTATCAGAGCCACATTCAGGCCACCCTCTGTACTGTGGGCCCAGACAGACTCTAAGCCTGACTGATACCCTGGTACAGTTGCTGTGGCCTCACGGCCTAGTTCATATAGTTATGGACAAGCCACGTCTGAAATCTTTCCAGTAAGCAGTGGGACGGATCCTTGTGTTGAAAGAACATGGGCTGCCACATGATCTTCTGAACTGCCGCCCATGTTGTGATGTGAGGTGGAAGCTTTGTCATTAACGAGACATGGTTATGTGCCTGGGGACACGGTGACCACCTGCTCAGTCATCTGTAAATGCCGGTCTGTGAATTGTCCCCATTCTCCACCTACAACAATCCATGCATGCATTCATTCATTGATTCATTGATTCCACAGCCCCCGCCTGGGGCCAGGCATGTGGGGTGAGGGTTGGGGACTCAGAGGAGGTAAGATCCAGAATCGCTCACAGGAAGTTCAACGTCCAGTGCAGACCCTGTCCACCCAGCAGGCCCCACTCAAAGATCACTGTGACTGGCCCAAACGCTCATGTAGAGAAGGAGGCATTGGCTAGGGTGGGGGTGGGAGTGGAGGGCGAAGGGGTCTCCACAGGCAGGCCCCACCTTCACCTTCCTCACGACAACTTGCTGCGTCCCTCTCTCAATCCTTACAGTAAAGTGAGGCCAGGGCCGCCCAGCTCACAGCTACCCAGCCCCTATCCCAGCAGGCAGCTGTGGCCCATGCTGCCCTCGGACCCTCCAAATGCCCACAAGGAATCCCAGGGCTTCACTCTCTTGCTGCACAATTGGGATTGTGTCACCTTTGTCTCTGGACCTTCTAGAAAAAGGAGGGTGGGATTGGATACTCCTGAGTTTAGAGCTCCGTGCAAAACAAAGTCACAGTAAAGTGTGATGATCTGGTAAGGGGGAAGAGAGGCTGTCTTTTCAGAGACTCCTTTTCCCTCCCTCTAATGAATGCAAGAACTGTGCTTAACCCAGGGGAGCTGGGAGCCAACCTGTAAACCGAATCCTCCAAGGCCAGCTTGGGCTGTGACTTCATTCATTCAAATCATCCACCAAGCATTATTTTGTGTTAGAAATACAGCAGTGAACATATCCTCTCCTCCTCTTTTCTTTAGACCTGCAGGGCCTGAAGAGGCAGCCCCACGTCGGAAGGGACAAGAAGTTAATGAGAAAATTACAAAATTTACATAGAGGGGCAAGAGACCAGCTACACACATCTGCGGTCAAAAGCAGATCTCATCCAAGTAAAGTGCTACCCTCACTCTTTGAGGCAGGATATGATTGCAGCGCTGTCCCTCTCATGCTGGCTGTGGCCCTGACATCTGTGCCTGCAGCGTCTGGGAGGTACTGGCTCCTTCCCATGTGGCAGGGGTGGTGGGGGGACTCAGCTTTGTGGCACTGCCAGCCGACCCCCAGCCCTGGTGGGCACCCCTGCGTGCTGCAGCTCAGCTGCTGGTGGAGAACCCGCCCTGACCTGGCACCTGTGGAGCTGGGCTTGGCTCCGTGTCCTGAAGAGCACTCCCTGCTTCAGAGAGGGCCCTTGCATCTGCTTGGGCAGTGGGGATGGAGTGAAAGTGGGGAGAAGCTCTTCTTGTCCCTGGTGCGGGGCTCCCAGGCCCCTTTCTACCCAGAGTCTCATTTCTGACCAACACTGAGGTTCACAGCCCTTCTGTGCTGCCTTGCCAGGAGGCCACTGGGGGACAGAGGACAATTCTCTCCTGGGATTCCAGCCAAGGTGCCCTGAACCCCATTGCCCAAATCCCCTTCTATGGCCCTGGGCAATGTATTTTTGCAGGATTGAACTAACGATACGAAAGTTCAAATTAGTTCCAAACAGTAACAATACAATAGAACCTTCCCTTCTTCCCCATCTTCCAGGCCCACGCTAGCCCTGCTGAGCAAGCCGGCTTTCCCAGAAACTCTAAGTCTCCCCACATTCTATTCTCTGCCTCTTTCTCCCTATTTTCTTCCAGGTCCCTCCTTCTGGAGGCCGGGAGCCTCATACTGTTCAGGTCCCTGCTGCCAAGAGTCAGATAGGCCGCTCCCCTGAGGATCCCAGGTTTGGGCCCAGCACAGCCGAAAGACCCTCTCTTGTAGCCTGGAGTAATTTCCACACAGGCCACAGAGACTTCACACATTCCAGAACCAGGCAGATTTTCAGAAATGGGAGCTGCTATTGGCTGGTGCATCATCTCATGTCTCTCCGACCCACGCAAGCTGAACAGCCTCCAGCCTCATTGGTGACACCCTGCTGGCATTGAGGGCCAAGACAGAATGGTTCTGAGCTGCCTCTGCATGCCTGAAGACCTCAGCCTGCCGCCCGCTGCCCCAGTAACTCAGGGGGTCCCCAGCCCTCAGCAGCACACCTGCCCTGTTCCTCCACTTGGACTCCTCATCAAGGGTCCTTGTCCACCCCTCATGCTGACCCCCTTGCCATGAGTGTTGCAACGTCCACACCACAGTGCTGTCCCCACATGCTCCCGCAGTACCCTAGGTCCCTCCAAGAGCCCCACCCCCACACTCTGGCTCTACCTCTGTATCCACCTGGCTTCTAAACCGGAGTCCTCCCCACATCCATTCAGGCCCCAGGTGTCCCAGGGGACTCACCAGGTGGTGAACTTCTACAAATCCCCATTGGGACCCCCGGATAACTGAGTTGAATATTATTTTACAGATAATGAAACTGAAACAATTTTTTTTTCTTTTGAGACAGGGTCTCGCTCAGCCTCAAACTCCTGGGCTCAAGCACTCCTCCTGCCTCAGCCTCCCAAGTAGTTAAGACCACAGGCGTGCACCACCATGCCCAGCTAATTGTTTTTATTTTTTGTAGAGATGGGGTCTCACCTTGCTGGTCCCAAACTCCTGGGCTCAAGTAATCCTCCCACCTCAGCTTCCCAAAGTGCTGAGATCACAGGTGTGAACCACTGTGACCGGCTGGAAGCAATATTTTAAAACCTGGAATTCAAATAACAGGGCACCAGCTGTGGAATATACACCTACGCAAGAGGAATGGCAAGAGAAGAGATCATCCCGACCCCGTTGGTGGGCTGGATGGAGCAACTTCCGCAGGAACGAGGCACCTCGGAGGCCTCTACTGGCTGAGAGCAGCATCCTGACCAGACAGCAAGCCCCAGAGGGTCTGGGGGGATCCAAACCCACCCCTGCACAGGTTTGCTGTGAACCAGGTGGGAGGGAGGGAAGATGGGAACGAAGGTGAGAGAGGCCTGGGGGCCCGTGAGCATGAACTTGGAGTGCTGAGCACTCACCTAAATGACAGCATCAGCGGGGCAGGGGGCATCCTGCCTTCTGCCTCCCTGAATTCACAGCTGGAAAGTGATCCAGGTCATGCAGACTCACTCCCACTGACTCATTTGTCTCACTCCAAGCACTCGTTTCCCGGCTCCACTTGCTACTTCCTTGCAGGTCTTGGGCACCAATTCCAGATTCCTGGACCTGTCATTCTCTGGGAGAAGGGTCCTGCTCTGAACCACACCAAGCCAGGGGCTTTCTCCAGATCACCAGCCTCATTTGGCAGATGAGTGAAATGTGGCTCAGACATGCCCGGAAACTTGGCCATGATCACAGAGCTGACAATGGGCAGAGGAGGGATGGGAACAGGATCTGCCTGACCCCAGAAACCCATGCCCTTCCCAGAGCATCCATGGCCTTACACAGGCCCGCCTTTCCCGGCCTGCTTCAACCTCCTTGGCCTCCCACATGGCATTCACCAATCTGCCTGCTTGGCCAGGTCTCCCCTGCCTTTTCCACTCATCTCACACTTTAAGCCCACCTCCTTCAGGAAGCCCTCCCTGCTCATCATAACAGGTATTAGATATTGATACTCCTACATACACACACACACACACACACACCACCCACCCCCAGAGTATACACAATCCTACATTATTTTCCAAAAGTTTCTCCTATTAAATCACTCCCCTGAACTCTACCAGGTATCTGTAATAACAGTGGGCATACAGCAAGTAGTCCATAACTATTCTTTGGACTTGAACTAAAATTCATCCCCTTTCTTCTGCCACCTTCTTGCATCAAGGACTTCAGCCTGAAACCAAGGCAGGCATGAAGAGAAGCCGATTTGGGGCTGCAGTCTAAGTGCCTTTACCTGACAGCTCCACATGAAGAGACCGGCCAGGGCTCTTTGCTCCTGGCCAGGAGGCCCCAGGAGGGAAGGATTCCCTGCATCCCAGGGATCACAAGTCAGGGAGGCCCTCAGTGAACATTAACTATGATGACGACGTAAACATCATGTCTCAAAGGCACTAGCTGAGACTCCAAGGATAAATGAAGGTTGGTGAGCAGTGGGGAATGGGTGGCTGGTGCTCTGAGCTGTGCTTGCCCAGCGCTGAGGCCTTGGACTGGCCCCTCACCTCCCTGCCTTCACTTCCTCCCACTGGATTCCGCATCCTCCAGATCCCAGTCTGGGTGTGCCATGGCTTTCCTAGGAACCTCCCTCGGGCCTGCTCCATCAGGGATGCAGTGGGCGGAACTACCAATCATGGCTGCAGTCTGGCTGCAGGGGGCCTGGCAAGGTGCCCTGAGCTCCCCTGGGCAGGTGAGTGAAAACCTGCCGGCGGGGGCTGCAGCCTCATGCGTTTGTGATCACAACCAACTCAGGCAGTTTTTGGTTTCACGTTTTCCTTCATTTTCCCTTGAGGGGCACCTCATACTGGGAATCCCAACCCCTTTGCCAGGAGCTCTCACGCAAGGAAGGGCTCTGGGCAGTTCTGCTCTTAGAGCTGGGCCCTGCCCGGCCCACAGCACCAGGCTGGGAGTTACTGCAGGTTGGGACTCCATCTGATCCGCTCCAGAGAACTCAGCAAATGCTGGGCTGGTGCTCTACATGACACACTTGAAGTTTGTAATTCATTTCCAAAGTAACATATACTCATTAAAGAAAATTTGGAAAATGCATAAAAGCAAAAATGTAATATCACATAAGAAGCATCACCTATAATTCCACCAGCTATAGATGTCTGCTTCTTACATTCTGGGATCTTTTCTTTCAGGTGTTTCTATGCCTCTATACTTTAAAAACAAACAAATAAACGAACACCAAAGCGGATTATATTAAGCACTGTTTTGATACCTGCTAAGCCGAGGCAGCTCTGTGTGATACTATTCCCCTAAGCCTTTAAGTATTCCTCATGTTTTCTAGCAATTACCCAGAGTGAAATCATACAACATCCCCTGAGGTAGCTAATCAATCCCCCCTTGCTGGGCATTGGAGTCGTTTCTAATTTTCATTATTTTACACAATACTCCCCAGCCACGGTTGTAGCTGCATCCTTGAGGTCCTCCTCAGAGCCAGATTAAGAACCGAGAGGCCTCCAAGCACTGGAATTATTTGGTGCAGTCCCGCAACAAGGTGCACCATTAAATACAAGGGCTATTCTGCTTTGCTTGAGGTATTACATTAATTTTCAAATGTATTTCTTGCTTTTGGGGGATAGCCCTGCTCTGCTGGCACCTCCCGCATAGGCTAGTTCTTTCTGATGTCTCTGCATAGCTATGACTATTACCTCTGGGTAATTTTCAGGAGAAGGAATATCAGGATCAAGGGTTCTCCAAGTGTAGGGCTTTGTGGTCCATTGCATCTGCCCGCTCACCACAGAATCCATCACCTGTCACACACCTGCACTTAGTAACCCTCTGCTGAATAATGGATTATTGCCAAACGTGCCTCCCCCCGGCCCCCACTTGGCTGTACAATTGAAATGGTATGCAACTGGACAATAGATGAATCAGGGGTATGATGATCTTGGGGACAGATGTCTTGGGCCCTCAGGTGTGCCTGAACCCAGAGGATTTGGGGCAAGGGCAGACTGTCCCTGTTCCTGTGTGATTGGAGGGTGCTGCTCAGAAAGTCCCAAGCTGCAGAGCTCGGAGTCCCAACCCTACAGAGCCAAAGAAGTGGGGCCCACACTACCTGAGGCAGAACTGGCCTGGCCACCGCCTGGCTGCATGGCCTGAAGCAGCTTCCTCTCCCCTCTGGACTCATTTTCCACATTCATAAAATGTGCACGATGAAACATGCAGCTCCTCTTTCTGTGGCTGCCACTGCCCCTGAGTGTGACCCCAGCTGCCTCTTTGACAGCTCAGGGGCTCAGGCTCTAGCAGGAAACACAACTGGGGCCCTCCGCATGGTGGCCAGGCCGGTGTGACCTGGTGCTAACCTGCTCTTCCAGCCTCATCTTCTGCAGCACCCTTCCTGAAGGTCAAAAGCAGGCTGGCCACACAGCTGCCCCCATCGCCTGGCGGGTCCAAGGCTGGCCACTTTTCTCTCCAAGGTGCCCCCATCTGCCTGCCTGTAGAAATCCCACCCATCCTTCCACATCACCCCTTGCTCCGCAAAGCCTTTCTGAAGGCACCACTTTCAGGGAACCTGGTTTGCGTTTTAAGCCATGGCCCCTATGACAGCATCCCTGGTGAGTGTACAGATGTGTCACCTCTCTTTGAAAGCAGTGGCCATGGCTGGGTTCCCTGGCAGGGACTGAATGACCAAGAATGATGGGGGAGGGCAGTGTGCTGGGGTTTGTTTTGTCTGTTGTTTTCCCAAACCGGTCCCAGTGACACTACAAAGCCAGAAGCACAGAAATGCACACAGAACTGAAGACTCAAGGGTAGAAGATTCTTAGCCACCAAGACCTCACTCATGGTGGAAACGTGCAGAATTCTGAGATGTGGGCAAAGCCATTGCCAGGCCCCTTCCAGAACTATGCCCTGAGCTGGGACAAGCCCCTCACTTTCCCTCTGCGCACTCTACCTGTTTCCCTCTTGAAACAGGCCCTTCTTTCAGGCCAGCTTGGCCTTCTCATCTCTGCAGCAGTATCTGCCCACATGGCCACCCCCCGATTAAGACTGACTGCCCCAGCCACCCTGCCCACCCAGTGCCAGCCCACCCAGCACCTGGCACAGCAAATTAACTCGGGAAGGAATCCTTGACAGGCAGCTCCCATGACCTTCTTCTAGGAAGCCATCCCGGACTGCTTTGGCCCTTAGAGATCTCTTCCTCCCCCAGCCCCTGACAGAAACTAGTCTTTGTACCACGCTTGTGTGATATTTATCAATTAATGTACCATATTACAAGATTGGGGTTTTTTTCCCCATTTGGCCCAAGAAATGCATGTTTGATAGTAAAAACAGGGTTGGACAGAGGTGGATGATGTACTAGGAGGACTAGCGGGGAGCTGCGGACCAAAATAGCTGAGCCTCCAGACACAGCACTGTAACCTGTTGCTGGCGGGCCCAGCAAGGCTGTGGCCTTGGATGAGGTGGCCCTCCACAGCAGAGGCCTCCCAGGAAATTGACAGCTGGAGCTGTGTCCTGGCCTTACTCGCTGCAGCTGGGCAGCAAGGACTTCCGTGGCAGAGGCGGGGCTCTTGGTGATGCATGTCATGTCCACCACAGACAGGAAAGGAAGATTTTAAAACAACCAAGGGCCAGGTGCAGTGGCTCACGCCTGTAATCCCAGCATTTTGGGAGACCGAGGAGGGCAGATCACTTAAGATCAGGAGTTCAAGACCAGCCTGGCCAATATGGTGAAACCCCATCTCTACTAAAACTACAAAATTAGCCGAGTGTCGTGGAGCACACCTGCAATCCCAGCTTCTCTGGAGGCTGAGGTGGAACCTGGGAGGAGGAGGTTGCAGTGAGCTGAGATCGCACCACTGCACTCTGGCCTAGGAAAGAGAGCAAGACTCCATCTCAAAAATAAAAATTAAAATTAAAACAACCAGGGAACAATTTTAGCACTCAGTTCAGGGATTGCCAAACTATGGCTCCCAAGCCAAATCCAGCCCCCTGCCTGTTTTTAAAAATAAAGTTTTATTGGGACACAGTCGCGCTCTTTTTCTCTGGTGGATGTCTATGGTCTTTGGCTGCTCTGGTGTTACAAAGGTAGAGGTGAGTCGTTTCGAGAGAGACCATATGGCCCACAAGGACAAAAATAACCACAAACTGGCCTTTTATAAAGTGTGCTGACCCCTGCTCTAGTTGACTCCTTTGGGGATGGAAGCCTAGCTCATGATGATTCCTTTAGGAGTTCACACCACACACACACACACACACACACACACACACAGAGGCACGCACAGGGACAGCACACAGTGTCATTCCCGTGCTGTATTTAGTGTTCTGGCCATGATTCATTGGTCTTGGAGAATGCACTTGACTCAGGCTGAACCAATCAGATTCTTTGTCACAGAAATGTGAAACCAAGCATCAGGTACTGGATGGCCTTGCTTGATGGGAAAGATCACAACTGCTCTTGCCCAGGTCTCCAGAGCTGCCCTGATTCCAACCTTCCTGATGTTCTAACCTCAGCTCCACCCTCCTTATTATATGAACTTGAGCCAGAGGCCAGAGTGAGCCTCAGTTTTCTTATCTAGCACAGCAGGAGACTAGACTGAGCAGAAAGGGTCACTGTGAGGATGAAATGGAAGGATGCACACAAAGTGCCCAGCATAGCCACTGGCACCTGTTAGATGCTAAAAATGGGAGTAGCATTTGATGTAGCAGCAGCAGCGATGATAGTAGTTGCAATCATCATAATAATATTATTACTTTTTGGCATCGCCAACGGCCTGCTGATCTTCCCTGTCTGGATCCCCGAGCAACACTTCCAAGTCTGTATGGCAGAAAGTGACCCCATTACATCGCCATCTCTGGTAGCCAGCCTCCAAGGTGGCCCCAAGCCCCCAGCCTTCTGTACTCCAGCGCTGAGTGCCCTCCTCTCACAGTGAATCAGAGCTGGTCTGCAGGACCAAGTAAGTATGAGGGAGTCTCCTGGATCTCATGAGGGGAACCAGACACCATCTCATGAGGACACTCAAGCAGCCCTGTGGAGAGGCCAAGTGGGGAGAACTTGAGGCCTCCTGCCAACACCTAGCACTGCCTTGGGAGCCATGTGAGTGCACCATCTCAGAAGCGGACCTTCCAGCCTCGGTCAAGCTTTCAGGTGACCACAGCCCTGGCCAACATCCTGATTTAACCCCATGAGAGACCCCGAGCCAGGACTACACAGCTAAGCTGCTTCGAAATTTCTAACCCACAGAAACTGGGAGTCATATAAAATGTTGATTGTTGCTTTCAGCCACTACATGTTGAAGTAATTTGCCACAGCAAATTAACACACTATATAAACCTGTCTGTCCTAACACGTCCTTGTTCCAGGGAATGCCATTCCCTTCCTCCTCATCCCAAAAGCTCACTCACTGCAGTCTCATTTCTTTGCTGCATCCAATCTGCTGATTGGACATCTCTTGATGCCAGCCTCTGTTCTCTTGTCCCATTACTCTTGGAGCAATAACAGCCTTTTACTGGACACTCATCATGTGACAAAGTACCTACTTCATGCCCTGTTTTTGGTGCTGAGTTTGCTCACAGAAAGTCACAACAACTGGAAGAAATAAGTTTGTTGTCCCTGTTTTTAGAGTGGAGACACCTGAGACTCTGAGATGCTCAGTAACTTGCCTGAGTGCCCAACCCCTCCCCAGCAGGTTAATTAGAGAATCAAACTAGAATACCATTTTGCCCCAAAGCCCATGTGCTTTCACCAGTGGGCACCGAGGCAAGGCAGCTCAGCTCTGGCTAAAATGCAGATCCGACCATCTGTCCTGCCCTGCTTAAAAGCCGACAAAAGTCCCCCACCCCAGTGCCCCTGTCCTGTCCATCCTTCAAGCTCAGGTCAGTTGCTGCTCCTTGTGCCTGACACCTCTCATTGAACACCATCTTCTCTCCTGGTAATTACCCATTTGCTCTTGGTTTAGAGATGGGCACACATTCCATCTCCCACAGGAGACAGTGGGGTTCTCAAAGGAGAGACCGCCCAAGGCCCACTTGGTGCACACAGACCCATGGGAAAGGATTTACGTATGTGGGTGGAGTGACTGTCACATAATTAATAACTGAGTCTATGAGTGAATATGCTCAGAAATCAGTGATTCAATGAATCAATAATGAAAAGCTTTCTAAATGTGTGGCTTACGTCATGAATGAATGATGGGTTGATTGAATAGGACACTGCCTAGATTTAGGGTCCTGAGACTGTATATGTGTCTTTGCCAACAGCAAAATATTTTATTACATAGATGATCGAGAATAGTATTCAAAATATTTAACAAACAGTACACCATGGGCACCAACCGCTCAGGATGGATGCCTCCATAGGCTGGGTCAGGCAGAGGGTCTCCCGTTGGGCCCCTTCAGTGCCAGATCCTGGGAGGCTGGGGGCGTGTCCCAGGAGAAAACTAACATGGCGGAGGGCACAGGCGGCACTGGAGAAGCTCGCGCACAGCCCCTTATCAACCTTGCGGGAGCATGTCAGTGTGGCGCACCGGGGCCTGCTGGCGGATGCAGGCCCGCATGTGGAGTTTTCTGAGCATATCCACGGCCAGCCCTGGGCTGAGCTTGACTTGCAGGAGCTCATTCCATCCTCAAAGAGCACCATGAGGTTGGGACTACCGTTGTCCCATGTTACAGTGAGGCACAAGAGGTCGCACAGCGAGTAAGTGGCGGAACCACGACCTGGCCCAGGACTGCCTAGCAACTGCTGGGCAGCCTCTCCGCGCAGCGTGAGGCCCCAGAAGCCCGGGCCTGCGGTTCGCCTGCGCGCGCTACCTGCGCAGGTGCTGGGCGGGGCCGGCAGTGGGCCTGGTCTTTCCGGGCCCGGGATTGGTGGAGGCTCCGGGGCTGACAAGGCGTGGCCGGAGGCTCGGCCCTCCCCAGTTTCCTGCTCTCCCGAGCCGAGTGGCTCGCCCTGATGCGGAGCCCGGCGGTCACGGGAGAGAAGGTGGCTGTCAGGCATGCCCCTGGCGCCGCGACCGCGCCACGGACGGCGTTTTCCAGGCGCAGTTGCCACTGTCCACTTGCCACTGACCAGCCGTGGGACTTCGGGCAAGATGTCACCTCTCCGAGCTAATTTTCCCCATCTACGAAATGGGATGACGACGACGTGCATGGCCTTTCCGGCCTGGTGTGCAGATTAAAGAAACACCTATATGCAGGGACCTGGACATTTACTGTCACTCTTCTACATTGTTGGAAGCCCTGGGCAGTCAGGAAAGGCCACAAGTGGCAGGGGTTGGTGGACTCTTGCGCCTCTCTGTCCCAGTGGGGGCAGAGTGGGGAGCTTGGCTGGGTCCCGCGCCCCTGGCGCTGCGCTGCGCCCCAGCCTCCTGCTGCCACCCCCAGCCCTCCGAACTCCTCCAAAGGCCGAATCATTTCTCCTTCCTTTTCGCTTTTAATCACAAAATAATTTTGGTGCCCAGAAGCCTTCCTCTCGGAGGAACATTTGTGCGGGATGATATCAGCCTAATTAAGCCTTCAGCTTCGGGGCTTGATTTCTTTCCCCCCAGATCCCGGCGCTCCCTGCCAAGCAGCCCTGGCCGGCCAGGCGGCCGGCTACCTGCACTTGCCGGGTTCTGGAGCCTTCGGGGCCCGTGCGCCCCCCTGCCCCCGCGCCGTGATTGATATCTTGATTAGGCGCCAGGAGTTGGCGGACCAGGTGTTACCTCGGCGCGGGCTGGAGGCGGCGCGCTCTGCGAACCCGGCCCTGAAAGGCGCAGGCATGTTCCGCGGCAGCAATGAGCCTTTGTTTGCCTTGGCAGCGCCGCGGCCTCCCTGGGGCCGGCCCCATAAAGGGTTTCTGTTCGGGCTGGAGGACTCATTGTCAAAAAATTGTCCCTCGAAAAATTAGCATGGTACAGTGGAGAAAGCGGAACGCCCGGCAAATGACAGCTGCTGGCCCCAGACAAGGTCCAGAAAGCGGAGTTTTGCGGGGTGCCCGCTCCCAGAGGCACCCCTCCCTCCAGGCCTGGAGAGGGACGGAGGGGTGGCAGAAGGGGCCGGCAGGGCAAGGGCAGGCAGGGGTCAGATGGGGAGTGCAGCTGGAATTGGGGTTGATGGCTTACCTTCCCTAAAAGGTGGGGCATCTCCCAGGGGCCAGGAGGCCAGGTCTTTGGTATGGGGTGTTGGAGGGCTTCTGAGCCAGTGTCAGGACCAGAGGGGCAGCTGGGTTGAAGAAGCGGGGTGAGGTGAGAGGGGGGAAGAAAGAGAGAGAGAGAGAGGGAGGGGGGGGAGAGAGAGAGAGAGAGAGAGAGAGAGAGAGCGCCTAAAGGTTATGTGGTTAATTGAACATCAACAGCCACAGATACGATTATGCCCCTTTGTGTCTTTCTCCCAGTGTGTTGATGGAAAAGTAACTAGATTAAAAGGGCCGGGAGCTCGGGTTGGAGGGGCCGGGCAGTGGGGGGAGAGCCCTTCTGAATGCCGACCCGGGGCTCCCGCAGTCCCAGCAAGGAGGGAAAACAGTCAATTAGAGAGGAGAGAAAAGATGGAGTGAGCTGTGGCTTGGCATTTGCATAAAGGCTGGGCCCCAAAGCTGCCACCCTTCGAGAGGGGGGCAGGGGTTCCCAGGAGAGAGGTTGGGAGTGTCATGGGGGTGAGGCACATGGTAACTGTTGAAAGTCTCCGCCCGAGGCCCCTATGCACACATTGCACATGAAGCCGAAGTAAGGGTTACTGGGTGTGTGTATGGAGCATGTTGACGTCTGCGCGTGCGTATTCTTGTCATATCTGTGAAGTTGCAGACATCCACATTTCAAGTGGATTGCACCTGTATAGCTTGTGTTGGCCTAACTCTCTGTGTTGTGACCATGTGCACAGATTTATGTAGGTGTGAAAAGACAGTGGGGAAAATCCCGTGGGGCCTCTCTGATGGGGCCCAAGAGCATGGCTGGGTCAGGGGGATGTGGATTTGCTGACTCGATCCCACCAGCACAGGCAGGCCATGGCCTCGAGGTTTCCTGTGGCCCTAAGGAGCCTGGACCTGGAACTAACCCCCAGGCTCGCTGGGTACCTGAGCTGCCTGGAAAATCTTCCCAATCTTTCCAGTCCCCTATTTCCATTAGGCCCTGACCCCCTAACCTAGCCCGTCAAACAACCTCGTCTCTGAACAGGCAGGTTTTAGGCTGAAAAGACAGAATCATACCAACCTGAGATCCAGTGCCAGCTCCGGCTTCATGACCTCACACACATAACCTCACTCACACACAGCCCAGAACCAGGGAGCCTGTGCTCTCGGAGAGACTGTCCCCTCATGAGGAGACAATGCCATCCAATTATAGGACTGTTTTAGGGCTTCAGTGAGATCTTGTACTGAAGTGGGAGGGAGTCCATACTACAGCCCAGCTTGCCTGGGACCGCCCAGGTTACGCCTGGGGTCCTGCATTATTATTCATAGTGCCCCACACTCTCAAACATGTCCCGCTTTGGATTACAAATTATATGGCTACCCCAAATATAAGTGGGGCCGCAATAACTCTTCTTCTCTCCCCTTCCTCCTTGCCTTCCCTCTTTGATTGTCTGATTGACGCACTGCTCCACTACTCCAACCCTCTCTGCACTCCTGGCATGAAACTCCTGGAGTTCCCTGATGTCCGTCACACCATGTGCAACAGTAATAGTAGTTAATGCGCAACAGACACTCAGTGGCTTAACAGCTGCCCGGGAATAGAGCTGCCTCAGGGACTCTGGGTGCAGCGGACTGCCCTCTGCCCGCTGGGTTTAGAGCAGGGCAGGGCATAGGAAGAGAAGTAAGGCCTTCGACACCCCTATGACCGTGGGCTACTACTGACAAACAACAGGGTAGGGCCGTGTTTCTGCATCCACTGTCCATTGGAATCGTTCTTTTGTGTGGACAAGCCCTTCCTCCCCTATTGCAAAGTGATTCCCTACCCATCCAGGCCTGAGACTTTTGTCTTTCCCTGAGTACTGGGATCCAGCCTCAGTCAACATTTCACCATAAGAACGGCTATGATGCAGGTTGTGGAGGGCCTCACTTAAACAAGCACGTCGCTTACGTCACGGCAGACCCACAAACAGGCCCTCATTGATTTGTTGTAGTTGCTCCTGGTTAGGGACGTTCACCACGTAGACCAGGGCCCTACATAGGTGACTCAAGAGGGCAGCCCGGGTGCCTGGGAGCAAAGCGCCAAGCCTTTGTAGCCAGGAGGCACTTCAAAGCTAGCTCCCAAGGGACTTCTCAAATAGGGCTAATGGGGCACACGAATTTATCCCTGCCTACTCCTGAGACACCCTGGCATGACAGTAAAGAGATGTTTAAAGGTGAAAATCTGCTAAGACAAAGAGTATGATAGAGGAGGCATCAGTAAAATTTCAGAAGCTTGAATGCAGATAGGAGAAGGGTCGTTTCTTTAGCCCTGTGGAGAAAGCTGAAACCGAGGTTTATAGAAAAACAGGAAGTCCAAAAAGCCGGCCAGAACCCCAAAAAAGCTCCTAAATTGGAGACATGTACAGAGATTTTTAAAAAAATTACTTTGCCTATGAAGGATCAGGCAAAAGAGTAGCACTGGACAATGGTTGCTTAAAGACAGTGGAGCAAAATTTTGAAATTTTGTATGCAGGTAAATTAATCAAGCATAAGGGTAGAATAAAAATGTGGGTCATAAAACTTCTCAAAAATTTACCTCCCATATACTCTTTCTCAAGAAACTACTGAAGGATGAGGGAGGCTTTGGGAAAGCTAAAAAGATGTAGCAGAGGTTCAGAATCCTCAGTGAAGGAAGGCTTCCTGGAGGAGGGGGCATTTGGAATGGATCTCAAGGGATGGGCAGGGTGTCAGTGAGTTAAGGTGGGGGATGGAGCAAGGAGAATTTCTGGGTAATGGGAACAGCATTGGCTCTGGCAGGGCGCTAGGGGAGGGGGTTCAGGGTTGTCTTGCCACTGGTTTGGTGGAAACAGGGAGAGATGCAGTTGGCTGGGGCCTGACCACAGCAGGCTTTGAATGGCAAGGAATCAGGACATAATTCTACAGGCCTGAAGGACCGTGAAGAGGGGCCCTAGGGCTGGGAGATGAGAGAGGCTGGAGGGGCCCCCAGGAAGGGGGCCAAGGCAGAGGGAACGCAGGTCTCCAGGCTGGGTCTGGGCGCTGATGAGATCACGTGTGAAAACACCACGTCACAAGGGGCCTCCTGAGAGGTGTGGGCGAGCCAGAGTGAAGACTGTTGGGTTGGAGGGACTGGGCAGAAGCCCAGCTGTCTGTTAAATTTCCCAGGAGAGGAAGGCTCTGAGCAGGGCAGAGGGACTGGGTGGTCACCAGGGCATAGAGCCACCCGCTTTAAAGCCCCTGGGTGGCCCCATCCTGGGCCTGCAGGACCCACTCCACACTGCTCCTGGACCACTGGACCAAAGTGGAGCCAGACCCCGAGGCCCAAGGCTCCCAATGACATTTCATCATCCTCCAGGCTGTCTTACCACCCAGTGCCCTGCCTTTCACCCTGTGAAATAAAGCCACTGTTTGAGAATGCAACTGGGGTCACCACCTGGCTCCCACCCCCCACTGCCAGCCACACCATGTTTAAGAGGGCTGGGTGTGGAGCGCCGGCACGTAGCAACAGCGTGCAACCCAGGCAAATTACCTCCACTTCTCAACCTGTAAAATGGGATTTACAGTAGCTCCTGCCTGCTGGGGTGGTTGTGAGGATGAAATGAATCTGAATGGGGTAAGAGTTTAGAATAGAGCCCAGAACCCAGGGAGCCATTGCTATCATTATCCTTATTAATATTACTGCTGAGGCTTAGAGAGCAAATAGAGCCAAGGATGACTTTGGGGGCAGCTGAGCCAAAAAGTGGAGATCCAAGAGTTTGCGTGGCCTGGACTGACCATGCAGCTTTGCAGGGTCTCGCTCTCCTCTGTGGCCTGGCCGGATGGGATCCCATGTCCTCAAGGCCTGTCCAGAGACCCAGCCCAGAAGCCATGCTGATTGGAAGGAAGTCACAGTCACAATTTCTAGGGGGCCGTGGACAGCAGTGGGCTTGATCGGGTTTGGGTTCTGACTCGTCAGAGTTCCTACCCTGGCCAAGGGGACCCTACCCCACACTGGGGCCACCTGCCTTCCTGCTATCCTTCAGTATGTGGTGGGGGATAGCCCTTTCCGAGGGATCCACCCAATGGGGATCCAGGGTGGAAGCGTTTACAACCCGGCACGCCCTCCCTGGCATGATTTCCCCATCACTCTGTCCCACCCACGTCCCCGGGCTCCTTGGCCTGGTTTCCAGGAGCTCTGTGTGTGGGGGATTGAAGGGTAGTCATTTTGTAGTATGGGGAAGATTTCAGGGCCAGACAGACGCTTCAGGGCTATACAGGAGCCCTGTGAACATAGCCATCACCAGTCACTGCCTCAGGCCTCCGGGGTAACACAGATAAGAGCAGGGAGGGCTGTGTGGACACTGTCCCTTCAGGCTTTCAGAGGAAGTCCAGCTGCTCAGCACTGCCCAGGTGTGGCAGGGATGACACCTCCCACTCCAGATACCATTTCATCTGAGGGCTTAGTCGGTAATTTGGGTATGCTGCCACCAGGTGGCTCCCCTTTAAGGCCCTCTCTCCTCAACTACTGAGCAAACCTTGGATTCTGTCCTAGAAGAGAGGATGTTGGGCTTCTCTCCTTACTCATGCTGGCCCCTTGTGGGCACCTGAACACCAGGCCTCCTCCGCCTGGGTATCCCCCAGCCCCTTCTCCTGCTCTTTTATCTCTCTCTCTTTGTAGCCCCATCTACCCCACTCATCCTAGGGTCAGGAGTTCCTAATCCGAAACAAGCCGAAGCTCCACTCTGCCCCTCCCAGGCTCATCCCAGCCCTGCCCAGCTGAGCTTCCCTGAGAGGCTGAGCGCTTCCTCCACTCCTGGCCAGCACCTCAAACCACCTCCCCTGCTGCCTTCCCCCAGCCCTGGGACTCCTCCTCTCCTCTTCTGGCCATTTTCATGGGACTCCCCCTGCCAAGATCCAGTCCCAAAAATTCCCTGAGCAGTCGGGAGGCAGGTCAATAAAGGTTTGCTGAATGAAAGATTGGGAAAGGGGCAAACACATGGCTGAGGGACTAATCGGTGGACACATTTTTACTGGGCACCTATTATGTGCCAGGCCCTGTGCTGGCCCAGGAGGTGAATGAATCAGTGAAGAAGAGAAGTAAAGGGGGATGTGAAAGCCCAAACACAGGAATGGCTGGAGAAACGGAGCAGAGGAGGGGACCAGCAGAGGGGTGGGTGGCTGGCTGGAGGGGTGGGTAGGTGAGTGCTTCTCATGATTTGCTGGGGAAGAGCCAGGTCACTTGGCCAGGGATTGAGAGAGGCAGTGTCCCCAACAGGACCCAGACCAAAACAGATGACTCACTTATATGTAAGGCCTTGGAGAACCAGCTGCTGCAGGGGAGGGGCGGGGCAGAGGGGGGTGCTGGAACCAAAATTGTGCTGTGGGGGCACCCTGGGGAGCTTGAGACAAGGTCAAAACAGGCCCTGCACAGATGGAAACCGGTGCAGATTAGGAAGAAAAGCCTGAAGACTCATCCCAGAAAGCAGCAGTGACTCATTTATTGAGCACCTACTAGCTGCCAGGGATGTCCTATAAATCAGTCCTAAGCCCCAACAGTCCTGGGCAGGAGAGTTACCCTCACCTTGCAGAAAAGAAAAAGAGAAGCTGAGTGGTAAAATGACTGATCCACAGCCACCCAACAGCAAGGGCCAGAGTCGAGACTGACCCAAGTCCTCTCTTGGCTGGGACCTGCCCCTCTGTCAGCTAGCGCATGCATTCTTGGAGAGACCCAAGGAGATGGTGACCAGCATGGAACAGACGATGGAGGGAGGTGGGCAGCAGGGCAGCCTCCCAGGTGCCTGCAGAGCATAAGCCAGCAGGGAAGAACCACTGGGTGGCCAAGACACCCCAGTGCGGGAGGCCTGGCCTCTGGGGATGCCTGGGTTTTGCCTGTGGGGTTGGTACTCCCTCTGGACAGTCACAGGTGAGTGGCTTCCCCTCTCTGAACCTGAACTTCTGCATCTTTAAAAGGCAGAACACACGCTCCCAGAGTGACCTTCTGTCCACTGGGCTGGATGCAGTCAGCAGCAGAAGCTCGCCTGCCCTCCTTGCCGGCCCTCCCTGGGGTCATTTGTGCTTTCTGGTCAGCCTGTCCAGCTGGCTGACGCCAACTGCCCAGGGCCCGGACACCTTGGAGAGCCGGCCATGATGCTGATGCAAATGTACAGGTAGGCCACTGCTTTATCACTGATGAGGAACATCCCCTTCCCTCAACTGCTTTTCCACAGGGCAGGCAGGGCAAATATTCATATCCCGTGCTGCAGACAAGAATGCAGGTGGGGAAGGAAGAGAAGCTGACCTTCCTGCCACAAGCTCAGTTCTGGGAGCCTCTTGTGGGTGGTTCCCCTCATCCTCCCAGGAGCTCTGAAGGGTGAGTATCATCCCCATTTTGCAGATAAGGAGACTGAGGCTTAGAGAGCTTGGATGCCTGGTCCAAGGTCAAGCATCTCATCAGGGTCTAGACTCGATTCAAACATGGGCTCTCTAGCATGCTATGTGACCTTGCGTGAGTTCCTCCCTCCCCCAGCCTCCACCTCCTCACCTCTGGGATGAGGAGGATGGACAAGGTGAATTTATCATTGAGGTCCTCCCAGCTCTGGCAGTTTGGAAGCCTGTGCCCTCACCGGAAAAGAGCACCAGGCGCTGTGTCCTCACAGCCAGGCTTGGCCCCAGCTCTGTGACCAGCAGCCAGCGCCCCTTTCATGAGTCTCAGCACCGCATCTGCAGGCGGGGAGATGGCTTCGGCTTAGCAGGTGTGCCAAGCGCTGATGCAGGTGACACCCGTGGGGCATGGCCTGTGAGGGACCAGCATGTAGTTCTCCTGGGAACACCTGGGGATGGGCCCGGAGACTGGAGCCCGGGAATTCAAAGCCTGGTTCCTGGGGTCAGGGGGCTCATGAGGGAGCCTCTGGGGCTCTCCTACCCTTGGCTAATTTATTGTGATGCAAAAATCAGACTCAGGGCGGCAGGAAGCAGAGCCGAGTGCCAAGCACTCTTCCATTCTGTTCTGTTCCACATATTTTCAGTATTTATTGTCCCCATATGTGATGCTGAACATTAAAAAACATGTTGCTGAGATTCCTCCAGAAAGGGCTGACATTTCACAATATTCCTCTCATGCTGGGGATTACTGCTCAAGATGATGAAAACGTGGTTTATTCAAAACAGATTGGGGCAGAAGAAAACAATGGCATGGCCCCCGGAGAGGCTCAGCGCGCTCCCGCTCCTGGGAGAGACAGGCGGTGCACCTCCGCCAGGAGCTCCAGACCCGGGGCAGCCTCTGTCCAGTGGGGGCCTGGATTCAGAGAGGGAATTGAGCCAGGCAGACCCAGCGCCCACCCTGGCCCTGGCTGGCTCCCGGGGAATGGTAATGGTCATTGCTTGTGGGGTGCTTCAAAGTACCAGGCAGACGTACCAGGCTAAGGACCCCAGCACCACCCTATAACATCCTTTTCCATTTTAAAGAGGGAGAAACTGACTTCAAACAACTTGCCAAAGTCTACAGAGCTAGTTGGTTGCAGAGTCAAGATTACTGATTTAGGTTTCTGTCCAAAGGCCCTGTTCTTAACCATGGCCACAAAACAGAAAGCATCCTGGGAACAGAGGCAGTTGACTTGCTGTGTGATCATGAACAAGTCACTTTACCTTTCTAGGCCCCAGTTTCCTCACCTGCAAAATGGGGGTGAGAACCAAGCCTGCACTGGCTGCCTTGAAGGGATGTAGCGGGTCCAGGAATGGGGTAAGATCAGAGAGTGGTGTCTCGGTTTCCCTCCCAGCGACATCACCATGGGTTGGGAGGCTTCAGTGGCCAGGCTGGCTCAGCCCTCTCTTGCAGAGGGCCTGGAGCAGGTGATTCAGGTCTCTGGGTCTCCTTTTTGAGCTCCGTAGAATGAGGGGCATGGGCTCAACCACCTTGAAGGAGGCTCAAAGAGTCCTGGCTTTGGGCAGACCTAGCCCTGCCACTTGTGACCAGGAGCCTTCCTTTGTCCAAGCCTCTGTATGCCCACTGGGGGCAGTTGATTGTGCCGGCGGTCACCGTAGAAGGTAAGTGTCCAACACAGAATCCAAAGGCAGTATCCAGAGGACATTGTCCAAGGGCAGGGTCCAGACCCCAGAGCCCCTTCCAACCCCCTCCCAAAGCAGGGCAACTGTTGGGGGGCCCAAGAGATACTGTGCCACCCACTAGGTGTCCCACAAGGAGACCCACGCAGCCTCTCTGCAGCCTCAGGCCCAGAGTGTGGGCCTGTCTTCTGGGGGTACATGCCTGGTTGTCACTGGGGGCCCAGGGACACGGTGCCACCTCGGGCCCCTTTATTCTCAGGGCCTGCATGTCCTGGACGACAGTGAGCACTGGCCTACTCCCCTGCTTATGTTTTTGGAGGGCCTTTAGGTCTCCATGAAACCTTGACATCTACAACCTGCCCATTTTATTCAGTCCTTGGCAACAGGGGCAGGGGAGGAGAGTGGAAAAGGGAGAGGTGGTTATGCCAGAGATGCGGAGACCCTCGGCCATGTGGCAAAGTCAGGCTGCAGAGTCCGGTTCACAGTGACCACAGAAGGTGGTACCCTCGGCTGTAAGTGCCCAGGGCCTTTGGTCCTAGGGACAGCTGTGCAGAACGTGGTGGTGCCACAGGCTGCGTGCCCCTGGAAAGGCAGCACGTCCCCTGGGGTAGGGGCAGGGCTACCTGCAGAGCAATCGGAAGTCCCAGCCCCAGGTCCTCCAAGCCTCGCCCTCCCTACTGCAGGCCCAACCACCACCCACCCCCTGACTGCGGGTCCCACAGGCTGCCCTCCTTCCAGGCTGGCCCCATCAGGGAGTAGGGCAGACGCTGCCCTGGAGCTGTGGTGCAAGCGCTGTGTGGCCAGGCCAGGCAGGCCAGAGCCACGAGTGCTCTTGAAGAGTTGTGGCTGTGAAGGGGACACCACCCTGCCAGCCGCCAGCTTTATGAGCCCAGCGTGCTCATTTGGGGCCTGCCGCATTTGGCGGCGACCCTGAGACTTCTAGCTTCACAGCCGCCACTGCCCCACATGCAGACCCAGCCTCCCTCCATTCCTTCCAGATCTCGCGGCCAAAGTGCCAGCTTCCTCGCTCGGCCTAGCACTGGGCTGCAGGCCTGCCCAGCCATGCCAGGGTGCCTGCGACTGCCCCCTTGGATGCAGCCAGCCACTCCTTCCTCAATCAGAGGGCCAGCCTCTCACTTCCTTGACACCTGCTGAGGGCTGGCTCTGCTCCTCCTGGCCCTGGCAGGTAGTGAGTGAGGCAGGGTCGCTCCTGTGCCAGAGCACACATTTGGGTGTGGGGGCACAAGCAAGCCCCCAACATGTTTGCTATTGGTGAGGTCCTCTCGGGGGGGCACACAGCAGAGGCCTGAGGAGGGCTGACGGCCCTCAGGGAGAGCCAGGAGGCAGGCATTCCAGGCAGAGGGAACAGCAGGTGTGAAGGCTCTGGGGTGGCGTGGGGCGGCGTGGCCTGGCGGGCTTGAGCGCCATGAGGAGGTGGCCTGTGTGGCTGCAGCAGAGCAAGCCTGTGGGGGTGGGGGCGGGGGCGTCCCGGGGAGGAGTGGAGCGCAGACAGGGCCCGGGGGAGGAAGGGAGCTCAGAGGGGTGCAGGGCAGAGGAGGTGAGCCCTGGGGGCCGGGTCAGAGCTTGAGACTATATCACACGCAGGGGAGAAGCCACTGGAAGGGACTTCACTCATTCCCACGGGTGAGGATAGGGCAGCAGACCTGTGAACGGATGTTTGAAACAAAATTGTGCCATGATGGAGTTCCTGCCCTGTGCAGGGTTTTCGGCTCTGGTTCTCAGAACCCTCCTGAGCAGTTGGCGCCATGATTTAGGGAGTCACCACATTTACCGATGAGGAAGCCGAGGCTCCACAAGGTGATGGCACATTCCTAAGTTCACGAGTCTTGGGATTTCCCCCAAGACTTTGGGACTTTAGAGCTGCCCCTCAGCAGGCTGAAAGTTCGGGGTGGGGATTTTAGGCTGGGCTGCCCCCGACATGAAGGAGTCCAGGGAGGGAGCTTTCTGCCTCAGAAGTTCAGACCGTCCCCTGCCTCTACCCACACCTTGGACACAGAGACGGGACAAGGAGCCTGGGCCTCGGTTTGACTGTACTCCAAGGTATTTGACCAAGGATGCCTCAGCCTGCCAGTTTTTCTCTGCCAGACCCCAGTGCTGGGAATTGGGGTTCATGATTCCACCTACAGGCTCCCAGAGGCCTCCTGAGCTACTGCCAAGCCCCAGGGTTACAATGGCACAGGGTTCCCTGATGCAGTGCCTGCAGCCCCGGCTGATCTGCACTCTGTGGGCACCACTGCGACCTGGGCACCGCCCATGCAGCCTCCACAGGGACAGGCTAAGTTACAGCAGGTGTAATACTCAAAATGCTTAACACCTGGGACTGTTGCGTAAATTATAATATCCACCTAAAGTTTTAAAATATTTTCCCTTTTATTTGCCAAATACACTATACCGATCACCAAACTGCTTACCCGGTGATGCAAGTTATAACAGATTGCTTGCCAATTCCATCTACATTTCCCTTCACTTGCACCCAGACGTGGTTGGTGAGGCCTTTCATGTCATCGGATAGATGGTGCAAATGTGTGTGCCGTGGTCTGACACAGAGATCCTCATCCAACACTCCCACCACCGTCCCTGTGGTGCCGAGGCTTTACTGAGGGAAGGCTGGATACTGCCCTCAAGCCACACTCTGGTGCCAGAGCTCCTCACATGGCTTTGACCCAGAGCCTGGTCTGGACCCCACTGACATCCCACCACAGGGGCTGCCCCAGCCCCCACCTGCTCCATGGAAGCGGCTAAACACCCCTCACAGCTAGGCTGCCCCTCAGACCCCTCAGTGGCTACAGTCCATTACCTCCCCTGCAGCAGCCTCTGGCAATGTCATTCACTGACTCTGGGATGGATATTCGACAGCCTCTGTGCCCACATGCGAGGAAGTGTTTCACCGCAGTAAGTGAGCATGACCACAACTCAGTCCAGGCACCCTCTCCCCCAACACCCTAGGAGTGGGAAATTTTGCATGACAGGGTTTGTGACCCATGCTGCTGGGCCTCAGGGGATGCCCCAGGGCATCCTAAAAGGAGGGAGGGGACCGGGCTTCGGCAATATCCTGACTTGCCTTCCTCTGTCAGTCCTGGGGTGCTGCCCCCGAGGAGGTCACCCCTTCTGATCAGAGTCACCCGGCTCTGCCATTGCTGCTGCTGCACTGTCCACAGGAGTGGCTGGTGTCTAGACAGCCCCAGGCTGGCCTCCTGAAAAGCCCTGCAGCTCCCCTCTGCCTTCTTGCTGTCTGGGAGGTTGGGATCAGCCATCGGCCAATCTGCTGTAAGGAATCCCAGAGGAGGCAACTGGGAGAGGCTGGAGAGCATCATGCCAGTCTGCCACAGACAGGCAGACTGAATCCCAGAAGGGCACACTCTCTCCTCCAATGTCAGATTTGGAAGTCCTCAAGGGCAACTGAAATGCATCAATGTGCACTGGCTCTGGAGTCAGACAGACCAAGGGCACCCCACTGGCATTTGCTGACTGCGTGGCCTTGGACAGACAAGCATGACTCTTGGAGCTAAAACTTCCTGATTCCTTTCTTTGACAATTTATAATCAGCCCTACTATGTGTCCTGCTGTGTGTACTGGGTTGTGGGGGCACAGCTGTGCACAGATCAATGATAGATGCTCAGATAGAAAAAAAAAAGAAAAAAACAAAGCCCTGTCTTCCTGCTGATTTCCCTCTTGGGGGAGACTGAAAACCACGGCAAACAAATGCAAATGTACTGCAAGGAGTGATGCTTGCCATGGAAAAAAAGGCAAGCAAGGTGATCACAGAGAGTGAGATGAGGCAGGAGGCAGCGAAGTGACAGGAGAGCCTCCGGGGAGGCTCACGTGAGCAGAGTCTTGAACAGTGAGTGCAGGGGCGTGCTGACTGAAGAACAGCAAGGAGCCCTGGGTGGCCTGAGCAGAGACTGCTGGCCAGAGGGAGGCAACAGAAGGCAGAGGCCCCTGGAAGGATTTCTGGGCTCTTTGCTGAGTGAGGTGGAAGCCCTTCCAGGGTTTGTTTGGAGGAGTGGCAAGGTCTGACTTCCCTGGTTAGGGGTCTTTTCTGCCACTTAGGGTTGGCTGTCAGAGGTGGGTGGTGGCCAGGGAGGGCTGCAGGAAGGAGAGGCTCAGATGAGAGCGATGGCAGTGTTGGAGGAGTGAGAAACAACTGGAATGGGGGCCCGATTGGAAGGTAAGTCTCTAAAACTGAAGAAAGGCCCCTCCCAGGCCAGGAGCAAAGCTCACACCTGGGTCCTGATCAGGGTCCACCTCACCTCCTGGGCCTGGAAGAGATTCCACAGAACAACTGGTCAGACTCCTCAGGTACAGTGAGGACTCAGACTATGAATCTGCCTGAGCCTCTACAGCCAAGTCACAGCAGCACCACACCACAAACCTAGACCCCTGCTCTCCCCAGGGGTGCCCCATTCACCATCCTGGGGGCAGCTGGCACCAGGTAGGGTTACCATGTTTAGCAAATAAAAAACAGAACACGCTGCTAAATTGGAATTGCATTTAAATAATGATTTTTTTTTAGTATAAATATATCCCAGGCAATATTCAGGATATACTCGTACTAAAAATTATTTGTTGTTTATTTGAAATTCATATTTCACTGGGTGCCCTGTATTTTATTTGGCAACCCTAGCAGCAGAGCCAAGCTGACAACTTAGGAAAACGAAAAGAACAACTCTCTCTCTTCCGCCCCTCCTTCTGGGCCCCATGCTAAGCCACCGCTTCCAGGAGCTGGTGCAACTTCTCTGGGCTCTCTCCTTACCAGAGAATCTACCCAATCAGGTGTTCTCTGAGCACTCAAGGCCTTTGTTGGCTAAACCATTGACCCTTGCTGGGTTTTACACAGGTTTCAGTGTGTTGATCTGGCCTCTGGGACGGTGCCTGGGCCCGTCCTGGAGTGATGGGACACAGTCCCTGTGATATAACTGCCTGCAATAGGCCACTGGCCTCCATGGGCCTCTTCTTTCCATCTCTACATGGGCTCTGTTCACGTCAAGAAACACCTACTGAGGGCCTAAACACATACTATGTGTCAGGTGCTACATGGAGTTCGGTGAGTTCAAAGATAAGTGAGATGCACCCCAGGAGGAAAAAAGACAGATTGTTTGAGGCAAATGAGAACTATATGAAAAAATTGCTTTCTGAATGGATAAGGCAGTGGCTGGGAGCACGAGATCCAGACCCCAGCCCTGCTACACACACCGATTACACACTGTGTGGCCCTGGGCAGCTGAATTAACCTCTCTGAAGAGGTTCAGTAGATACACAGATGCAATACGAATCCAATCTATAAAATCTGCATTTTTTTTCTTTGCACGTTCTCCATCTTTCTAATTGTTTTAGGTATGCTATCAAAGTTTGGTTTGTTTTACTACTAATATTCAATGGTGGCAAGAGTGAAGAAAAGGAGAGAGAGATGTGAGTATAAACTTTATAACTCCTAAACATTAACTTGAAGGTCAGTTTGAAGAGCCTTAAAAACATCCATCTCCTGGCCAGGTGCAGTGGCTCACGCCTGTAATCCCAGCACTTTGGGAGGCCAAGGCGGGCGGATCACGAGGTCAGGAGTTCGAGACCAGCCTGACCAACATGGTGAAACCCTGTCTCTACTAAAGATACAAAAAAAAAAAAAAAATTAGCCTGGCATGGTGGCACGCACCTGTAGTCCCCGCTACTCGGGAGGCTGAGGCAGGAGAATTGCTTGAACCCGGGAGGCAGAGGTTGCAGTGAGCTGAGATCACCCCATTACACTCTAGCCTGGGCGACAGGGCAAGACTCTATCTCAAAAACAAAACAAAACAAAAAAATCCATCTCCTTTAGTACAGTATCGATCCTTCCCACGTGCAACCCTGAGGTCACCCAGGGTGGTCACGAGCAGTCTATCTGGGTGATTTACTAGCTGTGTGACCTTGGACAAGTCACTCAATCTCTTGGTGCCTTAGTTTTCTTCTTGAATACTGGTAGCCAGTCCTTTATCCTCTAGGAAGGGAATCAGAAGAATCTTCTCTGTGGAATCTGAAGAAGAAAGACACAGAGAGCAGGGCACAGTGGCTCATGCCTGTAATCCCAGCACTTTGGGAGGCCAAGATGGGAGGATCACTCGAGCCCAGGAGTTTAAGACCAGCCCGGGCAACATGGTGAGACCCTGTCTCTACAAGAAACTTAAAAAAAATTAGCCAGGTGTGGTGGCATGCACCTGTAGTCCCAGCTACTCAGGAGGCTGAGGTAGGAGGATCCCTTGAGCTTGGGAGATCGAGGCTGCAGTGAGCTGAGATCACATCACTGCACTCCAGCCTGGGCAACAGAGTGAGACCCTGTCTCAAAAAAAAAAAAAAAAAGGCCCAGTGTTCAACCACACCATGTGCTCTATGACTCTGCTCAGCTTGTTAATCCTCCATGTTAAATATGGGCAGGAAACTGTGGATTCCAGACACCTGAGACTCACCTCTCATGGAAAAGTCACCAAACCAAACATGGGGAGAAGGGGCAACTTGGCAGGGAACACCAAATACCAAGGAACTTTCATTAATGTCCTCGAAGAAAGAAGAGATCCCATGACATCCTGGAAGCAAGAAAAGGATGTCATGAACGGGAACATTCCAAGAGCAAAAACAAACTCTTAGAAATTAAAAACTTGAGGGCAGAACTTAGAAAATCAGGTTGATGACCTTCCCTCAGGAAGCAGAGCACAAAGCAAGGAGAGAGCAGATAGAAAAGAAAAATCTGAAAAGCTGACGCCTATCTCACAATACTGTTAGAAAATAGCTATCCCAGGAACGGAGAACGTGGGAAACAGAGAAGAAGAAATTATCACTGAAATAATTCAAGAAAATTTCCTAGAACTGAAGAATAGGAGTGTCTAGACCAATAACAACAACAAAACAAAGGTCCACCACATGCCCAGCCCAATAGTTCAAAAGACACCCACCCCAAGGTGCATTAAGTTGGAAGTTCCAAACGCTAAGACAAATAAAAGATCCTCTCCTCTAAGGAGAAAAAAAAATCATACAAAAGATTAGGAATATGAATGGCTTCAGTCTTCTCAACTATTTGGAAGCCACAATACAGAGGAGTAATGTCTTCAAAATTCTGAAGGGAAATGATTTCCAGCCTAGAATCTGATACACAACCAAAGCGCCAATCAAGAGCTAGTGCATTTTCAGCGACATGAAGTCTCGGCAAGTTTACCTACCATGCATGCTTTCTTCAGAAAGAACTGGAAGATGTGTTCCACCAAAAAGAGGAAGTAAGCCAAGAAAAAGGAAGAGATGGGATTCAGGAAGCAAAAGATCCAAGCCAGGACAGGGGCCGGGGATTCTCCAGGATGATAGCAAAGGGAGACAGCAAGATGGCGGCTATGTACCCAGCGGAGGAGGCAGCCAGTCCAGCCTAGAGCAAGTCAGAAGGCTCTGAAGGGACTTCTCCACCTTGAAAAAATTGGAAAATACCTGATGTAAATGAACATCTTGATACAAGATTTAGATGTGCCGTTAGCAGAGTTCCCGATATAATTCAAAGTAAACTAAGCATTTCAAAGTAAACTAAGCAAACATTGAGAGCAAAAGAGAGAGAAACAGAGAGACAGAGAGAGAGAGCGTGCTAGGGACAGAGACAGAGAGAGCCAGGGACAAAAAAAAGACAGAGATGGAGGGAGATAGGGAGTTATTAACATCAGGGAAAACAAAGTTCTTCAATAAAGGAAAAGTATCTGTAACGTTCTACATAGTTCAGGCCTAACCAGTGTTCACGGTTATAATAATTTAACAATAATAATAATATAAGCGAAATAATGAAGTAACTATACTTTGAGGATGAGGTGGAATGTGTGTGTATGAATGTGCATGTGTTGTGTGTGTGCTCAGGCAAGGAAAAGAAAGTTAAACTTTCTTCTTGCATTGTGGAAGTTAATAGATGATGGATGAACTGAAAAATTAATTACCATACAAAATATACATATGCCATTTAGAGATAGGGAGATAGGTAGCAAAGTAATCAGTTTAAATAGTTGAAGTAAACATCTTTTGGAGAGAAGAAATGGAAGGACAGTCTGGGATTGTTGTTTTTCAAACAAGTCTTGTAAAACTCGTTGATTCTAAACTATGTGCATGTGTAACAATGATTTTATTTTAATTGAAACAAAAAAATAGGAAGGAAGGGACAGAGAGAAGAAAAGAAAAGAAAGAAAAAGAAAAAAGACTGGAGGGAAGTTCCTCTCAATAGTGGTCACCTCAAGGTGAAGAGATGACAGGTAGATTTTCTTCTTTTTTGTTCTTCTCAGTTGAGTCCAAGTCTTGACAGTCAGCCTCTATTACTTTTGGTTTCACTGGAGACTAAGGAGCCAGTGAAGACTGCCTGGCAGCCTGTCCTGGCTGATGAAATACCAAGCCCTCAAAGACCCTGCTGGGGATTGAAGGGAGGTGGGGCGTCCAAGAGCATCTGAGGAAGCCAGCATTGCTCGCAAGTGCCCACAGAGGCCCTGGACCAGCCTCCACCCCCATGAGCCAGAAGAAAGGGGTCCTGGGCAAACCCCAGCAAAGACCATCTGAGCAAGGCCCGGAGGTCCCCACTTCAAAGCCGCACACTAATGCCTCCCGACAAGCGTGGCCGAGCCTTGGGGTGTTCCCTTGCCGGCTGACAGCGTCTGTTCCCAGACAAAGCCGACGAGAGCAAGGCGGTGTGAGGCCAGGGGCACGCTGCGACCAAGCATTGGCCTGGTGGGGAAAATGTGATTTCACACCCAGGCCTACAGCCAAGCATTCATGCCCGTCCAGGGTCGGGGCCACTTTGAACTGGCTGGTTCAAAGTGGCCCCGACCACTGGGGTGTCTCCCCCCAGCACCCTCTCCCCATCATCTTCCCACCAACGTGGCTGTTGGGTCCTAGCCCCAGTTACACCCCTAGGCTCATCCACTAGGTCTGGAGCCATCTCTGCCCCAGAGAGAAGCTGGAGGGTGGAATGAAAAGAGGGCAGGCTTAGCGCCAGACAAAATCCTGCTCTGTCACTTCTCTAATTCTGTGAAGTTAGGCAAGTTCTTTAATCACTGATCCTCAGTCTCCTTCATCCGTAAAATGGTGATCGTATCTTCAGTGCAGGATTGTTATGAGCTTCGTAAATAAAGCGAGAATACACCCTACCCCACCTCAGGGTGGCTGTGCCCATCACCTGTCACTGCCTAGCCAACCATCTACCCCAAACCCAACGGGCTTACAACAGCAGCTATCTTACTCGCTCATGATTCACATGAGTCAGGGATTTTAGCAGGGCTTGGCTAAGCGGTTCTTCGGCTCCACGCAGCATCCATGCAGGCTTCCTCGGCTGCTTCAGCAGGTCCTCAGCTGAGCTGGAAGGTCCAGAGTGGTCTCAGTCACAGGGTGGGCAGGCAGGCGATGCCGCAGCCAGTAGGAACTCAGCGGTGGTTGTCAGGTGGGGGCTTCAGCTCTCCTGCAAGTGGGACTCTTCAAGTAGCTGCTGGGTTCCAAGAAGGGGTGTTTCAAGATGCAAAAAAGGAGCTGCAGCTCTCTTAAGGACTGGAATTGGCTTGATCTACTGGTCAAAAGGTAGCCTAGATCCAAGGGGAGCGGAAATAGACCCAATCTTTTGATGAGGAGAGGAGCAAAGAATTTTGCAGCTGTCATTCGTCCACCATCATAGAGATCTACATTCTCATTTCTGCCCCTTCTTGGCCAGGGTGTGTGGATTAGCTAAGCTCTAAGTACAACATGGCTTATGATCAATGCTCATTTGTTCATTTCATCATTCGACAGCTAGTGTTTATTGAGCACTCACCCTGTGCTTGGAACTAGGCAAACTGTCAATGAGCAAGGAAACATAGCTGTGGCTCCATGAGAGGTTAGATCCTTCCCGGGAAGACAGAGTTTGAAAACAATCAATGGTAGTAAAATATGATGCAAACTGTGCAGGGTGTCTCAGCTGACAGGGAAGAGGGGAAGTTTCTGGTGCTGGTCTGAGGGAGGGCACGATAGGTGGGACACCCAAGATGAGGTTAGAGGAGGCGAAGGAGCTGGCCAGGCATTGAGGGACCAGGATGTGCCCAGGAGACAGATGGAAAGAGGACCAGTAAGGGCAGAGCAGGGCTGGATGGCACCAGGCTGGAGACACTTGCATTAGTGGGAGCTGAGAGGAAAGGGACCCCACTGATGGGATTGGGACAGGCAGGTAACACGATGACATTTGAATTTCACAAAGCCCGCTCTGGCCAAGGAGAGGAGAATGGCTGAGAGCAGGGAATAAGAAAATGTCCCAACAATCTAAGAGAGAGGTGGTGGAGTTTGGCCAAGGCAGAGGTGGTGGGGATGGGAAGAAGGGAATGAGGGGCTCATGAGGGCTTAGGAGCAGCACAGCCAGCACCAGGGACAGGCTGGTGAAGGACCAATGGAAAGAGGAGGAGGGAGGTGCCAGGGGTGATGCAAGGTTTCTGGCTTGGAGATGAGGAAGGCTGTGGTGTTCTTTGCTTGATGAGCAGCAGGGGGTGAGGGAGGAGAAGACCAGGAGCTCGTGGGGCTGGAAGTGGAGATGCCCTGTTGCCTTTGCCTATGTCTGTGTGGAGTACAAAAAAGAGGTCTGGGCCGGAGATACCAAATTACTGCTGTCAGTAGAGTCAGGCAGGCCAGGTTATACCTAGCAACAAACAACCCCCAAATCTGAGCAGCTTGTAACCGCAAAGGCTCATTTCTCACTCATGCCACGTCCTTGGCGGGTTAGGTGGGATCCTAGACAGACACCTCAGAAAGGCTCTGATTTTATTCCTCAGCAACTGATGTCCCAAAGGCTACAGAATCCAGTCCAGGAGTACCCATCCCTAGCACAGGCCCCCGACAAGGCCTGGCACTTGTGCAGAGGTGCCACTGGGCAGGGCCTCTGAACCTGGCTATCTGACCCAAGCCAGTGGGGTTGGTTGGAAGTTCATGGTTCCCCATGCTGGAGGGCAGGCTGGGAAGTCTGTTTGTCCAGGAGACCTCATCCTTCTCCAAGAGCAAGACCCACTGACAGTCAGCCTCTAGAGTGAGGCAGTTCCCAGCATTTTGATTGCTTTCCTTACTCTGCCACAGTGTGCATTCCAGGAGAAAGTGTCCAGTTGGCCACGTATCGTCATGTGCCTACCCTGAGGCTGTGTCCACCGGGGGCAGGTAGGACTTCCCCAGAGAAAATCAGGGCACTGCGATCAGAAAAGGGGCACTGGGAAGCCAAGCACTGCAAATGTCCCTGCCATTCTTCACAAGCTGGCTGGGCTTGGGCTTTCTTTTTGTTTGTCTATTTGTTCTTTTTTTTTTTCGTCTATTTGTTCTTTTTTTTTAACTGAGATAAAACAAACATGCATTAAAGTACATACGCCAAGTGTACATCTCAATATTTTTTCAGAGAATTATACCAGCACCCTGGTCAAGATATAGATGGCTGGCACCAGAAACATTCCCCTCATGAATCTTCTCAGTCTAGACACCCCCAAAGCTCCCCACTCTTCCTCCCTCCATCCCATATTCTAGTGCATCTGCTTTTGAACCACACAGAGAGGCAATCAGGAAGGGTAGACATGCACCTGGCTGCCTTGGCTCATTGCTGTGCCTGCGAGAGTCCCTCGTGCTGTGATGTGTAACAATCATTTGTTCTTTTTTTTTTCTTTTGCTTCTGTGTATATTCATGGTGTGAATATACCACCCTTTTTTTTAACCAGTTCTTCTAGTGATGGGAATTTGTGATGTGGGCTCCATTTATTGTCAAACTGAACCAAACTGTTTTAGGAGGCACCGGGGCAGTAGGAGGAGCCTGGCTTTTCAGTTCTTGCCGGCATCACGTTTCCTTCTGTGTCCTGGAGCCAACCCCAGCCCAGCCCCGGCCCAGCGTCTTGAACCTGTGGGTGTTGCATGTGTTGTGAGATAGACGAGGCAAATCCAGCCTCATCCTGGGCTCCTGGCGCAGTGCTCCTGGAACCTCTCCTGATGACTGCCCATGGAAAGTTCTATTCTTGACCACCCAGTGCATACATCGGGGTCTCCTGCAGACCCAGGGATGATGTTGATCCCCCAAGAGCAGGCACTGTCCGTACCTGGCACGGGACTGGCACATGGATAGGGCCCCAGAAATATGTGTGGAATGGACGAGATTGAATTGAGTTGACACAGAGATGCTGCCCCAGGCTGGAAGACGATGAGAAGGACATAACTTCCAAGCTCCCAGAGGCCTGGATCCGCCTGGGCCTGAGGCCAGGTTCCGGCCTGGCAAGGACAGAAATGGATGCTGAGCCACTTTTTGCTACAGTCGACAGAAGACCATGTCTCTGTTCCCTGGGGCCAGGCCCTTGAAACCTGGCCTATCTGAGAGTGAGGAGGAAAAGCAGAGAAACAATCTCTCTAGACTCCCTCCCATCAGCTTCTCAGGCCAGCTGGCCACCCCCTTCTCCATCGTGGTGAGAACTCCAGTGGCCTCTTTTTCCCAGGAGAGCCTGGAGTCACCCACTCTCCCGGCTCCACCCACCGTAGTTGAAACTGTTGCAGATCTTCATCTGTGGCTGGGACTTCAGGCATGGGCCAGTCAAGGGGCATGAAGACTTGGCTCAGAGAGACAGAAAGGAGGTTGGGCAGGGGGATAGAGCAGAGGTTAGGAATCCAACTCAGCACCTCTCCTAACCAGCGGCAGCAGGCAGGGCTGGTGGGAGTTGTGAGGAGAGCATTGCAATTTGAAGCCTACCAGACTCGGTTATGAATCCCAACTCTGCTATTTACTTGCTGTGTGACTTTGAGCAAGTCACTTCACTTCTCTGAACCTCATTTTCTTATTGGAAAATGAGACTGGCCCTATACTTTAAAAGGCTATAAAGAAGATTAAATCATAGAATGTCTACAAAAAGCCCAGCATACAAAAGGGACTGGTAATTCTCCTCTTGTCCTTCTTGCCTTTGGATCTTTGCCCATTGGAAGAGACAGGACAAAGGTAGGAGTATGAGGCCCAGGAACCCAAGAGCAGCCTCAAGTTGCTCCTCCACCAAGACTGGTGGGCAGTGTGCTGGGGGTTTGCTAAGAGGTCCTCCCCTCTTCTGGTGTCTGTTAAAATCTGGCTTCCAGGATCAGCTTGGAGCAATGCTTCTTAAGAAAATCCCCCGTCCTCAAACCAAAAGCTGGAGGTGGGAAAGTACTTTTTAAGGGCTGGGAAGAAAACAAAGCTTGTTTCCTTGGACTAGGGCAGTGATTATAAACAGATGAATAAGTGAACTGAGGGAACAGAGAAACTGAAAAAATGAGTGAATTGAGGAACAATAGAAAGAATAACAGTTCACACTTAAGACACTCTTACAGGTGCACACCTTATTTAAGCCTCACAGAAAGCTCTAGGAAGTAGGTACTAGTTTTATCCCCATTTATATTTCAAGAGACAGAGGCACAGAGAGGTAAAGTGACATGCTTAAGGGCAGTCAAATCGTATAAGTGCTGGGGCCAGGATTGCAAACCCAGGCTGCTGGCTCTGGAAGCCTTGTCCTTACTGTCCCTTGATGAGATGAATTGGATGGATGGATGGATGGATGGATGGATGGATGGATGGATGGATGGATGGGTTGCTGAGTAGATGAACAGATGGATATGTGGGTGGATGGATTGGTGGGTGGGTAACTGGATGGCTGGATGGGTGGACAAATGGATGGATGGATGGATGGATGGATGGATGGATGGATGGATGGATAGATGGATGGGTGGGTGGGTGAATGCATAGATGAATAGATGAATGTATGTGGAAGGGTGGATGGGTGAATAGGTGGGTAGATGAATGTGTGTGTGGATAGGTGGAGGGGTAGATGAATAGATGGGTGTGTGTGGAAAGGTAAATGGGTAGATGGGTGAATGGATGGATGAATGATTGGGTGGCTGAATGGATGGATGTAAGGAGGGATGGATGGGTGAGTGGGTGGATGGATGGATAGGTGGGTAGAGGGATGGATGGATAGGTGGGTAGAGGGGTGGATGGATGGGTGGGTGGATGGGTGGATGGATAGCTAGGTAGGTAGATGGATGGATACAGCACGAAAAAAAATAATGAATAGGTGAATGGGTAAGCATGGATAACTGCAGGAAGTGGGCTGATGACTGAGGCCAATCAATAATTGGTTCCAAGGTGTCTGCCAGGAGGGCAGGAGTCAGGAGTTAAAAATATAATGGTAATAGATGCCTGGAAACCAATGCTCCTCCCCACCCGCCACTCTTCAGGCTTTCTGCTGCTGCCTGAAATCTCACAATTCCCAGTTTATTCCTTCAGCGTAAGCATTGCCCTCAGCAGCCCACTGTTAAACGGCAAAGCCTGTGGGAGGGACCCCTTTGTAGTCTGAGCTTGTGGTAATCATGCACCAAATGTGCCCTCTCTGGGCTCTGGGAAGGACAGTGCTGGGAACAGGGAGCTGAGGGCAACCCCTGAGCTGGGAGGATGTGGGAGTATCCCCTCCCTGCACTGAGAAGGTTTCCTTCCCTAGGCCAGCAATGTCTCTCTCCCAAGCAGCAGGGTCCTCACACTCCTGGGGGAGAGTGAAAAATGGAAAACAGGCAGCCTCAGTGTGAGCAAACCGGATGGCAGCCCCTCCCTCTGCTCTCAGCTTTCCTGCTGCCAGAAGACTGGGTGTCACTCTGTGTTATCACGCCAGGCGGCACATGGAAGCTCGCACAGTGCCCAGCAGCCACCTCGGGCAAGAATGCCTCCTCCCCACCCTCCCTCGTGGGAAAGCCCTCTGGCCAGCCCCAACAGGACTGTGGCTTCCAGCTCTCTCTGAAGAGCACCATCTAATCCCAGGGCTTCAGGTTCCCCACCGATTAAGTAAGGAATATAACCTGCCCCATCTACCTCTCCGGAGTAATTGATCCTTGTTTTTCAAGGAAAAAAAAGCCTAACTTAAATTGCTCTTATTCTGTGCTGGTCATTGCTCTAATCGCTCTACAAATAAAAGTTTAATTTTCACAAAACCTTGAGAAGTAGGTCATATTATCATTGTCCCATTTTATGGATAATCAACCAAGGCCCAAAAGAACAAGAGCATTCCAACCTGGGTGGTGTGGCCCAGGAGTTGTGTTCCTAACACCTGGCTAGGCTAACTCCACTCTGGACCCAAACCAATGCTACACTCTTCACTGCCTGGCCCCAGCCCCCTCACGCCCAGGGATTCTCATTCTGCCCCTCCTCAGCCTCCCACACCCCTCTGACGATGAGGACAGCCGCTTTCTGCAGCAGTGGCCTGCCCACGCCTCTTCAAAGTCCTTCCACTGAGCCTGTTCAGCCCCCTTCATCCACACTCCTGCCTGGGCCTTCTCTCCTTGCCATCCTGTGCTTCTCCCGAACGCCTGACAATTCCATAAGCAACTGCCTGACTCCCAGGCACAGAGGAAGGGTCAGCAGGCTCCATCGCCTCCATCCCCTCCTCTTGGAAGCCCAAACCTTCCCCCGCTTTGCCATCCCTCTCCAAGTCTCCAGGATGGGGGCCTGCGGTCATTCAGGAGCGCAGCCCCCAGACGCCTGTTGTAGCCACTTTGCCTCCTGTCCTCAAGACTTGCCTGCCCATTCTGGTGGAGCTGCGAGCCCTCAAGGCTCACTTCTGTAACAGCCAAAACTTTACGGTTGCAAATATAGAAGTCCAGCCCAAGCTGACTTCCACAAATAAGGAAATGTATTCATTCAAAAATCTGGAAAAATCAGGGGGTCATTTTGGATTCGGGTATAACTTGATCCAGGACTCAAACTCAATGTCTCCCTCCCTCTTCATGGAACCCCACATCTCCCGTCTCCCAGACTCACAGTGCCTTGCCCAGTGGTGCTGGACAACTTCCTTAATGTCTCAAACGGAAGCCCTGGACTTCAGTTTTCTTGGGGGGCTGGGAAAGTTGGGGGGTGGGGTGCGCAATGTGCTGTTTGGGTTGGAGGTCACATGCCCACCCTTAAATATGGGAGGGTGGGGGCAGTGTGGGATCAGCTTCATCAGAGGGGTGGATTCTCAAATGAATGCTGAGCCACCAATATCACAGAAAGATATGGGGAACTAACAAATGTCCCTCACACATTCCCAGGCTTTTCCCCTGTCAAAGTGGACAAGACCACATCTGATATCTTGTCCTTCCTCCAAACTGGAACTCTGAATTTCCCTTGCTAGCCACAGCCTTGAAGAATCTTAGAATACTAGAGCAAAAAGGGCCTTTATTGTCAAATGACCTCGACACACACACAGCCCCCTCCCTACTCACCCCCCAGGGCCCCATCCTATTGCAAAGCATCTCCCAGCTGGGTCCTGCCCCAAATTCCTGACATGCAACATTGTGAGATATAATAAAATGGTGTTTGACTTAAGGCGCTAAGTTTGGGGATAATTTGTTATGCAGCCACAGATAACTGGAATCATATCCAACAGAAATCTATGCACATGTGCACCGAAAGATATGTACAACAGTGTTTACTGTATCATTGTTTGCAAAAGCAAAAAATTGGAAACAACCTAAACCTCCATCAACAGAAAAACAGATTTTGAAGATCATGGTATATTCATACAATGGAATATATTTCAGCAGTGAGAACGAATAAATTGTAGCTACGTGTGTCAACACGGGCGATTTCAAAACAATGTTGGGCCAAAAAACAAATGGCAGAAGGATATGTACAGCTTGGGAACATTGATGTAAAGTTTTAAATTATGTAAAACTACAATATTTTGTTTATGGATACTTATCTATATAGCAAAAATATAACCACATGCAAGGGAATGAAGAACAACAAATTCATTATGGTGGTTACTTCTGGGGAGAGAGGGAGGGAGAGGATGCGGAAGGGTCTGCAGGGAGCTTCACTGTTCCCTGTTGTTGTCTTTCTTTTAAGAAAATCTGAAATAAATATGAAAATAGATTCAGCCCTGGCCAGGTGTGGTGGCTCATGCCTGTAATCCTAGCACTTTGGGAGGCTGAGGCAGGTGGATCACATGAGGTCAGGAGTTCGAGACCAGCCTGAACAACATGGTGAAACCCCATCTCTACTAAAAAAAAAGAAAAATACAAAATTAGCCAGGCTGGTTGCAGGCACCTATAATCCCAGCTACTTGGGAGGCTGAGGCAGGAGAATCACTTGAACTCAGGAGGCGGAGGTTGCAGTGAGCTGAGATTGCGCTGTTGCACTCCAGCCTGGGCAACAAGAGTGAGACTCCGTCTCTAAATAAATAAACGAAATGAAATAAAATAAAATAGATTCAGCCCAGACAAAGCGGGAAGGTGGGTACTACAGGGGGATGTTTCAAATTTCAAACAGCTTGAACTATCTGTACCCCTACATTCCACCTGGGGCTGGGCCAGGCATTAACTTTTTCATTGTCAGATGGCGGAAATGTCTAGGGAGGTTTGGGGAAGGGCCCTGGTTTCCGGAAATGTGGTATTCAAAGGTCTCCTGCTCAAGTCTCTAACTCTCTCATTCATTTCTCCAATACTGAGCCCCTACCGAGGGCTTGGCCCAGGGTCACAGGAATGAGTGAAAGAACGTCCCTGCTCACAATCGCTCCCAGCAGCCAGGGACAGACGAGCCCCCAAACACCGACACCTGTGGGCTACGGACCGAGAGAACAGGAGCAGGAGCTGTGGGTCCAGAAAGAGGGGCACAGCTGGACAGAGCCATGAAGGGCTTGCAGGGGGTTAGAGTATAGCACACAGAAGGGTATCTCCCGGCAGGGCCTCTCAATCAGAGAATCAGAGGGCAGGGCAGGGATGGCAAGCCAGCTAGCCAGGGATGGATTCGTGGGCCAGGTTTGGGGTGAGCCTTAGAGCAGGACATCTGCTAGGGACCTTCAGTTCAATTCTGCCCACCCCTGAGTGCCAGGGAGGGCCCTCAAGGCCTCCCAGGAGGTGGGCAGAGGCTGTGGCACTGCTCTGAGGCAAGTGAGGTGGTCGGCTCACAGAGGGTACTGCTCACAGCTAGACACAGGGACTCATGGTGCCGCCCCTGCCTGAGTCTCACCTGGCAGGTGGAGGCCAGGAGGAGAGGCTCAAACTCCTGGCACTGGTGTACAGCCTAGAGCTTGGTCCACCACTCAAAGTCCACCAGATGATCATTGTGTCATGGCCTGGAAGGTCTGGAAGGACCTTTGGGGTCACCCAGACATCTTCCCTCCTCCCTGTAGTGGGAATGAGAAGCCTGTAGGGTCTGTCTTAGGGTAGTAGGAGTCCTTGCTTGGAGCTTGGAGGGTGTCAGCGATGGCAGGAGAGGAGATCGATGGAAGTGGCACTGCCTCACTCACCGCTCACCATCCTGGGTTTGAGTCCACATGAATTCTCAGTGTTGCCTCAATTTAGGCCTCACCACTTCTCACTCCTGCCTCCAAACACACGTGTACACACGCACACACACACACACACACACACACACACACACTGAACCTCAAGTGCAGAGACCAGAGTTAATCATAATTCTTAGTAAAGCACATACAGATTCTTTCTTGCTTTATCTTATTTATTTCATTCCCCCTTTTATCCCATTCCCTTCCTGTATTCCACAGGGGCTGAGTCAATGTATTTGATATACAGCCTTGAATATGCCTGAGACTTTATAAAATGTGTAGTGGTGATACATTGTGTATATTGATGTGTCATCAATGAACATTAATGGCATAGTGCAGCAGTTCTCAAAGTGTGGCCAAGGAATCCCTGGGGGATCCACAAGGTCAAAAATATTTTCATAATAACACTGAGACATTATCCGCCTTTTTCTTCTCATTCTTGAACTTCTAAGTGTAGAGTGGCACTTTCCAGAGGCGACATGACACGTGATATCACAACAGACTGGATGCAGAAGCAGATATGGGAATCCAGCTATCTTCTCCTAAGCCAGATATTTAAAAGATTTGCAAAAAAAAAAAAAAAAAAGTTAATGCTACTTCTCATTACACTTTTTATTTTGGAAAATATAACTGTTTGTCTTAAAATATGTTATATGTGCTAACATGTAACTGACTTGTCTTTTTAATGAATTAAGAAATTGTTTTAAAATTTCTGTTTTAATTTCTGAGATGATACAGATAGAGATGACGGCCCACATAAACAAAAGCTCTTTGGTGTCATCCATTACTGTGAAAAGTTAGAAAGGGGTTCTGAGAGGGAAGTCTGAGAGTTGCTGGCATAACGTGATGACCCTCCTCACTCCCCTGTGCTTCCAGAGGCCTCTGTGCACTCTACGTAGGCCTCGTTCACTGCTTGCAAGCTTGCTTCCACTTCCACAGTGGGCCATCACATTGCACATACCCACTCCCTCGGAATGCACACCTGGCTTGCCTGTGACTTCCAGCCATCGTGAACATCCTCATTCATGCCCCTGTTTGACAAATTTTTCTGGGACATATACCCAGGAATGGAATTTCCAGGACAAAGAATATATGCAAACTTAATCAAAATAAAGAATATTTTCCAGACTGACTGTACCTGTTCACACTCCTACTCCTGTCTCCACTCCTACAGAGTGTACCTGTCTCCCCACGCACCTGTCAACACCTGGTTTCCATTATCCACCCTTCTAATTTGCCATTCTGATGGATACAAAGTGGCAACTCCTTGTTTTGATTTGCATTTCACTGATTACTGGTGAGCTGAAACATCTCTACAAGTCTTAGTCATTTGGGATTCGTCTTCTGAGAATTGCCTATTCATAGGCATCATCCCTTTTTCTGTTGGGTTTTTTGCCTTTATCTCGTTGATTTGGAGTTCTTTGAATAGTGTTAATCAGTGTTGCTCAAAGTGGGGACTAGCCGCCTATCTAAGAACAGTTTGTTAAATCAAAGTACCACTTCTTCAATCAACAAATTTCTTGCTTCAACAACCAAAAATCTCTGATAAACTAAACAACGTGCTTACAGACTATAGTTGACTGGCATTCCAATGCAACTCCTCATGTGCTCACAGACCCGTGCTTTGAATAGCAATGGGTTGAGATATTAATTGATTTTACCAACCTGCCATTTTTCTTTAATTGTGACTTTGATGTCCTTTATTGCATATAAATCTTTAATTTCGATATTGTCAAGCCTTTTCTTCTGCTTCATGGTTTGTGCTTTTTAGATCTTGGGGTTTCAAAATTTTTTACTTTTATAAAAATGTAAATTGACACATGATTATACATATTTAGGGGTTACATAGTGATGTTTCAATACAGATAATGTATAGTGATCAGATCAGGGTATTTAGCATATCATGATCTCAAACGTTTATCATGCCTTTGTTTTAGGAACATTCGGTATCTTCCTTCTAGCTATCTGAAACTATGTAATGTATTATTAACTCTAGTCATCCTGCAGCGGTATAGAACACCAGAACTCATTCCTCCAATCTAGCTGTAATTTTGTATCCTTCAACAAATCTCTCCCTACCCCTCTCTTCCCTCTACCCTTCCCAGCCTCCGGTATCCTTTGTTCTCCTCCTTACTTCTAAGAGATCAGTTTTTGTTTTTTGTTTTTTTCAGCTTCAACATGTGAGTGAGAACATGCAATGTCACGGATGGATCTAGAGGGCAATATATTAAGTGAAATAATCCAGGAACAGGAAGTTACATCTTGTTTTAAAAAGTCCTTGTCATTTTGAACACAGACTGATTATGAGATAATAATATTGAGCAATAATTCTTAATTTTTCTAGGTGTGTAATGATATTATGTTTATAATATTTTTTAGTCCTTATCTGTTAGAGATAACTACTGAAGTATTTATGGGTGAAATAATCGGTGTCTTGGTTTGTTTTAAAATATTAGAGGAAAAGATTCAACGTACGCAAGTCAATAAACATAATTCATCACATAAACAGAACTAAAGACAAAAACCATGATTATCTCAATAGACACAGAAAAGGCCTTTGATAAAATTTAACATCCCTTCATGTGTAAAAATTCTCAATAAACTAGGTATTGAAGGAACATACCTCAAAATAATAAGAGCCATTTATGACAAACCCACAGTCAATTTCATACTGAATAGGCAAAAGCTGGAAACATTCCCTTTGAAAATCAGCACAAGACAGGGATGCTCTCTCTCACCACTACTATTCAATATAGTATTGGAAGTTCTGGCCAGGGCAATCAGTCAAGATAAAGAAATAAACCATATTCAAATAGGAAGACAGAAAGTCAAATTGTCTATTTGTAGATGACATGATCCCATATCTAGAAAACCCCATCGTCTCAGCCCAAAAGCTTCTTAAGCGGATAAGCAACTTCAGCGAAGTCTCAGGATACAAAATCAATGTGCAAAAATCACAAGCATTCCCATACACCAACAACAGACAAGAGAGAGCCAAATTTTGAATGAATTTCCATTCACAATTGCTACAAAGAGAATAAAATACCTAAGAATACAGCTAACAAGGGAAGTGAAGGACATCTTCAAGAACTACAAACCACTGCTCAAAGAAATCAGAGAGGTCACAAACAAATGGAAGAATATTCCGTGCTCATGGATAGAAAGAATCAATATGATGAAAATGGCCATACAGCCCAAAGTAATTTATAGAGTCAGAGCTATTCCCATTAAACTATCATTGACATTCTTCACAGAATTAGCAAAAACTAATTTAAAATTCATATGGAACCAAAAAAGAGCCTGAATAGACAAGACAATCCTAAGCAAAAAGAACAAAGCTGGAGACATCATGCTACCTGACTTCAAACTATACTACAAGGCTACAGTAACCAAAACAGCAAGGTACTGGTACAAAAACCAATAGAACAGGATAAAGAACTCAGAAATAAGACTCATAGACCAATGGAACAGAATAGAGAACTCGGAAATAAGACCACACATCTATAACCATCTGACCTCTGACAAACCTGACAAAAACAAGCAATGGGGAAAGGATTCCCTATTTAATAAATGGTGCTGGGAGAACTGGCTAGCCATATGCAGAAAAGTGAAACTAGGCCCCTTCCTCACACCTTATACAAAAATTAACTCAAGGTGTATTAAAGATTTACATGTAAAACCCAAAACTATAGAAACCCTAGAAGAAAATCTAGGAGATACCATTCAGGACATAGACATAGGCAAAGATTTCATGACAAAAACATTAAAAGCAATTGCAACAAAAGCAAAATTTGACAAATGGGATCTAATTAAATTAGAGAGCTTCTGCCCAGCAAAAGAAACTAACATCAGAGTGAACAGACAACCTACAGAATGAGAGAATATTTTTGTAATCTATTCACCCGACCAAAGTCTGGAATTTACAAGGAACTTAAACAAATTTGCAAGAAAAAAACAAACAACCTTATTAAAAAGTGGTAGGCAAAGGACATAAACTGACACTTCTAAAGAAGACATTTATGCGACCAACAAACATATGAAAAAAAGCCCAACATCACTGATTATTAGAGAAATGCAAATCAAAACCACAATGAGCTACCATCTCATGCCACATGAATACCATCAGAATGGTGATTATTAAAAAGTCAAGAAACAACAGATGCTGATGAGGCTATGGAGAAATAGGACCTCTTTCACACTCTTGGTGGGAATGTAAATTAGTTTAACCATTGTGGAAGACAGTGTGGCAATTCCTCAAAGACCTAGAACCAGAAATACCATTTGACCCTGCAATCCCATTAATGGGTATATACCCAAAGGAATATAAATCATTCTATTAAAAAATACTTGTATGTGTATGTTCATTACAGCACTATTTATAATAGCAAAGACATGAAATCAACCCAAATGCCCATCAATGATAGACTGGATAAAGAAAATGTGGTACATACACACCATGGAATATTATGCAGCCATAAAAAGGAACAAGATCATGTTCTTTGCAAGGACATGGATGGAGCTGGAAGCCATTATCCTCAGCAAACTAACCCAGGAACAGAAAACCAAGCACCACATGTTCTCACTTATAAGTGGGAGCTGAACAATGTGAACACTTAGACACAGGGAAGGGAACAACATGCACTGGGGCAGTGGGGGGTGGGGGCGTGGGGAGAGAGAGCATCAGGAAAAAGAGCTAATTCATTCTGGACTTAATACCTAGGTGACGGGTTGACAGATGCAGCAAATGACCATGGCACATGTTTACCTATATAACAAACCTCCACATCCTGCACATGTACCCTGGAACTTTAAATAAATAAATAATACAGCAAAACAAAGTGAAAAGATCAATAAAACAAGGTTGTGGCAGGGATCTTAGGACAGTAGCTATTTACCTGCCTGAATGGAAGACTGGCGAAATATTGATGGATGTGTTGATGTAATGAGTACAGAAAGGTTCATTATACTGCACTCATCATTCTTTGTGTACATATAAAAATTTTAAAATATAAAATAATATTTTCCTATGCTAAGGCACACAAAAAATATTGTGTACTTTTGACTATTAACTTTGTAATTTTACCGTTTCGTTTAAATATTCATCTGCAGTTTACATTTGTATATGGTTAAGGGCAGGGATATAGCTTTTATCTTTCTCCATGGAGTGAGTCAGGTGCCCCAATATGGTTTACCAAAGTTCATTCTTTCCCAGGGTAGGACTATGATTCTACTGCACTGATCACCCAAATTTCCAAACTTTTGCTCCTCTGTTTCCCTTGGACATGATCCCCATTCACCAGGTGAGGATAGCATGTGAAAAGGAGAGAGAGATGTTTGTAAGTTACTCACAAAAGTTTCACCAAACTTGCTCCTCTGTTCCCTTGGACATGATCCCCATTCACCAGGTGGGGATAGCTGAATGTTCTAGCATGTGGAAAGGAGAGAGAGATGTTTGTAAGTTACTCACACTTCTGCTAATGTTCCATTGGTCTGAACTTGGTTACAAGCCACACCTAGCTGCAAGAGATGCTGGGAAATATGGCAGCAGGCTAGGCAACTGTGTGCTTAGCTAAGACTGAAAGGTTCTACAGTAGAAGAAAAAGTCTAAAATTGACTTACTATTCGTGGATCTTTATTCTTCCACATAAACTTTAGAATGACTTTGTTGGTATCTTTGAGAAATCCAACTAAATTTCTTATTAGGATTGATTTTAATGTGTAGATTACTTTGCAAGTTGTTAACATCTTTATTAGGTTAACTCATCCCATGTATACTTATAGAATATCTGTTTGTTTTTTCAAATCTTTTTACGTTTTCTTTAGTAGAGAATGTTTTCTCAAAGGTTTTGTTGATTTTTTGTAAAGTTAATTCCTAGATAGTTTATAGTTCATATGATACAGTGCATAGTGTTGCAGTTATAGAACAGAGAGTGGCAACTATGTCCCACAGGTGAAATTCAGCCATGCCCTGTTACTCTATGACCCATAAGCTAAAAATTGTTTTTATACTTTTAGAGGGTTTTTTGTTTAAAAAAATAAAAACAGGAAAAAAAAGAAAAAAGTATGTGTTATAGAAACCATATATGGCCTACAAAACCTAAAATTGTTAACTATCTGCCCACTTATAGATAAACTTTGACAACCCTGGTATAAAGGAATGCTATTAATGTTTTAAGTTGATCTTTTATCTTGTAACCTTGATGAGTTTTCTAATATTTTTTTTTCTTTGAGACAGAGTCTTGCTCTGTCACCCAGGTTGGGCATGCAGTGATGCGATCTTGGCTCACTGCAACCTCCGTCTCCCAGGTTCAAGCAATTCTCCTGCCTCAGCCTCCTAAGTAGCTGGGATTACAGGTGTGCACTACCACACCCAGCTAATTTTTGCACTTCTACTAGATACGGGGTTTTACCATATTGGCCAGGCTGGCCTCTTGTGATTCTTGACCTCAAGTGATCTGCCTGCCTCAGCCTCCCAAAGTGCTGAGCCACTTGGGGTGGCTCCCAAGGCGTGAGCCACCACCTCCAATCAGTTTTCTAATAATTTTTCTGTTGACTTCCTTAGGCTTTCTATGCAGTTGATGATATCTCCCACAAATGACAGTCATTTATCTTCCTTTTAATCCCTCTTGAAACTTTTCCTTGTTTTAAATCTTTGGACAGGCCCTAAAATACTATCCTTTAAAAAAATAGTAATGATAATGTAAGTACAGCTGCCTTGTTCTAAATCGTAATGGAAATGAGCCTAAAGTTTCTCTATTAATTATTACTTTGCTGTAGGTTTTGGGTATATAGCCTTTATCAAATTAAAGAAATTGCCTTCTATTCTTGGTCTTCTAAGAGATTTTTCATCAGAAAAATGTATTGAAATTTCTCAAGTGCTACTGAAATAATCATAATTTTGTCATTTCATTCATTAAAGGGAAGAAGTGCAAGGACAGATTTTCTGATGTTAAGCTATCCTTGCATTCCTAGGACAAACCCCATGTTCACTATGCTGTAAGTGAAATGTCTATAATTTCCTGTACTATCTTTTTCAGGTTTCAGAATCTAGATTATACTAACTAGATTCATTAAGTGAATTGGCACCTTTCCTCCTTTATCAAATTCTGGTATAAATTTTCTAAGAGACTAATAATTTATTCTTTGAAAGCCTGATAAAATTCATCTATAAGACTGTCTGGCCATCCTGGCTAACATGGTGAAACCCCATCTCTACTAAAAATACAAAACATTAGCCAGGCATGATGGCGGGCACCTGTAGTCCCAGCTACTCGGGAGGCTGAGGGAGGAGAATGGCATGAACCCAGGAGGCGGAGGTTGCAGTGAGCCGAGATTGTGCCACTGCGCTCCAGCCTGGGCGACAGAGCAAGACTCCAACTCAAAAAAAAAAAAAAAACAGACTGTCTGGGCCTATCATTTTTTGAAGGAAGACCTGTGATAAGCCTTTTAATTTTTAAAATAGTAACTATTGATCTATTCAAGTTTTCTTTTCCCTCTTGACTTTTTTCTCCATTTTGTGTTTTCCAGGACTTTATTCATTTTGCTTAGGTTTATCAATTTATTACCATGTGATTATTTATACTATTATATTCTTAGAATATCATTTCTTTATAGTTATTTTTATTTTTGATTACACATTATGTTTGCATATTTATTCTTTTTTCTTTGATCCACATATTTATTTAGTGAAACAGCTTTTGGTTTCCAGCAGTTTATCTTTTTTACTCTCTATCCTTATTTTATTATTTCTTTCCTTCTTTCCTTTGTTTTGCTTTATTGCTATTTTCCAACCTTAGCTCATTTGTTTCATTATATCTTGCTTCTTGATAAAGGTACCTAAAGCTATATATTTTCCCGTGAGTACTTACTTTAGCTGTGTCTCAAAATTTGGGCATATGGCATTTTTATGGTCGTTCAGGTCTAAGTATTTTATAATTGTCCCTGGTGATTTCCTCTTTAATCCAGGTGTAATTTACTAGTATGTTACATATTTCCAGACATACAGAATATTTGCAGTTATCCTTTTGCCGCTGATTTATGATTTTATTATGTGGTAATCAGAAAACATAAATTATGTGATGCTGGTTCCTTCAAATGCATCAAGACATCCTTTGAGGCCCAGGATGAAGTCAATTTTTGTTGAGTGCATCACGCGTGCTTAGAAAAAATTTGCATTCTCTGCTTGTGCAACATTTTATATGCCTATGTAAATTGGAGTTTATTAATTGTGTCTATCATATCTTTCTTGGTCTGCTTGACCTGTTCAGTGAAGTATATGTTAAAACTGACTACTACAATTGTTTACCAAAGCAATCTTTCTAACACAAAAATTCAACCACATCATTCCCGTTGCTTTCAAGAAAAAAAAAATTAGAAATAAAAAACATGTGCAGCTCAGACTGCAGTAAGGCCCTCTTTGCCCAGGCCTGACATGAGACCTCCATCAGGTCATCTGTCCTCCACCAGCGCCGCCTCCCTGACCCACACCCCATGGTCACAGTGAATTCCTTGCCGTGCATGAACTGGAGTACCACGCTCCCTCTCACTCTCTGTGTTTAGGCACCGTGACTCCTGCTTCTGGAATTTTCTCCTGAAACTAACCTAGCTTCTCGTAAGTGCCCACTTGCCCTTCAAGATTCAGCTCAGGTTTTTCCAACCTCATCCGTCGCCGTGACCCCACAGACACCTGGACTCCTGCCAGGCCGTGCCATCTCCAGCACCCCTGCTGTGCCACACCCTCTCCCGCCTCTGAGCCTTTGCCCAAGCTGTTCCCTCCACCCAGAGGCACTTCTTGGATGGCCCTCGTCTCTGCCACTCCAGGACTCAGCTCAATCCCCTTCCCCTAAAAATATCTCTCCACTTTGGTCTGTTTGGGATGCCTCCTTCCAATAATCCTGCAAACACTGGGTGCTGCCTGTGTGCTGTGGCTGTGCTGCACGTGGGGTCAACCTCAGCTCTCCCCGAGAGTTACATTCTGGAGCCTGAGTGGCAAACTCAAATGTTCACAGGGTTCAGGAAGGTCCTAGGAACACGTTAGCAGCTGCCCAGGGACTGTGAGACTCTGCCCCATCCAAAGGCCACAGTTGTGGCTCAGCCCCTCCATTGGTAGTGTTTGGAAACGTAGGCCCTGCTTACCCACTTGCCTGAGTTTTCAAGAGAAGGTATACATTTTACCACATTGGTAACTAATTCAAACGTTTTTGAAACACAGTGCTGGACAAGCAGAGCAAGCCTGCCAGCCAGGGGCCAGGTGTAACCAGTGGCTGCCCAGGCTTCGGCCTCTGGTCTGGAGGCACATCAAGAGAGCATCTAACTCAGCCACAGGAGTGGCTCCCAGGGGAGAAGCCACTTGGGCAGAGTGCTGAGCCATGAGCGTGAGGAACCTGCAGAAAGAGCTGGGAAGAATGTTCCAGGAAGAGGAACAAGAGGCCAAATGATGGCCCTGGTTGTTACGATGAGTGCTCCACCCCATCCACGCAGGGGCAGGGAAGGCCTTGCCCCGCCTCCCCAGGAGCCTGCTTTTCCACTGCAGGCTACACAGAGGACAGCCCACCCTGACCCCTTGGCTGGCAACTCTCCACAGGAGGAGTCCCAAACTGACCAAGGGGAGGAAGAGTCACAGTCCCCTTTGCCAGGCCTGGGCTGATTCCAGGGGAAGCCACATTCAAGTACCCGAGGCCAGGACCAGTGTGAGGTCCACTGGGTGGAGACGGAGGTGGCTTTGGAGATGGCAAAGGATGAGGGCACCCCCTTCACAGACCAAGCACATCCCTGCTGGAGGGCAGCCTCCTCCTTCCATGAGCATCCGGGGAGGAGGTTGTGGAGTGCGGCCCTGCTCGACCAGGACAGCCCAAGAGACAGGTGGATCAGAGACTCAAAGAGGGAAGTGATCTCCGAAGTATACTCCCTGGCTGGCCAGCCCCAGCGGGGGTGTGTGCCTGGCTCGGCTGTTTTGTCTTTTGTGTTCAATGGAGCTCTCTGCTTTTCAGGAGAGGCAGGATAGGAAATTATTGGAAGGCACAAGCACAAGCGGACAGAAGAGAGGCACTCAGGTTGACCGAGCTCGGTTCTGCTGATGTGAGAACAGGTATAACCTGGGCCCCCCTGCACCAGATCTGAGCCCTACCAAGTGGGTAGGGCTGTACCAGTGGGGCCCTACCAAGCCAGGCATGCCACGCCCCATGCTGATATGTAAGCTGCTCATTCAGCCAACATGCATTCACCAGGCACCTACTGCGTGTGAGGGGCTGTCCCAGTCACTAAGGAAACAACCGCCAGGGGATGGGAGCGGTAGACACACCAAGGAACATCTGCCCTAAAGTGTCTGGGTGTGTAGGGGCCTCAGCGCTGGAAGAGGGGTTTCAGGAAAGAATTTCAGAGCAGGGATCGTTGGCAAGCCATGTCTTGAGCAGTGACAGTATTTGCTCATGCAGATGCCAGAATGCTAGGGAGAAGGGCGCTCCAGGGAGTGGGACCAGCTGGCAGAGGCACGGAGGTACGAGCATCCTAGAACATGAGCAAATGCCAATTAGGTCCCTTGGATGGGAGCATAAAGCTCAAGGCAATGGGCGCAGAGAGACTGGAAGGACTTGAAGGATCCTGTGAAGCTTCAACTTCATTCTGTGGGCAATGGGGACCCCCATGGCTTCCAGCCTTACAAAGGCCATGTGGACACTGGACAGGGGGGCCCAGCCCAGAAATGCAGGCCGGAAGCTATGGGCCAGGTGATGGGGAGCTCTCCTGGAAAGAGAATCAGCACGACTGGGTGATGAATGGGTGCCCGGTTCTCTGGTCCTTGGGGACACTTTCCCTTTCAATGGTCTAGATGTGCTTAGCAACCACCTCCACTGTCCAGGTATTCAAGAGCTACTTTCTGTGAGTCCAAAGGTGGACCCTGACTGATATCAGAGAAGGCCCAGCTGACCTGAAGGCTTCCCACAGAAGGCCTCTGTGTGCTGACCACACAGGCTCAGTCTCTCCTAAGACACAGAGGGATGCCTGGCCTCCCTCAGAGTCCTGGGGGTCTACATGTTCCCCTTTGGAGCCTTGGGGGCTCTCTGTTATGGCAGCTGAAGACATAGGAGCAGCCAGGGGGCTCACAGGAAGTCCAGAACACACCCTGCCAGGGGCTTTGGCGAACCAATCTTGGCCCGTAACAACCTAATAATGTAGGTGGCTGGGGGCCTGGGAGTTGAGACAAACTGACCTTGAAGTCCAGCTCTTTCTCAGGGCAGCGTGACCCTAGACAGGTTTTTTAACCTCTCTGGGTCTCTGTTTCTTTATCTACAGTTTGCTGTGTGCCAGGCACTGTGCCAAGTCATCTCATGCCTATTTCATCCAATCCCCACAAGCTCCAGGGGCAGGCTCTGTCACCTGGCCCCATTTTATAGATGAGGAAACTAAAATTCCAAGAGGACCAAGTACTCATCCCTTAGAAGGCTGGACTTTTCGAATCCGTCTGCATCGCTGGCTGAATTCTGTCTCCATGGCTCTGTCTAATAACCCTGACTCCATGCTGTGCACTTTCCCCGGGGCCTGGCATAGGGAGGAGTCAGTGCCTGGAATTTCCTTGCCTCCCCCATCATCTCCCAGCCCCCACAACCCTGCTCCCTGAGAAGTTGTGACTCAGGTGGAAGCCCTGTCCCAAGCTCATTTTCTTATTTGCTCTTTCTGCCTCGAAGCCTTAAATAACCCCATGAATTCCTGAAATTCCAGAATTTTTCAAATAAACTTCCTGCAAAAAGACATAAGGTGTGCACCAAGGGACCTGGGCAGGTTGTGCAGCCTCTGTGAATATGGACAGAGAGAAGCAGGTGTGGTCAGGAAGCTTCCTGAGCAGTAGAGGTCCCTCCACTCAGGGACTTAGCTGCCTAGGCTGATGCAAGATGGCCCTGTGTGTCCAACTGCATGTGTGCGTGTGTGTACACATAGGGGTACACATGCACTGCACACATGCACCCACAGATGCACTCGGATGCACACACAAACACATGCCATAATTGCAGGGGCCCAAATAAATGCCCACACATGCTTGTGCACGCAGTCACAGAACCCCCGGGGCAGGGCAGGGGGCAGTCATTGGACACAGTTGAGGGAAATGCCTCCCCAAGCCTGGCACTTCTCCTGAGAAGGGGCATGGGTTGGGCTCAGGGACCCTGGGGGAGGCCTCTAGAGGCAGGAGAGTGAAAGCAGGGTGTGGAGAAATAGGACCTCTTTTACACCGTTGGTGGGAATGTAAGTTAGTTTAACCACTGTGGAAGACAGTGTGGTGATTCCTCAAAGACCTAGAACCAGAAATACCATTTGACCCTGCAATCCCATTAATGGGTATATACCCAAAGGATTATAAATCATTCTATTAAAAAATACATGTATGTGTGTGTGTATGTATGTGTATGTTCATTGCAGCACTATTTACAATAGCAAAGACATGAAATCAACCCAAATGCCCATCAATGATAGACTGGATAAAGAAAATATGGTACATATACACCATGGAATATTATGCAGCCATAAAAAGGAACAAGATCATGTTCTTTGCAAGGACATGGATGGTAAGCTGGAAGCCATTATCCTCAGCAAACTTACACAGGAACAGAAAACCAAGCACCGCATGTTCTCACTTATACGTGGGAGCTGAACAATGTGAACACTTAGACACAGGGAAGGGAACAACACACACTGGAGTCAGTTGGGGGAGGGGCTCCCGCTCCCCCAAACCCACTGATCCACCAGCCTGAGGCCACCTTGAGTCAGTCCATCAGCTGATGAGGCCCAGGTCTCCCAGGTTTCCAGCAGAGCAAGGTTTCCTGGGACAGTCGGTTTCAGGGCCTTAGGTCTGCACCCCGTCTCATCCCGGCCATGATCCCCTGGCACCTGTCACTGCAGCCTCACTGGAAGGAGCAACGTCACCTCCATGCACCCAAGCAATTTCTCAACTCTGCCACAGACACATTCCCTGGAGCCCTCCACTCCCACCCTCACACTCTCATCAACACACACACACACACACACATACACCAATACACACCAGCACACACGCACACACACTCATTCACATGCACACTCATGCAAGGCTGGCAAATTTCAACTCACCCTGTAAGACGATTTTGCCCTCTGTGTGAGGCTGGTACCCCAGTTAAATAACATGAACTCCACCGGAAGAAAGTTATTCCCTTTTCAATAAGTTCCTTTTCAACAGCTGCTAATTATATCAAGGAGTTTGATGCTAGCAAGCTCTAACATCTTTCTAGCACTCATTAATCTCACTTATTCGCAGAGAGCAGGCCTCAGAGCTGTCCTGCAGGCAGCAGCGTCAGGAGGGAGCTGGCTAGCCTTTCTTGTGTGTATTGCCTTCTACTCAGGGCAGATGATGTGCTTTTCTGTTGATGGTAGTGGTACGGTTTCCTGTACAATAAATGCAAGAGGGCCTTTTTTAAGTGAATTAAAGAAAAATACTACATTAATAATGGTATAGAAAGTTTCAGAAAATAGCACAGGTGGCAAGATTTGTCTTAGGGGTCACCTTCAAGAGGCCCTCCCTGACCTTCCTGCTCTCTGGAGTGTCCCACATACTGGACACCTGTGTTATCATGGTGACCATGTGTTTACACATTGGCCAAGCTTGTGGCCCCAGAACCCATCCAGGCCTGGTGCTTTGGCTTTGCCAGGTCAGTGCTTGGTCCCATGGGGTGAACGCCTCTAGCCCTGGTACCCTGTGCTCTGCCCAAATCTGGCCACCCATCCACGCCCTAGAACAGCAAAGATGGGAGGTTTCTACCATTTCTGGACACAGCCTCGTCTGATGGGTCAGTTCCCAGTCCAGAGGCACTTTGCCCAGCCATGGCCTGGGACCTTGGGCAGGCTACTTCTTCTCTCTGAAAGCCTTGGCCTCTGTCCTGGGTCCTGACCCACATTCCCTGCTGCCTGCCAGATCCTCCACTGGGATGGTCCCCTCCCCTGCTCCTCCCAAACCTTCCTGCTTCTTTCCAGACCTGCCACCAGCCTCCCTCCTCCCCAGTCCCACCTCAATGCCCCTAATGGACAGCTCGGTGGCACTGGCCATCTCTCCCTCCCTCAGCCTCCCCTCCCAGGCAGGATCATCAGGCCTGCGGCTTGTGCCTCCCTCCTGCTGTAACCACCTTGCCTCAGACTCTGCTCACTGCCTCCCAGAACCATCAGCTCGCCCTTTGAGCAGCTCTGCCCATCGACAGCCCCTCTGCCCTGAAGAACCCCCACCCCGCACAGTTCCAATCAAGCACTCCCTCTTCAGCCCACCGTGGCTCCCCATCACTCACAGGGAAGAGAAGTTTGGACACCAACATTTATGAAGCCCCTGCCATAAGCTTCAGGTTTATAGCTAGGCACGTGTTCTCCATATAGCACCTTGTTTAATCTGCACAACAGCCTTTTGTTAATCGTGTTTTACAGATGAGGAAACTGAGACTCAGAGAAGCTAAGTCAATCCCCGAAGGAGGTAGTGGGGAAAAGACAATCACGTGGAGAGAATTGTGTACAAAATGGCACAAGGGTACATGGGCACTGTGCACGTTGGAAAAGGTTGAGTGGGACTGGAACCGGGGGATCAGCGCCGAGCAGGGGTGAGGCCAGGAAGGAAGTCGAGGCCTGGCTGAGAAGAGCTTCCGGGGCCCAACGAGCTGGAGTCGGACCACTAGGGGAGCAGCAGCTGCCTAAAGGGGGATTCACGTGCAGAGAGGCAGGGGCACAGGTGTCTCAGGAGGCTGGATGGAGGGGGATGCACCAGGCCAGGCAGGAAAGGACTAGGGACAAACCCAGGCAGCAGGGCAACCAGGGATGAGGACTCACAGCCTGGGCAGAATTAGCGGGAGCTGGGTATTCTGAGGCCAATAGAGGAAGCCAGAAAGGCTGGGAGCTTCCCTGCTGAGCAGCTCAGGGACCTGGCACTCGCTTTCTCCTCCCTACCCCTCGGCCCCACCTGACATGTACACAGATTTCTCCAAGTTTCACCCCTCCCAAACCCGCGCCACCCACACGCCAAAATGTGAATCCCTGGAGGGCAGGGGTTTGATCTACTTTGTTCCCTGCTGATCCCAGTGCCTAGCACTCTGCCTTGTTTGACAAAATATGATGAATGAATAAAGGATCTGTAAATGAATGTGCTATATTGGTATTTAGGAAGACAGAAAGGGAAATCCATTTGCAAGGGAAGAAAAGCAGCTCCATCTGGGACCTGTGGAGTCTCTCCCCGCACAGGAGTGGACACCATGCCAGCAGATGGCCAGTGACGACTTGGAGGGTCGGAGCTAGCAAATCCATGTGACTTGCTTTTTCATCCTCTCCCTCTCCCTGCTCTCCCGCTGGACCCGGGAGGGCCAGCTGTGCCTCCATCTACCCGAGAGGCAGTGGGCATGGTGAGTGTGAAGGCGAGAGGCACAGGTGGTAGCCCTGCCACTGCTGACCTCATGGACCAGTCCCCCTCCCTGAACTGCAGTCTCCAGGTCGACCATGGGATGACACCTCCTCCCCTCCACTGGACGTGCCAGGACCTCTGTCCTCTGGCTGTCCTGGTTTCTTCTGGGACAGTCAGTCTCCAAACAGTGCCCCACACACCCACCGCCTATCTCTGGACACTGCTGTCTGACCACGTGGCAGGCCTGGTAAAGGAGGCTTCGTCCCTAGCCTTGAGTGTCTGGTCTACAGGGCCCAGAACAGTGCCTGACACACTGTAGGTAGTCAACCAATATTTTTGAGTGAATGAAGGAATGTCACTCTGACTGGCTTGTTTTTACTGTCTTTTCGAGAACCTCGGAGTGACAGTTAACTACCAAATCAGAGCAACAGCATTCTTAATCATTACGACAAAAATGAGCCACTGTGACAGTGTGGTTATATTGATACAGTCACTTCCCGCAAGTTCCTCGGACCCTGACAGCAACTCTTTCGGTCAGAACACGAGTCTCATGTCCATCTTCCACGTGAGGACCCGCAGCTCTGAGAGTCAGCCCCAGCCCAGGCTGGGACGAAGGGCCAGCTTCCGGGTGCCCCGAGGGACCTCTGAACCAGGGTGTGGCAGTGGCGAGGACTGGGGAGATGTGATCTCACCTGAGGGTGGGGTGGTAGAAGCCTGCTCAGTGGGGACATGAAAGCCAGGCATGAAAGCCAAACGCTCCCGGGCACCCAGTGCGGTGTGAGCACTCACAAAGGCATCCCATTGTTTGCTTTCTACAAACACCAGGACAAACAGCACCTCCCGGGGCTTCATTCCTGTGCCTGTTGACCCATAGCAGTGGACAGCACACACTCCATGCTGGGTGGCTCCACTGCCCCCACAGTGGGGCCCATGAGGATGGACACCTGGTGGACGACTCTGCCAGGGCCCTGGATGTCCTGGCCTCCCAGGTCACAGAGAGTCCAGCCCTGCCCAGACCACCTGGCTTCTTAGCATCCAGCTTATCATCATCCGGGGGCCCCCAAGCTTCCTAAGGCCGGGCAGGGTCCTGTCAAGGGGTTCACGTCTCTGAGTGCCCCAGCATTGCACCCTTGCTGATGGGGAGGGGGATTTCAAGTCGCGGGGGAGGCTTGGATGGTGTTGCACCCAGATGAGCAGGCATCCTCCTGGGCTTGCCTCGGGGCCACCTGCCAGCTAGGCTGGGGGTGGGGTGAGGGTAGGTGGTGCTCAGTTGGAGATAACCCTGACATGGCCAAGTGGGGAAGGCAGCGTCCAGAGGGCCCCGGGAATAAAAGGGCTGGACCAGTCTGATCTGAGGGCTGGGGATGGCTGGCTACGGGGCTGAAGGTCAAGAAGGCCACAGACGTGGCTTCAAGGAGCCCCTGCATGCTGGAGGAGGGGACGGAAGCCGTGCAGGGAAAGGGAAACAGGGACACCACCAGACCGAGGGCAAGCAGGGGAGCAGGGGTTGGGTAGGCGTGACTGCTGCAGCCCCAGTCCAGTGTGCATAGTTACTCCGGGCAAATGGCTGCATCTCTGTGCTCACGACAAAAACAGCCCTGCCAGCAAGCACCCACCCCATTCCTGACCATAGTAACTCACTCTGCATTCAGGGGACCCACGGCTCCAACACTTGGGGCTCCTGCCTCCTGCCTCCCACATAGAATGTGTCTCTCAGCCAGCTGCCGGGAGGCCTTTGGGGAGAAGGATACCTGCTTCCCATCCTGGCCCCAGATTTGGTATCATCATTATTACTTTGCAATTTAAAAATCAGGCTCATGCCCTGGAACTCACGTCACCCACAGAGCAGCTGCTGCAGTAGGTATCTTGGGCTGGAACCAATATGCTCCAAGGCACTGGGATCCTTACTTTCAGCTACATCCCCAGGGCCTAGCACATAGTTTGTGCTTGACAAACACTTGTGGGAAGGAAAGAATGAAGAAATAAATGCTAAAAATAACAAATACTTATCTACTATACACCAGGCCCTGTTCCGTCCCCTTTACCTATATCATCTCGTTTAGTCTTCACAGCAACCTGAGGGGTAGGCACTGCCATGGTTCCCATTTTACAAATGGGAAACTGAGGCTCAGAGACATTAAACGGCTTGCCAGTTGCCAGCAGAGAACAGAGCTAAGCCTCAATCTGGCATCTAGGTTCTCCAACCTTCTTCACCTGCTCTTCCTGCTGGAAAGGCTCAGGATGTGTTTTCCACGTGGCTTGAGGGCTCTGAGAATATCCCACCATCCGAGACATCTGTGACCCCGGGACTCAGGACATCCGGCCCTCCCCCACCCCGGGCTCCTGTCGCTGAAGTCAGTTTCACCCTTGTGTGTTGCAGCCCCACTGGGATGAGGGAAGCGATACACCCCTCACACCTGAGCTCGAATTATTTATGAACAGCCCTCCAGCTACGGGCAGCTTGTGGGAGGCAGGTGGGGTCCCCTCTGCGCCCCATGCCTGCCCCCATGTCTGCCGTCCGTTTCCCTGCTCTTCACCAAGGGCTGGCCTAGGTCAGGCACCGAGCTGGGAGCTGGGCTGTGTGGAGGACGGGGTGTGCCCTGCCCACAGGAACACCCAAGAGCATCTGCTGCAGAGAGCCTGGTGCATGCGAGAGACAAGATGCCTGGAGCTCCAGGGAGTGCCGGCCACTTGCCGCGGGTGTGATCAGAGCCGTCTTTGTGGAATAAATGAACGAGTGGATGATGACTCAGCCACCAGTGAGTTAGTAAATATTGTGTGTCCCTCACAGGCTGGGGGCCATGGAGAGAACCCTCAGCAAGGCCATACTGAATTGCGTGGCATCTGGTGAGACTAGGCTCAGATAACCTTCCTCAGATTCTTCCAGGCAAGTAGAAAGATTACGTTAGTGAAAATGCTGTCCAGCTCTGTGCCTGTGAGTGAGACCCCCAGGGCAGGGCAGGGCAGGGTTTACGGCATCCTCCTCCCCCACACCCACACTCTCCACCCTAGCCCTACTTTCCCGGCCCAGAAACCACCACACTTCTCCAGGACTCAGATGCTCCCTGTGGACACGCGGGCTACAGATGCTGTCCTTGCCCCAGCCGGATCACCTTGGTCCTCCTCTGAGGTCACCTGTACTTCAGTGGACAGTTCCCATGTATGTGGCCCACTTCCAACCTGGGGCCTGCACGGGTGGGGGTCAGCCCCAATTTTCTGTGTGGCCAAGAACTTCATCTGCAGCTGTGGGTCCAACCACCCTCAGGGCCAGGAGAGGAAGTCCTTCCTTGGGCTCAGTCCCTCCTCGGGCTCAGCTCTCCCCCGGCCCTGCCAAGACAGGGGTGAGAAGACAGGAGCTTCTTCCATCTTCATATCCCGAGGGGCAGCCTTTGCTGGGTAATTTCTTGTGCAAGACCCATGGGGTCCTCACAACAGCTTTGGATTGTCGTCCCCACTTGACAGTTGGGGAATCTGAGACTGAAGTCATCACAAGGCCAGTGTCAAAGCTGAGAGCAGTGCTAAGAACTCCTGCCCGCCGTCCCGAGCCCCCAACATCATCCCCCGACCCACCACTGTCCTCAGGAAAGAGGCAGAAGTAGATGATACTAGGATGGTCCCTAGCCTGGCTATGGCGAGCCCCTGTTGTCCCCGGCGTGCCAGTGGCGGGCGGAGCTCCCCAGGGAATGCTACAGTGGAACCCAGGAAAGGATGGGACTGCCCTTCCTCCAATGAGAGTCCTGGAGTCGGGTTGGAGGGTAGCATGGAGGCCCACCTGCAGGATGAGCTTGTACAAGTCACTTAGCGTTTCCGCGCACACTCTTGGACACACACACACGCATGTGCACACCCAGCCCGCCCTCCGCCAGGGCTCCTGAGGGCCGTGTGCGCGTGGGTGGGTGCCTGGGGAGCAGCTTCCCGGCGAGAGGCTCTGGAGCCCGCAGAGCCCTCCACTCTTGGCGCGGCGTCAGCCCCAGCCTTCTGCACAGGCAGCTGCCTCTGGGAATGATTTGAAGGGCTCCCGGGAGCTGCTTACCCCTCAGGAACCTCCCCCACCCCTGCCTGTCTGCCTGCCCGGCCTTCCCAAGACCTGGCTGAGATCCAGGAGGGGAGGGAACTCCAGCAGGAGGCCGACGGTGTGTGGGGGGGTGGGGATTGGTGGCTGTGCTGAGTGACCTGTACACCCTCTCATTGCCTCTCTCCAACAACCCCACAAGGTAGATATTAACGCAGAGGCCACCATGCTCTTGGTTAGAGGTGAGGAAGGCGGAGGGAGCTGCTCAAATAGGAAGTGGCAGAGCTAGCAAGGAAAGCCTAGGGTCCTGGGTCTTTTTCACTTCTTACCCCTTCAGGCTAAGAGGAGAATCCAGCGACCAGGCCCTTCAGGACTTGGAGCCTGGGTCAAAACAAGGAACCCCATGAGGCCGGGGCAGAATCCCAGGAAGTGAAAGGGAGAGGAGCTTCAAAGTGCAACTGAGGGTGTGGGGGAGGCCTGAGGAAGCCTCTAGACTTTGCAGTTCAACTGGAGCATCTTGCAGCTATTTGAAGCAGTAAAACCTAGAGGTGGCCAGAGACGTGCTGTCACCAGAGGTGTGTGTGCAGACACACAGGCACACGTATGGGTGTGGGCACCCATATGCGCATGTGCGTGTGTCAAGGTTAACTCCACGAAGAAGGAAAGGTCTGCAGCTGAGGGATCCGGTGGGTAGGGGCGGGGGAGCGCTCCGGAGCAGGACTGTGGAACAGGCCTGTGGACAGAGCTCGATGCTGGACACGTGCCCCACACCCTACTCCCTGGCCTCCCCATACGGCTTCCACCACCTCAGCACACTCTCCAGGGCCCCCGCCTCAAGCCAGGCCAGTGCCAGGCACGTTGCCTACATCAGCTCATCACCCGGAAAGCATTTCATCCCATTCCTTTTGGAGACAGTCAGGCAGCATCTCCAAGTCGACACAGAGCTGGAACTTGAGCTTGGGTCTACCTGGCTCCACAACATTCGTTGCTCAAGGTTGAAATTGGGGGGTTGTGTATGGGCACTCGCTGGATACCAGGTATACCCCAAGAAGGGAGCAGTAAGAGGGCATGGAGGCACAAACCGCTAGGGGCACCTCTTCAGAAAGTATTTTCTAACCAAAGCAGGTCCCGGAGAAGTGCTCATGGGTGGACCCCTAGAGGGACGGCTGTCCTTTCAGCTGAGGTCCTGTTCTCTGGGGAGGGCTGATGCCAGCAGCCAGAGCCGTCGAGAAGCTGAGGCTGAGAGGCTTGAATTGGAGAGAGGTTTACACTAGATTAGAGGTCACACACTGAGGGCCCGAAGGCTGAATTTGACCCTCAGGTGTGTTTTGGGGGATTTTCTTGGCCAATACACCTCTGTCTCACTAATGATATTTCAAAAATCAAATGAGTTGCCTACATTTGAAAACCAGGAGATTGTTGAAGATCCAACAATCCTACAAGACATGAATTTGGTCTGGAAAGGCCTGTATTGCTCACCACAGTCCCCACCCCTCCCTTTCACCCACACCTGGCTTCTGCACTTTTTTTTTTTTTTTTTTTTTTTGAGTTGGAGTATGCTCTGTCGCCCAGGCTGGAGTGCAGTGGCACCATCTTGGCTCACTGCCACCTCCGCCTCCCAGGTTCAAGCAATTCTCCGGCCTCAGCCTCCCAAGTAGCTGGGATTACAGGTGCTCGCCACCATGCCTGGCTAATTTTTGTATTTTTAGTAGAGACAGGGTTTCACCATGTTGGCCAGGCTGGTCTCTAACTCCTGACCTCAAGTGGTCTGCCCGTCTCACCCTCCCACAGTGCTGGGATTACAGGCATGAGCCACTGTGCCCGGCCCACTCATTACTTTTACTGTCAATTCCCGTGGGTCTTTGATTTTGTTTGCCTGGATGATGTCCCTTCCAGCTTTCAGATGCCAGGTTCTTAGGCAACAAGACCTGTTTCCAACAGTTACCCAACGTGTCTGGCCCTGCAGTAGGGCCCTAGGTATAGAAGACACATGAAGGGGTGTGACCATTTGCTCAAGTGACTTTCCTGCTCACAGGTAAACTGAGAAAACCAAACTAAGTGAGAAGGCCCATCCCAGCACTAAGATTCTGGGCTCCTATGAATAAAAAATGGAAAAGAAGGAGGGAGAAAGGAGGGAAAGAAGGAAAGAAGTCGAGCTGAAGGGAAGATGTATCCTGGAGACCTTGTGGCGAGAGTAAGGGGTCAAATGTGGCTGCCTTTTGAATATCTCACCATATCTGTGATGGTGAAGTATGGTGGGTATAAAAGTACATCATTTAGTTAACGATGCATAACAACCCAGACCAAAACTTAGAGGATTAAAACAACAACCACATTTCTAGCTCACGATTATGCAGGTCAGTCATTAAGGTTAGGCTCAATGGGAGGTTCTGCTGGTCTTGGCAGGCTGGGGGCTCATCTTGGCTGGGCTAGCTCCTGCATCTGTATCAGTGAAGGATCAGCTGGGGGCTGGGGGCTGGCTGGTCTAAGATGGCATCTCTCACATGTCTGGGGGTTGGCTGGTGGGCTGCTAGGGCAGTGGTGGGGACTGAGCCGTGTATCTGTGATCCTCCAACAGGCCTGCCGTGCAGGCTTCCAAGAAATCGAGCAGAAGAGTGCAAGACTTCTTGAGACCTAGGCTCAGAATTGCTCCAGTCACCTCTGCAAAACAGATAAAAAGGGTGAGGAAATCACCCCCACCTCTGATGGGGAAGCTGCAAAGTCACATTGCAAAGGATGTGGGTATAGGAAGGAGGAGGTGATTACAACAATTTTTAATCACTCTACCACAAATAGTAAACATACGTAATTGACTTAAACAAGCTAGGGATTTATCTGTCCCTCAACTATCTGAAATGGCTGTCCAGAAGTAGCATGGCAGCTCTTCAAAGTGTTCAGATACTGACATTTTCTGTCTTTCTGTTCTGCCACCTCAATGCTGCTTCTACCCCTTAAGGTTGCCTTGTGTTGCAAAATTGCTGTTGAGGCTCCAGCCATCAAGTCCTCATTCCAGGCAGAAAGCAGAAACAGTTGGGTGGGGAGGAAAGGCAGTGGCCACTAATGGGCATACCTTCCAGCTGAATCAGCTTCACCCAAAAACTTCTGTCTCCTTGGTTGACACTAGCTATCAAGGGAGTCCTCAAATTGAGAACTTTGCCATATGGAATAAAATCAGTTTTCTTAGAAATGAAGATGTGGAGAATGAATATTGGGTATGAAAACAGCAGAGTCTGCCACAGGGAAGAGAGGCAGAGGGAAAAGAGGGGGAGATGTCCCAAAAGGAGTTGAAGGTGACTCACTCCCCCTTCTTGGCATTTTAACTAAAGGACTGAGTAACATCTATCTAGAAAGCAGGGAAGCACTCTTTTTCAATCATTTCACTTGTGAAATTATGTTAAATATACAGAAGTGTGTGCAAATATGTACTAAATGTATCTGTACATTCATTAACGAAAATAAACATCCATGTACCCTAAGGGCAAGAGAGAATTATCAGTCACTGTCCCATCAATAGAGCCTGCAGATCCAGGACCTGTCCTCCTCTCACCCCTCCTGCAGGAGGGCACCCCTACATAGTGCATCTCCCCACCACGTCCTCCACTTCCACCAGTGGAGAACCCTGGGTGGGAGCCCCAGTCCCAAGCACAGCCCACCTTGTCTATCTGGACAGCACCTGCGGCCACCCCCTGGTGCTGCTGCCGCACCTCAGGGCAGCTCCTCTTCACCGCTTGCACCCTAGAACTGGGCCAGGCTTAGCGGTACCCCCCCACCCCCCGCCATCCCTCTCACAAGCCTCACTGACTCCAGATGGGCTCTCTGAGGCCCCAAAGAGAACAATAAATGTCAGGAAAGGCTGATGTCAGAAGGAGGCGATAAAACATAAAATGCAGACAAGGCCGCTCTGGTCTGGCCCAGACATACAGGCCCCATTACAGCTTCCTGCCCGAGAGCGATTTTCCCTGGCCTCCACTGAGCCGTGACACCTCAGAAAAGGGGCTGGGCCAGGGGAGAGGGGACAGAGTGGGCTGGGCACTCAGCCTCAGGGTGAGCATCGGGCATCAGAGCCCTGGGCAAGCAGGTGGCCGCTCTGTGGGGGGCGTTCTTCCCCCAGCCCAGGGAAAAGTGAAGTTTGCACCATTGCTCATGCAATTGGGTATGGACCAGGCAACCATCGGAGCCCCCTTCCTCGGCCATGTCCCAATGTCTCATGTCTCATGTCTCATGTCAATGTCTCATGTCTCATGTCAATGTCTCATGTCTCATGTCAATGTCTCATGTCTCGTGTCTCATGTCAATGTCTCATGTCTCGTGTCTCATGTCAATGTCTCATGTCTCGTGTCTCATGTCAATGTCTCATGTCTCGTGTCTCATGTCAATGTCTCATGTCTCATGTTTCATGTCTCATGTCAATGTCTCACGTCTCATGTCAATGTCTCATGTCAATGTCTCATGTCTCATGTCTCATGTCTCATGTCAATGTCTCATGTCTCATGTCTCATGTCAATGTCTCATGTCTCATGTCTCATGTCAATGTCTCATGTCTCATGTCTCATGTCAATGTCTCATGTCTCATGTCTCATGTCTCATGTCAATGTCTCATGTCTCATGTCTCATGTCAATGTCTCATGTCTCATGTCTCATGTCAATGTCTCATGTCTCATGTCTCATGGCTCATGTCAATGTCTCATGTCTCATGTCTCATGGCTCATGTCAATGTCTCATGTCTCATGTCTCATGGCTCATGTCAATGTCTCATGCCTCATGAGGCCCCTGGGGCCAAGCTCTTAGCTGATGTCAGGCAGAAGAGCTCTGAGCCAGCAAAGGCCAAGAATTCTAGGGCACGAGCCCTACCCATGTGGAATGAATAGTCTGTGTCAGAGTCCCAGGGGTGCCCAGAGATGGAAGGTCCTGCCAAGCTGGGGCTTCAGAACCTCCACCCCTCCTTGAGTCGAGCTTCTCCTCTCCAGCATGTTCCTCATGCTTGCCTCATTATTTCAAATTATTTCATCTGAAGAACAGGCTCCCAACTAAAAATGAATGCAGGAATAAATGAGTGAATGAATGCACGAATGAGTAAACCAGTGAATGAATGAATGGCTGACAGCCATGTGCTAGGAAAGCATTGTGATCTATTGCACAAGCACTTATTAAATGGGTACCCAGTGTGTAAGTGGTGCCTATAACACGAACAGCACCTGTGCAGACGGCAGGGGGTACCAAAAGGAAAAGACCCCGCCTTGGCCACCATCCCAGGGGGGGACTTGTGTTCTAAGAGGCAGTCTATCAGGGGAGGAAGACAAGCCTATGAAAAAGTAGAAAGTACTTAAATAACAGACCCTGCAGCCATGCCTCGCTTTTCTCCAGGCGTAACTGTCTCATCCTCCCCACCAACCAAGGCCCTGATGTTGTGCCCACATTCCACCACCCCACAAGCTACCCCTGTGTCCCTTCCCCTTGCAAGCTGGCCCCACGCCAGCTCCAAGGGGGGCCTGGCTGATGACCCATTAATGGCCCACCCCACTCCTTGCTGGCGATCAATGGGGCCAAAACACTGGACCAGAGGTTCCGGGGGGCCTCTGCCCCATTGTCCCTCTCTTCCAGAATCAGAAGCGACTTGCTCCCTCCTCTCCTGGCTGCTGTCCTGCAGAGACATGAACCTAGAGCTGCTGCAGGATCTCACTCTACCCAGAGGGGCTGCAGCCCACAGGCAGAGTGGAGGACTGTAGGCAACGTGCACCAAGTCACCCCCAGACCCCTCTGTGCTCCTGACCTGCAGTTCTGTGGAACCCAGAGCACCAGGGCATAAGCCTACCAGAGTGGGGTTCTTGTGTCTCACACAGAAGTCACTCCCTCAAAGTGGCCACCTAGAGGCTACAACAGAAGGAGAGATTCTCTGCCTGGAGAAAGAGACGTTTAGGCAGAGTTTTATGAGATGGGCATGAATTTGCCAAAAGGATAAGCAAGGAAGACCATTCCAGGTAAAAGGAGTGGCATGAGGAGGATCATGAAACTTCAACAAGCCTAAGTCCTTCAGGGTGAAGGGAGGAGTGGAATCCTAGCATGGATGCTGACCCCACAGTGATCTATGGGGACATACAGACATGATCTCTATTTGAGGTTAATAATTAGCTTTATACCCGTGAAGAAAATTGAGGCACAGAGAGGGTAAATAACTTGCCCGAGGCTGCGCAGCTGGTAAGTGGCAGAGCTCAGATTCCCAGTCAAGCCCCTGGGAAGAGTCCAGACTCTTTCCACTCTGAATCCCATCATGTCACCTTGGGCAAGTCATTTGACAGGCTGAGCCTCTGTCTTCTCCACTGTGAATGGAGATATAAAATCCTAATGATAGACCGGAGATCTGAGCAACAGAGCTTTACATCTTTTTTTTTTTTGTATGTAAATGGGGATACCCTGCCCTTTCTCCCTGAGGGAGGCAGTCTTGGGAAATGGACGGGTGTGCAGGCTGGGAAGTCCCCAGGCCTGAGCACGTCCACTTGACCATTCTCTTTCCCAGTGGCTTTGGGCAAGTCTTTTAATTGAGGAACCTCAGGTTCTCATATGTAAAATGGAACTAGTGAGACCCATCTCATGGGGTGGGCTAGCCAAGGGTCTGATTCATAGGAAGTTTAGCATGCTGGCCAGCTGCAGTATGTCAGGAGACGGGGCCAGGGGCCCGGGGCCAGAGGCCAGGGAGGGGTGAGGGGCTAAGGAGCACAGGCTCTGTCCTAGCACTTTCAGAGGAGGAGATGAGCTTGGGAACAGTGCAGCCCCAGGAGAGCAGCCAGTAGAGGCGAGCCCTAGCCCTGAGAACCCCACAGGGGTGGAGGAGGAGGCCTGCAGAGGCCAAGGGCTCTGGAGCACAGCACCTCAGGGAGCAGCAGATGCCAGGAGCCAGACCAGCCGAGGAGCCGGGCGGGCAGGTCAGCCCGTCAGATGCCACAGAGAGGGCAACCGCGATAAAAGCCCCCAAGTGCCTGTCAGATCTGGCAATTAGGAGGTCATCAGCGACCTTGGCAGTGGCTGTCAGGCAGTGGGAGGGCAGGAGGCAGCTGTGGGGGGCCAGGCAGCGGGAGTAGAAGCTAGCAAAGCGGGAGAGGTGCTCCCACGAGAAGAGATAACTAGGAACATCAAACAGTGAGATATGGTGGGCAGGCAGCGAGGCCTGGGAGTTCTCAAGCACGGAGGGCCCAGTGCAGGTGGCTGAGCCCTGCACCCACCCCATCCCCACCCCACCTCAATTACCCAAGGCAAGGCAGGGCAGCCACTTCCAAGGACACAAAGGTTCTGCCTTTCAAGTGCACCATGTCTGAAGTCCAGCCCCGCTGGGCACCCAGGTCAGGACTTGAAGCACTCTCTGGTTGTAACTCCAGTGTGCCTCGATGTCCTAAGTTAGTGCAGACACTTGGGAAGGTGGATTGGGCATGCATCACGGATGGATGGATGGACAGATGGACAGATGTTTGGATGAATAGATGAATGGATGGATGGATGGTCAGTTGGATGAATGGACAGATGGATAAAATGCTAATGATAAATGAACTTAGAAAAATTGAACTTTTAGAAATCCAAAACTAGCTAGAAGCAATTGAGTGAAGAGTGACAAGAAGATCCCCCTGCATTGTCCTGGAGGTGAGCCTGTGTGTGCCATAGAGGGCTGGCAGCTGGCTCTCCAGCCCCATCCCTGCCTCCTAGCCAAAGGGTGCTCTGGGAACTTGCCCAGTGCTCTCTGCCCAGGCTGGTCCTGCTCCAGAAACACCCTTCTCTGCCTTCTCCATCTGCCTCCTTCCTCCTCATTATCCTTCAAGGTGTGTTCAGATGTCCCCTCTTCTAGGAAGCTGTCCCTGACTTTCGCCTTCTGGTCCTTCCTGTCCCCAGCTGGTTTGGGGAGGGAGCCGTCTTGCTACTACGTGCATCTCTTATCAGAGTCTCCATGGCCTACGGTAGTGCCAGAAGAGTAGAAGATGCTTAGCAGACTATTAAACTAATTTGTGAAAGGAAGGACAAAGGGAAGGAGGGAGAAAATGAGTAAAAACCTCTATTAACCAGAATGCCTGGCTCCCCATCGGGGGATAAATGCTGAAGTGCTCTGCTCCTGGACCTCTTCCTGCTCCTTCCTAGACCTCCTAGCCTAGGGCCTGCTTTAACCAGTAGTTGTGTGCTTGATAACTAGCAGCACCCCTGCACTCCACCCTCCCCTACCTTCCACCAACCACATGCCCAGGGTCAGATATGTTCTTGCAGCACACAGGCTAGAGATGGAGTGGGGTAGACAAAGCCCAATCCACCGACAGTCTTGCCGAGACCAGATGACTCCAGCATCTGAGGCCAAGATCAGAGAGGTATAGAGAGCAGGCTGGCCTGGGCAGGCAAGGAGGATCAGGCAGGTCTTCAGAGCATAAGAAGGGCAGATTCTAGAAGGGAGGGATGTAGTGTTTTCAGAAGATTCATGGGAGAGACAGAAGCACCACAAACATGGCACACTTGTTTCACTACTAGATTAATAATGTGTCCATCGTTCATTCAACACATCTTTACTGAGCAGCTGCTTGGGCCAGGCACTGTGCTCGGGACCAGGAATCCAGGCATGAGCAAAGCAAGGCCCCATCATGACTCTGTGGAGAATTCACAGGCATAAACTCCACCCACAACAAACTGGTCCAATTTAAAAGATTTCTTAGAATGAGGGCATTTTAATGTCCAATGAGCAAATCGAATTAATTTGCAAGGAATATTGTAGCCCCACCTCTGCCACTCCTGATCCCCTTTCCTCGCCTTATCTTTCTCCATAGCTCTTACCACCATCTGATATGCCATTTACTTATTTTATTTTCTTTATGGCTTGTCTCCCCCACTAGAGTGCAAACTGGAGAAATGAAAGAATTTGTGTCTGTTTTGTTTGCCTAGAGCTGTGTCTGGCAAAGAGTAGGCACTCAATTATTGAAAAGGGGATGGATGGATGGATGGATGGATGGATGGATGGATGGATGGATAAATGGATAGGTGGATGGATAGATGGATGGATGGATGGATGGATGGATGGATGGATGGACGGACGGATAAATGGATAGGTGGATGGATAGATGGATGGATGGATGGATGGGTGGATGGATGGATAGGTAGATGGATGGATAGGTGGATGGATGGATGGATGGATGGATGGATAGTTAGATATGAATAAATGAATTGGGGTATGTATGAGTGGTGGTTGTAAGGGTGGGTGGGAAGCTGGGTAGATAAAGGAACGAATGAATGGATAGATGGGTGGAGATGGGTGAATGAATTGGTAAGTATATAAGTGAGTGGATGGGTGGGTAGACGAATGGGTGGATTGGTGTATAGATGGATGGGTGGATAGATGGGTAGATTGGTGGATGGGTGGTTGCATAGATGAAACATTTTGGGGATATATGGTTTGGGGGCAGTGGATAAGTGACCACTCAGATCACAGGAATATTTTGAAAAAAAAAACAGAAACACTTAAACATGATATGTTTTCCTATAAATACAGAAAATCACTAAAAATCCTCCAGCATTTTTCTCTGAGTTGATCATCACTATTTTCATTACAGAATCCAAATGTTTCTCCCAGTTGCAATCTGAGAACCCTCACCATTTTAATTTATTACTCCCAGGTCCTTGACTTGAAGTAACAGCGTAGTTAGAGTTGTTCCTCACACAAGTGTGACTGCACAACGTTGGTCTAATGCAATGAGTAAAGTACAAAGAAATGATTTTTGCACCTGTAAGATGTGTGTGACAATAACTACCCTCCATGGTGTGTTGGTCTATTCGTCCACACGGAGTACCTGGGACAGGCCCAGAACACAGTAGTTGCTCAATAAATGCTGGCTCTTATTTTACTTTTCAGGTGAAATCATCACACATTTCATGAGTCCTAACTGAGTAGTTTTTCTAGAGCTAGCATCTTGCCAGTCATTCTGGGGACCAACCCAGAACAACCACAACCACATTAGCCTTACCACGTCCCCCACCAAGCCCCCAGATTCTCAAGATTCAGGAAAAGAGAAATTACTTCTCTGAAGCCAGACTGTCTGCAGGGTGGGAGAGCAGCCTCTCCCATGGCCCACAGCACAACCACCCTGCAACCAAAAGGTCTGCATCCAATGCTGGCTCTGCTCCTTACCCAGCTGTGTGACCTTAGGCCAGTGACTTAACCTCTCTGAGCACCACTCTTCTCATCTGTAAAACAGGAGCAAAAATAGCATGTGAGTACAAGGATGGTTGTGAGGATCTCACGAAAAATAACTGTAAAACATTTAGCTCCACACGCAGAGAGCATGAATTCAGTAAATAGTAAGTGTAGTAATAATTATTATTAGTTTCCTAAAATAACAATTCTCCTCAGGTAGATCATTCTCAATTGTAAAATTAATTAGGCCCTCACAATCACAGTGAGACAGAGCAGAGGCTCTCATTCAAATTATGTCCCTAAGGAAACAGGCTGATCAGAAAGGGTGAGAGGCTAGCCTGAGGTCACACAGCAAAAAAGGTGGTATCAGAAAGACACCACCACCTCCTGCCCAGGCACCTTCCTAAGGCCCCTCCTGAAACCTAGCAAGACATCCTCTCCCACTTCCCAGGACTAGGCCCTGCTCATCTTTGTCCTGTCTTCCCCTCCCCCTTTCCCAGGCAAACATGATTTCATTCAGCCCCAAACGTGTGAGAAGCTTGGGCTGATGCATAATTCATGATGCCAATTTGCATTCCCTGTGCCAGGCCTCCAGCCTCCTCCCCCACCGCCCCCAGCCCAGCCCAGCCGATCCTCCCAGATCGAGCATCTGCGTTCCCAGTGACATTTTTCTAGCAGCAGTGGTTCTGGAAGCCCATCCCAGGGATAGGATCTCACAGAGCTGGAAATACTCTGTGGATTGTAAGCACTTCCTTGCCCCGAGGGCCTTGTCAGATCGATCCTGTGGCAGGTCCTCGAGGACCTCTGGGTCAAGTCCCGGTCAGAATGGCAGTGGGGGCAGGAGGAAAATGTGCGCATGGCATTTAAAGCAAGCCCACGTGCAAGGATTCTTGTCATCGTCCCTCTGTGGAAGGTATATCTCACGCTCCATTTTGGCCCAAACCACAGGGTGCCCAAGGTCAGGTTTGCTGACCCCCAGCCGACCTGTCAGAGCTTGTCCTCAGATGAGAATATGGGTCTGGTTGAGTCCAAAGTCCACACTGCCTCTGTGCACAGGCCCTAGGGGAGGTCCCAAACTCCTGTAGATGATTTGGCTGAGGCCTGGGGAGGGTGTGGCCTTGACTCTGTGTCCTCACCTGCTAGCCTGAGCCTTCATGAGCCAGCCTTCCCCCCGGGAGGAGATGCAAGGGGGAGACAACACCACCAAGGACTGCCCCAGTGGGAGACCCCAGACTGGTCCAGTGCAGGGAGCTTCCAGGCCAGACTCCCCCATCCAGGGGCCTGGCAAGCCCCAGGAACCAGGCATAGGCCCATCCCCTAAATGGGGCTCCCAGAATGGACAGGCATCAGGACATGGAAGCTTCCTCTGGGACATTATGGAGGCTCATAGGGACATACATGGGCTCAGCCACCCAGAACAAGTGCCTTGGTATGGCTGATCATGGGGAGAGCCAGACTGCCCAATGTGGAGAAGGGGGTCTCTGAGGGCGAGGCTCCTGTCCTCTCCATCCTCATCATGGCACACACTAGGTGCTCAGTCTTCAAAATCACCACCATGCACTAAGTGCCTGCTGCATGCCAGGTATCCTTCAGGGCAGCAGGCCTCAAGCTCCAGCCCCATTTTGCACATGAAAAAGACCAGTTCTGAGAGGTGACACCAAAGCCAGTTCTAAGTGACACAGCTGGGAGATGACAGAGCCCGGGCTCAAGTCCAGTTCAGTGGAAAATCCTCACTCCTCCTGTCCCACTCCAGGCCTCAAGAAAGGGGAGAAGGGAGAGATTCACATTCCTAGTGGAGGAGAATCCCTTCCTACCAGCCCCATCCCAAGGCCAAGCTCCCAGCCAGACACGGCTGCTTGGAGGGAAGCAGGGAGAGGGAAGAGCAGTTTACGCTAGAGCTCAGCTGGGCCTTATCGGGCAGTAGACACGGTGAGGTCAGCAGGGGCTCCTCGCCCCTCACCCCAGCTCTGCCCTCCTGGGCCCCTCTGTTGTGTCTGCCACAGGCGAATAGACTCAACTCAGTATCTTGCCATCTTAAGGCCAGAGGTGCCTGGGCTGGGGAGGAATGGGCCTGAGCTCCCTCCCAGTCAGCTACAGCCCCAGGACGGCTTCACCTTAGCCTCTTGTCCCTGCAGACCGGCTACAACCTTCTGGCCATGCGGCCACCCCCCAGGGCCACAGGAGATGAATGGGAGCCCTGAGGCTCACCCAAGAGACCCTGAGAACCCAGGGCCCTTTTTAGAGACAGCCCTGAGAGCCAAGGGAATGTCCTGGCTGCAGGCAGCCCACTGGCTGAGTGCGTGATGCAGGCTGGCGCTGCACTAGGCGGGTCTGCATTCACGATCTGATTCTCACGCCCGTTCTTCAGATGGACACTGAGGTACAAAGAGATGAAGCTTCATGCCTGGGAGTTTTGCAAACTCCTGGTGATTGAAGGGAGGAGTGTTTGATGGTGTGGGTGGGGGGCGGGGGGCACCGGGAGGACGCGCTACACAGTGGGCCTAAATACCACATGCCAGCATGCTCAGCAGCAGCTTGACCCCGGCCACATCACCATAGCCCACTAAGCCTTGCTGGGAGGCTCAGGTTCAGCCCTTTCATGCAGATGAGGACAATGAGCCCAGCAGGTGTAGTAACCTGCCCAATGCTGCATAGCAGGCCCAGGAGAGTGAGGCTTAAACCCAGCCTCCAGGGTTTAGGACCTGCACACTCCAGCACACCCCACCGCCTCTCCAGGTCAGCAATGCTCGCTTCACCCACCTTGTGAAGAGGACTTCCTTCCCTTGCTAATGGGTAAACTGAGGCACAGGCCAATTACCTCTCTTTGCAATCCCTAAGAAAAAGGGGAGCTGCCGGCACACACTGGGTATCTCCTATATGCCTTCTGCCTCCCAAGCGTTCCCTTCATTATTTCATGGAATCCTCACAACGATCTCATGTGGTGGGTGCTATTGTTCCTTTCTACAGATGGGAAAACTGAGGCCAGTGAAGTGATCTGTCCTCAGTTGCAGTGCCAGGTGAATGGCAGAGCTGGCCATCCAAGGTCACAGCGGGCTTATGGGCCATGGCTTTGGCCGTGTCGCCGCAGCCAGCTGAACCTCAGGGTGGCCTGGCAGCTCATGCTTTGAGTTGTGAGCCCAGTGCCTGGGTGTGAGCCCTGGGTCTGCGACCGTCTGCTGTGTGACCTGGGCAAGTTTCAGTTTGCCCATCTGTGACATGGAGTAATGCCCATGACTGCCTCACAGGCTGTTACGAGGCCCAAATGACACAACACAGGTCAAATGCTGGGGACAAGGCAACGCACAGAAAATGACCAGCACACATCCAGTGCTGCTATTGCCATGACAGTTACATGGTGATGACACAGCTTGAGTGGGGCTTTGAAAGTCTGACACCTTATAGCCCAGGGGTTCTCCAACTTCAGTGTGCATCAGTTTACCTGGGGGCTGGCCTCACCCCCCATCTCCAACTCCCGTGTCTGGGGTGGGACCCAGGGATTTGCATTTCTGAAAGTTCCTGGGTGATACTGAGGCTGCTGGTCTGGGGTCCACACTTGGAGGGCCACAGCATAGAACTTGCAGGATGTTTAATGTTCATGGAGAACCTCATGGGCAGGAGTGAAAATCTGGCTGCTGGGCTCAGGAGAGACAGCTCTGGGTAGATCCCTGCAGGCCCCAAAGCAGAAGGGCAGAGTCAAGCCCACAGTTGTCCTTTGATTGGTGAGCCAGCCTCATGCTTCCACTTACCTCAGTTGTCCCCTGTCCCCAGTTGTGGGCTGGAGTGAAGCCAAGTGCCTCTTCTGAACTGGAGGTTGCCCTTGAGCCCAGAACTTTGGGTTGGGGGTCCTGGCCAGGCCTCTTTCATCCTTCCTCCCAGGACACAGCCACGCACTCAGGCAGCAGATCAAAGGGAGCTCCTCCTCTAATGAAGTGCCTACCTCTGCCAGCTGCTTCTCTCATTCCCACTGAAGCCTCCCATCAGGTGGGAAAAGTAGATATATACCATCCCCATAGTACAGAGGAAACACCTGAGGCTCAGAGAGGCCAAGCAACTTGCCCAAGGCCGCACAGCCAAAAAGGGGCCAGCCTAGTCACAACCCCCAGAGAGCTCCCCCGGCTGCTCCCTGGTCACCCTTGGGGTCCCATTCAAGTGCACTCAAGGTCCCCCAGGCCAGGGCTAAGGCCCCCGCATAAGCTCTGATCTTTTCTCCTTCATGATACTGACCACAGCTGCGGTTAAACCAGTCTCTGTCTGGCAATTTGTATATCTGTCTCTCCCACAGGCATGCCAGCTTAATGAAGGCAGGGGCTGTACTTCTTGCTTCTCACCCAGTCCCCAGAGCCTGGCACCAAGTGGGCTCTCCCTAAGCATCTGTTTCCTGAAAAATGAATGAGCCCAGTGATGCCACAGCACTGCCTGGGGCACCCAGCTCGGTGGCAGACCCATGGGGAGGTGGAGACTCTGGGCATCTGCTTCCCCCTGAGCACCTTTACAGGTGGGAGCTTGGGGCCTGGGAGCTCAGGCATGTCATTCCCCAGGGACTTCCTGACCTGGCCAAGCCCAAGCCTTGGGCACATCCCCAGAGCCCACAGCCTATAGCCCACCCTGCGGGTTCTCATGCCTGGTCACTGTTTCTGCCTCAGATGAGCCCAGGAGATCTGAGCAGGCCCGACATGCTGCCTGCCCTGTCCTCTGGCGTGCACCTCTGCTTTGCAAAACACTTTGTCTTACGACAATGAGAGCAGAATGTCTCACCATCTAAAACTGAAATTCTGCCGACTTGCTTTCCACACCTGTGAAATGGGATGATAACCCACAACTCAGTCTGCCTTGTGGGGAGCTTGAGGGCCTAGGAGATTCTGCATATGAGATCCATGGGGTGATCAAATGTCCCGCTTTTCCCAGGACTGGTGAGTTTCCCGGGGTATAGGACTGTCAGTGCTAAAATTGGGACAGACCCAGGCAAAAAGAGATGATTGGCCATCCTGCCTGAGAGGCCTTGACAAGGACGAAACATGTGTGTTTTAAATCTCTGAGTTGAGGAGGGAAGGCTGAGGGATTCACTCCTAAGGTTGCAGAGCAAGTCAAGAGTGGAATCAGCCCAAGATCCCTGTTGGTCTTCCTGCCTCTCAGGGTCTGTCACCTGCCAGAGGCTCCTGACACCTGTTCCTCTTGGCTCCAGCAGCTGGGTCTGCACGTGGCTGGGGAATGGAAAGCTCACGTGGCAGAACAGCTTTGTAGTGGGAAGCTCAGCACACAGGTGGAGCCGGGTGGGCCACCCTCTACCTGACTCACTGCCTCACCTGCCTTTCTTTTAAAGCATTTTCCTGCTCCAAACACAGTCAAGTTCAAAACAAACAGTTCAACCCAGCTGCCAGCCATGGGAGCAACCCATGTGCAACAGGCAGAAAGCATTGCTCCCTCTGCTTGGAGGAGTTAGGGGAGGCACCTGGTCCCTAAACAGGAGGCACCCACATCCCGCTTAGGATTGGTGCACCCTGGGGGCCCTGCAGGATGCTGGGATACCCGTGGATGCTGCAGGGCGTGGCTCCCCAATAGCCAAGCTGGCCAGCTCAGCCAAATGGACAGGCCAAGGGGGACAGAAGAAGTGGCCATGAAGGCTCCAGTTTCCGCAGGTTCTAGCACTCAGCAGACCTGGGTTCAAACCCAGGCTCTGCCACTTACCAGTCAGCGTCCCTGGGTGAGTAGTTTAATCATCTTTCCTGAATGACCTTCTCTGTGCCTGGCACTGTACATGGATTATGTCACTTAATTCTCACTGCAGCCACATAAAGAAGCTGCTGAAAGGCGAAGTAACCAGGCTGAGGTCGGAGGGCTGCCAAGTCAGAGCTGAGATGCAGAGGACGGTGGCGGGCACGCGGGGCTCCTGCAGAGCAGTACAAGCACACGTGTTTTGCCTGCGGCACAGAGTTGGAAAATCAATACACACGAGATTCTTTCCTTCCATTTTTTGTATTTCTGAAACCCTGGTGCGGGGTCTAGAGTAAGTGCTCAGCAAAGGTTTATGAAACGAACGAATGCGCTGGTGCATTTTGTCCTCCTAGAAGTGTCCAGAGCAAATATGAACACACATGCAACAGGGATGTCTTGATGAGGGTCTGTTTCCCCTACGCCCTGTAAGTGTCCACTTGTAACCATAGTGGCTTCTAGGGGACGCTTCTGGCACAGGGTTGGACACACCACCTACTGGAGGACAGACCCACTGACGTGTGGATGGTATTGGAGATGCAAGGACACCTGCCCTAATCAGCTCCTTGCTCTCCTCTGCCGACCTGCCCTATGGTAAGAAGTGGGGAGGCCCCTACCCCTCCCAGGCCTCCCTGTCCTCTCTACCCACTCGGGAGCCTGGTGCCCAGTCTTCGCTCTGAATTGTTGACTCTCTGCTGGGGCACACCCCACCCCCACTTTACCACCCTCCCCAGTCTTTCTACCCACTTGCTTTTTGGATTCAGCATTGTCCAGGTTAGGCAAGGTGGCCACCAGCCTCTTTACAAACTAGCCCCTATGTGGAATTCAATAAACCTCTGGTCTTCCTAGAGCAGAGACCAACCTGGGGCAGGCTTGGTAGGGCCTGAGCTTGGTGGCGCCCTGTTGGGGGCTGCCTGAAGCACACACACTTGCTGGGACCCCTTGAAGTGGCCCTGTCTGCCTGCAGCCTGCCGCAGGACCCACAGCCACACTGCTGGGCCCGGGGTGCGTGCAGCCTCAGCTCTGGAGTCACCGGCCAGGCTGAGAAATAGGAGGATCAGCAGAGGTGTAGACCCCTCAGCCTTGTTCTCTCCCCCCAGGGCTTTAAGTTCAGGGAACAAGCCCGGCTAGGTGGCGAGGATGGGAGTGGGGGCACAGTGGGGAGAAGGAAGGAGAACATCAGAGCCCCAGGCCACGGAGTTGGAACTGGGGGTGCCAGAAATCAATAAGTCTGGGTTACCTGACCCTTTTTGAAGGTGCAAAGGTCAGTCCTCTCCCAGATTTTCATCCCTCCCTCCGCCCCTCCCCTCTAGCCTGCACAGGTGCCCTAAGACCCCTGCCTAGCCCAACCCACCTACCCCTCTCCTCTGCCCCATCCTCTAGACGTGCTTATCCGTGCTCTGCCTCAGCCTGAACACCTGCCCACAGTGGTCCTAGCCTTCCAATTAAACCTGGAGTCCACAATTTAGGGCAGCTGTGTGTCCTTGGGCAAGTCACTTAACCTCTCTGAGCCTTGGTTTCCTCAAATGTAAGTGGTGGTAAAGATCTCTCCTACTCAGAGGAATGGTTGGAGACCATGTTTATAAAGGGCACTGTCCTCTTCCACCCTTCCTTCCCTTTCCCCTTGTCAGGGCAGTAAAAGCCAACATCACCCTCGCTGGCTTCTTCCTGCCAGCCTCGCCTCCCACTTCTCCCCAAGCTAGCGTCCTAGCTGCTCCCCACTTCTACCCAGCCATGTTCTCCCCTAGCCTTTGGCCTGTGCTGAGCCCTTCTCCTGCCCCTCCAGTTACCCAGAGCCTACCCCCTACCCCAGTCAGAGAGCTGGCTGTCAGAAGGCAGGGATGCAATTTCCGCTTCTCCTGCAGAAGTCCTGGGCTGTGTATTGGCAGGTGCATCTGCTGACCTGACATCCCAGCCCCAGCCACCACCCATGTCGGGACATCGTCTCCAACCAAGGGCCCCATCATCATGATGAAAATGATCGTTAGTTTCCTGCCTTCCACGCGTCAGGCATTTTACAATCCTGACTCACTGAATCCTCACAGCCCAAGTATAAGTACTTATCAACCCCATTTTACAGATGAGGAAACTAAGGCTCAGAGAGCTTGGGTAAGTGGCCAAGAGTGCCCAGCCAGAAACAGTGAGTCAGATAGAAGCCAAGATCTGTCTGGCTCTGATGTTTAGCCTGTGCACCTGCAGCCATGCGGAGGCACAGGCTGAAGGGGGCAGACCCCAGCTCTCCCTGGTGAGGGGCAGCACCCGATAACCCTTGATGCCCTGGACAGTGGGCCCCCGGGGGAGCAGAAAAATGGAGCTCCAGGCTGGCCGAAGGCTCATCAGGTCTTCGGACTCTTGTATGAGGCCTCCATTGTTCTACCTGTAAATGGAGTGAGACTGGATCCACTAAACCATGCTAGAGTCATAGCGAGTTGAGGCCAGAGAGGAGAGCGCAGCATGGGGCCGGTCAGCCAGCTGCAGCCATGGGAGACTGTGAGAGACAGAGCAGCAGAGCCATTGAGGCAGCCCCAGATCCCAGGCAGGGAGCAAAGGGAGCAACGGCAATCCAGGCAGGAGCCAAAGAGAGGAGCCAGATGCAGGAGTGCAGACCGGGGTGTGGGAAGAGAAAGATCCCTGACAAATGGCTCCCGTTTTCTCAGGGGAGGGTGTAAGGAGGGCATCCCATGGGGTCAGAGGCTGCTGGGGACAGAGGGGACGCAAGGAGTAGAGAGGCGCTGGTATGCAGCTGGCACGTGCTGGGGCAGAGGGTGTTCAAGGGCCCCTCCCCACCAGGCTCGATTCCTCTCACCCCAACCTCAGGAGCTGCTGGAACAGGAAATGAACTTCTGGGCTCCTGCAAAGAGAGCCCTCCACTCCTGGGAGTAGGGGCGGGCAGGGGTGGGGGCTGCAGAGGGCTTTGGCAGGCTGGACGTGGGACTAGCTGCCTGTGGCCGGAGAAGGGAGGGGTCTGCAGGGTGGTATTCCCACTCCCCACATTAGGTGGCCCACAGAGGGTGTGGGTGGGAACGGGAGTGGCCAGACCCTCGAGCCAGGGGCAGGGGTACATGGTGCCTCCTATGGGGCCTCCCCTCCGCCTCAAACCTCCATTCAAACCAGTCATAGAGCCTGACTTTGTTGGGTCATAGCCAGGTGACACTGGGGCATTCAACCTCATTGCAGAGAGAACAGAAGAGGAAAGGCGTACATGTTCATTGAGCATCCACTACACAGCAGGTGCTATGCCAGACTCTGAAATTAGGATGCCATCAAACCTCTAAAACAGCCCTTTGAGGAACATGCTATGACTCCATTTTACAGATGGAAGAGCTGAGGCCTAGGGAGGCTGAGGGATTGGCCCCTGCTGCATCAGCATCGTAGTTCAAAGGTTGAGATCTGGGCCAGTGGACTGGCTCTAAGCAGCTGTGGCTTGGGGCATTTTACTTAACAGCTGTGCCTCAATTTTCTTAGCTGTAAAATGGAAATCCTAACAATTCCTCCTCCTCGGGTTGCTATGCGGGTCACAGAAAACCATCACTGCGGGTGCCAGGCACACCACGAGGGCTCGCTGAGCAGAGGGATGCCCGGGGGATGGAGCCTGAAGCTCATACCTTGTCCTTGTGCTGGGCTCAATCGCATCCACCTGTGGCACCAGTCTTTCCAAGACAGCATTTCTTTGTGTTGGTTTATTTTGAAGTCATTGAAGCAGTGGGAGTGAGAAAGGCAGGAGGGAGTGGGGCCCAGAGGAGAAGGGAGGAAGGAGGGTGGGCCCCCCAGGCAGCAGAGCAGAGGGAAGAGGAGTCCACAGCGGGTGAGAGGGGAGATTAGACACTAGAGAGGAAGGAATGCCAAGGTCACCAGGGTTAGGCTGCCTGGGGCCGCCAAGACCGCCTGAGACGTGGATCATGACCATGCTCTCTGGGCTAAGTCACCTATGCGGTTCAACTGGAGGAGGGGCGCCAGAAAGTCCCTCGTCCCTGGGGAAAGACCCCCCTCTGTGGTTCTACCAGTGCCCCAGTTTCCACCATTCGTGCTGAAGCAGTCAGTGGCGGAGGCTGAGTACGAACTCAGGTCACCTGGGCCTGCCCAGGGCTTAGCCTCTGCTTCCTCACCCCGAAGGCCAGGACCCTCCTGCTTTCAACGTCTACCTTCCACCTGGCCTCTGGGCTCTGTGATTCTGATGTTCCTCAGCACCCCTGCCACTCAAAACTGTCTCCTGGGGTGAAGTGCCACGTGGGGTTTGCAGGGAGGGTCGCTGCATTGCCAGGGGTGGGTGACAGAAAAGGCATTCAAACACCCTCAGTCCAACCTGCTCACGTCTCATGGGACAAACTGAAGCCAACCGAGGTGGGGTTGGGCAGGGGGTTGGGGCTGTCCTGCCCAGGACCACACAACAGGGCAGTGGCTGAGGCCCTCACCCGGCCTCCAGGCACCTGACCTGCTGGCCGTGTAGCTGGACTGGCTCTGCCCAGGAAGGACCTAGGGTTCACTAAGCCCTGGTGGGCAGGAGTGAGACCCAGCACTGAGGCTGCTCAAAGCCACATGCCAGCAAGGGGTCCCCATTCGTACCACCCAACCCTGCAGGAAGACCTCCTGTGCCCAAAGGACAGATAAGGCAGTGAGGACTTGGGGGCGCCCAGCTTGCCAGGAGGCAGTGAAGTCAGGCTTGGTGGAAGTCCAGGGTTGACAGGCTCTGTGGCAGCCCCCAAGGCTCTGCCAGTTGAGAAAGACTCATGAGCTGGTTCTCCAGCCCCTGGGGGGCGGGAGCCTCTCAAGGAGCTGGGGCAAAGGGGAGCTCAAGCCTGCCCTGGCCAGCCCACAGCCGCAGCTGGAGATCAAGAAGCCCCCGGCCAGCCTCAAGACACAACAGCGATAAGGGGTATCGGCCGACAGCTGGGGCAAGGGAAGGAGCTGGCGCAGGCTCTGGGCCTGGGGACTGGGGGTGGGGGATTCTCCTTGGGGAGGCAGTGAGGGGCAACCTGGGGATATCCCTTCTCAGAATAGATGCCCCAAAAGTTGTCAACGGGACCAAAGTGACCCAGACACTTGGCCCTGTCCAAATTCTGGGCTGGCCACACCCTCAGCTCCTCGGCAGCCACAGGGGCAGGTGTCTTATGTGAACGGTAGACTTCCCAGCCAGGGAGAAGGATACTGCCTTCAGCACATGGCACCAGCCCCAAGCCTGTCTTCAGGTTCAGAAATGTCTCCTGGTGGGGGTGAGGCGCTGTAGCCAGGAGGCAGCCTGGACAGGAGTGGGACACCCCTTGAGACAGCCCATCTCTCTTGGAGGTGCTGGGGACTGACTTCCACTATGGAGGCCTGGGGTCGCCCAGCCCAGGCCCAACCCCCACTCCACAAGTATGATGACCACAGGCAGCTCACTTCCAGCCTTGGTACCTCAGACAAGAACATCCCCTTTCCAGGGGTTGCTGCGGGGACTCAATGGGGCTATGTGGGGAGTCTGCTGACTGCCTTCTGGTCTCAGTGGTGGAGGAGACATGAGTGGTTCCTCAGGGCTGGCCTCCTCCCCTCCCCTTCCCAGGGAGTCCCGGGTCTGTCCAGCTTTCCTCTTTGCCTGGATCGAAGCTCTCCTATACATCTAAGAACTGTCAGAGCCACTGTCCTATCCAACAGCCCTACAAAGTCTTTGATTGAGGTTTTCCTCTCCATTCCACAGACTAGGAACCAGAAGACCGGGAGGCTGGGATGGGCTACTCTGTGCTGGGGACAGGCTGGTGCTGAGGACCGGGATCTCAGTGGACCCCCAGACAGGGCACACCTTCTGAGACAGCACAGCCCCAAGAAAGGGGTCACATCCCCTTCCAGGCCCCAGGGGGATTTTTTTTTTTTTTTGATACAGAGTCTCACTCTGTCACCCAGGTCAGAGTGCAGTAGCACGATCTCGGCTTACTGCAACTTCCGCCTCCCGGGTTCAAGTAATTCTCCTGTCTCAGCCTCCGGAGTAGCTGGGATTATAGGTGGGCATAACCACGCCCAGCTAATTTTTGTATTTTTAGTAGAGACAAGGCTTCACCATGTTGGCCAGGATGGTCTTGATCTCCTGACTTCGTGATCCGCCCACCCTCGGCCTCCCAAAGTGCTGGGATTACAGGCGTGAGCCACTGCGCCCGGCCCCCAGGGAGGTTTTGAAGTAAAGACAACTGGCCCCTCCTCCAGCCCCACCTAGGACTCCTTGTCACTATTCTAATTGTGCTTCCCCTCCCACTCTCACACAAGTCCCATTCCCTGAGAATCACAGTACTTAAGAGCTCAGACACAGGTGCCTGCTGTGGGACCTTACTCAGGTTTCTTAATCTCTCTGTGCTTGGATTTGCTCATCTGTAAATTAGGACAATTTAGGACCCACCACATGATCCTGCTATGAAGTCAGTGTAAAGTGCATGGAGCAGAGACCCGCCTTGGTAAGCACTCTGAGCACTTGATCACAGCTCCCCTCAGCCTCCACCTTGCCCTTCTCTCCCTGAATGCCCTTCCTTCACGGGAGTAACTCCGGCTCATCTCTCAGGACCTGGCCCGGGCACCGTCTCCTCCGTAGAGCCACCATTCACGTCACCCAGCCCCCACCCAGCGTCACCATCCCTCCCCCTCCCTCTGGGCAGCTGGGGTTTCTTCCCCATCAAAGGGAAAGTTTCCATGCAGGCCTCCCCGCTGTCCTGGAAGCACTGAGGCCAGGGGTTTATTTCACTCTGGGGCTTTCTCTAGTATGGGCTTGGCAAGGGCCGGGTCCCAGGAAACATTTGCATCACCAAAGCCAACTGTGGGAGTTGATGTCTTATTGTAATGGTTCTGCTGCCAGACCCTGGAAGTCGTTTTAGTTCTTTAAAAAACATTCTTTTTGCATTGCAATTAATTTTTCTGCAAGTAAATTCATGAATACATTATCCTTATAAAAGAAAAAAGCAAAAACTATGCATAGATATGACTAAGATCCCCTCAGAAATCAAGCCCATCCAAGGCCTTCTTCTCTCCCTCCCCAGAGAGAACCGTAGGCACTGGGGAGAGCCAACCTCTTTTCCTCCTTCATACATGTAAATGTGTGTCCACAGGAAACATGCAGAACTCTGTGTGTGTCTGTGTGTGTGTACGTCTGTGTGTCTATGTGTGTGCCTCTGTGTGTGTGTATGTCTGTATGACTGTGTGTCTGTGTGTTTCAGTATGTGTGTCTATGTCTGTGTGTCTATGTCTGTATGTCTACGTATGTCTGCATGTATGTGTCCGTGTGTGTGTGTGTGTATGTCTATGTGTGTATGACTGTGTGTCTGTGTGTCTCGGTGTGTGTGTCTATGTCTGTGTCTGCATGTGTGTCTGTGTGTGTGTATGTCTGTGTCTATGTGTCTGTATGTCTGTGTGTCTATGTGTGTCTGTGTGTGTGTCTGTGTTTGCATGTCTGTATGGGTCTGTATGTGTGTGTCTGTGTATGCATGTCTGTGTCTGAAACACTCCCAGAGAACAAAACACAATGCAGCCCTGTGGGGAGGAAGCATATTTGACTTTCCTTAACCCAGGATGTGCAGGCTCAGGAGATGGTGGAGGCCTTGAGGATATTTACTTCACACCAGGTAAGACCGTGTAGAGCAGGCTCTGAAGCCCTGGAGAGTTCCTTCCAGGTCAACATGGAGGTGCTGAATTCTCTGATTAAAAAAAAAAAAAAAAAAAGGAAGCCACCATCTTTAAACTGAGTCCCTCACCCTCCTTGTTTCTCCATCAAGTTCACAAGGCTGCCTTAGGATAATTTATCATGTCCTGCCTAAAGCACCTCGCAGCCTCCGCACCGTGGCCGTCCCCATGCTAACCCATGAAGAAAGCAAACACGAGTCAGGCCACTTGGTTCGTGCTTGCTGACCGCTGGCTGGCTCCCGTTGGTCACCTCCCTCTCTCCTGCTTTCTCTCAAAGCACTGACCTCGCCTGAGAACTGGAAGCTGCAAAGCGCAACACTGCATTTCTCCCCATTTAGTTTCAGGGGTTATTTGCTTCATTCTAACCTGGGACTCTTGCTGATCTCCAACCTCCTGGCTGCCCTCCTGGCCTGGGGAGTCCCCAGAGCTTACCTGCGCGGTTCTCAGCCTGCTGGGCCAGGCTTCCCCCACACGGGGAGGCAGCGGTCTGCTGGTGGAGGCTTCACTCCTGCCTGCCTCATGGGTCACCATCAGGACCAGCTGGCAGCAGTCTCACCCCTGCCCTACTGATTTCAGGACTTACCTCCTGCTCCCAGCACTGGGGACCTCTGAGCAACGAGTTCTGGTGGCCCCAGACCCACACAGAGCCCGCCTCTTGCTGAACTTTGTGATGGCCTTAACCCCTTTCCTGGCTCTGGGACTGCTGCCTTCCAACATGACTACATGCCTCCTGACCAGCAGCCCTGTCCAGCCACACCAGGGGAAGTGAGGAGGAAGTAACTGCCCTCAATGGCACGATTGGGGTGGAAGGGTGCAGGAGCTGGGTTGAACCAAGAGGGGCATTCTGGGGGGTGGGAGGAAACAGGGTCTGGGAAAACAGAGGATGGCATTGGAGTCAAGGGAAGTGAGGAGGCACCAGTACAGGTCGGCAATAAAAGGGAGGGAATTGAGTGAGGGCCCCAGAAGCTGAGTGGAGAAGCTCTAGAATCTGTGGACAGATGGAGTGTGGGCCCCTTTTCTGTGCAAAAGTGGATGTGCTGAAGGTTCCGGCCAGGGCCCTTAGACATGCCTAAAATAAAGGCATCCAATTTGGAAAAGAAGAAGTAAAACTGTCTCTATTTGCAGCTGACATAATCTTGTATATAGAAAATTCTAAGGAATCCACTAAAAATCTATTAGAACTAATAAATGAGTTCAGCAAGGTTGTAGAATACAAGAGCAATCCACAAAAATCTATTCTATTTCTATGCACTTGCAATGAACAATATGAAAATAAACATTTTAAAACATTCCATTTACAATGGTATCAAAGTATACTTATGAATAAATTTAACCAAAACATTACAAAAATCATACCCTGAAAACTACAAAAATGTGTTAAAAGACATAAAGGACGATGTAAACAAATAGAAATACATCCTATGTTCATGGATGAGATGACAATACTCCCCAGATTGTTCTGCACATTCAATGTAATCTCCATTAAAATTCCAGCTGGCATCTTTGCAAAAAGTAATAGGCTAATCCTGAAATTCACACAGATATTTAAAGACTCTAGAATAACCAAAACAAAATTAGAGGGTTCACAATTCCTGATTTCAAAACTTACTACAAAACTACAGCAATTAAGAGAGTTTGTTACCAGCACAAGGATAGATATATAGAGCAATGGAATAAGTTGAAAGTTCAGAAATAAACCTTCGCATTTCCAGTCAACTAATTTTTTTAAACTGTGCCAAGATAATTCAATGGAGAAAGAATTGTCTTTTGAACAAATGGTACTGGGGCAAGTGACTATCCACATGCAAAAGAATGAAGCTGGATAGGAAAATCAAGCCAAAGACCTAAATGTGAGAACTAAACTATAAAACTCTTATAAGAAAACACATATAGGCCTGGCGCAGTGGCTCACACCTGTAATCCCAGCACTTTAGGAGGCCAAGGTGGGTGGATCCCAAGGTCAGGAGATTGAGACCATCCTGGCTACCACGGTGAAGCCCCATCTCTATTAAAAACACAAAAAATTAGCCGGGCGTGGTGGCACCTGCCTCTCGGGAGGCTGAGGCAGGAAAATCGCTTGAACCTGGGAGGCAGAGGTTGCAGTGAGCCAACATTGCATCACTGCACTCCAGCCTGGGTGACAGAGCGAGACTCCATCTCAAAAAAAAAGAAAAAAGAAAACATACATATAAATATTCATGACTTTGGATTAGGCAATGGGTTCTTAGATATGACACCAGTAGCACAAGCAACAAAAGAACAAAAGAAAACAGATAAATTGCATTTTACACAAATTTAAAACATTCATGCATCAAAGAACATTATCAAAAAAGCAGGAAAAAAAGCAGAAGGGGAGAAAGCATTTGCAAATTATACCTCTGATAAGGGACTTGTCATCAGACTATATAAAGACCTCTTACATCTTGGTAATAAAAAGACAAATAATCTAACTTAAAAATGGGCAAATGATCTGAATAGACATTTCTCCAAAGAAAATATACAAGTGGCCAAGAAGCACAGGAAGAATGAACAACATCGCCAGCCTCCAGGAGAATGCAAATCAAAAACACCATGAGGTACCACTGCATACCCACTAGGATGACTATCATCAGAAAGAAAGATTCTAATGAGTGCGTTGAAGAAAATGTGGAGAAATTGGGATCCTTGTGCTTTGCTGGTGGAGATGCAAAATGGTACAGCCACTTTGGAAACCAGTTAGGTGGCTCCTCAAAAAGTTAAACATAGAGTTACCATATGACCTGGCAATTCCACTCTTAGGTGTATGTCCAAGAGAATGGAAAACAAACGTTCACACGAAAACTTATACATGAATACTCACGCAGCATTCTTCAAAATAGCAAAAAAAGTAGAAATAACCTAAATGTCCAGCAATGAATGAGTGGATACACAAAACGTGGTCTATCCACACAAGGGAATATGATTTAGCTGTAAAAAGAAATGAAGGCCTAATACCTGCTGCAACATGGATGAACCTTGAACACGCCATGCCAAGTGAAAGAAGCCAGACACAAAAGGCCACACATTGTATGATTGCATTTCCATAAAATGTCCAGAAGAGACAAATCTACAGCGACAGAAAATAAACGAGTGGTTGCCTGGGGGTGTGGAGGTTGCTGAGGGGTCGGGAGAAGGGAGTGGCTGCTGATGAACATGGGTGACAAAAATGTTCTGAAATTGTGGTGATGATTGCACAACTCTGAACATATTAAAAACCATTGAATTGTACACTTAGATAAGTGAATTGGATGGGATGTGAATTATATTTCAATTTCTCTGTTGTAATTGAAAAACAAAGCAGCTGTGGACTCATAAAGCCTGGCATTGGAGCTGGGGAGGTGGGCACAAGACTCTTCAGTTGTACACCACCCTTTCTGGCCTCCTGTCAATCCACCTGACCCTTACGTGTTCACCTTCTGGGGAGTCTCTTCCTCAGCCTTGCCTCTGCTCCTCTGCACACAGTCACCCCAGGTGACCTCAGGGCCCAAAGGCTTCAGGGTGAGGGAGGAGTAGGGGATGAAGTTGTAAGTTTTAGACACTCCTCGCCTGCACTCCCACCTATATGCTCCCAGTGTGCAGAAAGCTTCCAGTTCCCTCCTTCCATCCAGGACCTCTCTCCTGAGTGTCTGGGTGCCAGGCCCATTTCCATCTCTTCTGATCACAATGACAAGGACAATGACGATGATGGAGACCGTGACTATGATGATGGTGATGTCGAAGCTTGCTAACATTTATTGGGCATTTATTATGCACCAAGTCCCTTTATATGCATTATCTCATTGAATGCTCACCACAACCCGAAGCGGCCAACACTGCTACTTATATCCCATTTCACAGATAAGGAAACTGAGACTAAAAGAGGGGGCGTCACTTGCCCAAAGACACACAGCCTGGGAAATGGAGGAGACGGGATTGAAACCCAGGCAGCTGGCGCTGGGGCCCACACCTTTAAGCGCCATGCTGGGTTCTCACACTCCAACACTCAACTCATCCCCTTGGCCACCCCTCCAGCCTCCCTCCACCCTCCTCCCTCTTCCCCTCACCCAGCCACTGCCTGGCATGGGTTCTCCTCCCGAGTGTCCACCCTGGCTGTTCCTCCCCGACTCTTCCCTCACCCTGAAAGCCCTCCGGGCCCTTATCTATACTCTTTTAAGGCTGAAACAGACCCTGAATCCCCTCAGGCTTCTAGGTGGCCATGGGGCTGCACCATTCAGGCCTTCAGTGCCTCCTGGGTTCACAGGGCAGGCAGGTCCACAAGGCAGAAATGACTCAGGCCCACCCCCTGATGCCCAGCTGTGTTCTAGGAATCGGGCAACATTTTGATATGAGGTGATTCAGGGCCCAGATAAGCAAGGCAGACATGCAGCCTGACAGACACACTGACAGACAGACAGACAGGCAGAACATGAAAGCTGGAGTGCATGGTCCTCAGACCGCAGATGCCTTGGGTCCTATGCAGGACCTGTCTGAGCTCACATGCTCAGGAATTAGGTTCTGAGGACAAGCCCTGCTCCTGTCCCTGGGACCCTACAAACCCCCCAGGACCAGCCCCCAATCCCAGCCATGGGGAGGAGCCCCTGGCCCCGCCTGCCTGCTGACGGGATCTGTCATTTTCTGTGCCAACCACAGCCCTTCCCCAGGGCTCAATGATCTAGTTTCTCTTTTCCTACCTTGGAAATAGCTCATCACAACAGTTAACCCACAAGCCCTCCTGAGGGCGGAGGGCCCCCCACCCCCAGGAAGAGAGTATCATGGGCTAGGAATTTCTGAGGGCACAGCCGGCCTTGGGTGATAGTCAAATAAATTTTTCTTGAGTGACAAGGAAGGAAGGAGAGAGGAAGGAAGACAGGGAGGGAGAGAGGGAGGAGAGATTCCAGAGGCCCCTGGTTCATTGAGCGTCCTTGCATTTGTTGGCTGAGTTTACTCTTGCTTGTCTCCTAGTCACTGTGTGACCTTGGGGAAGTAAGCAGTGTCTCCGGACCTCCTTTCACTGGCAGCCAGTGAAAAGGTTAGAGTAAGTAAGATTCGGCCCTTGCATACCTCCTGAGACTTCAGTGATGCGATCCCAGGAACAGGGGCGTTTGCAAAGCCTTCTGAGAATCTGGGAGCCAGCAAGGTGGACCTCCTCTTGACAGCCATCTCCCTCCCCACCCATTGTCACCTGCCGACATTCTTGCCAGGCAGCCCACAAGATGCAGGAGAGTGGCTCGGAGAACACCACCCCCGAGGCAACCCATGGGACTGGGCCCATTTGCTCAGGTAGGGCATGGGGACTCCCTGCCCTTCAGACCTTCAGGACGCTTGGCCAGAACTGCCAGTTTCCCAGTCTGCTTGCATCTAGAACCTCCCCCCGACCCCCATGCACAGTTTCTACAAATTCCCCACTTCATTGACTCATGGCTCCCCCTGCCCATCCCATTCCCCTGGTGACCCAGGCTGCTGGCAGGCAGACTTCAGCCCCTTAACCATAGCCTGAGCATGGGAAATCCAATGGCTCTCATCATTGTGTGAGTTTGGAGGCTGTGCTGACGCCTGTGGGGCCCTCATCTGGGAAGGATGAGCTTCAGCCAGCTCACTCCCAGCATGCGGCTTGCCCCACCCCATGCAGCATCCCCCAGAGCATCCTCCTACACACACACACCCATGCACACACGCATACACACACAAGCGTGCACACACACACATGCACACACACATGCACACACGCATACACACACAAGCGTGCACACACACACATGCACACACGCATACACACATGAGCATGCACACACGCACATGCCAGCCTCCACTCATGGGAACTAGCCCCGCAGGTGTCCGGGAGTTCTGGCCCATAGACGGCTCTGTATCCTCTTTCATGAGAAATGAGGCCATGGGGAGGAAGCAATGGGACAAGACCTGTAAACCCACTTCATGACCTAATGGAGACTGTCCCCCATCTCCCAGCCCCAAGGACAAGAGGCCTAAGACGGCAAAGACAAAGAGCCCCAGCTGATTCTGTGGCATGGCTCCAGGGCAGCCTGGGCAGGGAAGGTCAGGGCTGTGCAGGTAGGTCCCACATGTCACCCTGGAGGGCAGCAACACAGCCTCCCACATTCAGCCCTTGGAGGTTAGCCATTCAGTTCTGGCCTGCCCCAGAGACCCTGGTCAGTCTCCTGCTTGGACCTCCCTATCGCCCCTCCATAGCACAGCCCACAGCTATGTGGCCCTGAGCCTGCCTGCCCCTCGCTGCCCTGCCTGTCTGTCTTTGGAGTCCAGCTAAGTCTGGGCTCTTCTGCACATCTCCACACCACCTGGACATTGCAGGAGCCTCTGGCTGGGCTCGCTGCCCCTCTCTCCCCCTGCCAAGGTCCATTCCCTACACAGCAGCCAGGGGATCCCTTGAAAGAATAAGTCAGATTCCCACACCCTTGCCAAAGTCCCCTCAGTGTTCCTCCCCACAAAGGCCGCTGCCCCTGTGACCTGTGACAGTTGTGTCCTCTCCTAGATCACCCCAGCTTGACTCTACCAGGCTTCTGCAGTTTCTCCACTAGAGAAGCCCTTTACTACCTCAGGGCCTTTGCACATGCTGTCCCCTCTGTCTGGAATGCCTGACCCAGCCCACCCTGACACAGCCACTTCTATAATCAGCTCCTTCTTTAGCACTCAGCTGAATTGTTCCCTCTGAAGCTCGGCGTTCCCCACTACCCCATCTGAAGCAGGCCTCCCTGACTGCAGCGTCGATTTACTTGTCCGTATCTGTCACTCTCACTAGATAATGAGCTCTGTAAGAACAGGAACTATGTCTGCTTCATCAGCCACTATGGACCCAGTCCCTACTACAGAACGGACACCTTGTAGACATTCAGTAAGGAGCTGTGGAATGAACAGAGGGTCTCACAGATGAACACAGACACGAAGTCACAAATGGGAAGCCAGCACTGGAGTCAGCTCTGCCTGTCCCAGCCCCCTTGGCCACCTGCTCACTGCTCATGGGAATAAGAGTCCACAGTGCTGAGTGCTGCCACGGGCCACCCGCCACCCTCGGATCGCCTTGTCAATCTACACACTGTTCCTGTGACGTGGGAGCTATTATTAGCCCACTTTGCTGATGGGAAAAAAGAGGCACCTCTGTCACAGAAGAGCAACCCTTAGCAGAGGAAGGAGTCCCCGTAGCCCCCGGCAGCCACAGAGCAGGCCAAGGCACAGAGGCACAGGGGGGACCAAGGGGCTAGAGAAGAGTGACCCTGGCTGGCCAACCTCTGTGTTGCAGACCACGGCTTGAAGCCAGAATGAGGCTGGCCGCACAGAAGTCTCAGGGACCCCCAAGGACGGCTGAGAGTCAGGGACCTCCGTGCAGCTCTGAGAGAGCCATTGCAGGGCTCAGGGCAGAGCCAATTGGCTGCAAACTGCCTGGTGCCCTCAGGTAAGCCCCAGTGGTTTGCACTTTCCAAGTGCCCAGGGCACAGAAGTCCTGACCGGCAAGTCTCTCCCCAGAGCCCACACCCCAGTTGGTGGTCACCTCAGGGAAGACTTTTCAAAGAGGTCACACTACTCAAAGTATGGTTCTCCCAGCATCTCTGCTTCCCCTGGGAGCTTGTTAGAAATGTTCTCTCCAGCCCAGCCCAGACCCACAAAGCCTTAATCTGCTTTAGCAAGACACCCAGGGCTTCTGTGTCACAGTCAAGCTTGAAAATCTCCAGCCTGCTTGTCCAGGCACCTCTCCTCACCATTATAGTACCATTCCTGGCGGTCAGCAAGCATACCCATCAATGGTGCAATTGACAAAGATGGTCACTGCAGCGTTGTTTATCAAGGGCAAAAACTGGAAATATCCTAAATATCCAACAATAAGGAGAAAGGGTCCTAAATTAAAAGACAGCCACCAAAATGCTCTTTTTGAAGAATGACGGCACAGGGGCAGCGCTCATACTGTAATATTATATGGAGAAGACAAGCGTAGCAGCGCACACACAGTCACGTACGGCAGTCGCACACGTGTGCAAATTCACCAACATGTTAACTGTGGGCACCTTATGGTTGCTGGGATTATGGGTGATTTTTTGTTTCCTTTTACTTTCCTGGGTTTTCCTAATTCTCTCCATGGATATGCCTTACAATCATGATAGTGAAGCCACCAATGAATGATATTCTTATTTAAAAATGAAAATGTGAGTGTCCCTTTAAACAGATGCTCACATTCAATTCATCCGCTGAAGGGCCTTGCAAATGAGGTTTCAGACGCTTCCCAAGGCCTTGAGGTGGGAGAGTGGGAGGAGGGGATGTGTCGTGAAGCAGGTATGAGGGGCAGGGGCAGCACAGGCACCTCCCAGAGGCCTGGCTTGGGGGGACATTTGGGGAGTGGGGGGCACTGCAGGTCAAGGCCACATGCTCTGGGCCTTTGCCGCAGCTGTGTCCACTTCCGAAAATACCTTTCCCTCTGCCCTTCTTTTCTGACCAACTCCCATCTGTCCTGCAAGATTTGGCTCAGGGACCACCTCTTCCAGGAAGACCTCTCAGATACCCCCACCCCCAGAACACTGGGCTCCCGCAATAACCTCTTGGGCGCCCTACAAAGAACTGTGAACATGTGATGGAAGATGTTTCAGACACGCGTCATGGCTTTGTCTAGCACACAGGACCCCTCAGTCACCAGCCCCTGAGAGGACCACAGTTCTCGTCCTATTCCCCACTCACCTGGGCACCCCTGCCGTGTGTGTCCACTGATGTTCCTGCAGCTACCGGCTCTGGCCTGGGCACTGCCCTCTCCTCTGGGTTCTACCCATCAGTTACAAAGGGCCGACATGCAAGGCCCAAGCAGAGCAGTTTCAGAAAAACATTTAGGGAAAAAAGCCAAGTGTTCCTGGCAGGCCCTGGTGCCCTCCTGACCCCCACATCAGCCCTTGGGTCTCAGAGCCCCAATTGGCAAGGCCCCAGGCTCCAGACCTGTCCAGATCCCCCCAAGCCCCTCGGTCTGAAGCCTGGCAGCAATCCAAGGCTGGGCAGGCACTCATGGTGCCCAGGTCTCACTGAACAGCTGTGTAAGAATGAAATGAGATGAGAGAGTGCCTGTTCCATGCGTGGCCAAGAGAACACGCTCAAAGTCCTGCTTCACACTCGCTGTGGGCCTGCAAGGGAAAGGTGGTGGCCATTCTAGATGTGGCCCACGTGAGTCTCTGAGTCCTGAGGACTGTACCCAACCAGGTGAGCTGGCCAGACTGCTCTTTGAGGTGGCCCAGCCTTAGGCCAGGGCCTAACATCATAGCTGAGCATGTCAACCTTTTCTGGAGAGGCTCCTGAGGCAGCCTACTCTCTCAGGGACCATCCTGGGCACCGTTTTTAAGGTTTCTGGGGTGGTTATGACACCTGCCTCCAGCTCTGCCTCAGGTGAGGCCTGGCATCTCAGGGAAGAGGTCACACACACCCACTCACTCACAGAGGAACCTCATGGGCTGGGGAAGGTGAGGGAGCTCTGGAGCACCCCACCCTGGAGAAGGGATGAGGACCGTGGGGCTAGAGGACATGGATGGCGGCCGCCAGTGAGGCTGGAGACGGGGCTGCCCGCGGGGGAAGGCGCTTCTGCTGCTGCGTTTTATGGTGTTTTTAAAATTTTTAGTTGTGGTAAAACATACCTAACATAAAATTTACCATCTTAACCATTTCTGAGTGTATTCTTCAGTTGCATTAAACACATTTACATCGTCGTGCAACCATCACCACCATCTTGCTTCAGAATTTTTTCATGTTCCCAAAACTGAAATTCTGTACCATTAAAATCAACTCTGCATTCCCCTGCCCACACCCCCGGCAACCGTCATTCTACTTTGCATCTCTGTGAATCTCACTACTCCACGTTGACTTCCTTACACAAGTGGAATCATGCAGTTTGCCTTTTTGTGACTGGCTTGTTTCACTCAATATAATGTCCTCAGGGGTCATGCATGTTGTAGCAGTTGACAGAATGCCTTCCATTTGAAGGCGGAATCATATTCTGTTGTATGGAGATGCCACGTTTGTTTATTCGTTCACCTGCTGAGGGACACTGTGTTCAAAGGTGTTGCTTCTACCTTTTGGTTACGTGAAGAATGCTGCTACGCACATCAGCGTACAAATCTCTCTCCAAGGCTCTTCTTTCAGTTTTGGGGGGATATATACCTAGAAGTGGAATTGCCGGATCACATAGTAATACCTTTTTTAATTTTTTGAGGAACTTCCATACTGTTTTCCACAAGGACTGTACCATTTTGCACTCCCACCAGCAAGGCAGAAGGGTCCCAATTTCTCCACATCCTCACCAACAGTTGTTACTGTCTATGTTTTTGATAGTAGCCAACCCTAAGGGGTGTAAGGTGGTATTGCTGGTCTTTGTTTGTTTGTTTGTTTGTTCTGAGACGGAATCTTGCTCTGTCGCCCAGGCTGGAGCGCAGTGGCCCTATCTCGGCTCACTGTAAGCTCTGCCTCCCGGGTTCACGCCATTCTCCTGCCTCAGCCTCCCGAGTAGCTGGGACTACAGGCGCCTGCCACCACGCCAGGCTAATTTTTTGTATTTTTAGTAGAGATGGGGTTTCACTATGTTAGCCAGGATGGTCTCGATCTCTTGACCTCGTGATCCTCCCGCCTCGGCATCCCAAAGTGCTGGGATTACAGGCATAAGCCACAGTGCCCGGCCGGTATTGCTGGTCTTAATGCCCATCTGTTTCCCTTATTTATTTAGTCCTGTCCTGTGCTGGGCATGAGAAGGGCTCTGAAGAATCACAGAGTGCCACCCTCAGCCTTCCAGATCCTCACTCTCTAAATGTCTTCAACAGACTCACTGATAATGCATTTTGATGTTCAGGAAACTGTGATGGTCTTGGTCAGGGCCACAGGTGAACCCGTCAGCTGAGGAGGGTCATGGAAGCAGCATGGCCACCCAGGAGAGAGTCCCAGGAGGAGGACAGAAGGGGAGCAGTGGTGGTCTGCTGGGACATCTGCCAGCCAAGGAAGCCTCTGGATCAGTGGCCAGCAAACTTCTTCTGCAAAGGGTCAGCCAAAGTCCCTAAAGGCCTTGCAGGCCATATGGGTCCCTGTCCTAACTAACGTATAAATGAATGAGGTCACTGCATCCCAATAAAACTGTATGTATAGGCATTTAGTTTGAATGTCATATCATTTTCACATCATGCAATATTCTTCTTCTTTTGATTTGTTTTTAACCATTTAAAAATGTAAAAAACTATTCTTAGCTTGTGGACTTGGCCTGCAAACTCTGTTCCAGAATCAACGGCAGTGACACTCTGAGAGCTTAGGTCCCTGAGCAGCTCACAGGGACAGGCGTTCCTCGAGCTCTCTGCAGCCTGATTGCCTCCATGGGGTCAGCATCCTCGGGCGACCTGGTTCCATGATGGAACCTGAGTGCCTTCAACGCATAAGCACTGCTCACCAATCTGTGTCTGGCTCTGCGGCTCTGGTGTCGGCAGACAGAATCCATGCGCACCCGCTGATGCAGAAGGATCTTTGGGCCAAAGATAGGGAATAAGATGACATGAACTCCGGAGGAATCAGTGCTGTCGGCTTGCTTCACTATTTCCTAAAACAACTCCGGAGCCCTGTCTCAGCTTTGTCCTGGAAGGAGGATCACAGTCACTCTGGTGGCCCTGAGAGGACAGGCGGGAGGAGAGAGAGGGTGCACCCCCTCCCTCCCTGGGGCGAGCCCACCTCACAAGGTCAGCAGGGTACAGACCCCAAAGACCAGGGCTGGGGACTCAGCATGTGACCCAGGACGCAGGGGATTTAATTCTAGCCCCTCCCTGCCATGCTGTGTGACCCTGGGCAAGTCGCTTCCTCTGTGTGCACCTGAGTTTCTTCATCTGTGGAACAGAAATGCCAACAGCTCCCAGAGCTGTGTGGGTCAGGTGGATTAAAACACGTAAAGAGCTTAGAAAGATTCTTGGCACATGGTGAGCACTGACTCAGTAGTAGCTGTGGGTATTATTAGTTCATCTAATCTGAACAACAAACCCAGGAGGTGAATACTATTTTTAGCTCCATTGTATGATGAGCGAACTCAGGCACAGAAAAGTTAAGTCACCAGCCTTAAGGCCCACAGCTAGGACAGGGTGGGGTCTGCAGAGCCATGTCTGGTCCATGGGCAGACCCACCCTCTTAGACCCTGGCCTGTGCACCCTCTTGGGAAGCCATAGAGCAGGCCCAGGAGCAGGGAGCCCGGGCCCGGGACAGACCCTGCAGGAAGGTGCCTGAAGGTCATCCAGCAGAGGCCTATTTCCCCCAGGAAGCCCTCCTGGTGACCACCTCTCATCCTCTAGAGCCAAGTTCACACTCATGTGGACCACATGCCAGGTGAGGATGACACCTGGGGGTTCCGCCTCTGCTTAGGAGGGGCCCCGTAGTCCTGTGCCCGTTAGCTGTGGGCCCTCAGGCAAGTCTCCTCTCTGGGCCTCAGTTTCCCCACCTAGAGAAAAGAGGTGAGATGGGCTTCTCCATAGTTCTCAGATCTAACCAGCCTGTGAAAGGTCTTCCACTTTCACCCCACCCCCAAAGCCACTAAACCTCGGAGTGTCTGCCTTCCCACAACTCATCGATGACAGGACAGAAGCTTTCTTTTTAAACTTTTACCCAGAAGAGCCCCCCTGCTGGCGAGACCACCACCCTTTCCAAATCTCGCTGTGCTGGCCACCACCCCCTACCTACCTGGGACAGGTGCCAGGCCCTGGGCAGTGAGGGACCATCCTGGACTGGAGCTCAGAAGAGGGGAAATGCTGTGTGGAAGCCAACAGTCTGTCCCACCACCATGGCTGGAGTCACCACCCCAGCCACCAAGGCCCACAGCATAATCCTGTAGGTGCGGGCCAGTGAGCACACCGAGGTCTCGCCTGGGACCTGAAGTTGACATGATGCCAGCTCAGGACAACTGGCCACTCCTGATGCCCTCCCAGGCCGGCAGAAGCCCAGCCTCTCCTACAGGAATGACCAGCAGCCACAGCACAAATCCTTATGGGCTGCAGATAACTGTCCTCAGAGGGAAAGGGATGCTGCCTTCTGTGTAGGGAACAGACTCTGTGCCTACTAGAGAAATGAATGAACAAATAAATGAACCCTCTAGTCCAACCCACTCACTTTTCAAACGAGAAAACTATAGGCCAGAGAGGGTGAAAAACTTGCCTGAGATCACACAACCACTGAGGGGCAGGGCCTGGGTACAGCCAGCCACCAGCAAGCATCTCTTGAGCACCTGCTGTGTGCCAGCTACTGATCCCAGTGCTGGCATAGAGCAATGCACAAGCAGGCCCAGCCCCTGCCCCCATGGAGCTCACAGCCTTGCTCCTAACCAGAGTCCAGGCCCCGGACGCCCAGTCCAAGGTGCTTTTTCGCCCCGCAGTAGCAAAGAGGCCCCGCTCAGATACTCTGGGCAAGGCGGTGAGCAGCACGGGGTGGCAGGCTGGCTCGTGGAGCTGACTCGAGGCTTGTGTACTTTCCACTCCTTCTCCGGCATGGTTGGAGATTAATTATTAATGCTGAAATAATTGGCATTCATTAATGCGCCCATCATTCACGGGGGAGTGGGGCCCCGCGTTAACCAATGCATCAGTCGGCGATTGATTAATTAAGCTGAGCTTCTATGAGACACCCTCGGGTGACAAACCACACTCTCCTGAAGGTGGAAGATGCCGGCGGGAAGGGCTGCCTTCCTTGAGGTGCAGGGAGGAAGCGGGAAGGCTGATCTTCCCTGGTGCCCGGGCCCAGCTTGCCACCCGTTTGGATTGGCATTGCCTTTGCCTGCGGCACGGATGAGGCTGAGCTTCACCATGAAGCGCAAACGCTGGCGCAAATTATAGGCTTTTGAAAATGCTATTACATGAATCACCTGCGGGGCATGAGGTGCTCCTAAAAGAAAGAAAAATAGCAAAGGCGTGGTCGAGAGTGCTGGCTTTGGTCTTAGCCAGGGCTGAGCCTCTCCCTGGGTCCTGCTGACCCCCTCAGCCTCAGTTGCTCCAGCAGGAAAATGGGTGAGGGGTGTTAACTTCTCACCCTGAGATGGATGTGCCTTCGTTCATTGAATAAGTGTGTATTGACATGGACATAAACACAGAACAACACACACTGAGGATGACCAGCGTCGGGGGAGCAGGGGGCGGTGTGGGGGAGTGGGCTGAAAAACTGCCTATTGGTGACCACACTCACTACCTGCAAACGCCCATGGAACAAATCTGCACGTGTCTCGCACCCCCCAACCCCAGATCTAAAGTAATACAAAAAGATCTAAGACTTTAAAACTATAAAAGCAGAAACAAATTTTTAAAATTTGTATTGAGCACTTCATCTGCCCCAGTCTCAGGAGACTGGTGTGGTGAGCAACACAGACTCTAGCTCCCCTAAAATCCAGGCCTGCAGACTCTCAGGGGAGCGGGTGTGCACACCGCAAGTGATCTTGCAGGCAAGACAGGAGACGGGTTCCACGAGCTGTGGGAGTCAGGGCTTCTAGCCCAGAGCCCTGAAGGATAAATCACAATCAGCCAAGCAAAGGTGGGGGAAAGGAGTTCAGGGAAAGGAAGGGCATTTGAAAGGTGCAGAGGTGGAGGATGGTGAGCTGTGGGTGGGACCCGATGCCCAAGCCTGGTTTTCAGGAGGAGGGATCCACCAGCTCCAAGTGGGGAGGTAAGCAGGGCCGGGGGCCGTGGGCAGCCCAGGGGACATCAGACTCCTTCTTCCCAGGTGCATGGATGAGAGGGACAGGGTCACTGACAGCATGACCCGGAAGGGGCAGGAGAATGCCACAGGCATGTTTTGGAAAAGGATCTTCTGCGATCCCCCAGCTGCAGTGCAGCCCAGAGCAGGACCTGGGCTGTGCCCCTTCCACGCTCCCATTCCCAGCCATTCTAATAGGCACGACTTGCCTAAAAAGCGTCTGAGGCATCATCCTTCCCAGGAGTAAAGCAAGTAAAGCAGGTGAAGGAGTAAGGTTCCCAAAAGAACCGGTTTCTACAACTTCAGGCCATCACGGTTGAGGGCTGGGGGTCAGGCTATTTGTGCTGAGAGGGTCACTGAAACCCCTCCCTAGAAGAGCAAGGCCACTCAGGGCCCCTCCCAGGCAGGGAGAGCTGTCGCAGAGTGGGGTTAAGCTCTGCGGCCCTGCCAGGAGAGTCGCCCGCCAGGAGCTTCCCATGCAAATGTGGATAATAGTTCTAACTTATCTCCCTTCTGTGGTTCCTGTGAGGAGTGAGAGGACACCCAGAAAGCCCCTCGAAGGCTGGACAAGCTCACAACGCTTTTCTGAGGGCCTGGAGTGGTTCCCCACTGGGTATGTGACTTTCCCATTGGCCTCAAAACTGGGTTGTGAGCTCAAGAAGAGCCAGCGCTGTTTCCATGAGACCGGGAGCTGCCTAGGAGAATCCTCCAGATCCACACACACACACACACCCACTGACACACACACACACACACACACACACACACACACACACACAGGTGCCCAGGGTGGCCAGGAAGAGTCTCCCTCCCTGCCTGACCCTGGCCCCTGGGGACCCTGGGGCCTGACTTGTGCTCCACACACAGACCCCACAGGAAGAGGTGGGGAGGGGGCTGAGCAGGCAAACCAAGCCCCCATCATTCCAGGCAAGGGCTGGAACTGGCACTGGGAAACCCACCCCACCCCATGCCTCACCTCTGTCCCTGGGGCTGGGCAGAGCAGACCCCGGGAGCAGAGGTGGGATGGAAGGTATAAGGAAAGAGGGAGATGAGACGCCAGAAGAAAAGAGGGCAGAACAAGACCCTGCTCTGCACAGGAGGGGAGGCGCAGGCAGCCTGGCACGTCCAGCTGCCCATCTGCCTCTGCCTCCCGAGCGAAGACCGCTGTCCCCACCCTGGCAGCCCCTCCCCCAGAGGAGAGAAGGTCACGAGAAGCTCCTCCCTGGGAGGGAGTAGTTGGTTCATTCCACAATGCCTGTCTCCGCCCCACTCCCCTACTCCTCCCCACACATGGTTATGTATCCCAAGTAGTCCAAAAACCCTTCCCTGAAATCCCACTTGAAAATGTGGTCAGTGTTTTTCTCAGACACTCAGAGGGTCCTCACCCTCATCAGATTCCCTGCAGGTCTGCCATGACCTCAGACAGTTCCCTCTTCCTGCTGGCAGAATGGCCATTCTCACCTGGTGGGACCTGCAGGTGTGCACACCTGATTCTGAAGGTAGCCAGACCCTCAGGGGCCCCTATGGGGATGGGGTAGGAGGAGAGCTGCAGGGCAGCTGAGGGGCTCTGAAAGGCTCCCCCCAGGGCAACCCCAGCAGCTCCCAGGTCCCCTCTGCCATGACAGCAGCTCTCTCTCCTACCCCAAGTCCCCCAGGGTTCAGGGAACCACGAGTTTCTTGGAAACATTGAAGGGAGAGAAGGCAGTATCTGGAGGGCCTGCTCCTCTGAGGGCCTAGGGTGGCTCCCCTCTGGGTACGTGACTTTCCCAGTGGCCTCAAAACTGGGTTGCGAGCTCAAGAAGAGCCAGGCCCGGGTCTTCCCCTCGAATAGCTATGAGGCCTCAAGCAAGATACTCAACTTCCCTGAGCCTCAACTTCCTCATCAGTAAAATGGGTACATCTCACCTGCCCAAGAGGGAGATTATAGAGATTAACTACAAAGCTGCTGCAAAGCGCTGTATCTGACCACAGTAAACAATAAATGGTAGTCAACATCATCATCGCTGCACCTCTGTGAATATTCATTGAATGAATAGCTGAGAATGAAAGAGGGCCTCTCAGAGGAAGGGCAGGGCTCTGGCTGGGCACCCAGCACTATTCCTGACACAGAGAATGTGCCAGAAAACAGCAAAACAACTCAAGAGCATGGCCCTTCTAACCAGGTGAATGCTAACAACCCCCTTAAGGTAGGCACTGTCATTGCTCCATTTTACAGAGGATGACTCTGAGAGGCTGGACCAGGCTACGATCGCAAAGCCAGGGAGGCCGACCCACAGCCCATGCTCCCAGTGACTAGTCACAATGACAGTTGTTCAGCCCCCACCCCCCAACCCTGGGTGCAGCAGCCATCTCATCCACCTGGCCAGAGATGGTGCATGGACGGCTGGGTGTTTGGCTTCCCCACAGCCGCAGAGAAGAACGTCTCAGTGCACAGTTGCCACTGATGCCTGAGGCCAGAGCCAAGGGCAGGAGTTGGGGAGCAGGCCCCTCCCAAAAGAACGCTGAGAACACCCGGGACCGCAGCCTCCCCTGTCTTCCAGGTAGACCCCAGAACAGCTGCCCCTCCCCTTATCCCTCCTCCTGGGCAGCCCGGGGGCTGTGAGTGACTCTGGAAACAGCTGGCTGGGGACAAGTCCTAGAGCTGCGCAACCTTCAGTGAACGGCTGCCTTGCTCTCGGCCTTTGTTTTCTCATTTACACAATGGGGATAATGATACCTGCTCCCCCACCTCCAGGTTGTTGTGAGCACTACACTGAGATGAGGGATGAAGCCCTGCACATAACAGCAGGCACCGTGGGAATGTTTGTTGAGTGACTGAATGACTGACCAGATGGTACCTTTCTCCCTTTAAAGTGCTCTGGCTTTGAGGTGACCCCTAGCACACTGTGTAGACAGAGCAGAGCATCAGGTACTGTGAAACCATACTGAGGACAACTGCACAGACCACAGAAATAGTGCCTGCACCAGACCTTCTCAGGATCTGCCGGGTTTGAGGGTGATCACAGATTCTAACTGCAAGATGATAACTACCCCAATCACAACGTACATAACTGGCTAGGTGCATCACCTCTCCGTAAGGAAGAAAACGAACATGGCAAGACACGCACACAGCCAGCCATGCAACCACACCCCTACAATCACAGTCTCAAACCCCACACACAGTCTCACACACTCACCCACGCAGCCTCACAACCTCAAGGCCAGCCAACCGTACACTACAAACTCACAGCCAACCGCGCACGCCCACGATCACAGTCTCAAGCCCCACGTGGCTCAGCATACACAGTAACACCTACAATCACAAAACAGTGCATCACCAACACTCACACACCCACGATACCCAGGCCACACCCATGAGCAGCAACGCCCACCTCACACACGCACAGCCTCACACACCAGTGACTGCCCGCCCACAGTCCCCACACGACACAGAGCCCCCACAGCCACCATGCTCACACTCCACGCCTCATCTACAGCCAACCACCATCAGCAGGTCTTTCAAAGCCTACCCCGTTAATTTGTCATTTGCTCCCATCGAAAGCCTAGAAACAGGGCTGGGGGCGCTCCCAGGGCCTCTCCCCGCAGAACGGTGTTTGAGTTCTACTTTTTGCCTGCAAAGCCACACTTTCTTAAGCCCTCAGCAGTTTTCATGGCTTGGTGGCCACCTGTGACCTCCCACCCCCATTCCTATCCTCGCTCTTGGTCCTCAAGGGAGCTCTAGGCAGCTGCAGGATTCTCCAAGTTGTGATGGCCTACAAGTCCCTTGCGGCGGGTCTGGGCAGGCGTGATGCTGGGCTGGCCTGAGCTCCAGGTGAGTCAGGAGCCCGGCCACAGCGCAAGAGGCTGCAGGGACACCATGGCCTGGAGCTCTGGTAAAGCCCGAGGCAATAGTATCACGCCATGTCACAGGTAACAGGTATAAAGCTCGGACACCTAGTAGCCCCTCCTAAATGCTGGCCCCACCTCTGGGCTGCGCCACAGGGCACCCTGTGTGCCCCACTCTAAGCCAGACCCTGGGAGGGAGGGCTGGGAGAGAAAACACAGACAGAGCATACAGTTGGAGCCTCCAAGTACTGAGCCCCTCAGCCGCCTGTCTGGGAAATGGGGGGAGCAGAGGTGAGGCAGGTGTGGGTGCTGTCCTGACCCCAGTGCCCCAGCCCAGGCCATGGGCTCCACTGAGTCGCTGAGGACTTGGGGCATGTTTGAAGGCCAGGGTGACCCCCGCATGGTGGGATCCCAGGCATGGTGGTAGATAGGTGGGGGAGGCATTTGAGGTGGGTGGGGATGGCGGCCTTCCGGCTCAGGCAGGCCCTTCCTGTCCCACTGGTCCCAGGTGGGGCTGGGGATGAGTATGAGAAGCCAGCAGCCTGGAAGCCGGAAGAGGCAGGGAGGGCTGGAGGGAAGAAGGGCTGGGGACCTTGAAGTCCAGCAGCGGGGAGTCCAGCCAGAGGAACTGGACCTGGGGGCAGAGCTGGGCTCCAGGGACATTTTCAGAGAAAGGCAGGGCCGTTGGGCCGGGCCACTGGGGATATAAGAAGAGCAGACGGGAGAGGCTGGAGCATCGAGTGGGGGGAAGCAGAGCAAGGGGAGCGGTGACCACAGCAGCACAGGAGGCTGCAGGGCCCTGCTGGAGAGGGGACACCCAGCTGGGACAGGAGACCAGTGCCTGTCCTCACTGCCTCTCTCAGCAACAGGAACTGCTGCCCACCAGTGCCCCCGGGGGCCAGACCCCACAGGGACAGGAGCCAGCATAGGGCAGCAAAGTCACTCAGGGACCAGGTCAGCCAGCCCCAAGGCCTTGTGCCCCTGGGGTCCCCAGGCCCTTCCTGGGGCTACTCATGGGGCCATCCTGGGATGCTCAGTCCAGAAGGGCTTTGGTAGGTGCTCAATGTCCAAACAGCAGAAGCAACTCAGTGGCTCACATCGCACCTCCTGGCCGCTACCTGAAAAAAGTCCCAGGGCAGCGGGGAGGCAGGGCTGGGCTGAGGGCCTAGTGCCACCAGCAGCTAGGCCCAGCCCCCCGCAGAGCAGAGGGCAGAGACGTCGTGACTCACTGCCTGAAATGCACAGGCCAGACCTGTCTTTATGACACTTTCTTCTTTGCCCCTGTGAATTACAGTAATACTGTCTCACAACTTCACAGATGACCAGTCTTCCCCTCGGGCTGAAAGCCTGGCAGGGCAGTAGCTCCCTTGGTTGGGCAAAGAATGGAAAAAGAAAAGGCTAGAAGGCTGCCTCCTGCCACCAGCTGGCTGTGCTGATTGAGCTATACCCCTCTAGCTGTCTGGGCCTCCCTCGGTTTCCCACTACCTTGATGAGGTTACATGCTCTCTAAAGTGCCATGTGCTCTGGGAAGACCACATGCTACCCAAACCCCAGGGCGGAGCCCCAGCAGCCCTGCAGGGCCTCAGACAAAGGCAAGGGCACAGGGCTGCAGTCCTCCAAGGAAACGGGTGGGCTCAAACACCAGGGTCCCTGTCCTGGATGTCTGACCTCAGGCAGGCTCTGAACTCTCTAAGCCTCAGATTTTCAAACTCTGGGAAATGCAGACAAAGCCACTTTCCACAAAGATGCGATGCTGCATGGTAACAGCAGGACTCGGCGGGTATCCCAGTTACACCTGCGCAGTGGGCCATTATTACTACACCGCCCCTACCACCACTCTCCACCGGGAAAACCCCCTCAGGAAGGGCTCCTTCGTACACTCACAGCCTGACTCTGTTTACCCTTCTATCCCAAGATACCAAGCCACTTCTAGGTCCCAGTCACCTCCAAATAGAGGTGAGCAGAGGTTAGCTGGACTTCAGCCTTCAGGGTTTTACATTTCCACCTGGGGACGGGGGCTTACCCAGCACTTGCAAATGGTAATGGATGTGGCCTTGGTGAAACATAATCAATCTTGGGACTAGCAGGATAAACAAATGTGTAATTCATGAATTTGCTAATTGTCCTTCATTTTGATCTTCAGCCATTTTTCCTGGAATCTCTGCCCGACATACATCTCATGGCAAGGACGCAGAGATGCCAGGAGCAGGCCGTGGAAGCTGCTGGCATCCAACCTGGACACCTGGACTGGCCTTCCTCCCAGCTGCCCACCTCCAGCCCAGGCCTCCCTGCCCCAGACATCACGCAAGGCAGGAGGCCCGTGGCACTCAATCTTTTATTTTCTTAAACTGTACACAAACGTACAATACTTTAACAGCAAGTCTATGGGAAAATTGTTTGGTTTTAAATTATTATGAAACAGAATCTAAGGGGAGCTTTATTAAATAAACATAAAGATGAGGATTTAAGGATACACACCTGCATTCTATCATAGTCATTTTTACTCTACCTTCTGGGTGTGTAAGGATGGAAAAGACACATCAAACCGAATAAACAAAATCCATTCATACCCTGAAACGTTGGCAGGCCACTCAAGGGACTGCTCAGAACGTCCACCTCATCTCAGATGGCCTCACCGTCTAATAAAATTAAAACTGATCTGTTGGCCTCTTTGGTTCCAAAATTATGTATAATACATTTAACTGTATTCTTTTTTTTTTTTTTTTGCTGCTATAAAAATAACTTTTTTTCAAATGGCAGTTTCTGACTAATCATGCAACTAAATCAGTGCAAACATTAAAAGCAATCATTCGCTTAAAAAAGAAGCAAAGGATTTCATTTCAAGTATAAAAAATATAAAAAGAGTCGTACGAGTCCAGTTTCGTCTAGTGTGGGTCAACCCTTTAAATTGCATAGTTCACGTGGCACTTGGACATCTAGAGGGCGAGCGAGTTCGGCGCTCGGCCAAGGGCCACTTCTGGACACACGCAGATCGGCAAGTGCTATGTCATGTGCGTTCAGGCAGGTCTGCAAGTGCTATGCGGGCGGGCGGGCAGGCGGGCAGGTGAGTGGGCAGGGGCCACGTCCACGGCCAGCCCTGATGGCTGGGGCCCACATGGGCAACTTCTGCAAATCAGCTGAAAGCCTTCCCCATCTCTCCAAGACCAACTAGGCTGCTCCCCTCCCTTGGCCTCCGCTGAGGGGACACCCCCCATCCTCAGCAGTTCAAGAATGCCTCCTCCCCGCCATTTCCTCCTGCGGTCTCATCCCCTTGCCTAGGGGTCATTCCCACCCGTCCCCAAACCAGTCCTAGAGGAATGTCCCCAATGAAGGGCACAGATTGCAACTTTTTTTCTTTCCATTTAGAACAATTCAGATTTTCACTTAAAAGGTCATACCTGGTAGAAAAGTCCTTTTTCAGTTATACAACTGGCAAGGATGACCTGTCAACTGTTGGAGATCAGTTAAAGCATCAAATTTAGCCCCCTCTTCTCTCCCTCCCTCCCCACCCCAAAAACACACACACACATAAGTCATGTCAGAGGCCCAAGCCACAAACAGTCAAACGGTCATTGCCCCTGCTCCCAGGTCTCTGACGGGTTGTGTCCTTTCTGGGTCTCTTTCCCTCGACAAGGGCATGGAAGGACAGGCTCCCCAGGCCTTGAAGCACGAAGGATCCCAGGCTGGGGAAGAAGCAGACATCGAGCCAGGCAGAGCAGGCCTGGTAAAAGCCACGGGGCACACGCAGCCTCCGCCGAGCTGCGCTCCCCACCCCTGCATCTGCTTTTCCTCTCCGTGGCTCTCTCTCTCTCTCTGCGTCTCTGTCTTTGTGCTTTTATGTGTGCTCGGAAGGCGCAATTCAGAGTGGCCGGGCCAGCTGGTGGGAATGGTGGCTGCTCACCCCATTCTCTCCGACTGACAGGCATTTGTAGCTAAGCTGCCATTTGTCACCGCATCCATTTGCTGGTATCCTGGAGGCTGCTGTGTGGGTGGCAGGATGCGTCTGGCTGTGCGTGGCTACGTGTGCATTTTAAAGTATTTCATGTCAGTTGAGGGTTCTCGCTCTGGTTTTGACTGGTTGCTCTATGAAGCTGTAGAAAAATATCTCAGGCCGCACCCTGGCACTATCTCCACAGCCCAACAGAATGACTGTACTCAGCCCACCGTGTACCCCCGTTCCCGCGGGGGCTGGAAGAAGCCCACCCGGGACTGCCCTCCGTGCCCCACCACCGTGCCCCTGCCTTGCACTGTCAGGCGCAGCCGCACTCCTCCACAATCATGTTGGGCACGTCCCGCTTGACGATGTTGTACTCATCATCGAAGTACAGCATGGACATGGTGCTCAGCTTGGTGGGAATGCAGCAGGAGTTCACCGTGCCGGGGTTCAGACCCCGCATGCGGTACTGGTTCACCACAGCCGTGTGGAAGGAGGAGGCAGAGCCGGGGACCCCTGCCAGGTAGGCTGGGCAGCTGCCCTCACAGTAGTTCCCGTAGTAGCCGGTGGGTGCTATGATCCAGTCGTTCCAGCCGATGAGGCGGAAGTCAATGAAGAACTGTTGCCTGCAACAGAGGTTGGTCCGGCCATCGCACTCCAGGCCTCGCTTGCGAATGCGGTGCCTGCTGTCGCCCAGCCGAGCCTGCACCACCACAAAGGGCCGGTGCGACTCTTCGCCTGGGTCCACGAACACCGGCACCACGGCCAGCTCCTGGCAGCTGTCACACTGCACGTCTAGGTTGAGTCGCCGCTCGCCCCGCTCAAACAAGGCCTGGATGGCCTCCGTGAGTGGGAAGGTATGCCAGCCGCTGCGCTTGAGGTCCACCCTCTTCTCCACCATGTTCCACCTGTCACCGTGGCCCTGCTCCTGGAAGTACACTTTGACCCGCACCTTCCGCCGGCTGCCCTTCTCCAGGACGTAGGGCAGGAGTTTCAGGTAAAGCCACAGGCTGGCCTGGACCACAAACAGGTTCTGGTTGCCTTCGTTGGAGATGAAGAAGTATAGGCGGACCCGGGAGGAGGCGAGGCCATCTGCGGAAAAGGGGAAGGGCGAGCCAAGTTAATTCAAGGAGAACACAAGGCAATGGGGGAAACACACTCTCTGCTGCAGGATGCTGGAATGCAACTCGCCACACAGCTGGAAAACGTTACTGACCAGAAATACCATTCTTGGGGCCAGGGCCTCTGACTGTAACCTGGGAGAGGCAGAGAAAATCGTTTCTCATTGAGAAACCCGGACCAGGCTGGGGCTGGAGGGTCCGCGCCTATAAAATCCTGCCTCACCTCTCCCAGGCCAGGGCTCCCTGGAGACAGGCTGTCAGGCCTCAAAGCACAACAGAAGAACTTGTCAGGGGGCCAAGATCTTAACAAGTTGTTATGGGTATCTGTGAAATCTGAAAAACAAAACCAGGATCGCAGGGAGGATTTTGGGGTGGGTGGTTTTAGTAGGGCTTTTTTTTTTTTTTTTTTTTTTGGTTAACTTAGCGCATTGCAAAATCAAGCTGAGCCACCTACCGCCTCTTTCCAGTGTTTACCTAAGTATGATGTGATCCAACCCCCAGTGGAACCTCCACTGCAAACAAGCAGGCTCTGCTCAGGTTTCTGACATAGGAACGTGTGCTTTGCAGGCTGCAGAGCCTAGCCCTTATAGAATAGTTTCAAGGGACAGGACATTCAGCCTTAAAACTTGAGGTCCAATCCTTTGACAAGACTCTGGCTCCCTGTTAATGGCACGTTCAAAATCCCCAAGGAGTAGGGGAGCTGGCTAGTTAATTTTCTCAATAATTCAGCTCAACAAGAAGGAGGCTGTGCCAATCAAGAGATGACTCCCCTCTCATCCTACATTCCGGTGACCCTTGCCTCTGACAATCTACGTTTTTCTTTCCTTTTTTTTTTTTTTTTTTTTTTCAGGAAGAACAAATAATGAAACTCTGTGGTCAGGGCTGGTTTTATCAAACCTCCCACCATGCCCCTCCCAAGCCCCTACCTCAGGCCTCGCCTGGCTCCTCTAATAACACTGACATCTGACTTTGAAATGGGGGAAACTGCAGCCTTAAAAGCTGGTCTTGGACGAGCTGCCTGTGACCTGAATCTGTTATTTATAAGTCAAAGAGCTGGCTCCGTGAAACGGACCAGAAATATAACAGCCCCCGCTGTCATTTTGTGCCACCGGGACCAAAAGGCCTCCTCGACCTTCCAGAATCACATTTCTAACTCTGGGCCCCAAAGCACCTTTTAATCCGAGCCCTCTAATTGCATGGCGAGCTTTCCCTGACTCACTTTAGTGGACAGCTAAAACGGCAATGCATTTCTTTCTAAGCACAAACCAGCCCCGATTGTCTCTGCTTTTCTCCACACCCGGCCATGCAAAACTTTTCATCCCTTTTCATCCCCGGGCTGCCTGCTGCCTGGTGGGGTGGGGGGCATTTGCAGCCAGGGGCACAACCGCTCCCCCCACCGAGGCTCCCCGCTTGCCCCCGCCCTAACTGCACCGGGGCTTCCCCCTCTGCGACCTTCTCCGCAGTCCCCTCGGCACAAATGGGGCCGAGCTCCAGGCACAAAAGCCAGCCTGGCTCATTCAAGTCCTGAAAAGGACAGCGGAGTCGAAAGCACTTGCAGCATTTTGGCGCGGGCACATTTTTCTCCTTCTTTTAAAGTTCCGAAAGATTTTTCTCTCCCTGATTTTTATATTTAGACAGTGTTAGAGATTTGCAATCTGGGGCCGGGGGGGGGGGCGGATTCCAGAAAGGAGCCATACCCTTTGTTAACTACGACTCTGCCTCTCGGGCGAGGGGTCTGCTGCAGCTGCCAGGCAAGCCGAGAGGCACGGGGCTGTCCCCGAACCGCGGCTTTCTCTGTGTAAATGATGGACCTGTTGAGAAGCCTGCCTTCCGCCCGATTCCGGTGCCCACACAATCGGAAGAGAGGTTGCCTAGCTCTCCCCAGCGAGGCTTCAGCAATCCTGGCAAGCCCACGCCGCCGGTGATGGAAGCGGCCCCAGGGGCCTCTCACGCAGGCACACACACACACAGACACACACACAGATACACACACACTCTCTCTCTCCTCCGGCCCACGTATATCAACAAGCACACACATCTCCATCCACACTGCTAAGCCTACACTCCGATCGTGGGAAACAAAAACATTAAGCAATCACCAAGCAAGTGCCCGCAGAGCCAGGGCCGCGCGCATCTGCCGGGAGGGGGACGCGCGCCCAGAGGCGCTGGGGCCCGATTCCGGAGAGCAGGGGTGGAGGGCCAGGCGATCGGCGGCGGGGGGTTGAGGCAGCAGGCAAGGGTCTGCGGCCTGGGGGAAGAGGACTGCAACCCGGGCGGAGCGCGCAGGGCCACGGCCGAAGGAGCTCTGCCGGGAGTCCAGGCTGCCCCAGGGCGCGCGGGCTGCGGTGGCGGCGGTGGCAGCCGGAGCTAGCAAGGAGAGGGAGAGCGGGAGCGAGCGGGGACCGCGGCAGACAGCCGGAGGGCCGGACCCACCTGTCTCGGCGAAGCTGATGATTTCGGAAACGCGCTCCTGGCCGTCGGCGCCCGGGCTGGCGTGGCCGTCGAGGTGCGGGATCTCCACGCGGCCGTCCTCGCGCACCTTGCCCGCGTGCAGCTTGCGCAGGGCCGTGACCATGGCGGCCTTAGGCACGGCGTGCGTGATGTTGGGCCGGCCCCGCATCTGCAGGCGGCTCAAGATGTGCCGCTTCACCGCCTCCAGGAAGTCGCCGTCCACTCGGCCGAGCTCCTCTGGCCGCCGGAAGCCGCCGCACGACGTACAGGTGTCCTGCGAGCCACCCGGGGATCCGGGTGGCGGGGGTGGCGGCGGCGCGGCAGGCGTCGGCGGGGGCGTGGGTGAGCCCCAGGCCTCAGGCCCCAGCCAGCCGGCCGCCAGCAGCAGAAGGCAGGCGGCCCCCAGCGCCCGACCGGGCAGCCCGTCCATGGTGCGCCGCTGGCGACGAGGGCGCCCGCCGCGAGGCGAGCCGAGTCGAGCCGAGCGCAGGGCCGGGCTCCGGGCTCCGGGCGCGCCGCCCCGCCCCGCCCCCGCCCGCGCCCGCGCCCGCCCGGGCCTCCGCCCGCCCGCCCGCCGGGAGGGCTGCCGCCGGCTCGCAGGGGGAGGGGGCCGGCCGGGCCTCGGGGGTTCCCGCGCGGCAGGGAAGGGGCGCCGAGGGCCCCGGGGGCCCGAGGGGCGCGCCGGGCGGGGCGGAGGTCGCGGGTCACTGCCGCACGGGCGTCTCGGGGCGCCTCGGCATCTGCAGCCTTCTCCCCATCCTTTCCGCGTCGGGGGCCCCGCAGCCCCGGTTCGGGTGAAGCGAAAGCAGCGTCAGTGGGAGCGGCGGTTCGGCCGGCGGCTGGGGAAGGTGGCGAAAGAGCGGGTCCACGCAACTTGGCTGAGACGGAAGCGAAGGCGCTGGAGCCCCCCGGAGCGGAGCCGGGCGCGGCTTGGCGCGGCGCTGCGGCGGGCGCTGCGGCGGGGCCCCGCGCTCGCACCTGAGCGCCTCGCCCTCACTGCCTCGCGCCAGGAAGGGCCGCCGGCGGCGGAGACGGGCAGGTCGTCCTCGCCGCGGGCCGGCGGGCAGTGGCGCGGAGCAAGCTTGGTGCCCGGGAGAGCCGGCCGCGCGGGCCCGCTCACAGGCGGCGCCGAGCCCTCGGCCGCGGGCCCTGCAGTCCTCCCGGCGCGTCACACGGCAAAGTTGTCTCCAGGATCCCTGGGCGCCGCATCCACGGGCGGGCGGCCGCAGCGCGCTTCGCCGGGGCCTCTGCTCCGCCCGCCTCCTCGCAGCCTCCCTCCTTCCCTCCGCCTGCCTGCGCGGCCCGGCCGGGCGCGGGGCGCCGGGCGAGGAAGGCGAGGGGGAGGCAGGGCCCTTCTCGCTCCTGTCTCTTCTGCCTGCCGCGGCGGCGGCGAGGTCGGCTCGAGCGCCGAAAAGTCTCGCAGCGTCCCCGGGTGCAGTGCCCTCGCTCGCGCTCGTACTGGCACCCGCCGCAGGGCCGGGAGAGAGCGGGCGGGCGGCGGCGGCGTCCCCGCGCCGGGCCGCGGCACGGAGTGCGGAGCTCGCCGAGGAGGAGTTCTTCTCTTTGGTCTCTCTTCTTTTACTCTCCCCGTTTTTTCTCCCAAGGGGGAAAAAAGCCGCACAATCTCCGTATGTGCGCGCGCGTTGAGATAGACGTTGGCAGAAAAAAGGGGGGGAGGGAGGGTGTCGTCCTGCCCGTGCGAGAGGAGACGGTCCGTACCTCCCCGCTCGAGCTTCCCGGGGTGGGGGGAGGAGGAGAAAGCGGAATCTGTTCAGGTTGGGGCTGCCCGCTCCCCGCGCTCACCCCTGCTTCCCACCGCTTTTTTCCTTTCTGCCTTCCCGAGAAGGAGGGGCGAGCCGGCCCTCTCCCCTCCCCTCCTCTCCCCTCCCACCCCCCGCAATGCCGGGCTACTTTTGCTACCTCGAAACTTTCCCACCACGTGGGCGCCCCGGACCCTTGCCCAGCTGGGCGGCCGGCGGCACCGACGGGTTCCAGGCGCTGGACCCAGGCGCTCCTCCCGGCCCACTCCCGCCTCCCCGCCGCCGCGCAGGCCCTGCCTCTGTCCCAGCTGCCGCCCTCCCCAACCAGCAGAGGCGACTCCCGCCGCCGTGGCCGCCCCCGGCCCTCCCGGGGCGCTCCCTCGCGGCCGAGCCTGGCGAGGCGAGCGGGGTGCGGCGCGGCCTGGGATGCCAGAGGCAGGCTCCGCCGGCGGCTGCCGCTCTGGGGCTGCAGTGCCCTCACCCAGCTCCCCGGGCCGCCGTCGCACTGGCCGAGGCGTGGACCCTGCGAGCTGGAGGGCGGGAAGGCAGTAGCCACTGGAGGCCTGGCCAGCGGCTGCGTCTGCTGGGCCAGGAGGAACGCCCCGATTGTGCGGGATCCCAGGCGCGCGGCCCGGAGGCCACTGAGCCTCAGGGCTTGAGGGGCTGGCAGGGTCTACAGTACCCCACCCCCACCCCCACCCCCAGGGAATTCCCACTTTCGCCAGCAGACAAACTTTGGCTTCACTCAGACCCGGGTTCCACTCGGGCTCAGCCACTGCCAGCTTTGCAGGAGTGACCTTGGATAGAGTCCTCACCTTTCCTATCGCCTACCTCTTCTTCTGTGAAGGGACAGTAACACCTGTATCACAGGGGCTGGGTGGGAGGCCCAGCGAGGCAACTGGGCCAGGCTCTTCACACAACCCGATAAAGGATGGTTCTAGGGTCACCGTTCTCAGGCCACCGGACAAGGAACACTGTCAGTGGAAACTTGACTTTCAGACCCGTCCGGGGCCCCAAGTGCAATGCGCTCCTCTGTCCTTCTTCACGCCCCCACCCGGGTCTGGGGCCGCATGACAATGCCCACAGGACACGGAGCCGTACCCCGTTCCCTCGCAACGGGCTAGACTCAAGGCAGAAGCACGATGGGAGTTCATCCTGGCTTTCCCAGGATATTGGGGAATCGGGGACGTCGGAGGCGGAGCGTGGCCTCCTGCCCCCGCCTCCCACCGCCAGTCTCTCGGGCCAGCCCTGCCACCGTGGAGCTCGGCCGGGACCGCAGGCCCGCGGCGGCCTGCAAGTCTGGAAGCCGAGCGCCCCCTCCCTCCCAATCGGAGGAACCGACCCGAAGCTGGCGGGCAAAACTAGGGCGGGTGTGAGTTTGCCGACCGAAGTCAGAAGCAGGGATCCAGGAGGATCCCCGAGATGGCAGCCCTTCTGCCTCCTTAGAATCTCCACCAGGGCCAGAGTCTCTGCTCTCCCATCAGGTTGCCCTTGCCCTGCCTGGGAGCCTGTGGCCCGGGAGCTTCTGCCTCCTGGGAAGCACCTCCTGCATGGTGGCCTTGAGCCAGGCTGGCCACCTCCTGGTTTTGCTTGCATCTGCCCACCCGGCTGTCTCCGTCACCACAGCCACCAGCTACTTGACAAACTCATTCTCAGGCTCTCAGAGTCAGCCCAGTCTCTCCTCCTTGGCGAAGCCTTCCCTGACCCGGTTGTGCCCTGTATAGTTTTTTACCTGAGTGAGGCTCTCAGCCCAGTGCCTGGCTGTTATCTCCTCCCTTGTCTGTCTCCTGCATGGGAAGCAGACTTCCTGGGCCCTATCTGGTGCCAGACCTGGCAGATGATCAGGGAGAACTTATTGAAGTAATGATTGAATGAAGAAATGAGAGAAGCCATAAAGCCAATGAAGGAGTTCACAACCCCCACTCCCCAACACAAGCCCTCACAGGAGTGTTCCTGGCCAGCCCTTCTCATTGTCAGCCCCACCTGGGCTGGACAGGGCTGTGGAAAGGGAGAGAATATGGGTGAGGTTTCCCTGCCTTCAAGCCTTCAAGAAGATGCAGCATCCTGCCCATTGACCTGGCACCAGGGAGGGGCAAAAGCCGCCGTGTCCTTGCTGGTGGGAGGAGGGAAGAGGAGGTTGGGAGGAGGGTCCACACTTTGCTCCCCTAGTGGAGGAGCTGTCAGCCCCGCTGCCAGTCATCTGCTGGGAGGGAACTGGGTCAAGCGGTAGTCAGAAACCATCTGCTCGAGAAGCTGGGATTATCCTGCCCTCTGCTGATCCCCCAGCCCACGGGAGCCAAGGGTGTAAATTGAGTTCTTCCAAATCACCTTGTGTTTCTGGGGGGGGCTCCCCTTCCCCTCCTGAGGGGCAAGGACCTGTTCCTGTTGCTTCAAAGCCTCATTTAGCATCGAGCTTGGTTCTCCTTGTACTGGTAAACTCAGCCTTCCATCTCGGCTAAGGATGTGACTGCGTCTGTCAGTTTTGAATACAATAATGCACATCAGTGCCGTAGCCAACACCCTCCAAGCAGCTGCAAGACCAGGCCACCCTAATGCAGGATGCTGGCTCCCTGCTGCCATCAAGGAACTCCTTGGAGAAGGCAGGAAGGAAACATGGCGACACTGTAGATTCGGGCTTGCAGAAGTTGGAAGAGTACAGAGCACTTCCTCTCACGCACGCCTTTTTTTTTTTTTTTTTTTTTTTTTTTTTTTTGCATAACCCATCACTATCTGTTGAGGATGATGGAAACGTCCAAAAGTGACAAGGCAAACCATATACGTGAGCCTTAGGGCTCATTTGCAAAACAAATTGAGAACCCAGGTGCAGTTCTTGGCCCTGCAGCTCCTGCAAGGTGTGGAGTGGAGAGAAGGTCTTTGCACCACTAGGCACTAGGGTTCTGGCTGGAAGAAGGCCTTCGGCAGAGTTGGGCTTAGGGACCTGGCATGTATTTTTCTGTCACTGAAGCCACTCTTGCCAAGTTTCACCATCATATGTCACACCTCTCCAGAGCAACTCGATCTCTGCACAGAGGAGGTGCGTGCCAGGCCCAGTGCAGCAGTGTCCTGCTCAGCCAGCAGCCCTGGACACTGGCAATGGACGGCCTCAGCCTGGAGCCAGGTGGGAAGGAGAACCCAGCCAAGAGTGCCTCCTAGGGTTGGGGGTCAAGCTGGCCTTTGTAAGAGCTCAGAGACCAACATGGAGCCCCACAGAATGCCCCAAGGCCACCTCATGCCTTTGAGGTCACAGACTCAAGTCCTTGATGAAAGAGTGAACACAGGAGGGTTATTTTGATAAGACAGTCCTGTATTTCTTACCAGGGCAGCTGGGTGCCTCCTACCTCAGGAGGGCCCTGGCAGCCATCTGCATCCATAAACCCAGCAGTGGCCTCAGTGAGGATGCTTATTATCTCTGGTAGCTCATGGGCTCGGGGGGCCAAGACCTATGTTATTCATCTGTCACTGTCCAGTGTCCCGCACCGCACCTGCCTTGGTGAGTGCTTATGGACTGAATGAAGTAGGGGCATCACATGGGGCAGACAGAGGAGCTGAGGTGCCCAGTGTGGCTGGGCCAAGACCCTGTAGGTCAGCAGCAGGCCCAGGACTCCAGCACAGGCCCTGCGTTCTGGTCAGCTTGGACGGCAAGCCACTCCATGCTTCCAGGTGTGTGCTGCTGTCCCCTCCCAGCAGGTGTAAGCAGGTGGACACAGGTATATCATACCTGCTCATGTCCCCATTCTATTTCCTAAACAGGCTTTAACACAAAAGCATTTCATAGGGCTACTCATCAATTGTGGTACTTTTGAGATGATGTCCTCAGTTCCCCAACCCCTGAAATCTATTGTACGTCAGCAAGAACCATACAAACTCTTGTGTTCTGGGCCTCATTCTCAGTAAGACTGGGGAGCCTCGATGTAGCTAGGTAGAGAGGACCCACTTCTGGTTCATCCAGCAAGGGCCTTCAGACCAATTCGTGGGCTACTGGAGGTTCTGTGAGAGTAGAATTCAACATGTTTTGAACATCCAGGAAATTTGTGAACATTCAGGAAATATTTCAACAGCAGGCCCCTGAGGATGGCTGTCCAAGTTGGTATATTTTCTAGAAAAAAAAAGAGAGGTGCTAAATACAGCAGTTGGTTAGTGACCCACTTCAAATTGCTAATCACAAACTATTCCTAGCACAGAATTCCTTCCCTTTCATTCAGTAAACACACTGAAATAGCTGCTGGAGATCCAGCAAGGCATAAGTCAGGCCCTGACACCCCCACCCCCAAGTCTACTGGGAAGACCAGTGCATGAGCAGGGAGATCCTCCCTCTCCCAGAGAGACCACAGGGATAAAGCTGAGGGGGAAAGACACCTAAGTCTACCAGAGGTGTCTCAGGGGAGGCAGGATTTGAACTGAGCCATGAAGCACAAGGAGGCATTTTCCAGGTGGCCCCCAGGTGGACATGAGAGAGACAAGGTGGACAGGAACTGAGGTCCCTGGGATGAACTGCGTGAGAGTAGGTCTAGGGGAGGAACCAGGTCAAGTCCAGTGTAGCTAGGCCTGGGTTTGTCAGCCCAGAAAGAGGTGGTAAGGCCAGGAGGACATGTGACCCCTTGCAGGGGTGTTTTAGGACAGTGGCAGCACTCTAGTGCCTCAGAGACCCAGCCTATCGGGGAGGCACTGAGGGCTAGCATGAGAACCAAAAGGGAGGAAGGAGAGGGATTGGAGTCCTTCCATCAGGACACAGGCCTGGGCAGCTCATGGGAGGAGGGGCTGAGCAAGAAAAGCTGAGGAGCCCCCTCCTCCCATTCCTGCCGTGGGAGCGCCTGTAGATGGCTTCCGGGTGCCCATGTGTGGCCGAGAACCCAGCGAGCTGGCTATTTTGCTACTAACAAAGGAAAAGTAGAGCATTTCTAAGGTTTCTTTGTTTAGGGTCTCCAAGCCCAAGTGCGTCCACTCTGGGAATACTTGGGTCCAAGTACCAAACTCCCCTTAAATGGCATGCCTCGGTCCTCAGCTGTCCTTGAGCTTCAAACTGACCTTTTTTCCATCTACTCCTCGGAGGACGAGAAGTGACCTGCCTGTCCAATGGGCCACCAACAAAGAAAAATGCACAGCTGACCCCAGATAGCATTTCTGAGGTTCTGATGGGTGACAGGGACAACACAGAAACCAAAGAAATTATGCTTGTCTACAGACAAGACATCTTTTTTGCTTTTTTGTTGTTGTTGTTGTTGTTAAGACGGAGTCTCGCTGTGTCACCAGGCTGGAGTGCAGTGGCATGATCTCAACTCACTGCAACCTCTGCCTCCCGGGTTCAAGCGATTCTGCCTCAACCTCCCGAGTAGCTGGGACTACAGGCGCGCGCCACCACGCCCGGCTAATTTTTGTATTTTTAGTAGTGACAGGGTTTCACCATGTTGGCCAGGATGGTTTTGATCCGACCTTGTGATCCGCCCACCTCAGCCTCCCCTTTTTTGCTTTCTAAACAGAAGCAAGAAACTCATCAATCATTTCATGTATATGAAAACTGAGGAACCTCTGTCTCCAACAGCCCACACCCCCTCCAGCTGCACCCATATGTTCCGTATTCATGGAACTCACTTCCTGTGAAGGTACCACGGTAAAGCAGATCAAAAAGAGAGCCACCAGAATGTTGGGCTTCGCATAAGTTCTCCCCACCCTGACATAAGACTCTAATTGAATTTTCGCAGTCAGTAAAATGGTCTCTGTCTCGCATTGAAGGGAACTCCACAGGGGGAACCACCGTGGCTGTAGAAGGAGAAAAAAACAGAGCCATTAGCAGCTTCAGCTTCCTGCAGCCAGGACCTATTGACTGGCTGGTAAAGCTCTGTTAATTTCAAGTCCTCTCAATGTTCAGCCCCTTCCCTTTTGGTCTGGGCACTGGGCAGGCTCCTGGTTCACACCATGCTCCCTGTCTTTCCTCCTCCTTCCCCACCCAGGCCCCCAAACTGCGAGTCAGGTGCTGGTCTGAGAAAGGAGGCATTTCTCACCTACCTCCCTAGCCCAGGTCATTCAACCTCTACAGTGCCTTCTCTTCCCCATATATTAGATTATGGGTTGAAATGCCAAAGGAAAAAAAAATGAATGGAAAGGGAAGGATTTGATTTTTGCTTGATGGATTTATTTATATCTAATTAGGAGGCCCCACTGTGAAGGGGATAAAGTTTTAGTTCTGGCCTATTGAAGGGCAAACACCTATTGTGAACTTGCCGTCTGCGTTGCTCCAAGATTCCCAGAGTCGAGCCACATGCATTCGTGATGCCAGTAGAACAGTGAGCAGAGCCCAAGCCACCAGGCACTGTCCTCAACCCTCCACCTGTCAGCAGGGCCTGTCACGCAAACTGGTCTCAAGCCAGGGATTGGAGGATGTGCCCTTTGACACCTTTCCAAACAAGAAGAAAAAAGAAAGATGTAAAGATAGACCAGATAAATAGATAGCATCTTTAGGATGAAGAAATACAAAACATTAAAATTTCATTTGACCTTCATCTCCCTTAGGGTGTCTAATGTTTCTCATACCCCTACAACTTCCTACTGATTCAGAAATAACAGCACAGAGCAAGACACTTAGTTAGAAATAAAAAGAAGAACCTGCCAGGCATAGAAATACTGAAACACTCATCAACTGACATTAAGTAACACTGGTCAAAAGAGGTGTCACGTGCATTATTACACAACCTCTTTAGGACATCATTTGTATCTGTACATAATGTAGTCAAACTGTTATTTACCTGAGCTCAGCTAACCATGAATCTTTTTGTAATTAAATCTATGAACACTGTCAGACACACTCACCAATCTTGCACACATTGGTGATAACTAGCCCTCCTCTCCAGCCACAGAATATATTCTTTTTTTTTCTTTTTTCTTTTTTTTTTTTGAGACAGAGTCTTGTCTGTCACCCAGGCTGGACTGCAGTGGCACGATCTCGGCTCACTGCCACCTCCACCTCCCGGGTTCAAGCAACTCTCGTGCCTCAGCCTTCCAAATAGCTGGGACTACAGGCACCAGCCACCACGCCCGGTTGATTATTGTATTTTTAGTAGAGATGGGGTTTTGCCATATTGGTCAGGCTGGTCTCAAACTCCTGACCTAGGTGATCCACCTGCCTTGGCCTCCCAAAGTGCTGGGATTACAGGCATGAGCCACCACTCCCGGCCTCCAACCACAGAACATATTCTGGGTTCGGGGCCCCTCAGGATGGTCTTTAGCCCTTCCTGATGCCTCCAACTATTGTTCAAAAAGGTTCTTGTATTCATTCCACATGTACGCAGAGGACCTAGTAGGAACAGAACACTGTACCAGGCAATGACTGGGCTACGGCACTGTCCTGACTTCAGATCAATTAGCAGGGAGGGCAGACACCTTGGCAGCAAGCACTAGGCCCCGCAGAAGGCAGTACGGAGGGAGCAAATGAGCAGGACAGGCCCTGGCACAGTGGAGCTTGCAGGAGATGGAGGGCCAACGGGAGCTTGTGGGAGAGCTGCCTGGGCCTGCGCTGGGGGCTGGAGCCACCCTGGAGGAAGTAGGGCCCAGCCAGTCAGGGTCGGGGAACAGGGTCTGGCCAGGGCCTTCCAGACAGCAGATTCCTAAAGGCCAGACTGGGGTCGTGGTGAGTTCGCGGGGTCGTGGTGACTTCGCAGTGCCGCCACACCAGCCCTGAGCTGCTTCCTCTGCTCTGCGTTTGTGGGACAGAAGAGAACCTTGGGCACTTAAGCCGCCGCTATTTGGGATTTTCCACTATGTGCAGCCAGACCTAATGGTAACTGAGTCAAGAGGCATAGGGTTGAGATGGGAGCTGGGAAGCAGGAGAAAACGAAGATGAGAAACAGAAAGGGGCAGTCAGGGAGGTGGAAGGAAACGAGGACAGGTGGTGTCCTGCAGCCAGGGGGTGGCAGGGAGTCCAGGCACAGCAGCGTGGGCTCTGAAGGAGGCAGGAGAGGGCACTGCAGGTGACAGTATGCAAGAGAGGGCAGGAGGTGGGTGGTCTCTGAGTGTAAAAAGTGACCAGAACAGGGAAGACGCTGGGGATGCATAAGGGCGTGGTCTGCCCTCCTGATTCAGGTCCACAGGGAGCCCAGAGCTGCGAGACTCTTCAGCTGGGAAGCCCCCAAAAGTGGGAGCTAAGGGATGGTTGATGTAACTGGCTTCTGACCGATGATGCCAGAGCCGGGCAAACACTGGAGCCATTTCCTCAAGCAGGTGCCTATGCCCGGTCTGCCCTGGGTATGGGGTGTGCTGCTTTGGGAGAAAAGTGGTGGCAGCCGAGCCTGGCCCATAAAACACACAGACTGATGAGCTGCAGCTCTATGTTATGTTACAGTAGGAAGAACCATTCTCCAATGGAGATGTCATTCATTTCTTTACTGCCTCACTCCTATCTTGCAATATTTTTCAGTGATTCTCCCCTATTCAGGAAAAAGATCTAATTCCTTCTGCTGCCTAGGAGGCTTTTTATCCAGCCCCTACTGCCTCCAGCTTCCCAGGAAGTAGCCCCTTCCTCCTCCCCCGCAACTCACGCACTGACTCTCTCTTCTCCAGCCACTGAAAGCTACTCCAATGGACCTAACAGACCCCGGGTCTCTAAAATGACCAATCTTCCCAGCTTGCCTGGGATGAAGGGTTTTCCTGGGCCATAGGACTTTCTGTGGTGAAATCAGGACAGTCCCAGACAAACCAGGTCATGCTACATACCTCGCCCATTCATATCTTTACTTCTACTATTTGCTCAGTCTGCAGCTCCTTCCCCTGAGCCTTGTCTGTGAGGAAGACACTTGACAGCTTGCCTCCAGCATCACTGCCTCCCCAGAGCTTCTCCTAATCAGCCCCTGACTCTATTAAAACCACAGAACCTGCCAGGTGGTCCTCTGTGCCTTTTTGGTAGCCTGCATAGAGCTCCAGCACAGCACTTCAATACTTTACTGTCTAGGCCAGGCGCGGTGGCTCACCCCTGTAATCCCAACACTTTGGGAGGCTGAAGCGGGCGAATCACTTGAGGTCAGGAGTTCGAGACCAGCCTGGCCAACATGGGGAAACACTGCCTCTACAAAAAATACAAAAATCAGCCAGGCGTGGTGGCACGCGCCTGTAATCCCAGCTACTCAGGAGGCTGAGGCAGGAGAATAGCTTGAACCCGGGAGGCGGAGGTTGCAGTGAGCCAAAATTGTGCCACTGCACCCCAGCCTGGGGGACAGAGCAAGACTCTGTCTCAAAAAAAAAAAAATACTTTACTGTCCAGATGTGCTGCATTCTCTGTCATGCCCTCTAATGTCACACATGCCTGTTGAAATGTGGCCCTGATGCCAGACACTTGCCACTCTCCATTCTCCCTTCTCCCTTTCTTCCTCATCCAGACAATGACAAGCCCCTAGGATTCTGCCTTCTAAGTCTCTACTGAAGCCTCCTGAGGCTGGCCGCAGTGTTCCTGTATTTTGGTACCTCAGTCTTCTATCTACACACGCTCTTGTCCACTCTGAGCTTCCAGAGCTCAGACAAGGAGCTACTCTATCTTTACATCCCAGTGCTGCAGCAGGCCCAGCAAGTCATGGGTGAGCCACAAGTGTTTGCTGGGCTATTTTCAAATACAGCAGAAGGGATTCTGTGATGTGTGGCCACACCCAAGACCAGTTTTTTTCAGAAACTTCTGAAAAGTCATCTCATTCCACACATTCATTTAACAAATAACTTACTAAACACGTATCATATGCAAAGCCTAGGAGATAAAGCAGTGAACAAGACAGTCAAAACCTCTGTCCTCATGAAACTTACAATCTAAGGGGGGAAACAGACAATAAGCATGTTTTACAAAGTAATCTCAAAGAGTGAAACTGCTATGAAATTTTTTTTTTTTTGAGACGGAGTCTCGCTCTGTCGCCCAGGCTGGAGTGCAGTGGCACGATCTTGGCTAACTGCAAGCTCCACCTCCCGGGTCCATGCCATTCTCCTATCTCAGCCTCCCGAGTAGCTGGGACTACAGGCGCCTGCACCACACCCAGCTAATTTTTTGTATTTTTTGTAGAGACGGGGTTTCACTGTGTTAGCCAGGATGGTCTCCATCTCCTGACCTCGTGATCTGCCCACCTTGGCCTCCCAAAGTGCTGGGATTACAGGTGTGAGCCACCACACCAGGCCAGTGCTATGAAATTTGTTAAAGGAGCTTAAGGAGAAGCAGACTGGTTAGGGGCTACATAAGTCAGGAAAGGCTTCTCTGAAAAGGTCAAAAGATACAAAAGAAGAAGTCACAGAGATCTGGGGGAAGAGCTTCAAGATGGGACTAAGCTTAGAATGTTCAAGGAGCATTGAGAGAAAACCAGCATGCATGATACATGGCAAAGCTAGAATAGAGTGGTTGAAGGAAATTAGAGAGGTCGAGGCCAGATTACTTCAAGCTTTGCAGGTTTTACTTCTTAGGATTAGATTCAATCAGCCTCAATCAGTGGCTAACACAAGATATTTCTTACATCAGAGAAGTTCAGAATTAGGAATTCCAAGCCTGGTATGATGACTCTGTGGTCATCTGGCAGCTCTGCTTCATCTATCTCTCTTATGAAGTTTTCATCGTCAAGGTTGCTTTATATCACAAGATGGCTGCTGGAGCACCATCCATCACATCTGTATTCTAAGCAGTAGAAAAGAGGAAAGCATGGAACAGGAAAAATTTTGCATTCTCCCAGCTGAGCCAGCTCCCTTGAAAGGACAATACCAGAAGTCTCACTCAACAGCTCTGCTTTCATCTCATTGGCCACCCCTAGGTTATAAAGGAGGCTGGGAAATACAGGCATTTAACTGGGTACTGTGCTGCTCCAAATAAAAGTAGGGCTCAATCAGAAAGTAAGACACACAGAATAAATACTGGATGTAAACCCCGTCTCTACTAAAAATACAAAAATTAGCCAGGCGTGGTGACATGCACCTGTAGTCCCAGCTACTCAGGAGGCTGAGGCAGGAGAATCGCTTGAACCCGGGAGGTGGAGGTTGCAGTGAGCTGAGGTGGCGCCATTGCACTTCAGCCTGGGTGACAGAGCGAGACTCCGTCTCAAATAAATAAATATAAATAAATAAGAATAAATACTGGGTGTGCCCAAGGGTGTGGAAAGGAGCCTGAGCTGCATTCTAACTACAATGAGAAGGATTTAAAAAGTGCTGCTATGATTTGATTTACCAGGTGAGAAGACCGCTATGGCTACAGATGGAGGGGGAACTAGAGCCGGGAGGAGTGGAAGCAGGGAGATGAGTTAGGTGCTGTTGCAATAATCCAAGTGAGAGATGAGGGTGGCTGGGCTAGCGCTTCAGCGTGGAGGTGGTGAGAAGTGGCTGGATTTGCCTCAGCTGACAGACCTGGCTGAAAGATTGGGTGTGGATATGAAGGAAAGACACAAGAAGATGGATCCCAGGTTATGGGGCTGAGCCAGGAGGAGGATGCCATTCACGGGGCAGGAAGGGATGGGGAGAGACCTAGGACAGTGAAAGTTCTGCTTGGGTATATTGCTTTCGAGAGGCCTGTTAGGTGCCAAGGGCAACTGCTGAAGAGGTAGTTGGATGGGGAAGTTTGGGATTCAGGGCAGAGGTCATACCGTTTGGGGAGCCACCAGTAACTGTCTGGTATTGAAACCCAGGGGCCAGATGAGTTCGCTCAGTGAGAGGGTGTTGATGAAGAGAAGAGGGCCAAGGAGGAACCCTGGGGCACTTTGGCCTTTGAAGGCCAGAGAGCCAGCAAAGGAGGAGGAAAACGGGCCAGCATGGTGGAGAGGGAACGAGGGCCGAGTGCCAAATGCTGCGAGCATGGAGTACCATGAGAACAGGAATGCACCCGGGACGTGGCCACGTGGAGATTGGTAGGGACCCTGATAAGAGCCAAGAGCTATCACAGTAGAGTGGGGGAAGAAGGCCTCGGAAAGAATGGCTGATGAGCAAGTGGACCTGCCAGGAAACTCTTCCCCATGGTGGTGTTGCTGTGGAGGGTGGGACAGAAATGCATGGAGCTAGAAGGAACATGCAGTTGGGAGGGCTCCCCAACCAACAAGCCCTGGGGCTCCCACGCCTCCACCACCCGGCCTCAGTGGTCATTTCACAGTTCCTGTCACTTGCACTCCAGCACAGAGGATATCACAGCCCAGATACCAGAGTTTTTTCCACCCATTCCAAGGATTGGGCTCAGAGGAAACAATTAGAAGCCTCCAGTTACTCTCTGGGGCTCTTAAGAGCTCCTGTCTGGAGACCTGGCCCTCTGGGCTCAGCCGCTAACAAGAGCCATCCCCTGTGTCCCCACGGTGACCGATCAAAGCGCCACCTGTAGCGAGTTATTTAAGGAGAAGAGCTGGGCTTATGGAGGAACCGTGGAAAGATCACAGGCTATCTTCAGAGAAGCTGCTGGTGGAATTCCCAAGTCCTTACTGGGTTTGGGGCTTGATTACCCACTCAGTGCCCAGCTGGTCATCATCATGTTGGCCAACCACCAGAGGGGAAAAAAAATTGCCTCCAAAATTTATCAGCAGCCAGGTCACCACCTTTGCTGTGAGATGAAACTACATCTGAAGAATATTTATTCTGGGGAGCAGAGAAGGGGAACGGCAGAATGGTTCATTTCAAACTTTAGTGGCTTTGTCTGGGTTTTGCTCAATCCCCAGCTAACGGCTAAACTATCTGAACTCCAAACCAAAATAAATACACCTCTGAAGTTAAACAATGTTATTACATCAAGGCTGATGTAATGGTTCCAAACCATGAGAAAATAATATTCCAGCATAATGGGTCCCTCTGTTTAGCCAGAGGAAAGGCTGGGCTTCTGGCTCCTTGTCAACTGGAATTTGGCGTTTTCTATCATTGTTGAGCTGGGTGTGTGTATCTGTGTGTGGGACCTAATTAAAGATGCTTTAGGACTTGTGGTGTGAAAGCGTACAGATAGATTTTAAAATATAATTGAGTGGTACAGAGTAGGTCTCTGGACCAACCCAAAGAAGGGCCCCTGCCTGCCCTCCCCCTTGGGTCCCTCCCAGAATCAGCTTCCCCCAGAGTGACATTGAGGATTTCGATGGCCCCTCCAGGTTCAGGGATGGAAAAAGGTTATGTGGCTTAAAGGCTGTTTCATTGTGAAAGACAACTTCCAAATAAAAGAGAAAGTGGTACCCGCCCCCAGGAACATATCTGCACGTGCTGCTCTGCACCCTCGGGTGTCTCCAGGCAGACGGAAGCTGACTCCCACAGCCGAGCTGAGCTGAGCAGGGCACAGGCTTAACAGGGAACATCCACTGGGTTGACACTGCACCAATGGTGCCTACAGGCGGGCAGCTAGCTCTGCCCCTGGGCTTGAGGGCTTGGTCCCTAGGGCTCTGTTCCCGTGTACACTTTACCAGGGTCAAGTCAGGCAGACAGTGCCTGGAAGACGCGCCCTCTCACCCTCCCCCACCTCGCTGGAGGCTGCCGTAGGAAGACTTTGACATAGGGAGTCCCAGGGTGCCCGGTCAGGTTCACAAGTCAGAGACGTCTGCCAACTAATGAAACTGAGCGCTTCCGATTTCAGGTTCTCCATAGAGTGCAAAAGGCTTTTTGGTTTGGGTTTTATTTTTAACATACCATTCATCAACACCAGCTGTCAACCACATGCAGAACTCACAGCTAGCCTCTGCCCCAGGCCCATGGGCTTCTTAATCAAATCAGGCCGAGGCATGCGTGGGGAACAAACATGCATTGTGTCCTATCTCACTGAATCCTTACCACAAAATTATCATTAATCCCTCTTTGCAGATGAGGAAACAGAGGCTCAGGGAGGTTTAGGAACTGGCCCGGCATTCCTTGTGTGGCATCTGGCAGCGCTACAGACCTCATCTGTTAGATGGGGATGACATCCCGCTCCGCGGAAGCTGTGTTAGTTTGCTAGGGCTGCCCTTACAAAGTAGCACAGACGGGATGGCTCAAACAACAAGATTTATTTTCTCACAGTTCTGGAGGCTGGAAGTCCAAGATCAAGGTGTCGGCACGGTTGATGTCTCCTGCAGCCTCTCTCCTGGGCTTGCAGGTGGCCGTCCTCTCCCTGTGTCTTCACACGGTCTTCCCTTTGTGTGTGTCTGTGTCTTAATCTCCTCTTCTTATAAGGACACCAGTCACACTGGATTAGGGCCCAACCATATGACCTCTTTTTACTTTGATTATCTCTTTAGAAGCCCTATCTCCAAATCTCCAAATACAGTCACCTTCTGAAGTGCTGGGAGTTCAGGCTTGGACATATGAGTTTCGAGGGGACATGGCTCACAGCAGAGGTGCCGGCAGGGTCAGGGGAGATGATGTAGGCTGAGTGCCTGGAGCTGCATGTGCCCCCGGCAGCCTCACTTGGGTCAGGGGTGGGATGGTGTACAGCAGGTTCTAAGAACCATCACCTGTCTTTACTGGGTGCCTGCTCCACTGCAGGCCATGGTGGCTGTGGGATGGCCTGGATAGGAAAGTGCAGCGAAGACCAGCTGTTCCCAACACAGCGGAGCCATTCCAGAGAGCCAGAGCAGGCAGGTGGGGCTCTGCAAATATGTTCAACCCCCCACACCCCTGCCGACAGCACAAGACTGTGCAGGCTCTCCCGGTGCCCTACAACCTTGGGCTGGGACCTCTCTCCGACAGCCAAAGCAACCTGGACACCCTCCAGTTCTCATTTCTCCCCTATCCCCAAGCAGCATGTAGCGGGGGCCAGCAAGAATTTGCTGAATGAGTGAAGAGATGTAAGTTCTGACGGATTCACTCCTCCTGCTCTGCCCTCATTTCTTTCCTACTGAAACTTCATTTCTTCCAGAACAAGAGGCTGGGCTCAGTAGGATTCTGGACTGGACTCACTGTCCACCAGCAGGGCTGGGGCACTTCCCAGTCGGGGCTGCCCCTGGAGTGTCAGGCCCCTGGCAGACAGGGAGCAAGACCTCCCGAAAGCCCCACACACACACTCACACTCTCCATTCTTGGCTCACTCCACCCTTGCAGCGAGGATGGCAGGCTCCTATTTCCCCCAACACACCAGCAGATGTTCAAGAGGGGCATCCAAAACCCCTCGGGAATGAGCAGCAACCAGATCTGAAGTGAGAAAGTGTCAGTGCCTCCCGATGGAGGGGCCTGGAACAAGTTACCCGGGGGAGGCTTCTCTGCAGGTTTTACCACCAGGCCTGACCCTCGGCTGTCTGGATCAGCTTAGGTGTGGTCTCACTTCAAGGCAGGAGGGAGAACTAGATGACCTTTTGGGTCCCTTCCTGCCCTGGGATTTCAGGCAGACATTAACATCTGGGGAGTGACAGTAGCTGAGAGATCCCAGTGGCCCAAAGCCAGCAGTAACAGGGTGGCCCGGTCTGGGCAATCCACCTGGAGCTAACCAACAGGTAGAGTTGCAAATAGCAATGAGCCTGGCAGCTGCCAGGATTACCCATTTGACAAAGCAAGAAGCGGTGGATGGAACTGCTCACCCTCTGAGGAAACAGGAGCAGGATCCCTGACTGCCTGGCATGGGTGTGCGTCCCCGCAGGCGTCACAAGAGGCATGCACACAGACAGTATCTGTGCGAAGGGGATGGGAGGCCTGGTTGGGAAGCCTCTCCTCTGAGACGCTAACAAGCCTGATAAGAATCACAGCTTCCAAGCAAGACCTATACATGGTTATAGCACCTCATTTTCCCTCACCATATCCTCTAAGGGGCAGAGAGCATGGGGGCCCCCTCAGTTTCATGGCTGGGAGAAAAGAAAGAGTAAGAGATGGTCAAGAGCACATCACAGTTGCCCAAAACCCAGCACATTTGCACCTACTGCTGTGGTCGCCAGGCCTTTCTAGTCACCTTTTGGTTCTAGCCATCTCTGGAATTAGATTGGCATTTTTTTAAAGCCTGGTATAGAATAGCACTTTATCAATCCCCCGCTAACCTTATCAGTCAGTCAGCCAACCTACATACATTTTTGAAGGTCTACACTTGAGCTAGAACCCAGAAGATGTGGTGAAAACAATGATACCTTCTTTCAAAGAGCTTCATGTTGGGAACTCAAGACAGATACAAGAGAAACAATGGTAGCCAAGGCAAGACTCACATGATGAAGGACCCAGGCAACTTGGGTGTCCAGAGGAGTCAGAGGCCTTTGGGGCAGGCAGGGAGGCCCGGGGAACAGGCAGGGCACATGCAAGGCCTGGAGGGCAGCTTCGAAGGAGAAGTTGCTGGAGATGAACGACATTCTAGGCCACCAGCAAGGGTATGGCGGAGACACAAGCACGTAATGGGCACGAGCCAGAGGAGGTGGGTGGGGCAGGCCTCCTAGGTTAAGGAGGGGAGCTGCCACCAGATGCTGTAACAGCTTGGGAGCTGGGGAAGGTTTCTGCACAAAGCAGGACTTCCTGAAAGCATTTCTGAAGTGACTGCTGCACACAGATGTGCATCATTTTCCGGCGTGGAGGAGACCTTCAATGGATGTGCACACCATTGAACCGCCTAGTACAGCACCAACTGTGAAAGAGATGGAGGCTGTTTCACTGTCCAGGGCACTGAAGGCTCCAAAGAGAGCCCCTGGGAGCCCCGGCGCTTCTCTGGTTCTTCAGCGCCTGTGGCTTTCTCAACAGGTTAATAACACAAGCTTGCGCACACACAAGTTGAGTAAGACACAAGAACATACTAATTGACTTCACTTTCGTTAAAACCATGTATTTGACATCTAAGCCTCCAAGTTAGAAAGGTCTCTGCATCTGCTATTAATGACTGAATTCAGGGATTCTGTGTACCCTCTTCCCACAGAGCATGGAGGGGTTGAATAACAGAAGGCTGGGCTGAGCTGGTTTTTTCCTGTGTCTGACTCTGGGCTCCCTCTGAGCGCCCCTGTGTGCCTTCCCTCAGGCCCCTCTTCTGCTCGGAGCCTTCCCTGGCTCGCTGCTGGCTGCAGTGCCTCGTCCAAGCGCCTCCACCAACGTTTGCCTCCGGAGTCCCTCATTCCTCCCATGCTTGTGTCTATTGAGTTCTCGGTACGGGCCTGCTTGGGCTTACGTTCTGTTGAGGCAAACTGAAAATAAACATGAAAATAATCAAATAGGCAAAACAATTGCATGTTGTGATTAGTTAATAAGGAAACAAGAGTCAGAGCAAGAGTCGGTGGCTCTCCCGATGGAAGTACTGCTGGAGCTGAGACCCAAGGTGACAGGGGCTTCCGGAAGTGAGGTGTGAGGACTGGGGCGGTCCAGGCAGCAGGGACCACATGTGCAGAGTCCCTGCAGCACAGCGCCGGGTACAGTGAAGGCATCAGGAGATGGCCAAGGGGGCTGGAGCATGGTGGGCAAGGTCCCAAAACAAGGTCGCACGGGGCTTTGAGGGCTGTGGTTGGACTTCTGCCCTGTCCTAAACCCTTTCCTTCCCCTATAATCCCCCATGGTCAGTGGAATCACCGAACCCCTTCACCTCCCCCGGCTCCCACATTCAGCTGGCCACCAAATCCTACTGATTCTATTTCAGACTCTCTCCCAACTCTCCACCCTGTTCTCTTCCCCCTACCTTGTTCTGGGTCCTCACCCTCACCCACCTCAACAAGCCTACAGACCCAACCATCTCTCCTCGCCTCCAGCCCAGCTTCTGGCATGGGGGCTGCAGGCGCCACCAGGCAGCTTCCTAAAGCACATGTCTGGCCCCAGCACTCACGCCCGAAGACTCCTGTCTACACTGGCGGCTGTTGGAGCTGGGCAGTGGGCACATGACCTTCTACATGTTTGAGTTTTGTATAATAACCAGCACAAACAAGACAAAACAACAAAAACCCTCCTCCTACCCAGAAGGCCTGCCCTCTTGTCTTCTCCCTAAACGAACAAGCTGTGCCGGCACCCGAGTACCCAGCTACAGACCCAAAGCTCAGGGGCTCCCAGTGACACAGAGACAGAGGGTGTGGCAGCCTCAGGAGACCATCACAAGGAAGCCTCAAGTCCCCCGACGCCCCACACATAGGCCTGTGGTTGCGCCTCAGGGAACCCAAAGCGGGAAGGTGGCTGGCAGGTGTTCCCGGGATGACACCAACCCAGCCAAGCTCCTTTCCAGGCAGTTTCACAAGAGTCCCTGATTGTATCATGTCCTCGCAGAAAAATGAGGAGCAGGACCCACAGCCACGGCCAAGGTCTGTGTTCAGACTCGTCCCTGATGCGACACTAACCACACCCACTCCCACAATGCACCTGTTTGTAAAATGTTTCTCAGTGGGGCACGGTGGCTCACGCCTGTAATCCCAGCACTTTGGGAGGCTGAGGTGGGTGGATCACCTGTTGTCAGGAGTTCGAAACCAGCCTGGCCAACATGGTGAAACCCCATGTCTATTAAAAATAAAAAAATTAGCCGGGCGTGGTGGTGCACGCTTGTAATCCCAGCTCCTAGGGAGGCTGAGGCAGGAGAATTGCTTGAACCTGGGAGGCAGAGGTTGCAGTGAGCCGAGATCGTTCCATTGCACTCCAGCCTGGGCAACAAGAGTGAAAGTCTGTCTCAAAAAAAAAAAAAAAGTTTCTCAAAAGAGCTCATGTAAATAAAGCATTAAGGGGTGATGTCTCTTCTGTGCTGCTGCCGAACGTTTCAGAAGCGACAAAGGACAATGAGCAGCTGCTTCCCACGATGCTGGTGAGTTCCCGCATCAGCTCCCTTGGCCTGAACAGAAACAGTGGCTGGGCGTGGAGTGGCCTGAACTCAGCTACTGGTGGCACCACACTTAAAGATATGTTGAAGTCTGTGACTGCTCCAGGTGTAGACAACCTTGGAATCCATCCCAAGTGAATTCATCTCCACTGCTGCCTGTACTTGTCCCACCCACACGCTTGCATCTTCAGAGAGCCCTCCTCGCTCTACTTTTCCTCAGCCATCAAGGTGTTTGGGCGTCTGTCACCGGGACAGGCTCTGAGCCTGGCATGAATCTAAGAGAAAGCAGATATTTATAAGCCAGAGTCTTAAAGAAGTTGGGTTTAGATGCAAAGGAAATTTGTGCCGTGTGAAGAAGGGATAACAACCCAACGAGGAGTCAACATTGCCTGATCCACGGCCGCTTGACTTTCCATCCATGGGTTTTTCAGTTTTTGTCTTTCTAAGCTCTTCATAGGAATCCAAAGTGGGGGCCGGGTGCAGTGGCTCACACCTATAATCCCAGCACTTTGGGAGGCCTAGGTGGGTGGATCACCTGAGGTCAGGAGTTCAAGACCAGCCTGGGCAACATGGTGAAACCCCGTCTCTACTAAAAATACAAAAATTAGCCAGGTGCGGTGGCACGTACCTGTAATCCCAGCTGCTCGGGAGGCTGAGGCAGGAGAATTGCTTGAGCCCGGGAGGCAGAGTTTGCAGTGAGCTGAGACTGTGCCATAGCACTCCAGCCTGGGCAACAGAGAGAAATTCAGTCTCAAAAAAAAACAAAAAAAAAAAACAAAAAAAAACCAAAAAAACAAACAAAGCAAGAGAGAGAGAGGGAGAGAAAGAAAGCAAGAAAGATCCAAAGTGAGGAACAACAAGGGGTGTCTCAGGACTGCCCTCCAAGCCTAGTAACTCGGGGAATGACATCAATCATACCTTCATGCCTCACCCACCCTTGGAAAGATGGGTGGGATTAGGAGCCAAGGCATTCAGTATGAGGGGCCTGGCCCCATCAGAGCAGCCGACGCTGGGCCCCTCCCAGGCCTCAGCTTGCTCATCTGCGCAAGGCGGGCTGCACCTGCCCTTCTCCCTGCACAACAGCTGTTGTGAGGCTGAGAGAGCAGGGCACACCGAGCGTTCCCCAGCACCAGCCACGATGGTCCATGCTTAAACTGGAGATTACATGGGATCCAGTGGTCAAGTTGCCCTGGGTCACCCCAGCAGGTGAGTGGCAATCCCCAAAATAATACTCTGGTGTCTGTGACCCCAGGGCCAGACTGTCCTTGACAGCTGGTTAGAGGAAGTTGTTGGTCAGTTGGAGACAGGGCAGGTGTTGGCCCTTGGGCACGTACAGGACTTTCTGCAAACCTATGGGTGCTCTTCTTCTGAGAGTGCCTCAACAATTTCTTATTTTTGTTATTTTTTTTTTATCTTCTCAATGGGCCTGGCCCAGGAGTTTCGGGCTTTTATTAAGCAGTGGAAGTGCATTGGAAACACAAGGCGCTGACCTCCTCACCCTGCCCACACTGGTAGCAGAGTAACAACTGGGTCTCCAGAGACACCTGAGGGCCCGCCTTCCAGCCCTCAGGCAGAAGACCTAAAAGCTGTGTGGAATATTCCCCCATCACGACCTTGGTCTGGACGCAGCTCCAGGGTCGCCCTTCCTAAGGCAACGTCACCCTGACCTGGCCCCATGGGCGACTTAAAGGTAACTCCTGGGGAGGGGGTCTTGCTCACTAAGGCTTTTGCAGCCTGTGCCTCTGCAGTGGATGAAGAGTTTCCAATGGCCTAATTTTCTCCCAGGGAGTAAAACTGAAGGTCTGGAAGAAGAGCTCACTGTTTATAAATGTCCTAGAAATAAAAGAGCTTAAACATGAGGGATAAAAACATGGTTCAGTATCTTGGGGTTCTTCATCAGATTAGCGAGGCCCTAGAGCAGAAAACCACGGCTGACCTGAAGGACTGATAAAGCCGTGGTGGCTTCCTGCATTCCTCGTGGCCACAAGCCCTGGACTTATCACACCAGGCTTCCCTCCAGCAGGTCCCAAGAGCTCCGCAAGAGAAATGAGGGAGATAGCTACTGGGCACTGGACACCTGCTGTGTGCCCTCGGGGCTGACAGACTTCTCATATTTGATTTTCATCACCCCATTAAAGTTGGCACTATCACATTTTATAAGTGAACCCTGAGCCTCCAGAAGGTTTAGCAATTGCCAGTCAACAGCTCCTGGGTGGCAAGGCCAGGACAGGAATCCAGGTCTGCCCAAGCCCACAGCCCACGCCCTTCCCTTTCTGGGCACTACGTCTGGGCACATGGTGCCCCCACAAGCACTCAGCACCCAGGTCAGTCAGGAGAGAGAGGTGGGGTGGAGGACGGTGAGGAGCAGGGAGGCAGCTGGTCAGCCACTTAGAAGGCTTAATTAAGCAGAGAGACAAGGAGGGCTTGCCCCACGACAGAGACTCCGTACACATGGGGAGGTGGGCTTGGGAGACCTCAAGGAGACAGAACTAACAGGGACGGGGCAGCTGGCTGACTTATACCTGTCCTCCCTGGCACCCCAAAATATAGTAGGCTGTGGGGACCGGGCCACAAGGAACAGACCCAGAAGACAAGGTGATGTTGCTGTTGTTTGGCATGAAGGCGGCAGCTACTACATATTCCGGAAGGAGAGGCCGTGGAGGAGGAGGGGAGGCCCAGGCAGGAGCCCGGGGAATACATTTCCCCTCTACCCTGCCACGGAGGCTGGCCCATGCTGGAAAGGGCAGAGCTCCTCAGAGACCCAGGAAAGGGCAATGTGACACAGCCTAGCTCGGCTCAAGCCTGGCCAAAAGGCCGAGGCGTGGGAACTGCAGATGCTGGGGCTGCCGTGACCGAGGTAGCTCTGGGCTGGTCACCAAGCCGAGCCCAAGGCAGTGGAGCCAAGGCTGATTGCAACAGAGGAGGAGGAGGAGGGGGGAGGCAGCAGCAGGGGAGACACTTTTCAAAAAGTCTGACATTGAGGAGAAGTGGATACATGAGTAACCAGGATGAGGGGTTTTTTTTGTTTTTTTGTTTTGTTTTGTTTTTAAGATAGGGACAGTTGGGACATATTTGCAGACAAGAAGGAATTGAGCCAGGGAGATAAAGATTTAAACTGTCCAAGAGAAAAAGTGTGCACAGGGCAGAGCTGGCGAGGAGCTAGGGGCGGGCAGGGGCCCAGAACAAAGGGTACAAGCAGATACGGGGTTTTGTTTTCTTTTTATTTTTTTAAAGACAGGGTCTCTCTCTCTCTCTCTCTGTCACCTAGGCTGAAATGCAGTGAACTGATCATTGCTCACTGCAGCCTCGACCTCCTGGTCTCAAGAGATCCTCCCATCTCAGCCTCCTGAGTAGCGTGACCTCAGGCACATACCACCACACCTGGCTAATTTTTTTATTTTTCGTAGAGATGGGGTCTCACTATGTTCTCCAGGCTGGTCTCAAATTCTGGCTTCAAGCAACCCTGCCACCTCAACCTCCCGAAGCACTGGGATTACAGGCATGAGCCCCCACACCCAGCCACAAGCAGATAGGTTTAGATTTGAAGGGAAAAGACACTTTATCCTCTAAGACAGAAGAGAAGGATGAGAGAAAGGGAGCTGGAAATGAGAAGTGCTCAGGTGGAGGGGCTGAATCTCACATAGATGACACCGAGCAACCCAGAAAAGCAAGAGGCACAGGCACAGCAGAACACATGAGAGGGCTGCTGGTTCTGCGTTAGTTAGGGCGCGCAATGCTAGCTGCCGTAACAAACAAACACCCAAGCCTCAGGGGCCTGACCCAGTGACAGTTTGTTTCTCATTCAAAGTCCAATGCCAAGGTCACAGGGCAGTGGCAGGCTTCCACATCGTCATTCAGGGACCCAGGCTCCTTCCCCCCAGTGTCCCTGCCATCCCCTGGAGAGGAGCGAGCACATGGAGAATTGTGTGAGAAGCTTTCCGGGCAGGCACGGAAATAGCACACACTTCTGCCCACACTTCACTGGGCAGGCCTGGGTGCCACAGCCACACTGGGCAAGAGGCTAGAAAAAGTAGTTCCACTGGGTTCCCAGGAGGAAAAGGAAACAGATTTTGATGGAAACACAGCCATCTCTGCCACCAGGTAAGGGCTCAAATGAAGAAGAGAAGATTCCAGTAGTGTGAGTTCATGAGTAGTTGCTGCAGCCACCCCCGGAAGTGACAGGAAATGAACCACCCCCTTTAGCCTGGGTCCTCGCAGCAAACCTTTTGCAAAAACTCTGAAGACATTGAATATATCGTTCTCCCTGGCCCACCCTGCGCATCCAACGTGTGACACAGAGCGCTTGCCATGCATCCCTGCCCCAGGAAGGCCCCCGGCTCAGGTTTGTCATTGCTCAGCACCTTTAGATGTACAGTATTTGCAGCAAAAGGCCTTCCATGATTCAAAGGCATGAAGCCCCAACACTGGCATTCCAGGCGTCCCACTTAGAGTTCACAGTCATTGCTGGGTATCAGCCCACCTTCAACCCCCCGAGGTAGATGGAGGGGGTCCTGCCGGTCCCTCACAGCCAGAACAGCTCAGAAAGAACAGTGTATAAAGAAGGCCTTCATGGCCGGGCATGTGGCTCATGCCTATGATCCTAACACCTTGGGAGGCCAAGGTAGGAGGATAACTTGAAGCCAGGAGTTCGAGACCAGCCTGGGCAACATAGTGAGAACCCCCTCACCCCATCTCTACAAAAAATAAAAATTAGCTGGGCATGGTGGCACAAGCCTGTATAGTCCCAGTTACTTGGAAGGCTGAGGAGGGAGGATTCTTGGGCCCAGAAGTTCAAGGCTGCAGTGAGCTACGATCACACCAGCGCACTCCAGCCCGAGTGACAGAGCGAGACCCTGTCTCTATGTTTAAACTCGAAGAAGAAGGAGGAGGGAGAAGAAGGAGGGAGAAGGAGGAGGAGGGAGAAGGAGGAGGAGGGAGAAGGAGGAGGAGGGAGGAGGAGGAGGAGGGAGGAGGAGGAGGAGGGAGGAGGAGGAGGAGGGAGGAGGAGGAGGAGGGAGGAGGAGGAGGGAGGAGGAGGAGGAGGGAGGAGGAGGAGGAGGGAGGAGGAGGAGGAGGGAGGAGGAGGAGGAGGGAGAAGGAGGAGGAGGGAGAAGGAGGAGGGAGAAGGAGGAGGAGGGAGAAGGAGGAGGGAGAAGGAGGAGGGAGAAGGAGGAGGGAGAAGAAGGGAGAAGGGAGAAGAAGGAAGAAGAAGAAGAAGAGGCCCTTATGAAAATCTATATATCTCAAGGATATTTTTCCCTTGACTCTGGTTGTAGGAATTGGCTTTCCCAACAGGTACCCTAAGTTTCCCAACCTTCCATTTATCACAAACAAGGATATTATCCTCTGTCAAAAAAAAAAAAAAAACCCAAAGTTTCCCAGGCCTGTTTGTGAAAGCTGTGCTGGCCATCCTGCCCGCATGAAGAAAGCATAGGTTCTTGTCATCCCACAGAGGAAGCCGTGTGAGTGCTGTTGATAGCCTGTTGCTCTAATCCAGCAGCTTTCCTATACACAGCTGTTGAAAACCATCAGCGTTGGAGACAGCAAAAGAAACACTGGGCTGATAGATCGGAATGACTTAGGAGAGGGAAATCAACACACACACGTGTTGTGCAGATCTTGCAAAATCTAACTATAGGGAGAGAGGGGTGGGGAGAGGGGAAGAAAACAATTGAGCCCCAGAGGCATCTGGAAATGAATGCTAGACTCTGTCTGGGTGTTGCTCAATGGTGACCTGCCTTCCCAGGGGCCTTGCCAAGGTGTGGTAAAGGTGCAGGCTCTGCTGATGGCTCGTTTCATCCCTGCTGGAAGCAACTGGGGAGCTGCTTCAAAGTTGCAGTGTCCTTCGAGCAGCAAAGATCCAGCGATGCCAGGGCATGAGAAGGGCATCTCTCCCATGCGAGTGTGGTGAGCAGACAGGCGTCTACCTGCACAAGGTGTGTTTACGGGCGCAAAGCCTCCAACTCATGTGGTCAGGTTAGAGAACAGAAGCTCATTCATTCCCTATTTGCCCCAAAGCCTAACCCTTCTCCTTCAGTTACTTGGAGTGAACAACTACTACCCCACAAGGACCCAGGCCTGATGGCTTCTAGCATACAGCGTTTGCGGTGCAGGCAGCATTGCCCCGGAACAGAAAAGCTGAGATTCTAGAGACACCTCCCCGACACGCCCCTCCCTTTCTGCCACATTTTGGCCGTGTCTGATGTTGGCCCACAAAGTTCCACCAAAAACATCCACCGCCCACTACTCCTGCAGCCCAAGCAAAAGCTCGCAAAGGGAAAATCGAGGCGTTCCGTCAGAGCTGCGGCATCAGACAGAGGTGTTTTGGCAAGCCAGGGGCTCTAATGAGGCTGTAAATGACAGGGCAGGGAAGTGCAGGAAATGGCTAAACATCCTGTCGGCTTTGAACTCCACAGACCTGCTCGGAAGCACTCACATTGGTCTGAAACACGAACACCTCTTTATTATGGGATCAATAAAGGCTGTAGGAATCGCTTCTGGTCCTGCTGGTGTTACCAAATTTGATGATCATTTGCTGAGCACTGAGGAGATCACAGGCCAGAGGAGGTGGGGGTCCACCTGGGCTGTGTGGTCACGCACCCAGTGCCCAACGCTCAGACAGACACCAGCCAGCTTCACCTTGTGCTGCCTCTGCGACTCTGGGCGACTTAGTTTTCTGTGGCTCTGTTTCTTTGTCTATAAATTGAAAATAATAAATAGGGCCCACCTGGAGGAGTTGTGTGGGCCCCAGTGGAGTGATAATGTAGGTAAAGGGCTGACATGCCAGGGCCAGACACCAGGGTGACTCCCCTGAGAACCAAGAGGTCATCGCCATGGTTCAGAACCTGTTCCATTCTCCTCTGCTGCCCTACGCATTCCAATACAGCACCTTCTGCCTGCCACGCCCAGTCTCCAGGGCTGGAATACAGATGTGAGCAGGACCATTCCTGGCCTCCCGGCTCTGAGGAGGCGAAGCGCAGGCCCACAGCTGTGCGGCAGGAGCCACCCTCACAGCAGAGCCGGTGTAGACGCTTGAACGGCTCCTGCAGACACTCCCCTCTCCCCCTCTTAAAAAAACAAATGCCCTGGCCTCCATAGCCCCCAACATACCTGCTTGTGCCCTCCTCTCTCCACTGGTATCACAAACAGAAACATCAATCTGCCTTTGTTTTGCCAGGTCTGTTTCCACACACCCTTCCCATTATATTTGAAAACAAAGCTTCCCATCTTTGCTCGGACTTCTCAGCCTACTTTTAAGCAAAGCACTAACAAGCGCCTCCAGGGTGGGGTGGAGAGTTTGTGCCAAGAGCAGGGCTTGGCCCAGAGCCCATCCCTTCCAGGCCTGGTCACAGGGAGAGAGGGTGGAGATACAGCAGACAGAGGGGCCGAGAAGGGGCCTGCGGCCTCCCCACCTTGCCTCTCCCTCTGGTAGTGAACGTCCTCCCCATCCCCAAGGGCCTCCAGTCGGCCCTGGGCTGCTCCAGGGGTCCCTTTCAGCAGACCGCCCCCAGGCCTGTCAAGCCTGTCTCTTGCACAGAACGCTTTATCTGCCCCCACCCCTGCATCCTGTTCTCTGTTCCAGAGGGGCAAGGCTGTGGAACCCCAGAAGACAGGCCTCTGAGAGGACCCGGGTCACCCGGACCTGGACTCAAATCCCATCCCTGTACCTCTCCTTGGATGAACCATCGAACACTGAGCTTCCATTTTGCATCTTCCAACTGCACAGAGAAGTAAGTGTGTGCTGCTCCTTCCGTGGTTGGTGCTGAGTGGGGATTTCGGGAATGGTCCCTGCTCCCTGCATTTTCCACAGGGCCAGCGGGAAATAAGCTTTACCTCCACCGCACAGGAGGGAAAACTTCAACTCGCATGTTAGGGTAAACTGGGGAGAGACTTGGGGTAAATGGGGAAGTTTTTTTGGTGATGGGTTGGGAGGGGCCCTTTACCCCCAGAGGAAGTGGTCACCTCCGAGGGTCTAGCTTGGTGGCAGCGGGTACAGTTGTAGCCTAGAGAAGAAAGAACAGGGGCTACACACATGTGATGTAAAACCGAGGAAAAGTGAAGAAGTGCGAGGTGCTCGTGGGGTCACCAGGTTTGGGGCTCAAAGTTCCAGGAAAGGAGGGACTCCAGGCCTTGACCTCCACTGCACACCTGGGGACAGGGGCCGGAGACAGTTACCTTGGAACCACCAGCGCCCACACACAGGGACACTCCCCACCTGACAACTAAACTGTGGAGTTCATTCAAGTCTTTCCAGACCGCTGTGGTAACTGAAGACTAATTTTCCAGTGCAGGAAGAGGATGAGGGACCTCCTGTCTCATGCTTTGTTTAACTAATATGAAGGGAAGGGGAGCCAGGCGCGGTGGCTCATGCCTGTAATCCCAGCACTTTGGGAGGCTGAGGTGCGCGGATCACCTGAGGTCAGGAGTTCAAGACCAGCCTGGCCAACGTGGTGAAACCCCGTCTCTACTAAAAATACAAAAATTAGCTGGGCGTGGTGGTGGGAACCTGTAATCCCAGCTACTGGGGAGGCTGAGGCAGCCTCCCTAGTATATATATATATATGAGGGGAAGGGGGCAGGAATCATGGAGCCAGAGAAACTGATTTTCAGTTCATAGGCAAGCGGAGGCCTGATGTGGAACTAATGGGGCTCTGCGTCATGGGCAACTAAACCTGGAGGGGGCACCGTGCCCGGTTCTCCCAGAGAAGAGAAGAAGGACTGGGCAGACAGCTCTCCATCTCTCTGTGGAGGCCTCCCCTCCCACTTCCTTCCCCAACACCCCACCTCCACCTGCTGCTTCCAACCCCCAGCCCTGTTGGTTCTAGAAAGTTTGGTTGTTATCCAGCAGGAGGATGAGGACTGGTTTAGAGCAGAGCCATTAAACTACAACCTGTGGGCCAAAGCTGGCCCACCCCTTGTTTTTCTAAATAAAGTTTTATTGAAACAGTCACACTTGTTCCTTTACATATCATCTGGGGCTGCTTTCTCACTTTGAGCTGTTGCAACAGAGACAGTGGGGCCTGTGACACCAAAATTATTTGCCATCTGGTCTTTACAGAAAAGGTTTGCCAACCCAGGTTTACAGAAGGAGAAAGGAGGGTGCTTCCCACCTGCTTCCCTTGGTGAGTGGGGAGGAGCTGGTGGCAAAGCGCAGGTTCTTGGCAGTAGGAACCAAGGCAGCCCTGCATCAGGCTGGGAGGGCCGAGGAAGGCCTCTGTGGAGATACAGAAAGCGGGGCTTAGGAATGGGGAGGGAGCTGAGGCCTGTGCCCAGAAAGGGTGGGCCAAGAACAGGGAGAAGACAGCTGGCACAGAGGGGACGCTGGGCTGCCCCTCACAGACTCAGCTGAGGCAGGAAAGACTTCGCTAAAGAGGAAGGCCAACGCGTTTAGGCTTTTTCAGAGAAAAGGACAGCGCTCCCATGGGCAAGGGTGAGTGGGGAGAGCAGGCAGGCGCGGACCTTGAGCTTGGGCTCCTTGGGACCTGCGTGACCCACAAACCCCACCCCTGCCCGGCAAACCCCACCCCTCTGCAGCTTTCCTACTGCCCTTGCTGTACCATGCCAGGGACTTGCCACCAACTGCAGCTCCGGCTGCTGTCGGATCCCTCCATCAGGAAAACAGTGGTCCCCTCACAGCTGGCTCCTCCCTTCCCCACACCACCCCAGCAGGACTGATCTCTCCTGTTTCCCAATGTCTGTTAGGGGGACTCCACCACCCGGTCCCCCAAGTCAGAAGCACCAGACGTCCCGAGGCCTCTTTCTCCTTCCCATGTCCCGAGGCCTCTTTCTCCTTCCCCACCTTACATTAAGTCACCTCCAAGTCCCTCCAAACCTCCAGGTGTGCTTCTGAAATCCATCTGGATACCCTCCCTGGCTCTGGCCACCCTGCCCTGTCTCCCAGCCAGAGCAGCCCTCCTCTGCGCTCACTCGCAGCCCTGCACATCTGCTCAGCCAGCAGCAGCTCTCAGAGGCTTCCTCACCAGCCGGTTTCCTGGGCCCTGGCATTCAGGCCACCCCTCCGGCCCTTGCCAGGCCCCCACCCCAGCACAGTCAGGCCCTGTCTCCACTTTCTGCAGAATGTTCCAAGCAGAGGTTTTGGGGCCACACAGCAGCTGTGGGAACTCAAACAAGTCAGCCCACCTCACAGGGCCTCAGTTTCCTTACCTCTAAAATGACGACAGCACCAGCCAGGGCCAAGGCCACTGTGAGGATGCAAAAGGCTGTTACTCACATCGCTGCTATTTCTGTCCCTGCTCCTGCCTCTGTGCTTGCTTCTGCGCCATTCCATTATCATTCACTGAGCAAAAAGGCATGGGCTGCCCAGGAACTCAGGGAGGGGAGTGAGCTGGAGTTGACCATCATGTTACAAGGGCCACAGTGCTGCTGCGGGCATTTCAGCACTGTGCCGGGGTGGGAACCAGTGTCTGGCTTTGCCTGGAGAAGCAGAAGGGCACAGTTGGGGGAAGTGTGCTGTGTGCTGTGGCGGCAGGGTGGGGAAGGGTGCAGCCAGGGCCAAAGGCACAGTGCTGAACACGCAGAAAAGGGCAACAGGCACACGATGGGACCACAGCGTGTGCAGATGACAGCCGGGAGCACAGACAAAATGATGTTCTGCGGATGGCAGCCAGGGACACAGAGGAGGTGCCCTCTGCAGAAGGGGCTGGCAGCCCCCCAGCCTCACACCCACTCGTCAATGGCTGTGTGGTCACGGTGGTGTCCCCCACCCTCCAGGGATTGTCAGCTGAGGAGTGACATGGCCAGGCCTGTGCAGCAGCGAGCTCACACTGGTATTAGAGTGAAAGACCGTCCTAGAGACCAGAGACCAGAGCATCAGTGTGAGAGGTCAGGGAAAAGACGGTCGCAGTGGCCAAGGCGTGATGCTGTACAAGCCAGACAGTGGCACCAAGGGGCAGTGGAGGCCACCCAGAAGGAGCACACTTGACAGACCACAAGAAAGGACAGCACGATTCGGTGACCATCACCAGGGGCCAGGCAACGGGAAGAGTGAGGACACCTGCGGTGTCACCCTGCGGGCAGCCAAGCTCCTATGGTGCTTTCGGGTGGGAGGCCGCCCTCAGCCAGCGGGCGAGAGAGAATCCATCCCAGAAGCCGCTGGAGGGCAGGAAGGAAAGGATTATGGCTCAAAGGGAATGACACAGTGATGGAGAAACAAGCTGCTGTTCTGTGTGTGGACGAGTGTGCCGGGGGCAGGAGGCGGCACCGACGATGTCACCAGGGAGAAAAAATTACCTTGAAGCCCGTGGAGTGAAGAGTGTTCAGGACAGAGATGGGAAAGCCTGGGCCTGAGGAAGGCACAGATTGTGGTCAGTTGTTTAAGGACAGAAGAAGTTAGGAAAACACTGCCCTGGGTGATTTGCCTCCTACACAACAAAGGTTTCCTCCAAGGCTAGTGCAAGCTGGCAGGAAGCCCGTCATCTTCCGTGAGCCCAGCCACATCAGCAGCACAGGCTTCCACCTTTGCGCTGCTTCAGAAGAGCTTGCTCAGTCTGGCTGTGGCTGTTAAAAGTGTGCTTGGCTTTCTAATTAAAAATAAAACCTCAGTCGAGGGATGAAAGAAAGTGCTTTGGAGCTCTTCCAGGGACCCACCGCATACAGGTGGGGAAGGAGGAGGCTGGGGAGGGAAGGAGGGCCGGGGGAGGCTGACACAGCACCCGCATCCATGAAGAGCAGAAGCCCAAAGATGTCTTTCCCCGCACAGACCAAGGATCTGTGATTTCGGGAGCGCAGAAGGAAAGGCACAGGACAGGAGGGGAGAGGTGTGAACATCTATGGCAAGGCGAGTCCAGCTACTGTTAGCTGGGTGACAAGGAGCTGCTACGACAAGCCTGCGTGGAGATTTAGGCAGCATATGGTCACCGTTTCATTATGTGCAAGTGGCTTTCTGCTGCCAGCTCCGTCCGGAGCTCCTGGAGGCAAAGCTGAATTACAGGGTCTGGAAGGTGAGCCCATTTCCCAGACTCCACAACCCCCGCAGTCAGAGACAGTCTCCCCACACCACAGCTCTAGGTCAGACACACGTGGCTGGAACAATGTAGAAGGACAAAATGACGCGTAAGACAAGATGGTCACCACGACCTGCCACGCACCCAAGCAGAATATGCCAAAAGTGTCCCGTGGTCCAGCTCACAGGTCACGGTCAGAACCCACCCAGAGGACTGCCCGCGGGTGAGAGTGGTGCGTCCCCTGCCCGGCTGCCCCAGACCTCTGAGGTCAGCTTGCTCGGGTGTGAGAGGGCAGTCCTTGAAGTGAAGGCCATTGCGTCGGTTCACAGCGGGTGGGGCCCGGGGCAGCCGCTGCACAGGGCTGCTGTTGACACGGCGGGAATGTTTCTTGAAATCAAGGTCCGCTGCAATCTGGGGGAAGGCGATGGAGCCCGGTGCTCCTCGGGGCGGGCGTGGCTCCGCCTGGCTGTGGGGTCCTCCTGCTTCTGTTTCATCTGGAGGAAGAGTTGGCTGGGATTCCGGCTAAGGGCTGGGGCCTCCCTTTACTCTCCAAATCTTTTCTCAGTAAACAAAACTCAGTGTGGGAACAGGATTCCTATCAATTACAATACAAACTGATTGATGCCATAAAAGCGAAACCACCGGCCCTCACAAACAGTGCGGCTTATGTTGTCTGCCCCGCTCTCCGAAGGAAACCTTCCCTTCAAGAGTTTGTGTGTTGTTTACCCTTCTTCTTGGCGCACACACAAAATCCAAAGCCTGTAATAGCGCAGGTCATTAAAGGAAACAACTGCACTTGGGCCTTTTTCAAGGGAGTGATTCAGGCAGGTGCTCTCCTCGCCGAGTCAGTTTACAAAGCGTTACCAGAGCTCCCTCCGCCGAGAGCGGGGCAGGCCAGCCACGCAGCGTTTTCTCGGGAAAACGCACTTTCCCGTGGCCACTAGGCGGAGCTAGGTGTTTACCAAAAAGGGCAGCTTGAGCTTTGGTGCCGCTGGGGACTTACGATATTAAAATGTCATTTTTATATGCAACTACCCTTTACACATAAAAGTGAAATGGAGTGGGAGCTATAAGAAGCACCTGAAAGTTTCATGCTGGGGGAAGCCCCCCGTATGTGGTCGGGAAGGAATCCGTGTCTCATTTTAAGTGCGGAGAATGGGAGGAAGGGAGGAGGTAGAGGAACCCTCCAGAACCTGAGGCGCCACGTAGTCCTGATTCGCCTCTCTCCATCTCCCAACCGGAGCAGTCCTGAGAACGCGGAGACCGGCACCATTCACTGCGCAACTAACTTCACCGCCTGCTGTGCTAGGTCGCTGCGCCCAGGGACCCACGTACCAAGAAGCAATGCTGACACCCTCCCTGTCCAGCAGCTAGGGTTGCCAGGGGATGTGAAAGGATTCTGAAAAGATAATGCAATCTTCAGACGTTGTTAGGACTGTTTTGTTATTATTATCAGGAAACAGACGTAAACTGAAGAGGGAGACATAAAGCATTGGCTGTGTGATAAGTCTTTTTTCAAACTCATGTTTTCTGACACTTTTTAACACACATCCTCGTTGATAGAATTTCCTTCTCATCCGGGCGTGATGGCTCATACCTGTAATCCCAGCACTTTGGGAGGCCGAGGTGTGTGGATCACCTGAGGTCAGGAGTTCGAGACCAGTCTGACCAACATAGTGAAACTCCATCTCTACTAAAAATACAAAAAAATCAGCCGGGTGTGGTGATACACGCCTACTATAATCCCAGCTACTTGGGAGGCTGAGGCGGGAGAATTGCTTGAACCCACAAGGCGGAGGTTGCAGTGAGCCAAGATCGCACCACTGCACTCCAGCCTGGGCAACAAGAGCGAAAGTCTATCTAAAAAAAAAAAGAAAAGAAAAGAAAGAAAAGAAAAAAAGAATTTCTTTCTCGGATAACTTTAGAAAGAAATCATGGCGGGGAGCATAAGTTTGTACATGGTCATCAAGTACACAAGATAACCAGAGCTCAGAGCAGCCCCGCCCCAGCATCAGGGATGGTGAATGAACCCTTAGGGCCAGGGTCTGCAAGTCCACAGTGGAGTCACCTGTGAGGCTTCTTCCTGTAGGTGGGCAGAGGAAGAGCTAGAGGGCCCCAAACAGGTTCCAATAGGAATCTCTGGATCCGTTTATGGCTAATCAATGATGAACCAGAAGAGGAAAGCTAGTTGCTAATTTCCAAACAAACCACGAAAAAACATAGGAAATGATAAGTTTATTAAAGCAGCATGCTTTTTAAAAAGAAGGCTAATTTTTCGGCTGAGCGCGGTGGCTCACGCCTGTAATCCCAGTACTTTGGGAGGCCGAGGCAGGTGGATCACGAGGTCAGGAGTTCAAGACCAGCCTGGCCAAGATGGTGAAACTTCATCTCTACTAAAAATACAAAAAAATTAGCTGGGCGTGGTGGCACGTCCCTGAAATCCCAGCTATTCAGGAGGCTGAAGCTGAGAATTCCTTAAACCTGGGAGGCAGAGATTGCAGTGAGCTGAGATTGTGCCACTGCACTCCAGCCTGGGCGACAGAGCAAGACTCCATCTCAAAAAAAAAAAAAAAAGATGTCTAATTTTTCTAGTTATTGTTTTTTAATAGAGACAGGGTCTCATCATGTTGCCTAGGCTGGTCTCAAACTCCTGAGCTCAAGTGATCCTCCCACCTCTGCCTCCCAAAGTGCTGAGATTACAGGCATCAGCCACCACGCCCAGCCAAAAAGTGTAATTTTAAAGGAATCGGGTCACAGGGTTCAGGCAGCAGCCAAGGAGCTCTAGGGTCTTCCAGAGCTAACATAAACTTTCAAAAGAAACCATATCTGTGCACATGTGTAGCATTTGCCAAAGATTGTTTTGACCTGTAGTATATGAATAAGTGTTTTGTTCTCAACTTTTTTAATTTAAAAAAAAGTGTTTCCTATTCAAATAAGCCCAGAAAATATTGGATTAAAAATAAAGTGTCCTAATAAGGGCTTTGAACCTCCAGAAAGGAGGACTCTAACATGAACATGCAATGTTCCATGAGCACATTCAGTCATAAAACCCTTGTTTCCTGAAAAACCAATTTGCATTTCTAAGAACTAGTATTTCGTGCCATATTTTTTGAAGAACACTATCCCAATTCAATGGGACATGCAGGCCAGTGCTGACGGAAAGTCAGATTGTGGCACCAATGACTTCCTGGCATTTGAGTAAAAACAGTCAGGAGAGGCAGGGCGCAGTGGCTCACACCTGTAATTCCAGCACTTTGGGAGGCCGAGGCGGGTGGACCACTTGAGGCCAGGAGTTGGAAACCAGCCTGGCCAACATGGTGAAACCCTGTCTATACTAAAAATACAAAAATTAGCTGGGCATGATGGTGCACACCTGTAATCCCAGCTAGTCGGGAGGCTGAGGCAGGAGAATCGCTTGAACGTGGGAGGTGGAGGTTGCAGTGAGCCAGGATCATGCCACTGCACTCCAGCCTGGGCGACAGAGACTTCATCTAAAACAAACAAACAAAAAACCAAACGAACAAACAAACCAGCCAGTAGAAACAGTACTGGCTGTTGGCTGAACAGCCAGTTCAAAACAGTACTGTTTTGGTTGAAACAGTAGCAACAAGTCAAAGACATGATGGAGAGGAGATTCCATCAAAAATGTACAGTCAGGAATGCAAAGACCCCGAATTTGTCATTAAACCTTTTTGGTGACCTAGCTAGGCCTCTGTGCTAGGGCTTAGCAATTGATGTGGGAATCTCAATCTATAGAACAGGTTTCTGAAAAGTCATATACAAATGAAGCATTATAAGCAAATAAGCCTGAGACAGAAGAGAAGCAATTCTATTTAAAATAGCTGCAGCATCACAATGGAACTCTTTGTGGTGTGATTACACCCCTGGTGTGTGTTTGGGCAGCCAACACCTGTGCTTTGTCCTCCTTTGATCCTAACCACAAGCCTGGGAGAGGGTAGCCCCAGAAGTTCAGCACCTCAGAAACAGAGAATGGCTTACTACCCCCCTCATTTTACAGATGAGGAAGGTGAAGCACAGAAAAGTCAAGTGAGGCCGGGCACGGTGACTCGCGCCCATAATCCCAATGCTTTGTGGGTTTTTGTTTTTTTAAAAAAAAATACTGAGTCTCGCTCTGTTGCCCAGGCCGCCTGGAGTGCAGTGGCGCGATGTTGGCCCACTGCAGCCTCTGCCTCCCGGGTTCAAGCAATTCTCCTGGCTCAGCCTCCATAGTAGCTGGGATTACAGGTGCCCCACCACGCCTGGCTAATTTTTATATTTTTAGTAGAGATGGGGCTTCACCATGTTGGCCAGGCGGGTCTCGAACTCCTGACCTCAGGCAATCCACCCACCTCGGCCTCCCAAAGTGATGAGATTACAGGTGTGAGCCACCATGCCCAGCCCATAATCCCAATGCTTTGGGAAGCTGAGGCAGAAGGATCACTTGAGCCCAGAAGTTTGAGACTAGACTAAGCAACATAGCGAGACCCCATCTGTACAAAAAAAATCAAGCAATTAGCTGGCCACACCTGTAGTCTCAGCTACTCGGGAGACAGAGCCAGGAGGATTGCTGGAGTCCAGGAGATTGAGGCTGCAGTGAGCTATGATGGCACCACAACATTCCAGCCTGGATGACAAGTGAGACCCTGTCTCAAAAAAAAAAAAAAAGAAAACAAAAAAGCCAAGTGACTTTTTTCTTTAAATTCGAAAGGCAAAGTTCTCATATTCAGTGTTAAAGATTTTTGTTAAACTGTTAATTATTTATGTCAAAACTTTTTGTAAGTTCAGAAAATGGGGAATGCTGAGTATTTTAAACAGAGATGAGAAAACAGCTACTGAAAAGTTGATTTATTCTAAGTGTTGAAAATCAGTGTAGAAAAATCAGCCGGGCGCGGTGGCTCACGTCTGTAATCCCAGCACTTTGGGAGGCCGAGGCGGGCGGATCACCTGAGGTCAGGAGTTTGAGACCATCCTGACCAACATGGAGAAACCCCATCTCTACTAAAAATACAAAATTACCTGGGTGTGGTGGTGCACGCCTGTAATCCCAGCTACCTGAGAGACTGAGGCAGGAGAATCGCTTGAACCCAGGAGGCGGAGGTTGTGGTGGGCCGAGTTGCGCCATTGCACTCCAGCCCGGGCAACAAGAGCGAAACTCCATTTCAAAAAAAAAAAAATCAATAAATGTGTTACTACCCATTCTGAGGAGATGGAACATGAGAAAAGCTGAGACAGCATCCAAAGAATGCCAGTGTCAATCTTTAGACTACCCAAACCACCCGCTTACCTAGAAAAAGTGAATCTCATGAGTAGCGTACAGGTTTTTACCAGTACAATGTTTACTGCGGTGTGAACTCAAGCAAATTCCCCTCGCCCCTGGGTCCCAAAGAACAGGACATGATGCCCTGGGCCTGCAATGCCAGGGACCCCTTGGCACAGGTGCCCAGAGGCAGGTAGCACGAAGAGGCTGCCATGCTCCAGGCTGGGCAAACTAACCCCCTTCTAGCCACAGCAGCCCAGCCCCAGAACTGAGTCCTGACCCAAAAGAAGCCACCCTGGCGTTCGGGGTCTGCTTTGCATGGGAGGGTGACTAGCCCACTGTGGCAACAAAGCCTGGGGCAGCCCCCTGAGCCCCACCTCCTGGTACTCACCCCTGCCTTTGTGCAATTCTCTCCCCTCTAGTGTGGGCGGGACCTGTGACTCACTTCTAACCAATGGAATACGGCCAGTGTGATGGATGGCACTCCATCTTGACTACATTATGTTACATTTTGCTGGCCATGAAGAAGCCAATTGCCACGTCATGAATGACCCGTGGGGAAGGCCACAGCGCAGGGAACCATGGGAGGCCCTAGGGACTTGAGGGCAGCTCCTCTAACAGCCAACAAAAAACTAAAACTCACTTTTTTTGTTGGTTTTTTTTTGAGACAGTCTTGCTCTGTTGCCCAGGCTGGAGTGCAATGGCACGATCTTGGCTCACTGCAACTTCCGCCTCCCGGGTTGAAGTGATTCTCCTGCATCAGCCTCCCGAGTAGCTGGCGCCTGCCACCACGCCTGGCTAATTTTTTTGCATTTTTAGTAGAGATGGGGTTTCACCATGTTGGCCAGGCTTGTTCAAACCCCTGACCTCAGGTGATCCGCCCACCTCAGCCTCCCAAAGTGCTGGGATTGCAGGCATGAGCCACCGCACCCAGCCTAAAACTCACTTTTATAGCTGCAAGGAATTGAATTCTGGGAACTTGCAAGTGTGTTCTTCCCATGCCGAGCCTCCAGAGGAGAAAAGCCCAGCTGACACCTTGGCTGCAGCCTTGTGAGACCTTAAGCAGAGGACCCAGCCAAGCAGTACACACATTCCTGACCCACAGAAACTGTAAGATACAATAATAAATGTGTGTTTTCTGAGCCACTAAATTTGTGCAGCAAGAGGTAACCAATACATCAACCAAACAAGGGTGTCCGATGTCAGAGATGGCACTTGACATATACAGAGAATCAGTCAGCAGTCACAGCAGCAGAGCAGACGTGGCAAATGCAGGAGGAGGTGCTGAGTCCCAGAGGAGCTGCTGGCAGGGAAGGGAGCCCCGGGAGCCTGGCCCTGTCGGGGCAGGAGGACAGCCTGTTCAGCAGAGCCCTGAAGCATCCTGCTCGACATTCCAGTCCTACACAGGGCTGGCTCTCACATGCACCCTCTCACGATTCACTCCCTCCTTCTCCAGAAATCTGCTCATCTCCCTGCGGCCTCTGTGTCAGACACCATACCATGAACCTTCCAATCACCTGCCAGGGAAACATGGAAGTCACTGTGAGGCCAGGCGCGGTGGCTCACGCCTGTAATTCCAACACTTCAGGAGGCCGAGGCGGGCGGATCACCTGAGGTCAGGAGTTTGAGACCAGCCTGGCCAACATGGTGAAACCCCGTCTCTACTAAAAATACGAAAATTAGCCAGGCGTGGTGGCAGGAGCCTGTAATCCCAGGTACTTGGGAGGCCAAGGCAGGAGAATCGCTTGAACCCGGGAGGCAGAGGTTGTGGTGAGTCGAGATCGGGCCATTGCACTCCAGCCTGGGCAACAAGAGTGAAACTCCGTCTCAAAAAAAAAAAAAAAGAGGTCGAGGCTGTAGTGAGCCAATATCGCACCACTGCGCTCCAGCCTGGTGACAGAGTGAGACCCTGTCTCAAAAAATATGTGTGTGTGTGTGTGTGTGTGTGTGTGTGTGTGTGTGTAGCTAGTGGAGATGAGTATCATCATGTACTGTTTTACTCAGCATCTACCATAAGTTAAATCTTGTATATAAATGTATATACACACTCATTACATCTTTCCAAGGACAAAAAAGTAAAATGGCATCATCCCCACTTAAGAAAAACTATGAGAAAATGATGCTCAGAGAGATTGAGGAACTCATAAATGGGCATAGAGCTTCATTGCTAAGACTCAGGCTGCTCTTTTTTTTTTTTTTTTTTTTTTTTTTTTTTTTTTTTTGAGACGGAGTCTCGCTCTGTCGCCCAGGCTGGAGTGCAGTGGCGGGATCTCGGCTCACTGCAAGCTCCGCCTCCCGGGTTCACGCCATTCTCCTGCCTCAGCCTCCCAAGTAGCTGGGACTACAGGCGCCCACCACCACACCCGGCTAATTTTTTGTATTTTTAGTAGAGACGGGGTTTCACCGTTTTAGCCGGGATGGTCTCGATCTCCTGACCTCGTGATCCGCCCGCCTCGGCCTCCCAAAGTGCTGGGATTACAGGCGTGAGCCACCGCGCCCGGCCCAGGCTGCTCTTTTTAAAGCCTACGTTTTTTCCACAGGCTGCCCCTGACCGTTACAAACAATCCTTACAACCTGGCCTGCCAGCTCTGAGTCTTCCCTTAAAGATGAAGTCTGCAGGTGGCAGCAGGTGGAGGACGGGTGTGACCAGAGGTTGCTTGGATGTGTTTGTGCTCCAGTGTGGTCCACTACAAGCCACTCCCCAAAGGCACTTCAAAAGAGAGTTGGGTCCCCCTTCACATGGGACTTCCCAGAGCCTGCCGCCATCTGGCCTCCCCATCTTCCCATCAGGATGGTGTGTCTCCCCACACACAGCTGGCTGCTTCGCTGCTTCTATTTTGCTCATAGTCTCCTCTTGTCTTGAACAAACTTCCTCCTTTCTTTGTCTTCCTCTCTACTTTCCCACCCTTCAAGACATCTTGTCACTTCCTCTAAGAAGCCCTCCTTCTTTCCCTTTCTAGCCTGGGTTACTTATTCCTAACACAAATGCATACTGCTAGCATAGAGCATTATTGCACACGATGATAGTTGTGCTACCTAGTGCATTACTGCATGGTATTACTTTTATCAGCATACATGTTCATCTTCTCCAACAATGTGGAGACTCCTGAAGTCAGGGCTGTGTGTATTTCATTTTGTATCCCAGTGCTTAGCCCAAAGCATGAGACAGAGCAGGATGTTGGTCGAAGTGATGCTCCTGCCCATGAAATGACCAGCAGCACTAGAAGTTTGGAAAGTAATTAAAGGCGAGGCTAATGTTTACTTATCCTTGAAGCCCTACTATCACCCACGTTAGCAGTCACCCGGCACAGGAGTTTCCACAAACAACCACTGGACAAATATTGTTTGCATAACTGACTCTATGGACCTACCCAGGAGCTTGCTAGGTTCACCCTCCTTCCAGGGAAGGAGAGTCCAGGAGAGTCTCTGACAGCCTCGTTCACCCACTACGCATGCTTTCCTGTTGGCTGGACTGCCTGGTGGACACTGAGAAGCCTCTGGATACACACTCCGGTGCCCTGGGGAGCTTCTGCAGACCTGATGAGGCAGAAGAATGACCTCTAGTGGTCCTCGCTGGCTTTGTTCATCCATGAAGCACTGGAACTGGGAGGGGTGTTTTCAGTGGGAAAGGGTGCAGTAATTCAGACAACTGTCCAGAAAGAGCGCTTATCAATACACAAGAATTCTGGCAATCGCAACAGAATAAACAGCTGTAGAACCACAGAGTAAATATTAGATATACCTCTTTATTACTGGTAATAAACCCATCTAATATAGCAGTAAATAAAATATATGTTATAAATCTTTTAAAGTCTATGAAATTTTCAACCTTAAAATGCTTTAAGAAGCTCTCATGAACATTCAAAATAATACAGACAATAGGTACATCACATTGTACAGTTCTTCAAAGGCATATTTTTTTAAATAACTCATCAAAAAAAAAAAAAGACTCTGCCCCCAACCACCCACCCCAGCAAGAACTACTATGATTTTGCAGTAAGAGATTTTGGAAAAACAATCTATTAAAACCAGGGCTCCAGTACTGCCAAAACCACACAAAGGATCTGTATCTATCAGCATACACTCTCTTTAAATGGAAACGTTTAACTTATCCCGTCATACCAGTTCTCCCAAAGGCAGTTTGTTACCATGTAAATTCAAAGTTGATCAAATCAGTCATCATATACCCATTTTCTGATTTGATTATCCTTGTTTTCTTTGGAGGAAGGAGGACTGCAGTTGTTTTTCTAATGAACAGGTAGAGTATAAAAAGTTTAATTTCTTTTGTTAAACAGAAGTTCTATAGGATTACTTTCTCCCTGATTTAGCCCTGAACTAAAGTTCATAACTACCTTCGTGGTAACAGTCAAAGTTCACCTCCTGTAGGTGCTTATAAACTGCTTGCTTATAAACCCAGGGCCTCTGAAATATACTGACATATTCTCTTCACCAACCTAGGGCACTCACTTCCGTTAACCACCCACTCAGTGCCACTTGGACCAAGCTTCTCTGCCGCAAGCTCGGCCTGAGTTTGATTCCTGGACCCAGCATCTGTAAAACCTTTGGAAAGCGCTCTGAGCCTTTGATCACAGGCTGGCAGAGCAAGCCCACCCTCTGGATTAGACACCCACAAAGCCTATAAAATCAATATCGAAGGCAATGAAGTAATTATTTCATCCAGAAATAATTACTGCTTCAGGTTCACACAGGAGGTGAGTTTCACACACTTAACACAGCTTCCTTGCACAGTTTGTGTGTGCAGACACTCAGCTGGTTTATCCTCATAGCTAGATATGTACATTTCACACACATTTCAAGAAGGGACTTGGAAAGAAATTTCAACTCTTAAAGTTGCTTTCTAGTCACAGGTGAGTGGTCTCTTGCCTCTTTGAAATATAAAGTTTCTTCACAGCCCATAACATGGAAAGATTGCTAGAAGACTTTTATGCAAGACAGCCAGAATATGGAACGCGAGGCTCCGTCACAGGTTTAGCCAACTTCTTGTGAAAGCACCTGTAGTTGACGCTGACAGCCCCCTCTGTTGAAGGAGTCAGGTGCGACAAGGATAGACACATGGGGCAGACCCTAGTCCTACCCAAAAGAATGGTCAGAAGGCAATCAGAGCACAGAGTGGAGGCAGACGACCAGGAGGAGCCAAAGAAGGCATGCCAGGGGTTCTAGGAAAAGAGCGGGGACATCTGAAAAGAGTTCAATAGGGTGACCAGGAGGGATGACCAGGAGGGGTTCAGGCTGCCGTGCACAGTGTGGAGCTCGAGATGTGGGACATCTGTGTGGAGGAAGGAGCACCTTTGCGGGGTGGTGGCCCTGAAAGGATGGGTAGAACTGTGTCAGAAATTGGAGGAGAGTAAGAGTCCAGGCGGAATGAATTGCATGAGAAGAGGCACAGAGCGATGAGGGGAAAGGAAGGGGCTTTGCATAGCATCCATCTTTACAATCACCTGTGAGGCCACTCTAACCACCTTCGTTCTACAGACTTGCTGGCTCACAAAGCCCACATGGGGCAGAGCTGAAATTCACAGAGCTCTGTGTGATTCCTCAGCCAGAGCAACCTCTCTATGCCAAGTACAGGCACTGCTCAGGGAGAAGGAGAGTGCTGAACGGCAAGGGTGCAGGTGGAGGGATGGCAGGCATCCAGATGGGGTGAGGTCCCTGGGGGCTCTGATAGAGCGCTCCAGAATCCCTACAGAGGAGAGGTTTGGAGGAACAGCTGGGGTGGGGGATGGAGAAGGCTTATCCAAAGCTGCATTTCCACAGCATTGGTGCGCCATGGCTCACTTAGGTGTGTGTTCAGTTGAGGCAGTTCCATCGTTTGCTCTAACGCTGGCTAAATCAGTTGTACTTACTTCTGCAGGCGACGGGCAGGAGTGCAATCTGGGTAGTACTTAAGCCAGCTGCCAAGGCAGGGGTTCCTACAGTGGACAGAAACAGGGAGAGACCTGAGTGGGAAGACCACCATGACTACCAGACCACATCTCCAAAGCGTGTGAGGTCAGGAAAACAAGGAAGGAAGAAGAGGAGGCTGAAAAGTAGAAACGGAAAACTATGTTCTGGGGGATACCAGGGAGAAGGCATGCCGGCCAGCAAACGTTTAACGGAAGAAAAACAGGGCAGAAAAGAACGTGAGGGCGAGCTCACCACCACCGGATTTAAGGGTGGGGAGCGGCAAGGCAGACGGCAAGTGTCTACTTTCAACTTAGCAGAAAACTTTCTCACTGAGAAAACAATCAGTCCTCCAATCTGGGTTTAGAGAAACAGAACCTGGTCAGACTTCTAAGATCACTGCTCTAGCTCTTATTTCACTATGTCTCTTGGTACCAGTCCTCAAAAGAGAGCCCCTGCTTTATAGAGAAACTTGAAGCACTTCCTCAAGGCGACATGATTTTACATTTAAGCTAACTCATTCAGTTTAGCCAACACCCAAGATCCTGCAATGAGTCCACATCAATAGAGGGCCCGGAGACACAGAGTGAACAGTGTGTGGTCTCTGTGCTCATGGGGCTCACACGACAACAGGGACTGAGAGGAGCACGAAGCCGCAGAAGGAGCTGTGAGGGGCTCATGAGGCACGTCAGGGAAAGTCCTCGGCGCGTCCAGAAAGGCTGCAGAGCAGCTACACGGTACTTAAGGGTGAGCAGAGGGTCAGAACGGGGCTTTACAAAGACCTTTTATTGTTTGTATGTTATACGTCAATAAGCTTTATTCTTTTTTTTTTTTTCCCATCTCACTCTGTCACCCAGGCTGGAGTGCGGTGGCACGATCTCGGCTCACTGCAACCTCTGCCTCTCGAGTTCAAGTGATTCTCCTGCCTCAGCCTCCCGAGTAGCTGGGACTACAGGTGCGCACCACCACAGTGGGCAGTAAAGGAGTGAGACCCCGAGCAGGGAGAGAGGTGAAAGGAGAAGCAGGAGAAAGCTCAGTCAGGCACGAGAGCACTGGCAATACTGTAAAGACTGGAAACGGCCACTGACTGTGCAGGGGGAGGTCCCTGGTGACTCTGCCCCAACCAGCCTGGCAGAAGTGGAAGCGGCTGCAATGGCGACTGATGTGTGTTTCTGGAACATGTAGCCCCTGCCCTGTGCCTGAGGTAAGGAATACGACTTAGCCATGAAAAGACAAAAAGAAGAAAGGGGTATTTTCCTACACCCATACAATTCAAGAATCTCTGCAGGAGAAAAAAAAAATCCATACACATACCAAAAGCAATTTTTCCCTAATAAAGAACATAATTTGCACAGATGAGTTGATAAGTTGGCCAATCGCACATGGATAAGTGCTGACTTAAAGTTACACAGGTATCTTAGTTACCTTGACCCAGGAAGTCAGGGCCTTTAAGGAAGCCACACTCCACTGCTGTCTCCACAGCCAGAATCGAGTCCCCAGCACTTCCCCCACTTCACTGAGTGCCAGCCCCTGCAGAATGCCGCAGCCCTCCCCCAGGCTGAGAAACCCTGGCCTGGGGCTACGTTTCCAGCTGCGCTGGGATGAAGAAACTTCATGGGTCAGGACATCTTCTTGTCTTAGATTCTCACTCAAACCAATGTGTGGCTAATTAAGGCAGTCTAGACTCACAGAGTTTTACCACAGGATTAAAATAATATCATACATGTGTTTTCGCCACATAAATCAGATTTTAGGAAAACTTTCCCAGCTGCAACTACTGAAAATACACAAGAAGTAACTGATGACTTAGCCCATAAGAAGTTAACCAGCTCATCCCTTTGATTCCTGTGCAACACTCACCTTGAGATGTTTTTAACTACTAGAAATAAGTAAGCTTGGTTTGTTGTTGTTGTTGTTGTTGTTGTTGTTGTTGTTGTTTTGAGACAGAGTCTGGCTCTGACGCCCAGGCTGGAGTGCAGTGGCGCAATCTCAGCTCACTGCAAGCTCCGCCTCCCGGGTTCACACCATTCTCCTGCCTCAGCCTCCTGAGTAGCTGGGACTACAGGCGCCCGCCACCACGCCCGGCTAATTTTTTTTTGTATTTTTAGTAGAGACGGGGTTTCACTGTGTTAGCCAGGATGGTCTCGATCGCCTGACCTCATGATCCACCCGCCTCAGCCTCCCAAAGTGCTGGGATTACAGGTGTGAGCCACCGCGCCCAGCCGTAAGCTTGTTTTAACATGTGAAGTTGATGGACACTAACTTTCCCAAGGATTCCGGAACTTGAAAACTGTTTAGGTATCTGGTCCTTCTTCACTGCCACCTGAGAAGGCTTGTGGAGGCTGCACTGCGGAGAAGCAGCTTCACACTCCTGGCAGCTGGGGGCTCCGTTCCTGCTCCCAGGCCGCAGCACCTTCACCAACCTGGGTGGGAGGCCGAATCCTCAGCTTAGCCAGGTTTCTGTGCTTCTCAGACACGACCAGAGGCCCCATTCCGACTTGAGCTACGTGTGTGGCAATGAATCATCCTGACAGTACTGTCAGTGTGACTGAACACGTCTAGCTTGGTGGCACACAACTGAACAAGTAGAAATGAACAGCAAGCTGCGGTGTGTCAGGACAAGCTCTAGCACTTGAATTAGACAAAGGCTGGGGCGGAAGGGTGTTGGAGGAAGTCTCTTTTTTCATTCATATCTACTCAAATAGAGAAGAACAGCCTTAAACCCAAGGGCCCAAATTAGTTTTAAAACTTGTACTACATCCTTTCTAAAAAGTCCTCAAAGCGGGCCTCGTGTAGCAACTTACAAAAGGAAATCAGGAAGTCTGCACTGACAATATGCATTTTAAAAAGCAGCATCACCAAGGAGCAGGTAACTCACCAACTGCAGCTGGCAAGCAGGATCGTCCCAAACCTGAGAACAAAAAATCTACAAAACCGCTAACAGCACAGGTAAATTAACTTAGATTTGTTGACCATATAAAAACAAGAGAACATCCCAAGTCAGCTACATTTCAAAAAAGATAAGACAAAGGATGTACTACTCCACACGGGCAGTTCAGGTTGTTACCTGCACAGGTAATAAACTGATCACCAAGAGGTAAAAGCAAAACATATAAGTGAAATCAACACAGGCTTAGTGAAAACTCACAATTCCCTCACTTGAAAGTTGGTATCAGAAGACAACTGACCAGGCCGGTCATGGTGGCTCACACCTGTAATCCCAGCGCTTTGGGAGGCCAAGGCAGGCAGAACGCTTTAGCCCAGGAGTTCAAGACCAGTCTGGCAACATAGCAAGACCCCATCTCTGCAAAAGCATTTAAAAATTAGCCAGGCATGGTGGCGTGCATCTGTATTCCCAGCTACTGTGGAGACTGAGACGGAAGGATTGCTTGAGCCCAGGAGTTCAAGACTGCAGTGAGTCATGATTGCACTACTGCATTCCACCGTGGGTGGCCAAGCAGGACCCTGTCTCAAAAATTAAATAAAGACAACTGGCCAGACCCAGGTCTGACCCCAAATGCTGAGGTCCATACTCCTGGAGAACAGAGATTGCCATAGGCCCTCAAGTTCAAAATGACCCCTGCATAAAGTCAAATCAATGTGTTCACTCTAATCTTTATTTAACATTGATCTGCAAAAAAAGGAAATTTTAAGTATTTGTGACAATGAAACCAGGGCAAAATGGAAAGCTGAGCCCAAAAGTTAGTCTCCCCTGAAGCCTCTCTTCAAATAATAGTATTTAAAAAACCCAAAGGGCAAAGAGAATGGAAGGGTCACTAGCTGATGTGTGAATCTGACAAATTTACAGAAGCTGAAACCCAGACGTGAGCCGTTCGATAAGGAAGGATCTGTTGAGATGAGGGCAACAGGACCGGCTCAGTCTGAACCGGCAGATGGAGCAGCAGAACCACGGTGCGTGGCTAGAGAGCCTAGGTAGAGGTCTGTGTGGGACACGGTCCACCCCACCCCTGCAGGCAGCTCTGTCCATCACCAGTGCTTTTCTCTTGGAAGAAACTGCCTGGAGTGAACCAAGGCATCCAGCCTGGCCAATGGCCCCCAGAGCACACCTTCCCTCGATTAGGCATTAGGGGTTCCCAGCACTATGACTGGTTTTCTACCCATTCACCCCAAAGTCAAGCCTGCTATTTCACAAGCCCCACTCATGTACATGGAACTCCTGGCCGACTTTCTATTTCCTCCTAAGAATATGGCTGGACAAGCAGGAATCATTAGATACGTGAGAAAAACTGCAGCTTAAAAAATAAAGAAGAAAAAGTGAATAAAAATACAACTTTCAAAAGATCTAATATCCTTCAAAAGTCAAGATATTGAATCCGTAAGGCCGCCAAGAACAGTTGCTATGAAAAAGGAACAAATAAAGACAAAGAAAGCTTTTGTTCACACATACACACGGTGAGCAAGTGAGAAGACAAAGTTGATCCCACTAGTGTAAGCTTCCAAAGGGCAAGGAATTTGTCTGTTTTGCTCACTGCTCTATCTCAAGAACTTACAACAGTGCTTGGCAAAGTGCTTGGAAAAACACAGGGAGGGAGGATAAATTTGAGAGAAAATAAAGATGGAAAATATAGGAAATGGATGGAGCAGACATGAATCTAGGAGGTTCCAAAGGTGGTAACAGGAGCTCTGGAAGGAGAAAACAGAAGCGATCAAAGAATTTCAAAAATACTTTTTCTAGAGCTGAAGAGGCAGGAGTCTTCATTGGAAGCCTCTGCCGACTACCAAGCAGGATGAGTCACAAAACAGCCACACTTAAGATCCACAGCTGTGTTCATTTCAGACCCTGCAGATAAGGAGAAGGCCCCGATAACGGGAGAGAGGGAAAAGCCAGGGCCCCCACTGCAAAGGGACAACCAGGGAGGGCTGCACCAATTTGATCAGTGATGATGCACCCTCCTGAACTCTGAGCCAAGCCTTCCACATTCCCAGGGAAAACAATTTTGAACCCAGAATTTTACTCCAAGCTGAACTAGCAATCAAATAAAGGGCAAAAGTACCCATACTGTCATACATGCCGAGGGGCTCTGAAAGCTCTCCATCACGTCCTTCCCGAAAATGCACTCCAGCAAAACGAGGATGAAAACCAAGAAAGGAAGACGTGAAATTCAGAAAAGTGTGGAACTGATCCAAGTGTCCAATACAAATCTCACCTCCTACAAAGTAACCAGTCCAAATGAGATCGCGCGATCCATGAGCTCTAAGCAGAATAATCTTCAGAAGAATGGAAGCAGATTCCAAGCGATAGAGGAAGAAACTGGCATGAGGGGGAAGAGAGCACATGAGTGTTCTCTCAAGAAAAAAAGCAACCCAACATCAGGAAAAATGGCGAGGGGGTGAAGGGGCACTGCATAGGAAATAACCAAAGCTGAAGCCCACACATGGCGTGATCCAGGCAGCTGACAACAGTCCGCTGGACCAGACACTAGGAATGCTCCTTCAAGTGGCAGCCTGCACGGCACGGTAAAAGACATGATTGCTGCATGGTGCTCAGCTCGACAGTGAGCCAGGTTCACATAAGTGAGAATAACCGTATCATCTGCGATTGGTGTTCAACTTTCAGAATTAATGTACAGAGAAGCACCAACGCCTGAATTATGCTCACAGAATGGAATGTCCATGTCATCCATCCTGATAATGTAAATAAAGAAGAAAGAACTGACAAGAGCTGGGAAGGAGACAGGGTCAAGAGATGGTGGCAGGACTGCTCACACCCTCACCCTTCCAAGTGGAGAACCACACAGCGCTTTTGAGAGTTGACCAAATAAGAAAACAGAAGTTTAAATATACAGTTTTAAAGGTATAGCAGTCACCAAGAAACGAATTAAAACTGAAATTACTGCTGACGGTCATAACTGGGGGTGAGGGGAACAGGTGAGCTAAATCCTTGTCTGTTATGTCAAATCCTTACTGGAAAGGTCTGAGGTTGAAAAGAAATAATGGCATAAGATGATTATTTAGAAATACAGGAGTACCCAATGAATGAGCTGAGAGTAGGAAGGGTTAGATGTGAGCTTTGAAGCTGGAGCAGGGAAGAGTGAAACTGAAGACCTTCCATCACAACAACTTCCAGGCCACTGGACTTTAAAGCCCATGCAGTTAGAATTTTGATAACATAATTTTAGGCCGGGTGTGGTGGCTCATGCCTGTAATCCTGGCACTTTGGGAGGCCAAGGTAGGCGGATCACCTGAGGTCAGGAGTTCGAGACCAGCCTGACCAACATGGTGAAACCCTGCCTCTACTAAAAATACAAAATTAGCCAGGTGTGGTGGCGCATGCCTGTAATCCCAGCTACTTGGGAGGCTGTGGCAGGAGAACTGCTTGAACCCGGGAGGCAGAGGTTGCAGTGAGCCAAGATCACACCATTGCACTCCAGCCTTGGCAACAAGAGCAAAACTCCATCTCAAACAAACATAAAATAATAATTTTGGCCAGGCGTGGTGGCTCATGCCTGTAATCCCAGAACTTCTGGAGGCCAAGGCAGGCGGATCATGAGGTCAGGAGATCAAGACCATCCTGGCTAACACAGTGAAACCCCGTCTCTACTAAAAAAAAATACAAAAACAAAATTAGCCAGGCATGGTGGCGGGCACCTGTACTCCCAGCTACTTGGGAGGCTGAGGCGGGAGAATGGCATGAACCCAGGAGGCGGAGCTTGCAGTGAGCTGAGATCGTGCCACTGCACTCCAGTCTGGGCGACAGAGCGAGACTCCATCTCAAAAAATAGTAATAATAATAAACTTTTAAAATGAAAATATCGAGGTCAAGTTTACTGCTATAACATTAACATATTAGTACTTTTCAAACACTGTTAAGCTTCTATGGTGCTTTATTAGAAAGTAGCTCATAGACCAACAGAGGTGAGTTTTGTATTTCAGTTGTCATTTAAATTATATGCCAAAATTGACCTAATCTAAAAGACACATTTTCTCCTACATTTTTATGTCATTGGAATCAAGATGAATTCATTTAATTGGTAGGGTTCCTAGTGGTACATAAATTGTTTATGTTATCTTGTAATCAGGGTGCCTTAGATTTAATAGGGCACTTGCAGAAAATTATGTCAACATACTTTTCCCCACATTATTTGATGAAATCAGATTGTTACATCTATTTCTAATACTCTGCTCTGCTCCCTTGTACTCCAGCCGTATCCTGGTTGTTAGTTTCTTCCTGAACACTCCAGGATCCTGGGACTAACTGTCTCCTAGTCTGGAAAGCTCCTGCACCCAGCCCACCCATTCCTCACAGCGCTGGCTGCTTCTGGTCACCAAGTCTCAGTTTACACATCACTCTCTCGGAGAAGCCTGTTGGCCACCCAATCTAAATCAGCTCTATACCTTAGAGACATTTTCTGTCATATTACCCAATTTTCATCAAAGCAGTTATCCTGATGTTTTCATTTCTCTTTCCTTACTAAAGCTTAAGCTCCAGGAGAGTGGACATCTTGCCTATCTTGTTCAACACCACATCCCCAGCACCTAGAATAGAGCTCGACACCAAGTAGGTGCTCAAATAATTCTAAAATAAATATTTTTTAAAATAGCACTAAGCTATGGACATAACATCTAAACATTTAGTGACTGTGTTTCAAATCTATAAGCAGCATGGCTTCATTATTTTTCAATAGCTAAGAATCTCATAAGTTATTTTGTTAGAAGATCCATTTCTAATGGCTATCCAATTAAATTTTAGAAATATACTAATAGAATATATCAAGTATAATTTCTATAGCATGAAACAAGTCATAACATCTTTAATTCATTTGTACATATTCCAAATTTACCTTTTTTTTTTTTTTTTTTTTTTTGGAGACAGAGTCTTGTTGCCCAGGCTGGAGTGCAATGGTGCAACCTCGGCTCACTGCAACCTCTGTCTCCGGGGTTCAAGCGATTCTCCTGCCTCAGCCTCCCAAGTAGGTGGGATGACAGGCGCCCGCCACCATGCCCGGCTAATTTTTGTATATTTTTAGTAGAGATGGGGTTTCCCTCAGGCTGGTCACGAACTCCTGACCTCAGGTGATCTGCCCACCTCAGCCTCTCAAAGTGCTGGAATTACAGGCGTGAGCCACTGTGATCGGCTCAAACTTACCCACTCTTGACTAGAACTGGTATCAAATGGATGGCAAACTAGGATGAAAACAAAAAGCTTGTTTCAAAAATTCAAGAGTGTCATTACCATCAACTTTTTAAATTTTAAGAAGAGATGGAGGAAAGATGAAGTTTAAAGGACGGTTAATACTTACCATTTTATTTGCCTCAACTCAAGTATTAATTGAAATAGTTTGTCAGATATTGAAGAACGCCTGACAAGAATAATGAATAACTGGCCATTCCTTCAGTACTTGCATTTCACATGTATGACAAAAGGATAAAATAAAAAGGCTGAAATCCCGAGAAAGTCTATTTGTCTGCTTTTTTATTCAAAAAAAAAGCCCATGATTCTTTGGGAGGGGATACAGGATTGTTTTCCAGTCAGATCATAATTTCTACCATCTCTGTGACAATCATAAATTCAAAAGGTTCCCACTCTCCGCACCCCGATTCACTTTTGGCACCTATATATGAAATGTCGCTTCTGAAAAATGGGGAAAAAATGTGAATACTGGGCTCTTCCCACAGTGCTCCTTTCCTGATGAAAATCTTTCAGTTTGCTCAATTTAGAATACTGATGCAAGAAAGTTTAAAGATATGTCATCAATGAAAATCTTTTTCTAACTATCTGGCTATCTTAGAAAATAATTATATTAGAAACAGCAGCCAATTCTCAGAGGCAAAGGGGCGATGGCTTATCTCTCTCTACTTCTAATTTTAAATTTAGAATTACAGAGCAATTCTATGAGAGGTAGCAGAAGGTCTGGCACAGGCTCTGGCTTCATGATTTCAGAATACAACTTTAACTCATCACGTCTTTGGGAAGAGTGTGTGTGACACTTAGCAAGAGGCTCACTAGACCTCCGTGTGCAGTGATGCTGATCAGACAGACACATGCATTCACCACTAGTGGAGAGGGAGGGGCCTAACCAGAGGACAGGCAGTTAGGAGAGGACTTAGCCAAAGAACTTAAAAATATCTACACAAGTGGCAATGTGTGTCATTTATAATGCACACCATTCCTGAGTCTTCACTTGGTCTGCCAAAGAAAAGTTCCTACAGAAAAATCAGGATGCTTACAGGAGAAAAATAACCAACACAGATTATAATAGGCCAATGTTTAAATAAGAGGAAAACAACTCACAACTTTCACTTTTCATATGTGAGGAGGAATCAGAAGCTTGGTATTGACCTATCTGGCGCAATTCAAATTCATTTTTTTAGCTGTTTCAGATCCACAGGGTATTGCCAAGAAGCTTACCCAAAAAATCGGTGGATTTTTCAGTGTTCTTAGAGCTGAAGGGATTTTTCTCAGTACTACTACTAAACTGATAAAAGTGGGAGGGCATCTTACTCCACTCCCTCCTCCAAAACCCACTACAACATCTGTAGTTCAAAACGAAGGATGGTAATGTTATAAAACTAGGAACAAAATAAGATGCTATGACAATTCTTTCTCTTTGTAATTAACAGCTGTTTCCTATCTGTGGCACTTTATACATAGCTAAGCTTTTGGGAGGGAAGAAGGGGAGAAGAAAGAAATTCCACAACCTCCTGACAAAGCAGCCCTTCCACTTGCATGGGCTTATTTCTTCTGCCAGCCACAGAGTCACAAATATTTTTCCCCATTTAAAGAAGTTTGAGTGAATGAAGTCGGGGAGAGTGGGAAGCACAAGCAAGAAGTCAACCATAGCCTTCTCTTTACCAACCCAGCCCTGTGTCCTTAGGAGCAGCTGGCTTCATCCGTCACCTTGACACTCATAGTAAGCAACATCTTTCTTTAAAACTTTTCTTGTTCTTGCTGCTTTTCTTGCCATTCTTGTCTTTGTTTTCTGACATCTTCTTTGTTCTGATTTCTCTCATTAGGTCAAAGAACACCTGGGGGTGAGGAGTAAAGAGTAAAAAGAATAGTGAAGAAAGAGCCATTTAATGATTTTTTTCTTTTGTTAACCTGACACTGTGAACACAGCATTTAAGGATTCAATGAAATAATTTGACTAAGCAGGATATGTAGTTACATTTTAAAGCACAAAGTCAAACTGATTTTTATAAACCATATGTCAACAGAAACAATAGCTCTGGGGCAAATAAGAAAAATTAACCTTAAAAAATTCTAATTATACAAAGCAAACATCTCTCATACAACTGCTCGTATCACACAACTGCTCAAGCCAAGGACAGAATCATCGTACTGTCACTGCCATGCAGCAGCAGCTTTTTTTTTTTTTAAATTCAGACAGGGTCTCCCCATATTGCCCAGGCGGGTCTTGAACTCCTGAGCTCAAGCAATGCCCACCTCAGCCTTCCAAGTGCTCGGATTACAGGCGTCAGCCACTGCACCCGGCCTAACAGCTGCTTTCAAAATGATAAAATCTTACAATAAGTGTGATGAAGGGTAAGACATATTTTTGCATATAACAGATCTATACATTTATAAAATTTACAAATATTGAGAGTAATAACAGCAAGCAGACTTTCTAGCATTTCCAACCACCAGGGAAGGGAAGAATGCCATAATGAGTCCCTGCTCCCAGGTGCTCTTGACACCCCTGCATCTGATTTAATCCTTACAAGGACCCCATGGAGGTTGGAACATCATTATGCATGACAGCTTTCCCAGCTAACTCCACAACAGCCACCCTGGGGAGGCAGTAGGATGGGAGAAGGAGGGCGTAAAGCATCAACAACTAAAGCTCCTGCACTAGGCGACTGAGAAGATGGAGGATGAGAGATGTCCTTCTGGCCACCCTATCCCTCCCCACACACACTCCCCCACCCTCAATCTCAGGACAACCACTCCTCCGACCCTTGTGATGTCAGCTGAGAGGAACTTTATCAAGAACTGATGAGACTTGTCCTTTGAAGGTCAGTGTGTTACTTAGATATGGATTATCCTTTTGTCACAGTAGTTTGGGTTTTGCCCTCTGCTACCAGCCATCATGCCAGAGGACTGATTATACCCAAGCAGACAAAATATGAATCCTACGAAGAGACATTTGAGATTTCTCATAGAGAATGACAGAGACTGCAAGTGTGGGACTGAGCACAGCCCTTATCTTCAGACATTCACACAAAACCACAAGCTCCTTCATGGCCACACCTTCTTCTTGGTGAAAAGCAAGATCAAGCCTCTGGAGTGTGGGGCTCCACATGCATTTACCACTAGCTCCAGGCACAGAAAAGCACCCCCAACCCCAGCCCCCAGCTAGATCAGGCCAACCCAAACATCCCTTCTTGCCAGCCTCTCAGGAAAGCACTGCCCAAGACAGCAACAGTGAACAGTTTCAAATGCTACAGGTTTGTCTTTTTGTCCTAACAGCAAAAGACAAGAGGAGGGGAATGGAGTGCATCCAACTTAAAATGATGACAAAGTTGTTCATGGGCTGATCTTATCACACCTTTCATAGAAATTCTTTACAAGTGAATACCATGCTGCCAGTCATAAGTCTCTGCTGGTTCCTGTTTGGCAGGTCAAGCTGGTCCAGCAGACAAGGGGAGATGACAACACAGACCCCCCACGCGACAACCCATCCAGGAAATACACATCCACAGTTCCAAGCTGAGAGAGTCTCCCTGATTTTTTTAAAATGAGCCATATTTCTGGATTTCCTGTGTGGTTTCCACAGCTGGAAAATAATTTAATAAAAATATTTTAAGTAGCACAATAATATAAGAGTGTAAGAGTTGAGAGATGACAATATAAAGAAAAGCTGACGGCGGAACACGCGCTTCCCATTGCAGATTACAACTAAACGGACTTAGGTTGTACAATATATGTATCCTATATGTATATCTATCCTATATGTATATGTCTCCTAAGATACATGTTTTTATGTACGATACATACAAATAGATGTATCTTGCCGAAGTGCGTCTAAAGCAAACCCCTTCTAATACCAACATTCTAAATACCAATGTTCTTCTAGCATCACTTCAAGTGAAAATAAAGCTTGGATAAAAATCTCTCCCTTGTCAGGTAATGAAAGCAAAGGGGAATGTTTCTGCACAAGAAAGAGAAACAGAAGACAGGATATAGGGGATTCAGATGCTGATGCTGCAGAACAAAAAGCAGACGTGTCCACTGTGTGGCTGCCAAAGTGCTATGTGCTTAGATTCTACAAGCACATGGATATGCAGTGAGAGCTAGTGAATGAGGTCAAGGCAGAAAGCCTCATCTTTAAGGCACAGCGTTAAAATTTTAGCTGTGTGGCAACCACCTTGAACTTTAATTTTAAAAAGAAAAAAGGCCTAACAATAGCAATCCCTGATAGGTGGATTTTCAAATTGTCAGCATTCATCATTGTCACTCAAGGTCACCCTTTTATTAGCTTCAGAGATTTGAATGAGAAAGTATGCTGGGATGGGATAAGAGATAAAAAAAAAAAAGAGATCCCAGAGATTTGAGTTCTGAGAGCAAATACTATTTAGAGACTACACTACAAAGATGGAACACTGTGGCTCTGTCAGTGAACAGTAAGGTGAAAAGAACAAATCTGACCAATAACTCAATGAGAGCAAAATCAAGAAGCTCCACGTATCTTTCAAGGGCACCTCCAGGGGAACCTCCTAGAAGCAGCCAGGCCCGCCCACCCTGCTCCTGAAGAGCAAGGCTGTGGAAGGTGAGAGCACACACAGAAGCTAATGACGTCCATCCCTCCAGCCCAGCCTTCACAAACCAATGGCCTCGTCCCACCATCCTTCCCAGGACCACACCAACAGTAAGCATAGTCCGCCGGGTGTGGTGGCTCACACCTGTAATCCCAGCACTTTGGGAGGCTGAGGCAGGCAGATCACTTGAGCCCAGGAATTTGAGACCACCCTGGGCAACATGGTGAAACCCCATCTCCACAAAAAACAGCCAGTGTGGTGGTGCACACCTGTAGTCCCAGCTACTTGGGAGGCTGAGGTAGGAGGATTGCTTGAGCCCAGGAGGCAGAGGTTGCAGTGAACTGAGATCACACCACTCCAGCCTGGTGTCACAGTGAGACTTTGTCTCAAAAAAGAAAAACCCAAAAGAACACATTAAGCATACTCTAATGAAGCCTCATGACAAAGTAAAAGGTTCTGTGAGTTGTCTGAAATACAAGGTGACATCCTCTCAATGTTTCTCATTATAATCATGATAATGGCTTAGACATTCATAGGAATCAGAATCTTCACCTAGTTTTCATAAATGGTTCCCTAAAACCCAGCAGATGAGATGCCTCCATTCTGCTGTTTCTCAGGTCTGTTTCTGAGAAATACACAGAATTCACGCCTACCTTGTCCACGTTGGCCCGGGTCTTCGCTGACGTCTCCACGTACTGCACGCCCCACTCTTCGGCTTTACTCCTGGCCTCCTCCACAGGCACCTGCCTCCGCTCCTCTAGGTCAGACTTGTTTCCCACGACGAGCAGTGGAATTTTATCTTCTTCAGCCTTCACACGGAGAATCTGTTCCCTAAGGTGTTACACCAAAAATACAGCAGCTAAAAAAACTAAAGAACGAACCCTGGTTTTGTGAACCCATCTAAAATAAAAGGCTTTCCTAAGGCAGAAGGAAAAAAAAAAATCACTAGATTTAGGGCATGTTCTGAGAAAGCACTCCCTAGAGGCAGTCATGAGCAAGACAAGTGTTTTCCAAGTCTGCTTCTCAGTTTGCCCACATCAGAATCCCCTGGGATGCTCATCACAAATGCAGATTTCTGGGCTCAGTCTTACAGAAGTGTCTGGATAGGAGCCCAGGATTTTACGTCACAACAGGGTCCCCAACTTATGCACACACAAAAAAAAAAACAAAAAGAAGAAAAATGGTCAATCTCTGCAATAAAAACAAGCTAAGGGAACTATCTCCATAAAATGCTTAATTCCCCTGAAAATATTTGTTTGTGACATAAAAGCTATGAAATCCAGTGTTTTCTATATGGAAGGTGGCAGCCTATTAGTGGATCACAAAACCAATCTAGTGGGTCGCAACCAGCAGTTTCTCCCCCCTGCAGTGAAATAGATTATAGAACAGAACTGACCAGATCAGAAATATCCAAGGGAATCTCAAGTAGGAAAGGTGAATATTGTATTGTTTTGAAACTTCAGTTTTGATTAGATCTGCATGTGTACACGACAAGTATGTCATCCCATCCCCAGTTTCCATGCAGACACAGTAATGTTATAGGCCACAGAATCGAGACAGATATGTTAGGCAGTAATCACATTCCAATACGTACCATTTTTCTACTACAAAGTGAAAAAAATGAAAGGAAATACGACAAGCCCTATGGAAAAGTACTTCAAAAGTGTCTTCTACAAAAATACCATTACTCGTAGCATATTAAATTTTACGTCTACTAAAAATTATCAGCTATCTGAAAGTACTAATCAAAACTAAATATTTAAAAAAATTAAATACCCCATTTCCATTATTTTGGTCCCATGAGAATATTTCTACTTTTATATGCCAATACATTCTAAAAAGAGTCCCCTTCAAAAATGTATTTTGTAGAGATCTGTATTGATTTTTATATGGTATAGGGTAACATTTCACAATAATAAAAATATTTTCTAGGCGTGGTGGCTCACATCTGTAATGCCAGCACTCTGGGAGCCTGAGGAGGGAGGAACACTTGAGCCCAGGAGTTCAAGACCAGCCTGGGCAACATAGGGAGACCTTGTATCTACAAAAAAAAAAACAAAAAAAAAAACTAAAATTTTCATGTAGTCAATTTAAGTGCCAGACATCAAATATTTTAAGACAAACTAAAAAAGATGAAAAGATGCTTGAAATTGGCTTTGTGTAGCCTTGTTATAGCCTACATTTGAACTGGGGTCAAAGAACATGATACATTTGAAGTCATGTGATCATTATAAACTATGAACAATAAAAACTGATAGCTTTCTGGCTCATTAGTCTTGCAGGGGCACACAAAATTACCTCATTGATAAACATATCGATCCAAAAATGGGAGTACCAAGTTCTGGTCTCTTATGACAGAACTTATCTTAGTTCATAAAATATTTTCCAGAAAAAGTTTCAAGGAAGACAGCATATTCACATGTCATTTTATATTGGGGCCTTTCTATTTGGAAGATAGTACACAAATGCTGTTTTAAAACTGCTAACAGACATGAAGTAAAGTGACTTGAGTTTAGCCACAGGGCTCAGATAATTGACCTGCATTCTTCTGTTCCCAACAACATGAGAAACCTACGCAGAGGTCAACTTCCCCTTCTTTCTGGTTTTAGGTATTCATCTGTCCTTTTTCTTCTAAGGATCTCTCTTTCCACCTAACAACCAAAACCCTTTTCCACATTGAGGGGAGCCCTGCTCCAACTCTGTGAGAACGCCCGAGTGCTATCTGTGCATGTGTGGTGACTGAGGAGAGGACAAGGAGCACTTGAAATACCTGTATTTCTCCATATCCTCTGCAGAGAACTCTCCTGCCCACTTCCCTTCTAAGTAAGTCACAGAACAACAGGAAATCAAAAGGCTCGGGACAGGGAAGAAAAGAAGAGAGTGTGTGCATCTGTCCTGTTTTACCCTCTATGAGGCATTAAAAACAGGACTACGCAGATGCAAACAATTATAAATACATGGGCTACATTCAAACAGAGCAGCCCTTAGGAAGGTCTGAAATGTCTAAAAATTAACAGAACTTCTCATAATGAGTCATAGTCACTTAACTAGTCACTGCACCACACGCACTCTGCTTCCAGAAAAGTAGGTCTTCGACTCTGAAGCCTGGAGCTATGAAGCATCACTGAGGCACCTCCCTATTATCTTTCACTAGCCCTGCTGGGTGACCTGTGCTCACCCGAGGCCTCCCTGGCTCAGTGATGCTTCCATCCAAGTCCTGGAAGGATAGCTAGCTTTCTCCTTTTCACCTCTGGTTGACCACCTTACTGTCAGACCAGAACTTGCTGAAGAATGAAAAAAACTGATTTGATTTTTGGGTTTTTTCTCTTCAGTTCCCTACTAAACTCTAGATCTGCTTCTTAAAAAGTCATCTAGATAGATATGTTTATAAGAAGAACAGATTTTTTAAAACTCAATTATGTAGGAGAAAGGGAAGGGCATGGGGTAAAGAGACATTTATAGAGCATAAGAATTATGCCCAAAAGGCTATTTCTTTATAACAAAATGAACTGAAGGTATTTTTTTCACTGCTATATTTTCTTTTTCTTTCTTCTCTAACACCTTCATGGAGAATAGTTGCCATATTTTAAAATAAATAACAATGGATATTCTACTCACTATGGAAGCACCATGTGTCTACACTGTGACAGGGGACAATGGAGGGTAGCCAGGTTCTTGCCCACATGAAATTCACAGTCTAATACATCCTTTCATTTCATTTCTCAACTCACAAGTGCATTTCCAGAGAAAGAAACAAAATCCTGACACTAAGTAAACTTGCCCATGGTCAGTGAGCGGCAAGGCAGGGATTCAAACCAGGTCTCCTGACTCTAAAGCCGCGTTCTCGTCCCTCCACTGTGCTGAAAGTCCTTAAGTAGCAGCAAATGGTCATTTTGACTCCCATCTTTCACTTTCCAGTCATTGTTTCATAACCTTCAACACAGACTAAACCTGCTACTTTTTTTAGTAACATTATTTAAAGGATAGATGGTTAATTTATCAATGAAAATCTCTGAGTATTTATAGGAACAAAATTATATGTTCTTGATTATATGGAATAGCTTCATTGTTTTCGGGGACAGTAAGACTCTTAAAATTATTTTATTCAGAAATCACAGATCAGGAAAGCCCAAAGAGATTATAATCATCATAGTCTATAATGTGCCAAGATTCAGAAAGCCCCAGAAGATTCTTTAGACAGAATTATTCCTGAGAACAAGCTCAGCCCTCTCCTAGTATGCTCAGCCCCAAATTCTTCATAGGCCTAAGACATATGAGAAAAGGCAAAAAGCTTCCTGGGGGCTTCTGCTATTTCATTTCAGACATACCTGAATTCGGCAGTTGCTGTAAAGGATTCATGTTCTGTGATTGAGAACACAAGAAGAAACCCTTCCCCACTCCGAAAGTAGTTATCTCGAATGGCTGCGTAGTCCTCTTGCCCAGCGGTGTCCAGAATATCTATCTGAACTTCTTCCCCATCAAGAACCACTTTCTTTCTATAACTGTCAGCTTTGGTAGGTTCATAGTCTTCTACAAACTGAGGAAATAAACATTATCGGTAATTAACAAAGTCTTAAGGGGAACAAAATCTGCCAAAAAACAAAATTCCACATATGGGCACTTCACACTATGAACAGGACACTACAGAAGCAACATTTTACGTAACACTTCTGTTCTTTATAGCTCTGTTTTGCCATTTTTTGTTTTTAAACAATACAGGCAGATATCCCAATTTACAGATGAGGAAACCAGGCACAGAGCAGAACACTTGGCAATATTATTGTCAGTATAAAATTTTAATGCAAACACCTGCAAGGGTGAGAAACTGGAATTCTTTTTTAATTATACTTTAAGTTTTAGGGTACATATGCACAATGTGCAGGTTTGTTACACATGTATACACGTGTCATGTTGGTGTGCTGCACCCATTAACTCGTCATTTAACATTAGGTATATCAAAAAACTGGAGTTCTTATTCATAACGGAAGTATAAAATTCATCTGAAAAGTAATTTGGCAAGATGTATGATATGGTCTGGTTCTGCATCCCCACCCAAATCTCATCATTTAGGTTGTAATCCGAATTATCATCCCAATGTGTTGGGGAAGTGACCTTATGGGAGACAATGAGATCATGGGGGCGGTACCCCTATGCTGTTCTTGTGATAGTGAGTTCGTTCTCACAGGACCTGATGGTTTCATAAGGGGCTTTTCCCCACTTCGCTCTGCACTTCTTCCTGGCGCCTTGTGAAGGACATGTTTGCTCCCCCTTCTGCCATGATTGTAAGTTTCCTGAGGCCTCCCCAGCCCTGTGGAAGAAAAGAGGCTATACACCTCTTTTCTTTATAAACTACCCAGTCTTGGGTATTTCTTCACAGCATCAAGAGAATGAACTAACACAGTGTACCAAGAGGCTTTCAGTGGTGTGGGTTTTTGAGAAAGGAATGAAGTAGTACCAACGCACGCTGCAACATGGAACAACTTTCAAAACATGATGCTGAGTGAAAGAAGTTAGACATAAAGGCCACATATTGTATGATTCCATCTATATGAAATGTCCAGAATAGGCAAATCCATAGAAGCAGAAAGCAGTTGCCAGAGGCCAGGGGTGGGACGGGGAAGCAATAACGGGGAATGACTACTAATACGTAGGTTGGTTTTTTTTGGAGTGATGAAAGTGATCTAAAATTAGATAATGGTGATGGTTGCACATCTGTATGAATATACAAAAAAAACCTATTAAATTGTACACTTTAGGCCGGGGCAGGCAGATCACCTGAGGTCAGGAGTTCGAGACCAGCCTGGCTAACATGGTGAAAACCCATCTCTACTAAAAATACAAAAGATTAGCCAGGTATGGTGGTGCACACCTGTAATCCCAGCTACTCAGGAGGCTGAGGCAGGAGAATCACTTGAACCTGGGAAGTGGCGCTTGCAGTGAACCAAGATCGTGCCATTGCACTCCAGCCTAGGCAACAAGAGAAAAACTACATCTCAAAAAAAAAAAATTGTACACTTTAAAAAGAGCGAATTTCATATGTGCATTACATCTTAATAAGGCTGTGATTTAAAATTTTTTTAACTTAAAAATGGAATTGAAAATGTCCAAGTGAATTAAAGGTTATTTGAGGAAGACTGTTAAAAAGAGCCTTGTATTGTCAGTTAACAGCTACTCAAAAATAAAAATATTAAGACATGTTTAGTATTAGGTTCTCTTCAACGTGTACTAATAAATTATCTCCAAATAGAGATGTGAAAACTTGCCTGTGCTTTCAAGTGTCCTTCTTTTAACTCCTTTCCAAAAAGAAAAATACACGCCAAAAAAATCCAACACACGACTGTCCCCTGAAAATCTCTGAATTCTACCATAAATTATCTCAACTGTATATTTCTGAGCTTCCAAGGATAAAGCCAGCCAGAGTTCCACTGGCTCCTTTGACACAGAAGTCAGAATGTCCTGCTGTACCTACATACCTCTGTACTCAATGAAAAGTATGCTGATTACCCCAACATTCCATTACAACCCTGATGTTTATTTACATTGCTCAGCTGGAAACAGAAAATCACAAAGTCTTTGTATCCATTAGCGTGAACCATACGTATCCCCTACTGGCCTTGCAGAGCTCTGCATGGCTCAGTTTCAGATGCCCAAGAGTCTAAGACAAACTTCACGTGGACCCTTTCTTTCTAAGCTGACTTTCCTCTAAGCTGCCAGAGACTGAAAGTCTGAAACGGTTGCTGCCAAAGCCTCTCCATCCCCAACCTTACTCTCCCAAAAAAGGCAAAAACGAGTATGTTAGGCCGAGCATAAGGAGCTTAAAATCTGACTGCTGCCACCCTGGCAGCTCCCTCCAATTTTTCTCAAAGTCAGAACTTAGACAAGAATAAAGACTCTGGGACTATGGCTCCTTCCATAATCTAATCTTCATGAAAATTCCATCACATAAGCTAAACAATTTTAAATAAGGGTTAAGCATGCACTATGAACAAAGAGTCTGAATGGTGCAGGAGACTTTAGACCAGGGGTGTCCAATCTTTCGGCTTCCCTGGGCCACATCGGAAAAACTGTCTTGGGCCACGCATAAAATACACTAACACTAACGATACCTGATGAGCTAAAAAAATATATTGCAAAAAGAATCTCTGAATGTTTTAAGAAAGTCTACAAATCTGTGTTGGGCCACATTCAAAGTCATCCTGAGCCACAGGTTGGACAAGCTTGATTTAGACAGCCGGCCTCCCTGAACACAGAGCTCAATTTCCTGACTAGATGATCTCTCAGGCAGGAGCTGCCACACCTGGCCACGCGGCAGAACCACCAGAAGAGCACCACTGAAAGAGTCCCAGTTCTCCAACTCCACCAATATTATTCAGGAGGTGTTTTTTTTTTTTAAAGTCTCCCAGGAAATTCTATAATCAGCTAGGTTTGACAATTACTGCTAAGGTCTCTTCGAGCTAAAAAATTATGATTCTAGAACCATTCTGTCCAATATAGTAGCCACCAGCCACATTTCAAATGCACAATAGCCACTTGTATTGGACAGTATAGATACAGAACATTTTCATCATCATGGAAGTTTCTATTAGCACCGTTTTAGAAAATCGATTAGAACTCCTCCCCCAAACATACATCACTTCATTTCTATTCCTTCCTTGCCCCAATTTTATTTTACAATTTCTTCAATAACTGCCACTTTCCAGTTCTCAAGTATGTTAGCCCATGAGAAAAACAGACTAAGGCCAGGCACAGCTTTCCCTGGTCTCTGTGAAGAGAACAGAAAGAAGAGAAAAAACTCTCGAATCTTCTGCATGCATCTGCCCCCTCCTCTTACCCACCCCCGCCCCCCTCCCCAACACACACACACCCAGAAACCTCCAGACCAGGCTCTCCTAGTCTCCTCAGCAGTGCTAGCTCTGTTATCTTTTTTTTTTTGAGATGGAGTTTCGCTCTTGTTCCCCAGGCTGGAATGCAATGGTGCGATCTTGGCTCACTGCAACCTCCATCTCCCAGGTTCAAGCGATTCTCCTGCCTCAGCCTCCCAAGTAGCTGGGATTACAGGTATGCACCACCACACCAGGCTAATTTTGTAATTTTAGTAGAGATGGGTTTTCTCCATGTTGGTCAGGCTGGTCTTGAACTCCTGACCTCAGGTGATCTGCCCGCCTCGGCCTCCCAAAGTGCTGAGATTACAGGCGTGAGCCACCGCGCCCGGCCCCAGCTCTGTATCTGAACTTGCTCTTGGAACTGGCAACCCAGGGCCTCTCAATCACTAACACTGTAGGGGAATCTTCTCTCCTTGGATCTGCCACGGCTCTGCCTCTAATGCAGGTTTCTCAACAGTGGCATTGTGGATATTTTGTGCTGGCTAATACTTTGTTCGGGGCTGTCCTGTGTGATGTAGGATGCTGAGTGCGTCCTTGGCCTCCACGCACTAGATGCTGGTAGCATCTTCCCCCAAGCTGTGATGGCCAAAAATGTCTCCAGGCACTTACGAATATTCCCTGGGGAAGCAAAATCCCCCTCTCTCACCTCTGTTAACAACTACTTCCCTAATCCTATCTCCCTAATCCTAATTCCCCTACTCACCACCCCCTCTCTTCCCCAACCTCTGTTATAGGGGAGAAAAAAGCTTTCGTAAGCAAATTATAAGTTTTTGAGCAAAAACAAACAAAAGACCTACAAAGCAGATGCAGATCTCCCAACCTGCTTCTCTTATGCAAAAACGTTTTGGGGAAATTCAGCAGATTACATTAGATTTATCCAGTTTGACCCCCCAGAATAAGATAAAGAAAAGCAGGTACCAAACACAAAAGTGTCTCATTATAAGACATGGGGAGCATGACCCAGGAGGATAACCAGGTTTGGGTTTGAAGCTTATTCATTATGGGGGCCCTTCCTTAAGATACAAAATTACACACGTAATACTGGACATTAAAGTAAATGTTGACATTGAATGAGAAATCATAATCCATTATAAAGTTTTAAAGATGAGTACTCCAGCGATCTCACCCCCGGGTGACTCTCAGTGAGGCGAAGGGAATACCCCCATGTTTCCATTTCATTTTATAAGACCGTCTAGGCTGGCTGGAGACTGTCCTGCCGGCCTTGGAGAAGCAAGCCACTGTGGTATGAGCTGCCTATGGAGACGGCACATGGCAGGGGCCTGCGGGCAACTTGTAGAATCCGAGCACCTGTGTCCTACACCCACAAGGAACTAAATTCTACCAACAATTAGGGAGCCTGGAAGAGGACCCCCACGCCTCAGAAGAGGTCACAGCCCCAGCTGACACCTTGAGTGGAGTCTTGTGGGACTCTGAGCAGAGGACTCAGCTGAGGCTCCAATTCTGGACCCATGGAAACTATGGAATGACAAATGTATGTTGTTTTAACCTGCTAACTTTGTGATTATTATACAGTAATAAAAAAAACTAATACAAACAGCACTGACATCACAAAATCCAGCAAAATAACAATATTTTTATTAATTAAACTGCCTGACATACCTCTAGAATACCTTCTACTTTTTTGTTTGCTGTATACTTTTTCTTGTCATATGCCAATGATTTTGAAACATTCCTATAGAGAATAAAAAATAATTTAGTCTTTCCTTTAGCATGGTTAATGAAAATGTCTTTTGTTCTGACAGCTTAGAAGAGGTTCTTTCAGCTTCACAACTACATGAGTTTTTTTTTTTTTCTTTTTACTTTAAGTTCTGGGATACATGTGCAGAACATGCAGGTTATGTAGGTATACATGTGCCATGGTGGTTTGCTGCACCTATCGACCCATCATCTAGGTTTTAAGCCCCACATGCATTAGGTATTTGTCCTAATGCTCTCCCTCCCCTTGCCCCCCGCCCCCCAAAAGGCCCCAGCATGTGATGTTCCCCTCCCTGTGTCCATGCGTTCTCATTGTTCAACTCCCACTTATGAGTGAGAATATGTGGTGTCTGGTTTTCTGTTCCTGTGTTTGCTGAGAGTGATGGTTTCCAGCTTCATCGATGTCCCTGCAAAGGACATGAACTCATTCTTTTTTATGGCTGCATAGTATTCCATGGTGTATATGTGCCACATTTTCTTTATCCAGTCTATCTTTGATGGGCATTTGGGTTGGTTCCATGTCTTTGCTATTGTAAATAGTGCTGCAATAAACATACATGTGCATGTGACTACATGGCATTTCTAGTAATGAAAGTTTTGGGATTACTGCCAAATTTAGGAAACCTCTATTGAGCTTCACTGTACAAGCTGTAAGATCTGAAAGACTTTTCTGGCCCAGTTTCTAGCTTCTAGCTCTCACACACTTGTGTCAGGTGCCACAGGACAGGTTCGCATCAGGATCCACCCCTGGCCCTGCACCTCACATCACGATGTTCGCACGTCAGCACAGTGGGCGGTTGGAGTACTCCTGCAGCCAGCGATAATCGCCACATGCCGCGTGACTCCAAACCACACCAACACATACCACTATTCCCACCTAACCCAGCCCAACACAAACTCCCTCAGCTAGAGGCCGAAAATGCCCATGGCCACTCCAGCTGCACCCAGCATAAGAGGAAGCAGGACAATGGGAAAGTCTAGTGAAAAGAGGTAGTGATCTTAACTGACGTGGTTGTGATAGCTTTCTTTCGCAAATCTCATAAAGCCATGTGGCCGCAATGCAAGTGAGAGGCCCTGAGGTTTAAGCTCTGCTCGGAACACTCTCCCTGCCTGTACTACAGTCATCCCTCGGTATCCCTAGAGAAATGGTTCCATGACCCCCACCAAATACCAAAATCTGCAGATGCTCAAGTCCTTTACTTAAAATGGCACAGCATTTACATGTAACATCCTCCCGTACACTTTAAATCATCTCTAGATTACTTATAATACATAATACAATGTAAAGGCTACGCAAACAGTTGTTACATTGCATGTTTTAATTTGTATTGTTTTTATCATTGCATTGTTATTTTTCATTGGGTTTTTTTCCCGAATATTTTCATTCCGCAACGTTTCATTCTACATTGCTTGAATCTGCAGATGTAGAGCCCACAGTAGGCTAAGTATCCTAGCAAACAGCTCAAGCAGGGACTTTTGTAGCTCCGGGGATCAAGGCTGTGTTGTCACACTGAACTCAACACCAGTGATGTTATCCACATTAAGTAGGTGACGTAAATTTTGGGCAAGGATAGTGCAAGCTTTACCTTGCCGCACGGGAGAACTGGATCTGATGTCTATCACTTGCGAAAGGATTAAGTTGTATGACAGCTCAGCTCCCCTTTCACTCTCTTTCACTTCGCGATTGACTGACAATCACAAGGCTAAATGCTTGTGTTGTTTGGAAAATCTGTACAAAGGCTCCTCTCTCCTCCCCTGGGCTTTTGTCAGAAAGAAAGCTCGAAGTATAACAATGGAAACGATGCAAGCAGAGATCTCTCACATCCCCGCCGGAGTTGAAATTATTTACCTAGAATCAGCAATCCAGATCTTATGCTGATTAGACCTTCCTAGGAAGCTATTCAGAAGCCACCTCAACACAGACTTGCTCCGTGAACCCCTGTGTACGGGAGGACCGGCACAGAAACAGCGGGAGCAGGGACACTGCTACGGCCAATGCCAAAGGAAGGTGGTCTGTGCCTAGCAGGGCTTACCTCGTCATACATGAACTGAAGCGTCAGGGCTGACTTGCCAACGCCTCCGCTGCCAACCATGATCACCTTGTGGAGGGCCAAGGAGCTCTGGCCCTTACTCTTGTTGGCAGCCATCTCGCTGGTCTTCTGAGGCTGTGACACACAGATGACCCACTGAAGAGCTGCTGATGACAAAGACAAAGACTTAGAGGCGATTTGCTTTCAACCTAGCTAAAACCAAATGTCATTCACATCCTCCATTAAAGCCTAACTAACCCAGACATTCCAACAGGAAAGTAATCCTTTCAGGCTCAGGGCAGACATGCGAGCCCTCCAACAACTCTGGAAGTCACTTACCCCAGCACAGCTGGGGCGAAGCCAAGGCTAGAGGGGAGAAACAGGAGCGCACACCCCACGCCCGCCTCACTGGGCAGGGTGGAGAGGACACCCAGTCACCAAAAATCATCAGACCCTCAGCAGGGCCTCACTGAGGCAGAGACCAAACCGCTCGTAGCTCCAGTTTCCTACCTCTCTGCTCGGTTCTCGGCTGCCGCGGAGAACAGCTTGGGACCTCAATCCCCAGCTCTTTAGCTTTACTCCTCGCTTTGCCCTCTTACCCTCTACCCCACAACACGCACACACTCACAACACGCTCACACACGCTCTCACATTCACACTCACAAACGGTCACTAACACACTCACACATGCCCACATTCACACACATGCTCACACTCACACACGCTCACATTCACACACACTCACGCTCTCACATTCACATTCACACATGCTCACACACTCGCACACACATTCACACATGCTCTTATTCACACACATTCACTCACATTCACACATTCACACTCGCTCACACACGCTCACATTAACTCACATTCACACACACGCTCACACTCATTTTCACACTCATGTTCTCACATTCACACATGCTCATGTTCTCACATTCAAACACACATATTCACACACTTGCTCTCACACGCTCTCACACACTATCACAGGCTCACACATGCTAGCACACGCTGTCATACATGCTCACATTCACACACAAGCTCACACACTATCACACACGCACTATCACACACACCCACATACACACTTTCACTCATAACACGTTCACAACGCTCTCACAACACTTTCAAATTTGTGCTCATGTACACTCACAAGCTCACATGCTCTCACAACACACACTCCATACACTATCACACACTTGTCCTCTCATAGGTGCACTCACGCTTTCACACACACACACAACTACACACTCACATACGCTCTAACGTTCACATGCTCATACCACACATACATGTTCATGCTCACACCACATACATGCTCTAACACATGCTCATATCACAGGCTCAGAGGCTCTAACATGCACATGCGTGTTCACATGCTCTCACACATACATGTTCACGCCACCACACACATGCTCTCACACACATGTTCACATGCTCACACCACACACAATCTCACATGCTGTAACACGTTCACAGAACACACACGCTCTCGCACATGCTCCCATGCACTCTTATGCTCTCATACACTTTCTCACACACACATATGCTCTCACACTCTTACACAGCCCCACACATCCCTCTGGTTGATTAAAGAAGTGAGTTCAAGAACAAATACCCCTTCATGACATGAGAGTTAAAAGGAGAAATCTCAAAATCAATTTGCCCTAATCAGAAGGAAGATAAAATGAGTAGAGCAACTCCAGTATTATGGGACAACAAAGCATCCCAAGTAAGTATATTTAACAGGGACCTGGAATCTACCGTAACCCAAGTGCCAATCTTTATTTTAACCAATTTGTATGGAAAAATCTATTTCACATATACCAAAACACAAGAATAAAGGGCAGGGCTTGGGCATCTGGCAGGCATGAGTGTGGTTCTGCCATTTGTGAGCTGCGTGACCCTAGAACTAGTTCAATGTCTCCAAGCCAGTTTTCTTATGTGCATAAAACCAACCACCACCTACCTTGCAGGAATGTTCTGAGGACTAAATAGGATATACATGGAAAACACCAAGGCACAGACCCAGCACCCAGTAGGAATGAACCAATGTTGTTTTCCATCCCATCTAATTGTAAGAGTGATACAGGAGGTAGAAAGAGACCATTTAGGCAGATAGTGAGGGCAAAGAGTCCTCGGCAGAACTTCCTCCTTTTTTTTTTTTCTTTTTTTTGAGACAGAGTCTCACTGTGTCACCCAGGCTGGAGTGCAATGGAACGATCTCGGCTCACTGCAACCTCTGCCTCCTGGATTCAAGTGATTCTCCTGCCTCAGCCTCCTGAGTAGCTGGGAATACAGGCACGCACCACCCTGCCTAGTTAATTTTTGTATTTTTAGTAGAGATGGGGTTTCACCATGTTGGCCAGGCTGGTCTCAAACTCCTGATCTCAAGTGATCCACCCCCTGCTCAGCCTCCCAAAATGCTGGGACTACAGGTGTGAGCCACTGCACCTGGCCAGAACTTCCCTTCTAACAAAACACAGCCCAAGAAATCAATTATTTTCTAAAAAAGAGCAGCCTGGAAGATCAGGTTACAAACATAGATAAGGAAGCCGGAGGCTTGCACAGCTGCATGCCAGCGGCTGCACCAATAGAAGGGCTACCTGGGGCCAGGCAGGTCCACCATGGTGGTTCCACCTCCCCCATTTTTAGCACATGTGCAATAGGAAAGAAATAAGCAACATAGAGTAGCTCAGGCTGAGGACTCGCCTGCATAATAAAAGACTGTGGTGGGTGCTGCCAGAGAGTCATGCCTTATGCAGATGGCACACTTGGTCCTAACTGGTTTTCCACACCCTATGTAGATCAGATACTGCCTCCCCACTAGCACATCTGTAAAAACCCCTGCATTTCACTGCAGGATGGCAACCCTTTTTCCAGGACTACTCTCTGTGGCAGAGAACCGTTCTCTTTCTTTCTCCTATTCAATTTCTGCTCTAAACCTCACCCTTGGTGTGTCTGCATCCTTGATTTCCTTGGCCATGAGACCAAGAACTCTGGATGTCACTCCAGACAACGAGGCCACTTTACGAGAGTGTTCATTCTAACTACAACATGGTGGACTCCTATTTCCCTTACTGCTGACGAGATAGCCTGAAAACATCCCCACTAGAAAAATAAACACACACAACACACACACACATCACTGGGCGAAATAAAACAACATCATCTTAAATCAGTGGTTCCCATTCTTAGCTATACAACAGAATCATGCAGGGAGCTTCAGAAACATCCTTACACCTGGGTCCCACCCTAGATTCTGAAATAATTGGTCTGAGATGCAACCTGGGCATGGGAAATTCTAAAAGATTCCCAGGTGATCCTCATGAGCAGCCAAGGCTTAGAATTGCTCTTAAATGCACAGCTGAGCTCAAAAGAAAGTAAGGATCCCCAAACAGGAGAGAATCAGAGCAGTAAGAGCGGCAGTTCCTGCAGTTCTGGATGGTTGCTGTTCTTGGTAATTTAGGATTTAACGTACATGTGCATGTGTGCGCATGCACACACACACATTCACATGGCTGGGAGACCAGACATACACACAAGGTAGCAGTTAGAATTGAGACACCTTTTCAATTGGGAACTGAGAAGTCAAGACCCTTGAAGGAGCACACCATCTGTGCGCCAACAGAGGAAAATGACAAGGAAGCTTGTCTGGGCTCTGGCTGTAGGGAATTCTCCCCTGAAAACCTATACCCACAACACTCCTCTAAAGCCAATAAAGTAACATGAAAAGTGGTCCCAGGCTGCTCATAGTGCTGGAGGCCCAGGCAATGCTAAACGAAACCTCTCTGGGGGAACAAGGGGCAATGAGTGTTCGGGAGTCTCACAGCTAAAGCCTAAAATTCCAGCTCACAAAACACAAGCAAATCGCAATTCATGAGAGTCAATGGCAGTAACAAGCAGGACTCTTCAGGCAAATATTATAAAAAGTATTAGTTGATCAATTTTAACAAAGACAAAGGCAAAATGTGAAAAAAATGACATCATTGAAAGACCTGATGGAGTTGAAAAAGAACCATTCTGAATGCTTAAAATACTTTTTAAGTATTTTAAAAGTAACGATGCTCATAGCAAATTTACAGAATACACATAAAAAGCACCTATGATCCTACCACCCAGAGATACTCACTATTAACTGTGTATACCAGAATTTTATCTATACCTTCCTATATTTAAAACCTGTTTGAGGCCATTATTTATGTAGTGTTGCAAGTTACTTTTCATGTATTAGATTTCTCTGTCTTCTGAAACAGCACAGACTGAACATAACCAAGCTTTCTCTTGACGACCTCAGGGCACTCATCAGTTTGTGAAAGGCCTTGGCTGCCAGGAGTCCAGATCACATTTGCTCTTCTCCCCCCTACTCTTGACCGCCTGCCTACACCAGGCGTTCTTTCCACTCCCCCTTTGCAAATTACGTACTTTTTTTTTTTAAATAAGTGAGCTAAGCAAGTAACTAGATAAGTAAGCACATCTGAAATGTGGCTAAAATAGAATAAATGGAATAAGAGGCAGACCTCCCCAAAAGGCTTGAGTTTAGGAAGGTGAAACTACTTCTGGCCTCATTTCTGGTCCACACTGTTTCCTACAGAGCTGAGGTTTGTGAATGAGGTTGGAACCTCCAGACCATCAACCTGTCACACAATTTCTCTGAATCAATCCTGGTTCTATGAATTATTATGGCTGTCTGAAAAGGATATTTTTCCAGGTTGGGGGGGATCCTTGCAAACACGTGTAGTTATCTAATTCTGAACTGCTGTTTTCAAAAACAAGTCAATTTCTCTAGAAGAAATAATAAATGAATTGAAAACTATTCAACACACCCCGATACTTCCCAAAATATCTGTGCTTAAAGTTCAAAAACTGAAATAACCATGGTGGATATTTCCAGCCTGTATCACTGCTTCAGTCAACTTGGCATAATTAAGGGAAAGAACAGGGAAGGTAGAGGTGCTGACCACATGCCCCTCACTGAACCAATCCTAGAAACAGCAACCTCCAGACTTTGGGTGAAACTGCCTTTGCAAAGATTCTGACAGTGAAAGAAGCTGAACGTGCTGACTCCATCTTGCCTCTGGTCTTACAGGTCGGCGTCTTCTCTTATTCCTGGGCATAGGCCACACCAACCCTGAGAGGAATTTCTAGTTTAACAAGGATAATAATAGTCCCTCCCTAAAATTGATCCTTTCCTTGTTCAGGGACTGAAACGGCCTTTATAAAACTAGTAAAAGGCCAGGAGATTAGAATTATGGGAGGGGCCTGAGTTCTGCTAAAATATAGGCCTCCTTCCTATAATCCCTTACTGCTCAGGAGTCATGTGGTCAGAGGTCACAAGATGTGGACTACCCCAGTTGCTCCTATAGATAACATCAGTATTGCAGAACCTAAGATTGGTCTTTTGAGATGTTTTTCAGACTGACCCCACATGGACTTATGACTCAACCAGTCCTGTGGTTCCTCGCCACCATCCAGAGGTGAACTCAAGGGCACAAGCACCATTTTCTACACCCCTATAGTTGCATCCCCAACCAACCAGCAGCACCCATTCCCTAACCCCCTGCCTACCAAAACATCCTTGAAAAACTCTAAACTCTGAGCCTTTAGGGAGACTGATTTGACTGATAATTCCAGTTCTCCCATGTGGCCAGCCTCGAGTCCACTGAACTCTCTTTACTGCAATACCATGGTCTCAGTGAATTGGTTTTGTCTGTGCAGTGGGCAGGAAGACCCAACGGGCGATGACACAGGGTATTAGAGATAAGAAACTTCTAACTGTTTAAGCCACAAAGAGTCCACTGTTGTGTTTGTTTTTTCTTGTACCAAAAACATTCCAGAACACAGTCTTTGCCCTCAAAAAACTCAAAGACTAGTGGTTCAGACAGATTAGTAAGTAAATGATTACAGTACAAGATAATAAATTCTATGGCAGAAGTATGCAAGTGGTGCCCTGGGAACACAGAAAGACATATCTGTATCAGGCTGGAAGGTCAGGGGAAATTTCCTGGAGGGACATCGCATGAACTAAGAGCTGAAGGAACTGACTAGATAAAGACAGGAGGAGAAAGAGCAGGAAGGAAAAAAAAATCAGTTAAGTTTAGGAAGCTCACGTTAATGATTTAATACCTATAATGGAAATGCCTAGCCAATAAATGTGTTCTTAAAAAAATACAGGTATCTTCCCCAACATTTTATCCCAAAAAGTTTCAAACACTAAGAAAAGTTGAAACAACCATCCTGTGAATCCATACACTCACTGCCTGGACTTTACAATCAACATTTTGCTCCATTTGCTTTATCACAAATCCATTCATCTGTCGTCCCTCTCTCTACCCATCAGTGCACCTCATTTTCCGATATATTTCAGTGTAAATTGCAGGTATCCGTATACTTTGTCCCTAACATGAAGCACAGACATTCATTTTCCCCAAAGCAATTAGACTTCCCCCACTGAATTCACTAACAATTTCAGAACTACATCTGTGGGGCGGGGACCACTTGCAAACCATAAGATCATAAGGGTAGGGCCCTGATCCTATTCAATGGGTGCACTTATAAGAGAAGGAAGAGAGACCTGGGCTCTTTCCACCATGTGAGGACACACTGAGAAGGCAGCTCAGGTATCTCTTCCTCTTCTTATAAGGCAGGAAGGGAGCCCTCACCAGAACCCAACCATGCTGGTGCCCTGTCTCAGACTTCCAGCCTCAGAACTGTGGGAAAATAAATTCCTGTTGTTTAAGCCACCCAGTCTATGGTATTTTGTTATGGCAGCCTGAGTTAAGATGGCACCCTTCAACATGTTTCTATCTACTCACCCAAAAGCTCTGTTGTTTGACTGAAGTTTGTTCAAAAAACATTTGGGCTCTACTTTGTGCCAAGTTTTGGGTTTCTCCCCTTAGAAAATTCAGTCTTCCCAATGAAAGACTTCTATAAATAAAGCATTTTAATGTAATTTCTCACATGCAAAGATAAAGATGGTACAAGATATAATGGAAAGCATAATGAACTCCAGGAAAAGGGAATCAGGGAGGCTCCAAAGGTTAATAATAGTCCATTCAGCAGATGGGAGTGAGAACATATTCCAGCTTAACACACAGCATGTGCAAAGCAACAAAGGCATGAAACATCACAGTGGGTTCAGGAGTCACATAATATTGAAGCATAAGGTATGGGATGGGGAAGTGCCTGGGTAATGAGTCTCCAAAGATAGCTCTGTCTATAAATGGGCCTAAAGTGCCATCTTAAGAAACTTTGATTCTAGAGAAAACAGGGAGTCATTGCTAGGCGGGTCCTCCAGCCCATCTTAGCTTGTAAGGCACTGAATCAACAAGGATACAGAATAACAAGACACTCCAAACTAAGGATGTCCACTTAGATGACTTGTCGGGAAAGTGGGGCAAGAGCACTGGGAAATGGTTTTTCTATGTAATGTTATATGAAACACTAATATTAGATAGGGCTCTCTACCACTTAGCATAAAACCAAATACCAGAACATATATTCACTTGAGAAGTAAAATGTATTTTGAAAGCAAATCATAGTACATAAAACCATACATGTTAGGAGGAAGAGGTGGTTTCTACTAGCGTTAGTCCCATAGGCCAATATAGTCAGTCTTTTATTAAGCTTGAGCAAAGAGGAAATGCGTTGGTAAGTCGTGTCCAAATGCCACCTTGCAGTATCATAGGGTTGTCATGAAAATCACAAATGAGAATCTGAAAACCTAGGGGAAACCTAATCTCTCAGTCCCCCTCCTAAAATTCTGTGTCCTGAGTATTACGGCAACAGAAGCACACAGCAAACAGTCAAACATTACACACCTGCCAATAACTGCATTCAGCACTCCTCCAGACAGTATGAACTGAAGGTCACCTAGTAGGCCATAATCATAATATTTGAGTCTGGCAATCCTAAAGCTGGGACAATGTAGGGACAAAAACAAGAACAGTATTGAAAACAGACCCCTGAAAAATTAGGAATCCAGAAATCCATAACTATAATGAATATTAAATAAACAAGGGAGAAGGAAGGGCTCTGCTTCGGGAGAACACCAAGGGGAGACTGGTCAAGGTGGAGGGCACACCTGAGTCAGAAAATTCACATTTTCCTACAATCACAGAAATGACCTTTCCTTTGTTTTAATCCTTACAACAAAAACTAACCGATTTTAACCAGTTATTTTCCATTGTTGTGTCTCCCTGTTCCGGCCTTACAAAGAAAGTAACTTTGAAACGACCTATTTTGGGTTCTATGTTTCTGCATTTTTCAGCCCTTTTCTTTCCACAAAGCCAGCCTCCTCTCCTCAGCTCACTCGAACACAATCTTATGGAATCACATGCTGCCCGATACCAGAACTGCAAATAAAGCCAGTTAAGATCTTTAAACTACATTTGTGATAATTTTGTCTTTTGACTTTACAAAAGCTCAAACTCAACAGTATAGTTAAAATTCAACTTCCTGTTATTTTTTTCAAACAAGCGTTCCCAACAGGAAGCAGTAATGGAAAAATGCAGGGAATCAAAATATGGTAAGAAATGTTTAATTCAACAGCTAAAAAACGGGAAAATAATTTGAAAAGCAAAGGAGAATTATAAGAAGAACTGAAAGACAAACAGATAAGGAGAAAATATTTGCAACACAAAACAAAGTAATATCCCTAATATATAAAAAGCCCCTGCAAAGCAGTAAGTCAAACAACCTAGTTTTTTTAAACGGGCAAAAAATGAAGAAGTACTTCACAGAAAAGTGGGCACAGATAACAAACATATGAAGCTAAACCCAATTTCTCTAGTAGTCAAGGAAATGTAAATAAAACATTAGATTGGGTTCATCAAGAGTTTGGGGAAATGAATACTACTGATATTATTAACTGCCACAGCCTTTTGGGAAAAAATAAGCAACTACTAAAAGAATTATATGAATGTAAACCTCTTCCAGGAATTTATTCTACAAAAGTATAAGGATATAATTACAAGAATAATTTTTTGTCACTAAAAAGAATGCTATAATAATCTTTAAAATTTCCATCAATGGGGAATTCTTGCATAAATTATGATAGTGAGAGGTGAAGCCAGCTGGACTTCCTGGGTCGAGTGGAGACTTGGAGAACTTTTCTGTCTTACAAGAGGATTGTAAAATGCACCAATCAGTCCTCTGTAGCTAGGATTGTAAAACGCACCAATCAGCGCTCTGTGGCTGGCTAGAGGTTTGTAAAATGTGCCAATCAGCACACTGTAAAATGCACCAATCAGTGCTCTCTAAAATGGACCAATCAGCACTCTGTAAAATGGACCAATCAGCAGGACATGGGTGTGGCCAAATAAGGGAATAAAAACTGGCCACCCCAGCCAGCAGCAGCAACCTGCTCAGGTCACCTTCCACGCTGTGGAAGCTTTGTTCTTTCACTCTTCACAATAAATCTTACTGCTGTTCACTCTTTCAGCCTGTGCCACCTTTGAGAGCTATAACACTCACTGCGAAGGTTTGCGGCTTCATTCTTGAAGTCAGTGAGACCATGAACCCACCGGAAGGAACAAACTCCGGATACATCTTGGGAACAAACTCCAGACACACCACGTTTAAGAGCTGTAACACTCACCACAAAGGTCTGCAGGTTCATTCTGTAAGTCAGCAAGACGATGAACCCACGGAAGGAACAAACCAAATTACAACCAAATTTTAGATTATCCAGCTATTGAAAAGAATGGAGAAGTGCTATATGTACTGACCAGGAACAATGTCCAGATGTATCCATTTAGGAGGAGGTACAAAATGGCAATGATCCAAATTCTATCAGAAACGTGCAGAAAACATATAATACAATGTCATTTGTTTAAAAAAATTGTTTGTTTATATATAAACAAAGAATTATTGTAGGATACAGAGTTAATACTGGCAACAATGAAGTTGGACTTTCCTTCTTTTCTTTCCTTTCCTTCCTGTTCTAAAGCATTCTGATAAACTTTCACTCCTGCTCTGAAACTTGCCTCGGCCTCTTCTTCCGCTTTAAAAAAAGTTTTTTAAACACATACTCCTTATTTTGCCTAATTTGAACAAAGTAAATTGAGGAAATCTGAACACTGAGTGGATCTTAATTATTTATTTTAGGATAGGTTCTTGCTCTGTCACCTAGGCTGCAGTGCAGTGGTACGATCATGGCTCACTACAGTCTCAACATCTTGGGCTCAAGCAACACCCCCCACACACACTCCCGTCCTGGGCCCTCTGCCCCCAACTCCAGAGTAGCTGGGATTACAGGTGTAAGCCATGGCATCTGGTCGGATTAGCCATTCATTGACTGATGGTGACAAGGTAGCGCATTATGTACTATTCTCTATACCTTCGTATATGTTTGAAAATTTCCACTAAAAACAAACGTAAGGTAAATTAATTTATACCACAAAGGGGGATTTACTAGCAGACTACTAATGTATGTCACTGACTCGAAACGAAAAACTATGCTACAGGAAGGAGGCCGAGGATAGGGCTGGGACTCAGGAGCAACTGGACACAGGGCCCTGAAAGCTGCCAGACCATCCCTGTGATTCTCGCCACATGCTGGCTCTGTCTCTCTTCCTTGCTGTGGACCAGCTTTCACCATGTGGCAAAAGCAGAGATGCCAATTTGTAAAATTTGGTGGCCTGCAGACATGCTTTGTTTGCTCATATAGTGCTTTTAAAAATTCATTTAGGCCAGGTGCAGTGGCTCATGCCTGTAATCCCAGCACTTTGGGAGGCTAAGGCGGGCAGATCACGAGGTCAGGAGCTCAAGACCATCCCGGCCCACATGGTGAAACCCCGTCTCTACTAAAAATACAAAAATTAGCTGGGCATGGTGGCTCGTGCCTGTAATCCCAGCTACTTGGGAGGCTGAGGCAGGAGAATCGCTTGAACCCAGGAGGCAGAAGTTGCAGTGACCCCAGATCACGCCACTGCACTCCAACCTGGCAAACTCAGCGAGACTCCATCTGGAAAAAAATATATATATATATTCATTTAGTTACTTACATTTTTTAAAGAACGATTTCACATAAAAGTCCAAATTTTTGGCATCGCTTAAAAAAATCAAGAAGTCTGACATTCCTAAGTCCCACTCAGCTGGTGCTGTGGAGCAGCTGCCGCTTCTGGAAGGGACATACACTATGTGAAAGCCAGCGTAAGCCTGCTGCAGTCTTACTTCCACCTGCCTCACTCATTTGCCTGGCTCCCTGACCCTGCTTCGGACATGATAGGCCCAGCCCTCCCGATCTCATACCCAGACCCTGGCCTGAGTCAAGCGACCTCCTTGGTCAAGTTCCCCTTCCCTTGTGTAGCTGCTATTCTAATTAGCACCAGGGAATGGAAAATGTTCATATGCTCATACGCGTTATGACTCAACTTTCCATGTCTATAAAAACCAGAAAGTTGAATTAAGTGATCTAAATTATCTTTCAATTTTTGACTTTTTTCTGACATTAGATATGCAAAACAACTCTAATTAGCCCTCCTGTATGCCTAAGGAAATTTGTTTTAGATATTTCTATTCCCTAATGGATACCTCTTTACCTGTCCCTTCCCACGCGCCCCCTCCAAAAAAAGAAAAACTAAATTAACAAAAACAAATGAAGTTAACTAAAACAAAAACTAGAAGGCTTTGGAGTCCCTTCCTGTAAGCAGGAGGCTGCTTCTGGTCTGTACCTCTGTGCACATGCTATTCCTACTGCCAGGACTGCCCTTCCTCCTGATGGAGGAGGATCACCTATAATTTAAGACTCAGCTGCAATATTTCCTCCTCACCTTCCTAGATATCCCCCGGCCAGCCCATCCTCCCAGTCTCAGGGGGCCCCCATGCCTGTCAATATTGTCTACCATTTCACTTAGGGAAAGTCGTGATTTCCCCCAAGATGAGGTCTGTTTGTCCCACCAAACTTCAAGCCCATTCATCTTTGTGTGCCCAGTGTGCCTGGTACTTGGTGGACGCTCAATATTTGGTAGATAAAACACCAGAGCTGGTGTTCTCCACCTGGGTTGTGAGGCCTCAAAAGGATAAATGGTAACTGGTAAGCTTTTTATTTATTTATTTTCTTTTTTAAGACAAGGTCTCATTCTGTCGCCCAGACTGGAGTACAGTGGCGTGATCATGACTCACTACAGCCTCAACCTTTGGGACTCGAGCAACCCTCCCACCTCAGCTTCCCAAGTAACTGGGACTACAGGCACACACCACCACGCCCACCTAATTTAAAAAAAATTTTGGCAGGGCACAGTGGCTCACGCCTGTAATCCCAGCACTTTGGGAGGCCAAGGTGGGCAGATCACGAGGTCAAGAGATTGAGACCATCCTGGCCAACCAACATAGTGAAACTGCGTCTCTACTAAAAATATAAAAATTAGCTGGGCGTAGTGGCACACACCTGTAGTCCCAGCTACTTGGGAGGCTGAGGCAGGATAATCGCTTGAACCCGGGAGGTGGAGGTTGCAGTGAGCCGAGATCGCGCCACTGCACTCCAGCCCAGGCGACAGAGCAAGACTCCATCTCAAAAAATAAAATAAAAATTTTGTAGAGACTATGTTGTCCAGGCTGGTCTCAAACTCCTAGCCTCAAGTGACTCTCCTGCCTCAGCCTCCCAAAGTGTTGGGATTACAGGCATGAGCCACTGTGCAGACGAGTAAGCTCTGAAACATTAATTCATTTATCTGATAACTTTCCTGAACTATAAAGCAACAATAAATGGTGGGAGGAAATTGGAAGCTTATTTTAATATATTTCTGAAATAAAGTCCTCCTCCACCCACCCATGGAATCTGGGATTCTGCTAGCCTTACAGATGGTTACACATTTATACAGATTCACTCTGAAGTTCCTGCTACCTGAAGAGGCAGCCGTGGAGACATTAGAGCTACTGGACTCCTAACAGCTGAAGGCAAATTTGGAATTAGCATACATGTCCCTATCCTGAATTATTTATTCAAATAAAACCTATTTAGAGACTTAAACAGATTCTACTACTACTTCTACTTCTACTTCTATAGCATCTCTAGTATATTGCATACACTCAAACAGAGTTTGTATGATTTGTCCAGGGTCACTTAACTAGCGGATGGCAGGGCTGGGACTGGAGCCCTAGCAGTCCATACTCTGAGCCACTACATGGTCTGTGCTCTATGAGTGGATTAGAGTGGGGTGGGGAAGAGCTTCAAGTATGATGTGAAATGTTGAAACTTATTTCAAGGACACAGATCTATGGGTCAGAAAGCTCACTAAAGAGGGAGAAAAATGCATAGGCAGGCAACACAGAGCACAAGCTCTAAAACAAAGACCTGAGAGAAAATATACAACAAAAATAGTTGTTATACAGTCATGCACCAAATAAAGAAGTTTCAGTCAATGACAGACCACATAATACAACGGTGGTCCCATAAGATTATAGTACTGTACTGTTACTGGGCCTTTCCTACGTTTCGATATGTTTACACAAATACTTCCCCATTGTGTTACAACTGCCCACGGTATTCGGTACAGTAACATGACGTGCAGATTTGCAGCCCATGAGCAAAAGGCTGTACCGTACGGGCTAGGTGAGTAGTAAGCTACACCATCTAGGCTTGTGTAAGTATACCCCGACGTTTGCAAAACACTGACATTGCTTAAAAGCATTTCTCAGAACATAGGTGTCATTAAGTGATGCGTGGCTGTATATACAAAAGAACTGAAAGCAAGGACTTGAACAGATATTTATACACCCATGTTCACATCAGCATTATTCACAATAACCAAGAGGCGGAAACAACCCAAATGTCCATCAATAGATAAACAGATAAATCAGATGTGGTGTAAATGTAGAATATTCAGCCTTACAAAGGAAGGAAGCTGACACATGCTATAACATGGATCACCCTTAAAGACGTTATACTAAGTGAAATAAGCAAGACACAAAAGCACAAATACTATGATTCCACTGATATGAGGTACCCAAAACAATCACAATGGGAGACAGAAAGCAGGATAGAATGGCGGCTGCCAGGGGGTGGGGGAAGAGGGGAGTGGGGAGTCAGTGTTTAATGGGTGCAGAGGTTCAGTTTGGGATGAGGAAGTTCTGGAGATGGATGGTGGTGATGGCTGCACAACAAAGTAAACATGCTTAATGTCACTGAACTGTACCCCTGAAAATAGGTAAAATGTTGAATTTTATCTTATGTACATTTTACCAGAATTTTTAAAAAGTAGTTATATACCAACTACAGTTGTGGGACAGGAAAACAAACCCTTGACTTGAATTCTGCCATTAAGAAGCTAACAGCTTTAGTTAACATTTCTTGTCCTCAGTCTGATCTACAAAATACAGGACAAGGCCAGGTGTGGTGGCTCACGCCTGTAATCCCAGCACTTTGAGGGGCGGAGGTGGATGGATCACTTGAGGTCAGGAGTTCCAGACCAGCCTGGCCAACATGGTGAAACCCCGTCTCTACTAAAAACACAAAAATTAGCTGGGTGTGATGGTGGGTGCCTGTAATCCAAGCTATTCAAGAGGCTGAGGCAGGGAGAATTGCTTGAACCCAGAAGGCAGAGCTTGCAGTGAGCCGAGATCACACCACTACACTCCAGCCTGAGCAACAGAGTGAGACTCTATCTCAAATAAATAAATAAATAAATAGGCTAGCGCAGTGGCTCACACTTGTAATCTCAGCACTTTGGGAGGCTGAGGCAGGTGGATCACCTGAGGTCAGGAGTTCGAGCCCAACCTGGCCAACATGGTAAAACCCCATCTCTACTAAAAATACAAAAATTAGCCGGGCGTGGTGGCGTGCATCTGTAATCCCAGCTCCCAGGGAGGCTTAGGCAGGGAGAATCGCTAGAACCCTGGAGGCAGAGGTTGCAGTGAGCCGAGATCGCACCATTGCACTCCAGCCTGGGCGACAGAGCAAGACTCTGTATCAAAAAATAAATAAATAATAAAATAAAATATAGGACAGGCCAGGCGCAGTGGCTCATGCCTATAATCCCAGCACTTTAGGAGGCTGAGGCGGGCGGAATGCTTGAGCTCAGGAGTTCGAGACCATCCTGGGCAACATGGTGAAACCCCATCTCTACCAAAAATACAAAAAATTAGCTGGGTTTGGAGGCTGAGGTGGGAGGATTGCTTGAGCCTGGGAGGCAGAGGCTGCAGTGAGCCAAGATCACGCCACTGCACTCCAGCCTGGGTGACAGAGCGAGACTTCGTCTCAAAAATAAAATGAAATACAGGAGGGCTATATCCTTAGGACTGTTATGAAGATTAAACGAAGGAATACCTATTAAAAGAAGTTCTCAGTAAGCACTTAGCTGCTTTTTAAATATCATTCTAGCCTGGGCACAGTGGCTTATGCCTGTAATCCCAACATTTTGGGAGGCCAAAGAAGCAGATCGCTTGAGCCCAGGAGTTTAAGACCAGCCTGGGCAACGTGGCAAAACCCATCTCTACAAAAATTAGCTGGGTGTAGTGGCATGTGTCTGTAGTCCCAGCTACTCAGGAGGCTGAGGTGGGAGGACCACTGAGCCCAGGGAGGTCAAGGCTCCAGTGAGCTGTGATCTCACCGCTGCACTCCAGCCTGGGCGACAGTGAGAACTTACCTCAAAATAAATAAATAAATATCACTCTAATACTCTAGAAAGTCTTGAGAAAGAAACTGGCCTCAGAGCCAAATATATGGTAAAGTAGGAAAAGCTGCCAGTCCATAAGAAAGAGATAAGGCAAGATACTTTTTGCTCAGACGCAGTCCCCCTTGTCCTGAGGAATGAAGGGGCCTGGCTTTGAGTCCTCCTTCAGCCACTGACTCACTAGAGGATTAGGCAAGTCACTCCCACTCACTGACAATATCTGCCCTGCCTACGTCTCAGGGCAGTGGAGAGGGACACGTGGAAAACGCGTACCAAAGGCATACTCCACCTGGAAACAAGCACAGGCAGATTTTCATCAACAGAAGCCCTTCACACCCTTCTTTCTTCATCACCCAAAACACAGCGTAATTTGCCTTAGAGGCATAACCAATGGGCATTTCAGGATGTCCCTGTCCTAAATCTCCCCAGCAACTCCCGAAACGGCTCTAACAGAAACAGTCTTGCCTTCTCTTCCCTGCTGTGTCAGTATGTGAAGGCTGAGAGGATCACACAAGGAAGCTGCCACCTCCCCAGCCACGTTTGGGAACTACGGTGCTAGAACAGGACCACCCTCCTCTTAAGGGGAGCACACTGCTGAACATCTGTCCTGAACAGTCACCACCAGAAGTGCAGGTGTCCCCACTCTTTCCTATGACTAGGGCTCTCAACCCAACAGAACTGCATCCATCTCCTGAAATGGCTAACCCACCTGGTCCCTGCAACCTCAGGCACACCAGCAAACCCTTCGAGAGCCTCCACCTCTTCTAAGAATGTTCCTCTACCTTCTAGCTCTGAGACCTGGGTGTGCCCTGGGGACACCACATCAAGCAGATGCTATTTCTCCTCCCATGCCATGTGCTTCAGGGCCAGACAGACCAGATATGTGTCCTTCCTCCCTCCCCAATGTCACCTGCACTTCAGTACCTCTGTTAGCCCCATCCGTCTTACAAAAGCCCCCATACCTTTGAGGCCTGGCCTTTCCAGCCATAATAGCCTGTCCTTCACCTTGTTACTATCAGCTACAGACTTCCTGGTCACTTCCCTCATTTATTGAGGACATCTGCTTCTGGTCTGCAGACTTCCATTCTACCCAACTCCTGTCGTCCTCCCCAATGACATCTGTGCATGTGGATGTCCCAGCCAAGCTCGGCCCCTCTCAAGTCCTTGATCCTCTCTTCTCCGAAAACCCTTTCTTTCCTTCTATCTAACATTATCATGGTCATTACCTGAACTTCACCGTCACCAGAAACAGTTATCTCCTCTAACCCTCTAGCCTCAGCCTCCATCCTTCTTGCTCACTTGTTCAAATACCACCCCCACACACAATTCTCTGCCCTCTTGACACCTGCAAGCATTGGCCTCCAGCACTCTCTCTCTGCATAACAAGACCCTCTGGGCTGCACTGCCTCCCTTCACCAGCTTAGATCCCAAAGCCTGACATGAGAAAAGCCCTCTTGCAGATACCTCATCTCCCTGCTCCCTTCCCCTCCATCTCACTCACTGTTTTCAGCACCTGCACCCAGCATGCAAATGCTGCTGTCGAGGGAAAGAAACTCAAGAAAGCAGCCTCCCAGCACTCCACTCTCAATGCACTTATGATCACAAACCACGAATGGGCATTCCCCCACACTTCCTAGTAATCTCGCTGTGACTCTCCCCTGTGCCCTCCCTCTGCTTACTCTTGACAGATAACCTAACCTCATTTGTCCCAGAGAACACCAAGCCATCAAACCCTAACTCCCTCAGAGCTCCTTCAACAAATCTACAAACCTTCCACGCCCTTCTTCTCCTTGTCTCCAGCCTCATGGAGTACACATTCCTGCTCTTAGCAAAGGCCAAGCCCTCCACCACCACCATGCCCAAGAACTTAATTCCTACCACTACCCTTCTTCCTGCAGCATCAATCAGTCTTTACTTTGCTACAGGATCATCCCCAACAGCATGTAGACACGTTCTATTGAATCTTCACCCTAAAGATTCACACATGCGTGTGTGCCTTTGACCCCCATATATCCTTCTAGCTAATGACACAATTCCTCTATAGGAATTATCTGTGCTAATGCTTCTCAAACTTTAATGCATAGTTTACCTGGGAATCTTGTGAAAACGCATATTCTGATTCAGTAGGTCTGGAGTGGAGCCCAAGATTTGGCACCACTAACCTAGTCTCTAATCATGTTCCTGACCCACAGACCCCACACTGTGTAGCAAAAGCCTTTGTTTCCTTCCCTCACTATTTACGGAAACCATTCCAATCCAACTTCCTCCCAATATAAGCTCACAGAAATTTGTGAGATCAAGATCACCCACAAACTCCACGTAGCTAGCTCCAATAAAAACTCTTCTTTCTTCCTTCCCATGCCCTCCTCCTCTTTAAAATGAGCAAGTAGCAAGAGTGACAAAACGCTGCCTGGAAAGGGAAGGCCCGCAGCAGGCCTGTATAGGGCCCCTTCCAGCGTCCCCCTCCTGAGGCCATCCCTCCTGGCTTCCACAGCCCACATTCTCCCACAGGCTGAGTGCTTCCCGGGTGGCTCTCTGGGCCCTTTCTCGGCGCCACTTGCCAGGCATTCCTCCTCCCCATCTAGATGTCAGCACTTCTCGGAGCTCAGTCTTGCTCCCTCCTCATCTGCACCACATACAGCCCAGTGGCTGTACAGACAACTTACGAACCTGAGGATGCAGCCCTGACCGCTCTCCTGGCCCCAGGCTCACAGCCTTGCTGCTGCCCCTGCCCACTGGGCTGCCACAAGATTCTCAACTTATTCCCAAAATAGAATTCTTGATTCTTCCCTCTTAAAATCTGCTCCTTCACTATCCCCCATTTATTAGCTACTGAAGTCACTACTAGTGAGAGGTGACAGCATGCTGGAAATCCTCAGAGCCCTCGCTTGCTCTAGGCACCTCCCCTGCCTGGGCTCCCACTTTGGTGGCATTTGAGGAGCCCTTCAGTCCCCCCACTGCACTGCGGGAACCCCTTTCTGGGCTGGCCAAGGCCGGAGCCCACTCCCTCGGCTTGCAGGGAGGTGTGGAGGGAGAGGCACGAGCAGGAACCGGGGCTGTGTGCGGCACTTGCGGGCCAGCTGGAGTTCCGGGTGGGCGTGGGCTTGGTGGGCCCCGCACTCGGAGCAGCCAGCCAGCCCTGCTGGCCCCGGGCAATGAGGGACTTAGCAGCCAGGCCAGTGGCTGCGGAGGGTGTACTGAGTCCCCCAGCAGTGCTGGCCCACCGGCACTGCGCTCGATTTCTCGCCGGGCCTTGGCTGCCTTCCCACGGGGCAGGGCTTGGGACCTGCAGCCCACCATGCCTGAGCCTCCCACCCACTCCATGGGCTCCTGTGCGGCCCGAGCCTCCCCGACGAGCGCCACCCCCTGCTCCACGGCGCCCAGTCCCATCGACCACCCAAGGGCTGAGGAATGCAAGTGCATGGCGCAGGACTGGCAGGCAGCTCCACCTGCAGCCCCGGTGCGGGATCCACTAGGTGAAGCCAGCTGGGCTCCTGAGTCTGGTGGGGACGTGGAGAGTCTTTATATCTAGCTCGTGGATTGTAAATACACCAATCAGCACCCTGTGTTTAGCTCAAGGTTTGTGAGTGCACCAATCGACACTCTGTATCTAGCTGCTCTGGTGAGGACGTGGAGAGTCTTTACGTCTAGCTCAGGGATTGTAAATACACCAATCAGCACCCTGTGTTTAGCTCAAGGTTTGTGAATGCACCAATTGACACTCTGTATCTAGCTGCTCTGGTGGGGCCCTGGAGAACCTGTGTGTGGAAACTCTGTATCTAACTAATCTGATGGGGACGTGGAGAACCTTTGTATCTAGCTCAGGGATTGTAAACGCACCAATCAGCGCCCTGACAAAACAGGCCATTCGGCTCTACCAATCAGCAGGATGTGGGTGGGGCCAGATAAGAGAATAAAAGCAGGCTGCCCGAGCCAGCATTGGCAACTCGCTGGGGTCCCTTTCTACGCTGTGGAAGCTTTGTTCTTTCACTCTTTGCAATAAATCTTGCTACTGCTCACTCTTTGGGTCCACGCTGCTTTTATGAGCTGTAACACTCACCGCGAAGATCTGCAGCTTCACTCCCGAGCCCAGCAAGACCACGAGCCCACCGGGAGGAACGAACAACTCCAGACGCGCTACCTTAAGAGCTGTAACACTCACCGCGAAGGTCTGCAGCTTCACTCCTGAGCCAGCGAGACCACGAACCCACCAGAAGGAAGAAACTCCGAACACATCTGAACATCAGAAGGGACAGACTCCAGACGTGCCACCTTAAGAGCTGTAACACTCACCGCGAGGGTCCGCGGCTTCATTCTTGAAGTCAGTGAGCCCAAGAACCCACCAATTCCGGACACGCTAGTATCCGTATCGTTACCAAAGCCAGGGACCTGGAAGTCATTTTTGACTCCCATTGCCTCTCCCCAGCTCAATTCATGACCATTTCTAGCTATTCCATCTCCAACATACATTTCAAAGCCATGCACTTCTTCCATCTTCTCTGCCACCATTCATTCAACAGCCCCAGCTTCCTAAGTGACCCCTCATTACCACTCCAGCCCCTCTTCAATCTGTTCTCCACACAGCCCTTCCAATGGGGCTTCTAACACTGCACATGAAACTGTGCTTAACGCTCCTTAAAGGCTCACCATGAGCGGCAGCTAAACCCTCCACTGGCCGTGGCCTCCGTGGCCTTTTCCTTGCCTTCTTCCAGCCCTGTGAATGTGCCAAGCGCTTTCCTACCTAGGACTCCTCCACACTCCCCCACCCCCAATCACGCGTGCCTGCACACACACACACTGCATTCAGGAAGGCCTGAAGCAAGAGGAAGCAAAGTCCACTCAAGAAACTCGAGAAAGACCTTCACAGCTATCTGCAGCAGAGAGAAAGAGGCAGAGCCCAGTACAAGATGACACTGAGGAGGTAAGGAAGGGCGGGATCATTCAAGACCCCAGTGTAGGCCAAGTTGAGGGATTTGGGACCTTTGACTGAAAGCACTGGAAAGCCACTGAAGTGTTTCAAGTCAATGGGTAACATAATTAGGCTTGAATGTTGAAAAGGTAATTCTGGCTACAGAGTAGAAAAACAGAGGGGTCAAGAGCAGATGTGGGTATGCACCAGGCCAGGCCGGCAACACGGTGGGGACTAAGGAGACAACAATGCACATGAGGAAAGTGACTAAATTTTAGGGCTACTTAGGATGTTAAAAAATGGCAGTGTTTACTACATGAACACATATAATTTGAGATTTTTAAAAGGTTTGCCATGCAAGTATTACTAGAGGTAACACATTGGCTAAAATTCATTCCTAACAATAGCATCAGCTATCAGCAGTAAAGGACTGGCCACCAATCCTTCCTGTGGGAGGAAGGAGGGGGATTACAAGGAAAGTAGAATGAAAGAAAAGAAAGATACTAGCTCATAAATTAGGGCAGAGGATGGGCAAGGGGCCAAAAATAGGAAGCAGAGGAAGTGCAAATAGTGCTGACTTTTCAACTCTGCCTAACAGTGACTCTAACAACCTTCAACTGGATTGGGAAGAACAAAAGCTATTCTCAGAAAAGCTTGTCTTCTGAGGTTGCAATTTAACATGATCAATGAAATATTTTGTTATAAATATGCACAACTCAAAGGATATTCGTTATAAAAAAAAAATAAGGATCATAGAATTTTCAGAGATGGAAGGGACTTAGAGGTCATTTAGCCAGGCTCAGGCTCAGGATCCAGAAACTCTTCTCTCCACCTATAGGCACTTCAGGAAGATTTCATCTGGAGCTAAAAGAATAGCGCCCTTCTATCCAGGTCAATAATTAAAATGTATGAGGGTCTCAAAAGTGAACTGAAGAACTGCTAGGCAAACAAGCAGTATCCAAAGTTTTAAAATAATGGGGAGGAGTAAGAGGGTTTAGGTTCCCCAAAATTTTTCAGCTACTTTGCCAATGAGTTTTATTTTTAAGAACACACAGATAATGAATGACTAATTTTAAGCCATTCATCAAAGGAGATTACTTTGGCAATATTTTTTTACCAACTTGTTTTGGGGTTAAAGAAAAAAATTCAGATGTTCCTTTTGGTTTAGGGACCAGCAAGATCTGAATTTCTATTTCCAAAGCTACTGCATACTTGGCTAATTCCAGCATCTAACAAAGAACCGGAAGAAAGAACATAAAAGTTTCACATATAGTATTAAAGCTTCTACAATACTAAAGACCTCAGCTGTCTTTCCATCTCCTACAGTATACTTCAGTAAACATCTGAAAGAAAGATTTTCTCAATGATGTCTGGACTAAACCTTAAAAAAGTTGTGGTGGCTAGCCTCCAAGAATACTGATGTGCCCTGACCTCCCCTCTTGTAGTCCTTTCCCACATTGTGCCAGGTCTGGTCTGAATGCTGGTAGAAGGGATGGTATGCCATCTCCAAGATTAGACACTGGATTAGTCTGTTCTCATGCTGCTATGAAGAAATATCCGAGACTGGGTAATTTATAAAGGAAAGGGGTTTAATTGACTCACAGTTCCGCAGGGCTGGGGAGGCCTCAGGAAACTTACAATCATGGCAGAAGGAACCACTTCACAGGGCAGCAGGAGAGAGAATGAGTGCCAGCAGGGGAAATGCCAGACGCTTGTAAAACCATCAGATCACGTGAGAACTCACTATCAGGAGAACAGTATGGGAGAAACTGCCCTCATGATTCAATTACCTCCCACCGAGTCCCTCCCACAACGTATGGGGATTATGGGGATTACAATTCAAGGTGAGATTTGGGTAGGGACACAGCCAAACCATATCAGCCACGAATATACTGCTGCTTCCATCTTGATCATTATCATATTCATTCTCTCCCTCTCTCCCCACCCCCGTCAGATCACTTGCTCTGGGGAGAAAAGCTATGTTGTGAAAAGCCCTGTGCATAGGCCCACATGGTGTAGAACTGAGGCCTCCAGCCAACAGCCATGTGAACGTGCCATTTTGGAAACAGATCCTCTGGTCCCAGTCGAGCTTCAGATGACTGCAACCTCAGGAGAGACCATGAGCCAGAAGCACCCAGCCAAGCTGTCCCCAGATTTCAACTTCAGAAACTGTGTGAGATCATAAATGTCTGTTGTTTTAAGCTGCTAAGTTTGGGGAAATTTGTTATGCAGCAACAGAAAACTCATTCAAAAGGTAGGCAAACTTTACAGGCAGCCAGGCACGCAGGACCAAACTACTATATTTCCTTCATCTCATGCCGTATAGCTTGGAACAATGCTATATATAAAAAATGCCCACAAAGCACTGACAAAAGCAACAATGAAAACAATATATTGGTAATTATCAATTAATGGCATTTTTCTTTTCTGCATTTAGATTTCAACTAAAAAACAACTAGCCACCATCACCAAAAACAAAAACAGCCAGGAGAACACTAAGGAAAATTATAAGCAGCTACTTTTTTTAAAGTGACAAACTTGAAATTGAGACCTGGCTAGAATTTTGCAATTGCTTCTAGTAAGCACATATACCGTCCCTCTTTGACACTCACTTCCACATCCTCTTCATCTTTCTTTCCACTGTCACCTATCCAAGACTCATCAACCCTCTTGCCTACTGGCCCCTCTGCTTTTTGGAATATCTAAGAATATATGTACACATACACCAATATTTATATTCCTAGGTACCAAAAGAACTGAGGAGCTAAAGGAGACAGCCCATGGTCAAATCTCCAAGGCCACATATTTAACTGGTATGGCTTGGATCAGTGGTCTGTGCCAAGCAGACAGCTGATGCTCAGTAACTGTTAGTTTTTCTCCTCCTTAACTACTCCGCCATGTGATGAAGGAAGAGTTCCTTTTCCTCTGTGCTCGGCTCTCTTTGCGATAACATTCAGAACATACATTCATTTAAAAAAACAAAACGAAAAAAAAACCAAGCGTCTTGCATGTCTAGAGCAGGGGCTGTTTAGCAGTAACTGGAGCCAAGGAAAAGTGGGACTCCTGTATACCATCTGGAGACAAGTTACACTGGAAAACTACAGAGTTCACCTAGATCTCTTCGCACTCTAGTCTTACATTGTCTCCAAATTTAGCTTTCAAGAAAGGTCTCTAATGATGTTTCTAACTTCCATAAGTTACATGAGGGGGGTAAGAATTTAGCAACTAAATGCAAAGAGGCATAGTAGGATTACGTGATTTGGAAGAAAGAATTATCCCTGCCAGACGGGGTGGCTCACACCTGTGATCCCCAGCACTTTGAGAGGCCAAGGTGGTAGGATGGCTTGAGCCCAGCAGTTCGAGACCAGCCTGGGCAACATGGTGAAACCCCATCTCTACAAAAAATACAAAAATTAGCTTGGCATGGTGGTGCAAGACTGTACCAAGCTACTCGGGAGGCTGAGGTGGGAGACTCACCTGAGCCTGGGAGGTGGGGGCTGCAGTGAGCGGTGATCACACCACTCCACTCCAGCCTGGGAAATAGCGCAAGACTCTGCCCCCAAAAACAAACAAAAAAAGGATTATCTCAATTCTCAGGCTTAAAATTTTTCATGGAATCTCAAGCCATCTTCAGTCAAGGCAAGAATTTAGAACTTTTCTACCCTCATCTTCTACCAAAATCTCTTCATATGCCGTGGAAGACTCTAAATCCTGTTTATCCTTATGGTCTAGGTCCCAAGTTCCCAAAAGATATCTAATAACTTACACTATTTTCCACACACAATCCTGGGAAAATGTTCTATTCCTCGGGCAGAGGGAAATCTGGCTGAGATCTCCGATAAGAGTGCTGTTTCCAATGGGAAGCAATGTGAATGGGCAAGGAAGGAAAGCCCCAGATGTGGTCAGAATAAAGCAGACCGGCTGACAACTAAAGCCACGCACAAAGGATATGTCTCCCTGGCCTTCTTCTCCCCCGCTCCTATTTCGTTTAATCCTAACAATTAGGATAACTATCATCACCCTTCTACAGTTGCTGACTCTGGAGCTCAGAGGGGGAAAGATCGTGCTCCACATCACAACACCGGTAAACTCTCAGAACCTGCATCAAACCCAGGTCTTCAAACTCACCCCTCCTGTTTTTCCCAATATGCAGTGCTACCTTTCATGGTCGGCCCATTTCTGGGAACTTCGATACTGTGCTTCTATTGCTCCAGGTTTAAGGAGCATTCTGAGCCTTGACCGGTTCTGAGCTTTGACATCCAACAATCTTATGGCTCTGCTTGGAACATCAGTCATTGACACCTCTAAAAGATTCACTATCCCCTCTGATACTCCATGCCCACCATCCATCCCCAAAACTTCAGAAGAAATGAGGTTAGGAAACCAGGACAGAGCAGAAAGTGCACTGTTCTACAAGGGCTGAAGATGAGTCACAGGTAACCCAGATGAGCAATCAGCCAAGTCTCTTCCACGGCCAATTCATTCAGTCCGCCAGGCACAAGCACTTCTCTCCCGAAGACTCACCTGATAAGAACACCAAAGTTCCAACGTTTCTCGTTGGAAATGAGCACAGAGAGGACACTGCTCACACAAGCAGTGTGGACGCAGCAAGCTCCGCGCCCCGCAACCCTGCACCGAGCACGGTTAACCTCACACTCCCACAGGCGGCAAGAACCGGGACGGCGATGCCCAGTCCAGGCGCTTCCCCTTAGAAGCCCCTTCGCCGCTGGCCCCTATCAGAAAGGAAAGGGGAGGAGGCTGGGGGAGAAACAACTTTATGCTCATTTGCAAGACAGGACCAAAACAAAACCAGCAAACCGAAGCCCTTTAGGAACACCGCCCAGTTCACGGCGCGTGCAAGTTCCGAGGGCAGTTAAGTTTTTGCAACACTTCCCAGCCCTGACCCTGCCCAAGCCGCGGCCGGAGGACTGAGGAAGTGGACGGTCCCGAGCGGGAGGCCCGCGGCAGGAAGTGGAAGCAGAGCCATCTGCGGGATAGGGAAGGAACCGCGGCTACAAGGGAGAGGCGGAGGCCGCCCCCACTTCCTCAGCCCCAGGCAGCCCAGGAAGCCGAGACTCCCCCAGGGAGTCCTCCCGGAGCGGAGCGGGGCCGCTGCCGGGGCGTCGCCCTCCGCCGGCCTCGGGGCGCGACATGTCCTGCCGCCGCCCGGCCACAGCCCGGCACGGAGGGAGCAAGAGGCTGCGGGCGTGCGGCGTACCCCACTCCCCAGCCCGCGCCCCACCCCGCCCGGGGCCCGCGGGCGCCGCGCCCTTACCAGGGACCAGTCCCGCCGCCTCCGCCGTCCGCACCCGGCCCGCAGCTCTTAAACGCGCCCCGCCCCCTCCCGGGGCCGGACCCCAGCCGTCCTCCACCGATTTGTCATTGAGCTGCCGGGCTCGCTTTCCCACCCCCCGAGCGCGCCTCCGGCGTCGCCTAGGCAACCCCTCCTCTCGAGAGCGCGCCCTCGCTTCCGTTCTTGCCCTCTCCTCGGAAGCCACGCCCGTCGGGGGGCTGTCAGCCAATCCGAGGCTGATTTTCCAAGCAGCGGGCGGCCGGGGAGGAGGTTTCACCAATGAGAAGCTGCCCCAGGCACGGGGGGGCGGGCCCAGCGCGCCTGCCCCGTCCCCCTCTGTTTCTCTCTCTGCCCCTCGGACACGCAGCTGGTAACCCTGCGGCAGTGGAGGAGCTGCCCGCCGGTATTGAGGGCGGGTGCGGGTGCACAAGGTGGGGCGCCAGTTGTGGGATTCAGGCCAGGGCTAGGACGAAGTAATGGAAAGCAAAAGCGAAGGACAGACCTGATCATACAGAAACAGAAGAAAATTACGAGGTGGCGAAGAGTGCTGGAGCGCGGCGATGGGGATGCCGCCCGGGGGTCTTGGGGCGGGACTCCACCTGCCGCCACCACTCGCTTCGCTGATGACATCCCATTAGCAGTAATGGAGTTAGTGAGTGCATGGCGGAGACTGGACCCAGGCCGCCTACAAGGGCCAGAATCCCACCCCAGCCATAGCCTCGAGGCAGGAAGTGCAGTGGGCAAGCTCCCTGCCAAAGCCCAGGAACGTGTGATTTTGTATCCAGTACAGCTTCATCTCGGTGGATTTTCCTTCCTAACCACCTCCTCCTCCACAGGTTTTGTGACCGTGCTGACCCCTACGCAGACCTCATGAGAGTCACAAGCCATCGCAACTGACAGTTTAAACGTCTGCCTCTTATCTCTAAGGGAGGGAACTATCTCTTATGCAATGTGATATCCATGGCTGCTAGCACAGTGTAATTAATTCTTTCATTGTTGATCATTGTAAGTTAGGATGCATGTGTATACTATATTGGAGGCTTTGGGCCATGATTAGATTGCTATGTATCTACCAGATCCAGTCCCTCCATCAGCATCTATATCAAAAAGCACAGAAGCTTTACCTTAGTCTTAAGTGACCAACTTAACAAAAAAGTGCAATCAGAAGAATATCCTAGTGTTAGCCTACTAAGTATTCTGTTTTTACCATTCTCATTCACATTTAAAACTTTTATTGAGTGCTAATCGTATGACAGACACTTTGCTAGGTACAGTAAGGAGATGGGGTAGGAGGCTTCTCAAAGAGGAAGCTCCCTAGTATTTATAACCTAGAAGAGGAATCAGACCCAAACCTTTTCTTACGGAGTAACAGTTAAGTGCACAGGTTTGGAGTCTGGAAGCATAGGATTAAAGGAGGGCTCTACCTTGTGACTAGCAGTTACTTAATTAGGAAACTACTTCTGTGGGCTTTAGTTTCACCAGCTGCCCAATAGCAGCACCTCCATGCTATAGGTAAGAAGATGTACATGCAAGTCCACATAGAGCTCTCAGTACAGTGCTAGGAACTTGGTGAGTGCCTCAGGAATGTGAGCTTACATTAGTGATTGCCACCAGAGGCCACGATGTACAGTCAAGTGTGTGATCACCAATCTGGTACAGCCTTATCTCCCAAAGCCCATCTGTATCAAGTGTGACCGCGTGCAGCCTGGTGGAAAGGGCCTGCTGTGGTGGTACCCTTTGTCAAATGCAAGTATAGAGAGGAGAGCAGCTGCAGCAGCCTACCCAAGTGAAAAGGGTATGATAGTTGAGGGAACAGGGTCAGAAATCAGGCCACAGGCCAGGATTCTACTGTTCCCACCTGCCCCCCATCCCCTAGGACCCACAGCAGATGCAGGAGGTTTCCCCACCTTTTCTGGGGTGCTGAAGTGCCATTCCTTTGCATTGGTAACAGGATGCACAGGGCTTTCTGAGAAATGCTGCTTTCATTCTCTGCCTGCCTAGAACTCGGAGGGGTCCTACTGGGACTCCTCCAGCAGGATCATCTATTCAGATCCTGGACATGCCAGACCCTGAGCTGTGCAGTATATTCAGAGAGGAGTGGCAGGACCCTTTTGGCGGGGCTGTCTCACACAGGACACCAATAGGGGAAACGTGTCCCAACGGGAGAAGGGAACCAAGAGGCCACCAGCCTCAGCTGCCTCTAAGGTGGCTCATTCCAGGTCTCAGGGGACCTCTTGTCTGCTGAGTTTCCCTACCAGAACTCTGACTCCCAGCAGAGCCAGGGGCTTGAGCAGCAGAAATACAAGATCCCCAGCAGGACTCCTTAAGGATGCTGTAAACGACTGCTGCCATGGAAAGAGCATTCTAGACACTCCATCCTTCTAAAGTATTTATTGATTACTGTGGGAGTCTTTAGTGCTGTCTGACAAACATTTCTACTCCTCTCTTGTGAGCACTGGAAACTTCCTAGCCCTGTAGTTGGGTGGAGCCATGTGACTAGCTCTAACCGATCACTTGTGAGCAGAAATGACACATAATCATTTCTAGGCTGGAGAAATTAATTGCCAATATAAGACCCTCCAGAGCTCTCTTGTCCTTGGTATGGCTACTGAGAATGTTAGGAAATGTGACTGCTCCATCAGCCAGGGTTTCTACAATGAGCACAGGCCCCCTACCAACCTGTGATGGACATTTAGAATGACTGAGAAATAAGCCCTTATGGTTTGAAGACACTACGATGTGGGAGTTGTTTGTTACTGCACATAGCTTAGCCTGCTCTGACGGATGCAAGGTGAACAACTCACACAAAAGGACAGAGAAGAGGCCAGTAAACAGACAAGCACCCCAAAAATTACAAATTATGTCATTACAAATTATTTTAGACTGGGTGGTCAAAAAAGATCTCTCTTGGGAAGTGACATTTAAGCTAGGACCTCAAGGATGAGAAAAATCAATCTTAGCAAAAGATGGGGGTAGGAGGAAGGACAGGAGAGTATTTCAGGCAGAGGCATAAGCCTGTGCAAAGTCCTGAGGCAGAAGAAAGCTTGGTACTGCTGAGAATGGCCAGGAGGCCTGGAATGGTGAGCAGGGGAAAGTGAGTCACACAGGGCTGGAAGGGGAGGCAAGAGCCAGATGATGCAGGGGCTTCTCGGTTATACAGAGGAGTTTGAAATTTACTCCTAGTGCGGTAGAAACTGCTGAAGAGGTTTGATATGGTTTGGATGTGTGTCCCCTCCAAATCTCATGTTGAAATGTAATCCCCACTGTTGGAGGCGGGGCCTGGTGGGGGGCTGTTTTGATCATAGGGACAGATCCCTCATGAATGGCTTAGTGCTACTCCTTGGCAATGAGTGAGTTCTTGCTCTGAGTTCACACAAGGTCTGGTTGTTTAAGAGTGCGTGGCACCTCCCCGCCTATTCTTATCCCCGCTCTCAGTATGAGATGCACCTGCTCCCACTATGCCTTCCGCCATGACTGGAAGCTTCCTGAAGCCTCCCCAGGAACAGATGCCAGTGCTATGCCTCCTGTACAGCCTACAGAAACATGAGCTAATTAATAATTAAGCCTCTTTTCTTTATCAATTACCCAGTCTCAGGTATTTCTTTATAGCAACACAAAATGGACTAACACGGACGGGCGCGGTGGCTCACGCCTGTAATTCCAGCACTTTAGGAGGTGAAGGTGGGTGGATCATGAGGTCAGGAGTTTGAGACCAGCCTGGCCAACATGGTGAAACCCCATCTCTACTAAAAATACAAAAAAATTAGCCAGGCGTGGTGGCAGATGCCTGTAATCCCAGCTACTCGGGAGGCTGAGAAGAGAGTTGCTTGAACCCAGGAGGCAGAAGTTGCAGTGAGCCAAGATCATGCCACTGCACTCCAGCCTGGGCAACAGAGCAAGACTCCGTCTTAAAAAAAAAAAAAAAAAAGACTAACACAAGGTTCAAACAGGAGGCTGACATGCTTTGATTTTGGTTTTAAAAAGATTACTCTGGGTCAGGCATGGTAACTCATGCCTATAATCCCAGCACTTTGAGAGGCCAAGGAGGGTGAATCTCCTGGGGTCAGGAGTTCAAGAACAGCCTGGGCAACATGGCGAGACCCCATTTCTATAAAAAATAAAAAAATTAGCCAGACAGTGGTGCACACCTCTGGTGCCAGCTACCAGGGAGGCTGAGGTAGGAGATTGAGTGAGTCCAGGAGGCGGAGGCTGAGCCCAGGAGGCAGAGGTTGCAATGAGCTGAGATCGTGCCACTGCACCCTAGCCTGGACGACACAGCAAGAAGCTGTCAGAAAAAAGAAAAAACATTACTCTGGCTGTGGTGGGGAGATTGGGCTGTGAGGGTTGGATGTGGAACCGAGGTTAGGATGCTGTTCCGGGGGTCCACGCACAGTGGGGTCCTAGACAGGGTAATCAGCTCTCAGATCAGAGATTTGGAGAGATTGCAGGAGGAAGGGAGCAAGAGAGCTGAAGAGAGCTGAAGACCAAACAGAACAGTCTTCCTGCCAAACCCCAGAGGAACCAGAGGCAAGGTTTGAAGTTTAGATCCCTAGAGGTGCTTTGACACCAGGGACATGGGTACTCAAAAGCCAGGAAGGAAATGGGGGAGGGTATGGATTTCCCAGAACATCAGCCAGCAGTGGAGACTTGCTTCCATGAGCTGGCAGGAGTGTATTCATAGACCGTATTATTAGAAAGAGGCCCGGCAAGCTTCTGTGGGCATCCCTGGGGGCATTTGATCTTTGGTAACCGCATCAATTAGAAAAGAAAAAAGGCTGCCAATCTACAGATGGGGGAACAGCCATTCTCACCTGCTGATGATTCTGGACAGACACTATTCCAAGCAGCCACAGCAAGAGGAGCTTGCCCTCGGCCCTTCTCTCAGCTTTCCCCTCTGCGTTTCACCACCCCTCACTGCCCAGAGGTTCTCGCCTCACTTCCTGCTGTCTGGTCCTGTTCTCAGGCATGGGTTGCACAGGCTCATTCCCGTGCAGGAATAAATGGCTAGTTACAGCTCCATTCCCATTCCGTCCTGGGCACTTGATGAAAACCTGAAGTTCCAGGCTGTGGGAGGTCTTTAGAGGAGGACCTAAGATCTTTAATTCACATCACTAGGATGGAGGGATCTACCCCTCATCCAAAAAAAGCTCAGACTCCTGAGTTCTCATGCAAAGCACCAGGTAAGGGCAATGCGTCGCGGGAACCCTCGTGGAGCGCCTAAGCAGTAGCCCTGAGCCTTCCTTTCCTTGCAGCCTTTTGCAGGCAGCTACCAAAAAAAGCTCTTGCCCTTTACTGATTCCCAAACATATTCAAACGCTTGACTCTGTTTCTCAGTTTAGTCATTGTCACTAAACTGTGGTAAGTCATTGCCACTAAACTGTGGTAAGTCAGGACTTTACGAGGGACTTTAAAAACCACTTTTCCCTAAGTGTGGTATTGAGGGCTTCTCTTTCCCCATCACCATCTCTCAAGGTGGTCCCTACAGCCCAGCCAGCCAGCAGGCACTCACCAGATGTTCCTGGGAATTGCTCTCTTAGAAAGTCAGAGGCCCAAGTCATTTGCTAAAGGAGAAGCTTTCATCTTCCAACAGGAACAAAGCTACTTGGGAAACACATTAGGAAAAAAACCCATGCATCTCAATTTCAATTTTAAATTATTTAATTAGCTGGACTTATCTTTCTGCTGTCATAGTTTACAAAGAGTTATCTCCCAGAAGTGAAGTCAAGTCTGTCTTGTAACTGAGACATACGCCTTCCTCACTATTGCTCATCCCCACTGCATGTCCTCTCGTGTCCTCCCCCTTCCCTCTTCCCGCAGACGCATGCTCTGGGCTTCCCACAACCTGCACGGGAACAACAGCTGCAGATCTGGTACCGACCTCCAGGTAACCAGATAAAAGCCGCCACGGGGTGACAGCTGCGAAGTACTCCATTGCGAGATAAAATGAGATTCAAGTGTCTAGATTCCGCGCTGAGCTCTTTCCAAAGTGAAATATGATTTGCAGCCTACCAGGAAGCCAACCTCATCCAAGGGCATGACAGGACCCTGCTCAGCCCCTCCCTCCCTCCCCAGCTAAGCTGTCCTCTTGACAGCATCACAAGGGCTTCCTTGGATGCTGCCTCCACACCAGACGCAGCGGGGACTGCACTCAGCCACAGGCTCTCCCTCACAGTCCCCGTGACCTCTGCTGCCCTTTAAACGGCAGAGCACCTGAAGGTCCAGTCACAGACACCTGCCCTTCCCTGGGGAACCACAGCCACACTGCAGCCCACCTATCCTACATGCTGACCGCACCCAGGCGGATCCAGGTCCTTGGCCCAGGGGTGCTCCTGATCTGCAGATGCACATGACGCTAGCAGCCAGCTAGCTCTGGATGGCTGGACAGACAGACAAAGAGGACATGAAGACCCGAGTTAGGAAGGGGGAGGAGGAAGGAAAGGATGTTGGTGGTGGGCTTGGCACTGTTAGACGTTCGGCTGTGCTCTCCTGGCCCCTCACAGCAATTCTCACTTCATAGAGGAGACCCCCGGTCTCAGAGAGTCAAGAGGTCACAGAGGCCTCAGGGCCCTTTAGTCACTGCTTACTGTTGGAGGCTGATTCTAGGATGGGGGCAGGGATGGGGTGCACTTCAAAGGGCAAGTGGATGCCCCTCTGTCTCCCAAGCCCATCCCCCTTCCTCCTCCAGCCCTCAGGAGGGGCAGTGCCATGGGCCACCCCAGGACTGGGACTGGCCCCTCACCAAAGCACCATGCAGCCTCTGTCACTCTGTCCCACCCACAAATGCCAAACCCCGCCCTGGTGAATTTTTATGAGCAGCATTTTTTAAACTGTGGATTTTTTTATAGACAGCCCCATTCCTTCCCCGCATCTGCTAGAGAGCAGGGCAAGGCCAAAGGGTCAGAGGCTCGAGGAATGCGGGGTGGTGTCGGGGGGTAAAAGGACATACCTGAGAAGGCCCCAGACCCTCGCTCCACCAGGAGGTAAGACCACCAAACCATTAAAATGCGCATCTCTGGGGTGGGGATCAAAGGGCGATTCCCTATTTTCTATCGGGTTTTAATTTTTTACCATGGCTAAGAAGAACTCTGGCAGACAGGAACGAAAATAAAGCAGCAATGACATTGGGGTGGGCTCCACAGTGGGAAGGCAGCATCTCTGGCAGGTCCCCACCAAGGCCTGGTCCCCACTGGGAAAGCTCCAGAGGCAGGGGCTCAGGGCTCCCTCCCCTCCACACCCTGCCCCGGGGGAGGGGCCTCCTTGCACAACCCGTGCAGGCAGTAAATCCAGCCTTGGCACTCAGGCCATAAATCACAGAAAGCTCTCCAGGCAGCTGTACACACCCCGGAGCAAGGCCTCCTGGTTCCTGCAGGGCGCCAGGAAGGCCAACTAGCAGGAGGTCCGATTCCTGCTGTCTGCTGCTGGGGCCCACTGCTCCCTGCCTTGACCCCAGACAGGTAGAAGAGGCCCAGGGCTCGGCAGGCCCTGAGGGGCTTGTTTAGGGCAGGTGTGGCCATGAGGACTCTCTCAAGTGACATTGCAGAGCACTCCTCCCCTCCCCTCAGCAGTTCAGGATCTCACAGCCTGAGAGGGAGCTGTGACGTCCTCTTTACAGGTGAGGCCTATCAGGTTGAGAGTTCAATGTCTTTCCAAAATCACGCAGCTGGTGAGAGGCAGACCAAGCCTGAAAGCAAGAATGCCTGACAACCATATCCGTGCTCCCTGTCCCAGTCCACCACCTTCCCACCCATGCTGCAAAGCTGTGTGACCTCTAACAGGTTACCTCCACTCTCTGGACCTTTGTGTTCTCATCTATAAAGTGACAGTCAGTCAACGAGCCCATGCTGAGCCTCTGCTATCTGCAGGAGCTGTGCCAGGCACCAGCAGCCAGATAAGCGTGGCTCGAAGGTCCCACGGCTCTCCCTCTTCCTGAGTGGGCACTCGGCACCAGGGCTGACGAAAGAGACAGAGAACACTGGGGGAAGCATCTCACACACCTTTGGCAGAACCAGCTCAGCTCCCTGACTTTTGGGACTCCTGGCCTCCCAGCGCTCCTGCTCCCACTGTATCACAGCCTGAAGCTACTTCCAGGAACTTTCCTAGAGTGGCTGGTGTCTAAAGGTTGCCTCTGGACAATCTCTCCCCAGATCACCTGATGCCTGAGCATGGGAAATTGGGTCCTCTGGCTAACCAGAGGTCATATCTGTGAATTCTTTTCATCCCTCCTAGCAGCTGGGGTGTTATACATCAAAGTGGCTGCCACAGCATCTGGCCCACAGTAGGTCTTAACAAGTATCTGTCCATGGACGGATGGACAGATAAATGGATGGATGGATGGATGGATGGATGAGGGAATGGCTAGAAGGGTGATTAGGAGACTCAAGGATGAAGGGGTGCTATTCAGGAGGCCTTGGTGACACAGGCAGGAGATGGGGGAGGCCCATGCAGAGCTCAGCTTACTGACCCCAGCTTACTGACAGTGCCAGTCTCCCGCTGAGGCTCTGCGAGACACACAGCACACTGGCAGGAACAGAGGCTGTGAGCCATCACAGCAGGTAATGATGAGCCCCTGCTACCTGCCTGGTCAGCTCCCACTGAGCTGAGCGGCAGCTCCAACCAAGGCTGCCTCATGTGTCTCGGCAGAGCCGGGACGGGCTGGGCCTGAGCCTGGGCCTGGGCCTGGATGTCCAATGATATGGTTTGGCTCTGTGTCCCCACCCAAATCTCATGTGGAATTGCAATCTCCATATTGGGGTTGAGATCTGGTAGGAGGTGATTGAATCATGGGTGCAGATTTCCCCCTTGCTGTTCTCATGATAGTGAGTTTTCACGAGATCTGGTTGTTTGCAAGTGTGTTGCTCTTCCCCCTTTTCTCTCTGTCTCCTGTTGCCATGTGAAGATGTGCCTGCTTCCCCTTCACTTCCTGCCATGATTGTAAGTTTCCCAAGGCCTCCCCAGCCATAGTTCCTGTACAGCCTGTGGAACTGCGAGTCAATTAAACCTCTTTTCTTCATAAATTACCCAGTCTCGGGTAGTTCTTTATAGTAGTGTGAGAACAGACTAATACAGCCAATGTCTGTGGCAGGCCCTGGAACACCCAGAGCATCATCCACTGCCCCTTCTCTAATGGACACAGCCCTAAGACTAGACTTGCCACATGAAATACCGATGCAATACAGGGGCCATACTTATATGAAGAATGATGCATTTTTATATCTGAAATTCAAATTTAACTGGGCATGTTGTATTTTTATTTGCAAAATCTGACAACCCTACCCAAGCCCAGGAATCTCCAGGTGGGCAAATCTCAGGGGCCCACACCCACCAACAGCATCAAATCCCCCAGCTGCTGAGAGAGGAGGCCAGAGTGGCAGGCCCAAGACACAGCTCTCAGGCAGAAGGACTCCCTCCCCAGGTGTGAAAAGATCCCCCAGTGAGGACAGCTGGGGACTCCAATGAGACAGTGTGTGGCAGCTCTCCTGCACCAGGAGGATGGAGGGAGGTGCTCCCCAGGCCCTGCTCCTCCCCATGGCTCCAGTGGCATGTGCCCTTCTCCTGAGGAATCCCACACAGCCTGTTCCCACCCAGCAGAGTCCTGGTAAGGGCTGGGGCGAGAGTGGTGGCCCAGCCATAGCCTCTGGACTTCTCCCACTTCCTCCTCTAAGAAGCCTTCTTGATGACTCAGGCCTCCCTGATCTGTCCACGCATTTTCACGACCAATTACATGGCCCTTGTCCTCTTCTCTTGTTTTGAGTGCATGAGGGGCCCCAGCTGAAATCAGAAGCCCTGGCAGACGGAGTGCCAATGCTACAGCCCAGCACAATGCACCAAATCAGTGCTCACCTGAGACATAAAGACCAGTGAAAGCCTTGGGCGAGAAAAGGCATGCCTCTGAGCCTTGGTTTCTGCATCAGAACGAAGGGAGCTCTCTCTCACAGAGGTTGATGGAAAGATTACATAATACAATGCCAAGGGCACCATGCCAATTTGGCCCCTGGAAGCCAGTTAGTCCGCGTCCATTTTGTTTATTTTTTTATTTACTTTTTAAAAAAACAGAGATGGTGGTCTTGCTGTGTTGCCCAGGCTAGTCTCGAACTCATGGCCTCAAGTGATCCTCCCACCTCGGCCTCCCAAAGTGCTGGGATTATAGGCATGAGCTACTACACCAGGCCACTTTATTTTTTGTTTTGTTTTAATTTTAAAATTATTATTATTATTACTATTTTTTGAGATGCAGTCTTGCTCTGTCGCCCAGGCTGGAGTGCAGTGGTGCGATCTCAGCTCACGGCAAGCTCTGCCTCCCTGGTTCACGCCATTCTCCCAACTCAGCCTCCCAAGTTGCTGGGACAACAGGCGCCTGCCACCACGCCCGGCTAATTTTGTTTTTGTATTTTTAGTAGAGACGGGGTTTCACCATGTTAACCAGGATGGTCTCGATCTCCTGACCTCGTGATCAACCCGCCTCAGCCTCCCAAAGTGATTATAGGCATCAGCCCCCAAAGGGATTATAGGCGTGAGCCACTGCGCCTGGCCTAAAATTATTTTTAATTGTGGTAAAATATATATGATATAAAAGTCACCATCTTAGCTGTTAAGTGTATAGTTCAGTGGTATGAAGTAAATTCCCAGTGTCGTGCAGCCATCATCACCATCCATCCCTAGAAGTCTAAACACTACACCCATTGAACACTCACTGCCCTTCCCTCCTCTGCCCCCAGCCCCTGGCAACCACCAATCTACTTTCTGTCTCTGTGAATTTGACGACTCCAGGTACCAGGTTTCAGTGGAATCATACAGTATTTGTCTTTTCATGACTGGCTTATTCCACTTAGCATAATGTCCTCAAGGTTCACCTGTGTTATGGCCTGTCCTTCCTTCCTTGTTGAAGCTGAGGGATCATTCCATCACGTGTGCCACACTCTGTTTATCCACTCACCTGCCCATGGACACTGGGGTTGCTTCCACCTCTGGCCTATCGTGAGAATGTTGCTGTGAATGTGGGTGTGCAAATATATCTGAGACTCTGCTTTCAATTCTGTCGGGTATACACTCAGAAGTGGAACTGCCAGATCTTATGTTAATTCTGCTTCATTTTTTGAGGAACCATCATATTGTTTTCCATAGCAACTGCACCATTACGCATTCCCACCCGCAGTGCACAAAGGTTCCAATTTCTCCATGTCCTCCAACACTTGCTCTTCTCTGTTTTTTTGTTTTGTTTTGTTTTTTTGTTTTTTTTGAGATGGAGTTTCGCTCTTGTTGCCCAGGCTGGAGTACAATGGCACGATCTCAGCTCACTGCAACCTCCACTTCCTGGGTTCAAGTGATTCTCCTGCCTCAGCCTGCCAAGTAGCTGGGATTACAGGTGCACACCACCATGCCCAGATAATTTTTATATTTTTAGTAGCAGCGGGGTTTTGCCATGTTGGCCAGGCTGGTCTCGAACTCCTGACCTCAGGTGATCCGCCCACCTTGGCCACCCAAAGTGCTGGGATTACAGGCATGAGCCACCATGCCTGGCCCTCTCTGCTCTTTTAATAGCAGCCATCCTGAGGGTGTGAGGAGGCTGTTTCCTTCCTCTTTGGACCCACACACCTTCGAGCCCCGCTCATAGCAGGCACTCCATGGATCTTCACCCTGTGAACTAGATTCTCTCCTGAGCTTTCTGGCTCCTAGGAGGCAAACAGGCTGTTTCTCTCCCTGCAGGGGACCTTGGGCCTTGTGGCTCTTGGGGATTATTTACAGCCAGGGCCACCTCTGTTCTCCCCTTGGGCAGGCTCGAGGATGAGCCCTTCTGGGAGAGTGGGAGGCAGGGGCCCAGACACATGGTGCATGATTTTCGCCACTGGGCAGTCTCAGCCTTGTGGCTTTCTGCTGGTGCATCCAAGTTAACCCGTCCGTCAGCTCCCACAGGACTAAGGACAAACGCACACCCCGTGACAGTGGATCTGGGGTCCTTGTGACTGCTGCCTCCTTTCCAGCTGTAGGCACCGACTTTGCTTCTGTTCCCAGTTCCTAGCAGTAGGCCTCCGGTCCCCCAAAACCCAGCTCTCTCTGTCTACCCAAAGGCTGAGTATGTGGCAGCCTGAAATCCCACCAGATGCTGTCTCCCCAAGTCCCCACACACTCACCCAGGTGCCCAGAAGCCAACCTCACACTGACTCAGCAGCACATGCAGGAGAAGGCATGAGAGGAAAGACACCCAGGAGGTCATGGAAACAGTAAGCTCTGATGGAGGGAAGGCCTGGCATGATCTAGAATAAGACTGGGGATAGCAGGCCTGTGTAGGCCTGCCATTCTTCCCATCCAGGGGGAAGCTTTAACATCACTTTGGCACCACACAGACCTGGGTTCAAATAGCAGCTCCTGCCAGGTGCGGTGGCTCACACCTGTGATCCCAGCACTTTGGGAGGCCAAGGCAGGCGGATCCTTGAGCCCAGGAGTTCGAGACCAGCCTGAGCAACATGGTGAAACCCTGTCTCTACAAAATACAAAATACAAAAAAGAAAAAAAAATAGCCAGATGTGGTGGCATGCACCTGTAGTCCCAGCTACTCAAGAGACTGAGGTGGGAGGACCACTTGAATCTGGGAGGTGGAGGTTGCAGTGAACCAAGATCACGCCACTGCACTCCAGCCTGGGTGACAGAGGGAGACCCTGTCTCAAAAAAAAATAAAAATAAAAATAAAAAAGTAGCAGCTCCATGAGTACATGCTGTGTGACCCCAGGCAAGTCTGTTTACCTCTCTGAGCTTCCTTTGGCAAATGAGGATAACAACAGGCAAGTCACAAGGTCACTGTGGGGCTTCGAAGTGCAATCCACACCGAGGGCGGGCACCCACCTGACTGCCGCTGTTTCATGCAGAGACCTCCTCCTGCCACCCGCTCTCCCGCTGCTGAAATCCCACACAGAGACCCGGGGTTGGAGGAAAAAAACATGAGATGAAAGGATAACGGCCTTCCTTTTTCCGACAGGAGGCAGCTTGTTCTTAAGGGAAAAAACAGCCCCCTCTGCAGCACCACCTCCACTCCATCCTCTCTTTGTGTTTGAGCTTCTGGGGAAACAACAGGTCCCACGGTAGTTTCCTTCCAGGATCCCCCCTCCCTCCAGAAATTCCCCAATGACTGCCAAGCTCAGTGGTAAGAAAAATGAGCAATTTCCAGACAGAGGCCAGCACATTTCAGAGGCATGGAGTGGAGGCCACGCCCCTCCTGACGGCCCCATCCCCCGCGAACAGTCGTAGGTCACCTGGGCCCACACTCCTAGTCGCGCTTACCTCTCGGAATGCACGGAGGAGGACAGAGTGAGACTCTGGCAGAGGGCTTGCTGAGGGGAGGGCTGAGAGAGTCATCTCCCCCAACCCTTGTCGCTCTGCCCCTGCCCCACATCCTGGGCAATTATACTACTGTGGTGGGGTAGAGGCATCCAAGGCGGAGGCAGGTACTGTGCACCTGCGATACACCTGAGACTTGGAGACAGTGACCCTGGCGTTCAATAAGCATTCATTTAACGGTTCCCCAGGCATGGTGCTGGGGATCAGGGCACAACAGGGACCAACACAGACCCTCACGGGGCGCCAGGAGGAGCGGGGGCATCCAGAGGAACACGTGGAGCACGTGGCTGCCTTTGCCACACTCCTCCTCCCTGCCCTCCTCCCCAGCCCGGCATGGCTGGTGTTCAAAGCCCCTGTGTGCTCTGCTCACTTGAAACCGACTCAGCTGAGGGGCTGTGCAAATGGCGGAGACTGAACAGAGGAGCGAAGTCCCTGAGGGAGAAACCACCCCAGAAAAGACAAGCCAGGTGTCAGGGTGGGGAGCTTGGTTACCACAGTGGGTGCAAGGAGATGGGGACTGAGCAGGGCCGTGGATGCTGGCGGCCCTCAGCCATCATCCTCCCTGCCCAGGCAAGTTGAATGGCAGCCCCAAACAGCAAACTCTCATTTTCCACCTTTTATTCCAGGAAGGGCACTGTGAGGCTGCAGCGGGGAGCGGGGAGCGGGCAGGGGACCTTGGACCAGGACCTCTGACTAAGCCTGAGTCAGGGCTGCCTTCCACTGGTCCCCACCCACCCTTGCAGGCCACTGAGCCGCCTCTCCTGGCTCAGCCTCTCCCACTTGTTGCCTCCGCCCTCAACTCCTTCAGTGACTTCCTCACCTCTTCATAAAGTCCAGGCTCTCGTCTTCTCTCCGGCTGCCCCCGACAGTGCCCCGCACCCAGCCCCTCCCACCACCTGTCTCCCATCTTCCCAGCCTGTCCTCCTCCTGCCCCACTGCCTCACCGTACTCCTGCTCCTCGGGTGCTCCTGATGGCCTCTAACTGTCCTTCAAACCCAGCCCAGTAGCAGGTCTTCTCAAAGGCTTCCTGCCATCCCTTCCCTTCCCTGGGTAGGTATGGAACCCCTCACCCAGGCCTCCTCCACCCCAGCCCTGCTCCCTCCTGAGAAGCCAGGGGTGCACCTCACATCTGTATTTTTGTGCCTGGCGTAAAGCAGGAAAGGAATGAGGATTTCACTGAGAACCTACTGCGTGCTGGCCACTGTTATGAAGGTCATCACAGGGAATGTTCACAACAAACCATGACATGGTATTGTCTCATTTTTACAGGTAAGGAAACTGAAGCCTCAGGCGAAGAGATGATTTCAAAGAACTTCAGAGCTAAGAGTCTTCTTCGACTAAAGTAGGCCCCCATGTTTCCTGGGAGAGGTGGAGCTTGAGGCTTGAGTGGGCTTAAAAAACAATGAGGATTCTGACAAACACAAAAGAGGGAGAGAAAGAGAGAGAATTAGAGCATTCCAGGCAGCAGGGGACTGAGATAAAGGAAGGCCAGGAGGCAGGAAAGACTAGGAAGTGACTGGCAAGACTAGGCGGTTTAGTAGAGAATCCAAGGTATATGCTTACACAAATTACTGGGCAAGGTGACTCACACCTGTAATCCCAGCACTTTGGGAGGCCAAGGTGGGAGGACTGCTTGAGCCCAGGAGTTTGCGACCAGTTTGGAAAACATGAGGAGACCCCATCTCTATTTAAAAAAAGGAAAGGAAAGGAGAGGAGAGGGGAGGGGAAGGGAGGGGAGGGGAGGGGAGGGGCAGCAGAAAGCCTGGAATGGCAGGAGGAACACCAAGCCTGCCACAGACATGGGGCGTTTCTGAGAAGGCTAGGCAGTGTTCCAGTGGGGGAAAGCCCTTGTGGACGACTTCCCTGTCAAAACCCTTCCCAGGAACTTGAAGGGCCAGTTCCAGAGACCCTGTGACCTCAGGCTCCAGAGATGGCTCCGTAAGGCAAACTCACCATGACCACTGGTCAATGACTCACTTCTCCTCCCAGGCGCCCTCCCAGGGATGAGCGCTCCTTCACTCTGCCTCCCTCAGCCCTTGCTCCGGTCTCTCTGCAGCTGGGGTCAGTGTTCCCAGTGAAGTCAGCGTGTGGAGCACACATGCCTCGTACCCACATTCATGCCCATGTGTGCGTGTGCACACGCATGTGGGGCCTGTGTGTCTCTTTCTCTGAGACCCACTCAAGATCTGCATGCACCTCGGGCCCCCTCCCAGAGTGCTGCAGCCAGATGCACCTGGAGCCCCACCCGTCAGCCCAGGGAGACATGCCCCTGCTGAATTCAGAGAATGATCCAGAAGGATTCAGGAAATGAGGACCATTCATGAACCCAGCGACTGATGAAGAGCACCTTCCTCACATCCGCTGCCAAACTCACCCGAAAAGAAGAGACAGAGGAAGACCCCAGAGGATTGCAATTTGAGGACACCTCCAACTCATGCTCACTGCACTTGGTCCAAAATGATCAGAGGGGAGATTTGGCTCATGCTCTGGCCTCACTGGCTCCCATCACCATTGCCTCTGCCCCTCCAGCCTCTGCCAGGCGCCTGGCTCTGACCCTTGCTGACACTTCAGGCCCCTCACCCTTAGAACTGACTGCCAAAGGGCTAGTTGCTTAGTCTTCAAGTAAAGGGGGTCTGGAGGACTATGGAGGAGGCATAGTGCCTAGAGAGCCCCTCGCCTCAAGACACCCCCACTGCACTTGGGAGGAAAGGCAGGGCTGGGGGATGGAGGCACTGTGGGGGCCTTTCCTATTTGGCAGCAGCTGCAGCCATGCGCACCATAGCCACAGCACGCAGCACACATCTTCTGTCTCACAGTGATTGAAGATTTTGCCAAACCACCGGTCAGACAGATTTCCCCCCAAGCCCCACATTAATTGATTTTTGGATTCTGCAACCCAAGCTCAAGCTCAAGCTCCGAGCTCACTGCTGAGCTCAGACTCCTGGGTGTCCCACAACGGCTTCGATGTGGAGGCCATGACGCTGAAGCCAAAGTTGTCAGACACCTGGGCTGCACTTGCCTGTGCAACGAGCCTGGGAAAGCAGCTCTGGGGATTGCACCCACAGTGCCAGGGCTCGGGAGCCTCTGAGCTCAGGGAGGCCTTCAGGGACAGGCGCTCGGCCAGCTGCCTGGGTAGGCTACTAATGAGCAGATGTGTTCCAGGCTGTCTGCCCAAGGGGCAGCTGCACCTGGGCTGGAGAGCTGAGACTCTCTGGGGTTCTGCAGCCTCTGTCCTCCTCAGCCTGGCCCGACAGCCCCTCGTTCTGATACAGGAGGGCACAGCTGCCTGACGCCCCTCCTTCCCCATCTCTGCCTCTCTAATCTTCCTTGAGGAAGATTCCATCAGAGGTTTTACTTACATATTCCTACACCATGCCTGGAACATAGTAGGTACTCAATAAATCCAACTTTTCCTGAGTTAGTGGTGAGGAAAAGCTGGACTCAGGATCAGGCTGCCTGTGAAGCCTGGCCTGTAGCCTGCCAGCTCTCCCAGCCTCAGGGTCCTCACACCCACACGTGTGTGCAGTAACAGAGCACTTCTTGCCTGCAACAGTGCCTGGTTCCCAGTGTATGCCACTGGGATCCGTATTATTATTAAGTGATCCGTATTATTATTTTATCTTAAGAGAGGAATCCAGCTGTGTCCAAATGAGGGGTTGGGACAAAATAAAAGCTAGAATCCAGTCTTGCAGGTGGGGACATGGCACCTGGGTCTCCACACTGACCCGTGCTGCCCACCCTCTCACATGCTATCTAGAGACGGCACTCCTTGTGGAATGCTGCAGGAGGTGCTCCACTGGCACGAAGTGGGTGGGCTCTTAGCACAGACCCAAACAGTAAGTGACTTTTCACACTCCCATCGCATCTCCAAAGCTACATGCAAAACACTGATCTTCACAGGGGTTAGAACACAACTTCCAGAAGGCCTCTTTCTTTTTTTTTTTTTTCTCCCTTTTTTTTTTTTATTATTATACTTTAAGTTCTGAGATACATGTGCAGAACATGCAGGTTTGTTACATAGGTATACAAGAGCCATGGTGGTTTGCTGCACCCATCAACCCGTCATCTACATTACGTATTTCTCCTAATGCTATCCCTCCCCTAACCCCCAACCCCCTGGCAGGCCCCAGTGTGTGATGTTCCCCTCCCTGTGTTCATGTGCTCTCACTGTTCAACTCCCACTTATGAGGGAGAACAAGCAGTGTTTGGTTTTCTGTTCCTGTGTTAGTTTGCTGAGAATGATGGTTTCCAGCTTCATCCATGTCCCTGCAAAGGACATGAAGTCATCCTTTTTGATGGCTGTATAGTATTCCATGGTGTATATGTGCCATGTTTTCTTTATCCAGTCTATCATTGATGGGCATTTGGGTTGGTTCCAAGTCTTTGTTATTGTGAACAGTGCTGCAATAAACATACGTGTGCATGCGTCTTTATAGTAGAATAATTGATAATCCTTTTGTTATATACCCAGTAATGGCATTGTTGGGTCAAATGGTATTTCTTGTTCTAGATCCTTGAGGAATCGCCACACTGTCTTTCACAATGGTTGAACTGGTTTACACTCCCACCAACAGTGTAAAAGCATGCCTATTTTTCCACATCCTCTCCAGCATCTGTTGTTGCCTGACTTTTTAATGATCACCATTCTAACTAGCATGAGATGGTATCTCATTATGGTTTTGATTTGCATTTCTCTAATGACCATTTCTCTAATGATGAGCTTTTTTTCATATGTTTGTTGGCTGCAAAAATGTCTTCTTTTGAGAAGTGTCCATTCATATCTTTTGCCCATTTTTTGAGTGGGGTTGCTTTTTTCTTATAAACTTGTTAAAGTTCCTTATAGATTCTGGATATTAGCCCTTTGTCAGATGGATAGATTGCAAAAATTTTCTCCCATTCTGTAGGTTGTCTGTTCACTCTGATGATAGTTTCTTTTGCTGTGCAGAAGCTCTTTAGTTTAATTAGATCCCATTTGTCAATTTTGGCTTTTGTGGCCATTGCTTTTGGTGTTTTAGTCATGAAGTCTTTGCCCATGCCTATGTCCTGAATGGTATTGCCTAGGGCCTCTTTTTAATCCAAGAAAGAAAGGGGGCAGATAAGATGGCGAAGCATTGCCAGGGTTAACGGGGAGTCTGCAGACCAATGGGTAAAGATCAAAGAGAGCCTGACTGCTGTAACAGCACCCCTCTCTAAACAGGAGGGCACCCCACCCCGGGCATCAGCAATCCTGCACACGGCCATTCCCAGAGCAGCCTGCCTCCACCGCAGCACAGAGATGGGTCAGAATGAACGTCCACCCATGTCAGTGCTCTATCAAATGTCTGCTTAGAAGTTCTTTTTAGGCCAGGCGCGGTGGCTCACGCCTGTAATCCCAGCACTTTGGGAGGCCGAGGTGGGCGGATCATGAGGTCAGGAGATCGAGACCATCCTGGCTAACACAGTGAAACCCCGTCTCTACTAAAAATACAAAAACAAAATTAGCCGGGCGTGGTGGCATGCACCTGTAGTCCCAGCTACTCGGGAGGCTGAGGCAGGAGAATGGCGTGAACCCAGGAGGTGGAGCGTGCAGTGAGCTGAGACTGCACCACTGCACTCCAGCCTGGGCGACAGAGCGAGACTCCAACTCAAAAAAAAAAAAAGGTCCTTTTTAAATAATTATTTTCTAAATATTCTGGTCTGTTCAAGCTGCCATAACAAAGTATCACACACTGGTAGCTTAAACAGCAAACATTTATTCATCAACAGTTCTGGAGGCTGGAAGTCCTCTTAAGATAAAATAATAATACGGATCAGTCAACTGGCATACACTGGGAACCAGGCACTGTTGCAGGCAAGAAGTGCTCTGTTACTACACACACATCTGGGTGTGAGGACCCTGAAGCTGGGACAGCTGGCAAGCTACAGGCCAGACTTCACAGGCAGCCTGATCCTGAGTCCAGCTTTTCCTCACCACTAACTCAGGAAAAGTTGGATTTATTGAGTACCTACTATGTTCCAGGCATGGTGTAGGAATATGTAACTAAAACCTCTGATGGAATCTTCCTCAAGGAAGATTAGAGAGGCAGAGATGGGGAAGGAGGGGCAGCAGGCAGCTGTGCCCTCCTCTAACAGGACGAGGTGCCTAGGCCAGGCACTTGACCCTTCTGAGCCTCAGTCTCCCCCGTAATGGGAGCAAATCTCTCCCCCAGTCCCCACGCGGACATCATGCTAAACAGATGGTAGCGCTTCTCACTATCTTCATTGCCATTGTTATTCTATTTAACACTGAATACAATTTTTTGAAGCCCCTTTCAGACCAAAAAGAGAAAACTGGGCCCTCTGTTTACTACTAAATGTGTTCCTGTTTTTTTGTTAATTAAAAGAAAAAACAACGTCCAACACCTCCATCCCGACCATATTGTTCCTGAAGTTTCCTTTTGCTGATGTATCTGTTGTTGTGGCATCAATAGTCGTAAACCACTTCCACTCTTACTGAGGTGTTTTGTTTTGTTTTGTTTAGATGGCGTTTCGCTCGTTGCTCATGCTGGAGTACAATGGCACAATTTTGGCTCACTACAACCTCTGCCTCCCAGGTTCAAGTGATTCTCCAGCCTCAGCCTCCTGAGTAGCTGGCATTACAGGCATGCACCACCATGCTCAACTAATTTTTGTATTTTTAGTAGAGACGGGGTTTCACCATGTTGGCCAGGCTGGTCTCGAACTCCTGACCTCAGGTGATCCACCCACCTTGGCCTCCCAAAGTGCTGGGATTATAGGCATGAGCCACTGTGCCAGGCTCTTACTGAGCTTTTTAAAGCACCCACTCAGAAACCATCAGGGAGAACCTCTTTCTTCAACCCCCCTGCTCTGTAAGAGCACTCAGAGCTCAAGAGATGACCTGTCTTCACGGGGGAAATCTAGTAACGCTGGATATGCAATAGGAATTCACTATATGAACAGCAATTCACCACACCAAATACCCCCCAGATAAAGCTGGGAAAGTTATGGCTGTTTGGGGTAATCTGGAAAGAACCTCAGTGACAGTAAATAATTTTTGTTTGTACCAGAGAAAAATCTAAAACCAGCAGGAACTCCGAGGAGTTTCATTTTCTTTCTTAGGTGGAAAGCAGCCACATGAGAAGGGTTGGCTTGTCAAGGTTTCAAGCCTGTCACGGATCTCCAGCCTCGGAGGCATATTTTCAGTTTCGATTCAGCTGATAGGTGGGGAGAAAGCACCCCAGTTCTTGGAAGTTAGCCGTTTCTCCTCCTCGCAGACAACCTCCAGAGCAGGGCAGCAGGCAGCTGCTAGAGATTTATTTCTCCACTTAGTCGTCTCCGCTTGCGGCTTCCTCCCATGAGTGAGGACCAAGAGAAGCCCCCTGTCTCTGATGAAAGTGGGGGATGAACACTGAACCAAACCCACACTGCTCAGCACATTTGATGCGGCCAGAAACAGACTGCAAAGGCTGAGAAAGCTTTTCAGGGGCCGTCTGGCTGTGTGGGTGCGAAGACCTGGCTGTACTTGGAATCACCTGGGAAGACTTACAAAAATGGTTTCCGAGCCTCACCCGCAAGGATTCTGACTTGGTGAGTCTGAATCACCAAGATTCTCGGGGTGAGGCCCCAGAATCTGCCTGTATGTAGCCAGCAATGCTGCATTTGGACCTGCATCTGGGGACCTCTGGGCCACCCTGGCCCCCTTAATTTATAAAGCAGAACCAGCCCCAGGGTGGAGAATGAATGAGGTGCCTGTCACCTGGTTACACAATTTAAGGTGTCCTTAGTTATGCCCAGCTGACTCGAGCACAGATCTTCCTGGGCACTCTCTTCTACACCAGCACAGGGTGGGGCGTGGGAGGGGAGTACGTGCCCATGCGGGCATCTACTGAATGTGCCAGGCCTGTATCTCTATTATCTCACCTCTATCCTGTGAAGTAGATATTATTATCCCCATTGTACAGATGAGAAAACCTAGACTCAGAGAGGCTGAGCCATTTGGTCAAGGACACACAGCTGCTGAAATGACAAGGCCAAGTTTGAACCCAGGTGGTCCCTTCTTTGGCCCATGCTTAACTACACCAGGGCACCCTCTTGATAGTGGTCTCCTTGGGGTTCTGTTGCAGCTCAGAGCACAAGCTTCTCCCTGATCGCTGCCCTATAGCTTATTTCCAATGTTTTTTTTTTTTTTTTTCTGGTTTTTAGTTGACTTTTCATCATATTCAGCCCAGTGACCTCTGGTCCTCTCTTGGGCTCTTTCAGCGTTATTCGGTGTTTTGTGTTTGTGCACCTTAACTGCGTGGAAAAGTGCTCGGTCCTTGGGAACAAGGGCCACAGGGCATTGCTTCCTTCCCCAGGGCCTGGCACCTACCGGGCACTAGCAGGCAGTCTGGCCATAGTAGCTGAGTGATGAGTGAACTGCTTGGAGGCTGTGCATGTTGCCCAGACTCTTTTAGGTCTATCTCCCCTAAAGGCATCTGTGAAAACACATAAAGCAACACCCTGAGGCAGCAACGGCTCCAGTCTGGGAGTCTGAGGAGCAGAAAGAAGCTGAGGTGGCCATAGGAGCCCCATGGGCAGTGAGGTGAGGCCAGGGAGATGGGCCACGGCCGGTCAGCCAGGGCCTTGAAGGGCACGGTAAAGCGTATGGATTTTGTCCTGAGAAACGAGAAGTCAGCTTTGACAGGGGAGGGCCATGCTCCTGTGGCCCGAGTCATCAGGCCGTGCTGCCTGCTATACTGCTGGATGCCCCTTTAAGTCAGGAGCCCCACACTGTTCATGGGGTAACTCCAGGGCCTGGCTCTCAGTGGCGTGCAGAGGCATTTATTTTATTTTACTTTTTTGCTGCTTTGCACCTGGCAATGGAAGAATGAAAGGCAACCCAGAGTGAAATTAGGATTACAATTTTACAAACGTCTGTTTCTGACGCAGGAAGCACATCATTTGTCCACATCACACTCTCTTGGAATTTATGACAAAGCCAGGTGAGAGCCGGGCTGGGAATGACCTTTGTCCAAGAAAAAAATGTTTTGCTGAGTAAATTAAGAGTGCAAATAAGACTGGGGAAAAAACTTAAATTGTACATGAAAACTTTTGAAAATATTTTAGTAATGTCAACTTAAGTACAATTGATACCTGGATTGCCTAATTCCATAATTCAGGAAGCTTCCCACTCACCTCCACAAAATATTAGTTTGAATTAATTATATTTAATTATATGTGAATGCCTCAAATTAAATGATCCCAATGCTCACTGTGTTGTTCATAACATTTGAAGGCTGTGATCTGACGCGGAAAACCCTGACTTCTGCATTTGCACACTCACAAACATGTCAACACTAGCCCTGTTTTTAGTTGACTTTTAATATTATACAGCCCTATACTTGAGTCTACCTTTGATTTCAGCCTCTTTAATTCTTCAACCCTGTGGAGTTTTCTAAATAAGCTCTGCCAGCTGCTATCAATACAAGCAGACTCACACCACAACTCGGGGTGGCACTGACTCCATTTCCTCAAAGATAACACAGAAAACAGAATAAAAGGCTGGGCACAGTGGCTCACGCCTGGAATCCCAGCACTTTGGGAGGCCAAGGCTGACAGATGACCTGAGGTCAGGAGTTTGAGACCAACCTGGCTAAGATGGTGAAACCCCATCTCTACTAAAAATACAAAAATTAGCTAGGCATAGTGGTGCACCTGTACCACCCAGCTACTCAGGAGGCTGAGGCAGGAGAATTGCTTGAACTCAGGAAGTGGAGATTGCAGTGAGCCGAGATCAGTCCACTGCACTCCAGCCTGGGTGACAGAGTGACTCCATCTAAAAAAAAAAAAAAAAAAAAAAAGGAAAAAAAAAGACACACTAGGCTTTATGTGTCAAGGGTCTTTAGAATGAAGTTGTCCCCCCTTATCCATAGGGGATATGTTCCAAGACCCCCAGTAGATGCCCAAAGCCGCAGATAGTACCAAACCCCTATACACACTATGTATTTCCCTGTGCATACACACCTACGATAGAGTTTAATTTGTAAATTAGGCACAGTACTCTTGTGCTTTGGAGCCATTATTAAGTCAAACACGGGTGACCTGAACAGAGGGACAGTGATCTGGCGGCAGCTGATGTGATCGCCCAGGGAGCACGCCCGGTGTGAAGATGCTGGACAAAGAGAGGGGTCACGTCCCAGGCTAGATGGAGCAAGATTTTGTCACGCTACTCAGAACAGAGTGTCATTTAAAATTTAGGAGTTATTTCTGGAATTTTCCATTTAATATTTTCAAACCTCGGTGTACTGCAGGTAAATGAAAACTTGGAAAGATAAACCTCAGATAAGGGGGGACTACTGTATTCATTCCTTCACCATGGCATGTCTGTGTCTGAGAATCTACCCTTAAAAACAATCTGGATGCAAAGAAGCCGTAAGATAGAGCGCAGTCCCTTCATTTCATAAAAGAATGAAACTAACTCAAATACACAATGCAATGGGTGAGTAAAGTATTGCACTACCCTTAATGTAATATTGTGGGGCCACTGAAAACATGCTCACATGTTTATGGAAATCTGAGAAGTGTTTCTATCTATGGCATTTCATCACATTTAAGACACTGTTGATTAGAGAACACACCACCATTTCACGTACCTTTAAGGAAGAAAAAAATACCCAGAATGGTTATTTAATAAGGGACGTCTAAGTAAAGCTGGGATCCTAAAGGGCTATTTCTTTGGTGGGAGGAGAATGATAAACAGCCTCGTCAGGCAGAAAGAGCCAGTGTCCCAGCCATGGACCCGGATGCAGGGAGGGAACAAAACTGCCCCTGAGGACGTGCACAAGCCAGTACTCATGCTGGTTTGAGTCTGAATTTGCACAAACATATGGTCTGGAAACACCTCAAGCAAATGCTGTAACTGAATTTAAGTTTAAGGTTATGTCAAGTTGGCAGTGCCCCCAGGTGACTGGCAGAAACAAATACAACCACCTCTAGAAAGAACTGAATGTTAACACCAGCTGACAGTGCCTGTAAAACATCAGCCACTGTACAGTGCAAGATCCAGAGACGTTAAAATGTGAAGTGAGTTTTAGAATTAACCATAAGTAAAAAAGCAGAATCAAATGGGTATGTGGAGGATGACATCTCTTTGCCGAGTAGACCGACTGGAAGGAAAAACACAGTAAAATGTTCACAGTGATCTTCTGTAGGTGCTAAGACTACAGCATTTTCTTTCTTTAAACGAGTCTGCGTTTTCCAGCTTTTTCTAAAGTGACCATATAAAAAAAGGAGAAATAAGGAGACGCAAGTGAGAGAATGACTTTGGGTGGGGTAGTCAAGGAGGTGACCCTGAAGGAGGTGACACCTGAACTGAGAAGGGACCAGCACAGGAGAAGCCACCTGAAGAGTTCATTGCTACATGTGTATCCAGGACAAGGACCTGGGGCACAGGGAAGATGCTTGATATGTATTTGTTAAATGAATACACGGGTTAAGGAAGGAAAAAGCTGCTAAAACAGGAGCCTAAGTCTCAAGGGGTCCCAGCCAGAGTCTGGCTCTTCAGGGAGCCATTCTCACTGGACTGAGCTGATAAACAGGGCAGGGACGCCCACCTGGCCAACAGCAGGGCCCTGTGGAAAGTATGCAGCTGCAGAGTTAGCAGAGAACCATGGTTGTGGGTCTTGGGCCTGTTTCCCCATCTGTCAAATGAGGTTAGTGCTTTGCCACCTCTGTCTCTGAAGTCAGCTCCAGATGATATCGTGCTTTGAAATATTAAGCCACGTGCGAGCGTGAGGGGCTGTCACGCTCCAGGAGGTCCTCATGCGAGCCCAGCAGCACCTCCCTGTAACACTGGGAACTGTCAGCACCTCCCTGTAACACTGGGACCTGTGAGCTTCAGACAAGCTGCTTTGTCTCAGGAAGGTTCCCGTGCTCGCTGCTCAGCCCACAGGAGATGTCACATCAGCTCCTGTCTTCCTGCCCGCATGCACTTTCCAGATTCACTTACCATGTACGAGCCTGTGCTGGAAACTGCTAACAGAGATAAGAGATGGGTCCCTGTCCTTGAGAAAGTCACAGGGAGTCCAGAGAGTCAGATGAGCAAACAGGATGATACCCTGTGGGACCCGAGGGAGGGGACACACAATCTGCTGCTGAGAGGCAGTTAACAGCCACCACTGGGGGGAAATAATGGAGGCATTGTAGGTTTCCTACATTGTTTCCTTTTGCTGTCACAGTTTTGGGAGGTTATCTCCATTTCACAGATCGGGGCTGGAAACTAAGTCATCTGTCAAGTTCACAGAGTCTGGACTCGCACCTGGGCTGGGGTGACTCAAGTCCATGCCCACGGGCATACTACTGCACTGGTATGTGTGTGCTGGCAGTGGGGGGGGGCAGGGAGATGGGAGGAGGCTATTGTAGAGGTGACAGCGTGCTCTTCATTTAGAGACTGGGGCCAAGGGGTAATGGTGGGCAATGAGGCTGGCACAAGGGCCAGGTGGGCTGTGGATTCCTTGTGAAGAAGTTGATATGAGCAAATCCACAAATCCGGCCAAAAGGGAAATTTTCCCTGGGCTTTCTGCGCAGGTCATCCCCCTGTCCCAAGCCAGCCCCTCAGAGGACATTCAGCAAAGGCATCCCATGTCCTGCAGCCAGAGGGCTACAGGGAAAACTTAACTCCCACCAGCTTCCAGCTGCTCTGACTGGGACCATGCCCAGGTGTCACTGTCACCCTGGTCTGCTGTGGAGGGTGCCAGGCAAGAGTTCGCTCTCCCTGGAAACCCAGCTCAGCTCTTGCTAAGCAGTGGCTGTTGTGGGGCAGGAAGAGCCGAGCTGGGCCTGACCGCTGGTACGGAGCAGAATTCTAAGGAATTTGCAGATGGAATTGGGGTTACTAACAGGCTGACCTTAAAATAGAGAGGTGATCCTGGGTTAGCTGAGTAACCCAAAGTAATCACAGAAGCCCTCAAAACAAGGAAGGCAGAAGAGAGACTCCAGACATAAGGACTTAACCCACCACGGGTGGCTTTGAAGGAGGCCACAAGTCAGGAAATACAAGGGGCTGAGAATGAACCCCGAGGCCCATGGCTGGCAAGGCAACAGGAACCTCAGTCCCACAACTCGATGGAACTGCATCCTGCCAACACAGAACTCGAATGCAGGTTCACTGCCGGAGTGCCCACACCGAGATCTTGGCCTTGTGACTCAAGCGGAGCACTGGCTGGGCATATGATGCTGACTTCTGACTCTCAGTTCATGGCGGACAGTAACTGACTGCTGCTTTAAACTGATACACCTGTGGCAATTGGTTACCGAGGAAGAAAGATCACCTGGGCTGGAGAGTGGAGGGAACAGGGCCTAGGATGCTGGTGATGAAAGGACACAGGTCCCACTATCGGTGCCACGCTGGCCACAGGAGCATCTCCTCTGGGACAGGAGCATCGCAGTCATGAGTAGTGTTAAATGCATTCCTTCACTCATTCAGCCAACGTCTCTCAAACATTTGCTACGATATAAGTGCTAGCTGGGTGTCTGGAGCTCAAATCTCATGAAAGGACAGAAGGCCAAACAGACAACACCCAGGGAAATGAGTCCCAGGATAGGAACAAGGTCCCCGCCTGCCCCTACCCCACCTCTGGCACCCAGATGCTGTGGGAGGTGAGAGAAGGGTCACTGGTCCACCAGGGGTCGAGGTTTCTCAGGGCTTGAAGCCCTGTCGTGGGTCTTGGTGCCCAGGAAGGAGACAGAGGCCATGTCGGGGTGGGCCACACTCAGGGGGAAGCAGCAGACTGGCTGGGCTGGTACATGGACCATAAGGGACCTGGCCACCAGGTGTGCCGGGATCAGCTCAGGAGAGCCTTACAGTTCAGACAGGAAAGTTGGGACTGAGGATGCCAAGCAGGGGAAAGAGGCTGGGGTTAGGACACATCCCAGGACTTCCCCAACCGTTAGGACAGTGACCTTCAAACCATGTCAGCCCCTGCCCTCTGGGGCCATGTGCCCCCGCACACCCTGACTGGGGGATAGCAGCCCGTGCCGGTGGCCTGGAACACCACATCCACACACACCACCTGTAAGTGAATGAATTCACACTTTGGTTTGTGTACCAGCCTTGGGGACTGCTATGCCGCCAGCACCTGGCACATAGCAAACAATCCATGTTAGCTTTACAGGTAAATAAAAGACAAAGGCGGGTGTCTGAGAGACTGGCCGCATCAGGGAAAACAGTGAAGGAGGGGTGTCTGATGCCCAGGGCATGATGGGGGAGGGGTCAAGGCCTGCAGGCCAAAGGAAGCCAGCTGGGGACAGATGGCAGACAGCATCCCTCACCCTGTGGCACAAGCCTGGAAGCTGGGTCTGCCCTCCCTCAGGAGCTGTGCAGCAGAGCCACTGTTGCACTGTGACAGGACACCTTGATACCCGCTTCTTGGATGGAGAGGGTGCACTTGTTCTGAATGAGGAGCTCAAGGTGGGAAAATAAGCTCCGAGCTCTGTCTTTGCCACAAAGATGGCAGCAGAGGCCCTGAGTTCATCTGACTACATAGGTGATTGGGAAGGACTTCTGACTGTTCTCGCAGGGTCCAGAGGACCTGACTCTGCCACCAGCTCCCGGAGGGTGGGGGCGCTCCTGGCAGCGCCTCCCCTCCACGGGCTCTGCTTTCCTAGTGGGGTCAAATCAATTACTTGCAGGTCTCTAAATGCAAAGTGCAAAGTTCCATGTATTGATTCATCTAATCCTCAAAACAATCCTGTGTGCTTTTCCAAGCCCATTTCACAGATGAAGAGGTTGGATTGGTGAGGGGGTTTTCCACTTTTACAAATTTTTAGTTGACAAATCCTTCTTGGGAGAAAAGAGTACAAAAAAGACCAATGTGTAAAACAGACAGATTGGAGCAACTCTGTTTAGGGGAGGAATGGAGGGAGATAAGGCTCTCCAGAAACAAGAGGCCCTGAAGACACATCTATGAAGTCAGCCTTAAGGGCTGAGCCTGAGGACTGGTGAAGCTCACTCAGCTGGACTCCCTTCCCCAGGGCCACAGATTGCCTGTGGCTGAAGTGAAGTTGTGGAGAGCGCCTCGGGGGCTGGGACTGTCCGCCCGACACCTGGACACCCTGCTCATGCCCGCCTGGGGCAGTGCTGTGAGGGTGCGGGAGGGCCACTCCGCGGAGGCCCTGACAGGCCATGCGTTCCTCTGATGGCCTGTCCCACTTCAGAGCCCAGGACCTGCGTGACAACATCCCACAGCCACTTCAGGAAAAGAGGACTAGGAGAGACTGGTGAGGGCAGCCAGGGCTCTGCTGAGCAGTGGGACAGCGGGGAAGACAGAAATCCTCCAGGGTCTGCCCAGATGGCCAGAGGGCGAAAGGGGTGCTCCAAATCACAGACCCGCTGCAGCCTTGCCCTTAGACACCACCCAGGTCTGTCCCCCAACTTCATAGACCAGGAAACTGAGGCCCAGAGAGAAAGAGGTGAATTTGCCTAGGTTTCTCAGCTGATGGGTGGCACGGCCTGGACAAGAACCCAAATCTCTTGACCTCTGGTCCAGTACCCTTTTCCAAAGGAAAAGGAAAACATGGTTTTGCGAGAATAACACAGAGACAGGGCCAAATAAGTCAAAATGAGGACTAGACACTTGAAGGTAGGAGCCCTGTATCTGCGACGCGATTCTCTGTTAACCTGCCGGGTGACCTGGGGCAGAAAGCAACCCCCAACCCTGGTCTGGATCCAGTTTCCTCCCGAGTGGGGTCTAACACCCTCACCAGCACCTTCCACTCTGGAGTGAGAGGGACAGGTACAAGAGCGCCGCTGCCGCCTGGGATCTCTGCACAGCCACTTCGCAGGCAGCCTGAGAAACGTCCGTTGCTCCACCAGGCGGAGTTCTGCCCCGCGAGTCTTCATCCCAGGTAAGGCCCCCCCACCTCGTGCCCTGAGTCTACGCGCGGGCCTTTTCCTTTGAGCCAGGGATACACCCGCCGCCGGCCCCCACAGGTCTGCGCTCATGCACATCGCCTTGCATCCGTTCAGTTACCGGCACCCGCTCCCTCGCTCGCAAACTCCCGCACTAGCCCGGCCACCGCCTCTGCTCGCGCGCGCGGGGTGCTGGAGCCTCACCGCGGGCGCTCTAGCCCCGGGCGGGTTCCCGGGAAGCCGCGGCGAGCGCGGGGAGGCGAGGATCCCGGCAGAGATGGGTAGGGTGCCAACGCCCAGGCCCCGCCCTCTCCACCCGGCCCCGCCCCCGCAGGGCCCGCCCCGGCCGGCAGGGAGGATGTGAGCTCACTCCCGCCTCCATGTTCCCGGAGTCGCCTGGAAGCGTCCGCCCAAGGTCGCGGGCCGCTTGGGGAGTCAGCAGCGCGCCAGGCCCCTTCGGGCCCCACACGCATTAGGTGCCTTCTTGATGGGTACGGAGTGAACGCGGGCGGCGGCGGGACCGAGGCAGCGCCCAGTTTGTAACCGCCGCGCCGCCCGTGCCCGCGCGCGCCACACCCCAGCGCGCTTCCGGCCGGGCCACGTGACCGCGCGTGCACGTGTTCCGGCCTCTCCGCTTCGCCGCTCCGAACCTCCTCCTGGTCGTCCCGGCATTCGTCCACGCGGAGCCGGCTTGGGCGGGGCCCGGGAGGCGGCGGCCGGAGAAGCCGCGGAGACGCGAGCGCCGAGCGTCGCGAGGGAGCAGGCCCGGGCAGGCAAGCGGCGGCCTCCGCCATGAACCCCAGGGGCCTGTTCCAGGACTTCAACCCCAGTAAGTTTCTCATCTACACCTGCCTGCTGCTCTTCTCGGTGCTGCTGCCCCTCCGCCTGGACGGCATCATCCAATGGAGCTACTGGGCCGTCTTTGCCCCCATATGGCTGTGGAAGCTTCTAGTCGTCGCAGGCGCCTCCGTGGGCGCGGGCGTTTGGGCCCGCAACCCTCGCTACCGCACCGAGGGAGAGGCCTGTGTGGAGTTCAAAGCCATGCTGATCGCTGTGGGCATCCACCTGCTGCTGCTCATGTTCGAAGTCCTGGTCTGCGACAGGGTGGAGAGGGGCACCCACTTCTGGCTGCTGGTCTTCATGCCTCTCTTCTTCGTGTCCCCCGTGTCCGTGGCTGCCTGCGTCTGGGGCTTTCGACACGATAGGTCGCTGGAGCTGGAGATCCTGTGCTCGGTCAACATCCTGCAGTTCATCTTCATCGCCCTAAAGCTGGACAGGATTATTCACTGGCCGTGGCTGGTGGTGTTTGTGCCCCTGTGGATCCTCATGTCGTTCCTTTGCCTGGTCGTCCTCTATTACATCGTCTGGTCCCTCCTGTTCCTGCGGTCCCTGGATGTGGTTGCCGAGCAGCGGAGAACACACGTGACCATGGCTATCAGTTGGATAACGATTGTCGTGCCTCTGCTCACTTTTGAGGTCCTGCTGGTTCACAGATTGGATGGCCACAATACATTCTCCTACGTCTCCATATTTGTCCCCCTTTGGCTTTCCTTACTAACTTTAATGGCCACAACATTTAGGCGAAAGGGGGGCAATCATTGGTGGTTTGGCATTCGCAGAGACTTCTGTCAGTTTCTGCTTGAAATTTTCCCATTTTTAAGAGAATATGGGAACATTTCATATGATCTCCATCACGAAGATAGTGAAGATGCTGAAGAAACATCAGTTCCAGAAGCTCCGAAAATTGCTCCAATATTTGGAAAGAAGGCCAGAGTAGTTATAACCCAGAGCCCTGGGAAATACGTTCCCCCCCCTCCCAAGTTAAATATTGATATGCCAGATTAAACTCCTAGAGAGGACCCAGGCACACACAGACTCCACTTGGCCTTCGCCTCTTGTTCATTCATCCCAAACCTGGAAATGGAAACAGGCTTCAAACACTCGTCTCACGCCGTGTTTGAGATCACCGCCTCATCAGTATGCATCATAGATGGAGGTGGTTTCAGTATGTGGGTGTGTGTGATGTGTACCTGGGTAAGAGACTTGCTTTCCAGGTTCGCACTTTCAGGTGTAGCTGGGGGCAGTAAGTCGAATTGTTTTAGTAGGTCCTCAAAAGGAATAACCACACAGCTGTTTGTTTAAATGCTACTGTACCTATCAAAACTATTGTTTAAAAAGTATTTTTATACACTGCTAATCTAAAATTGTATTTCAGATTGTGCCTGTCATAACAATAGCAAATGTAAAAAGTTCTCTTTCCCACCACTTGTTTATAAACCTCATAGTTGATATTTTTAGTGTTCCTACTGTTAAAATACTCTCTCCTTGGGCTTTGCTGATACTGGTCTTTAATATTCTGATAGGTGAATTTTTCTAATGGAATGAACCCATGCATATATAGTATTTATATGAATATTTTAGCAGTGTAATATGTTGAATTCTAGTTCTCTGCATTACCATTATTACGTTAAAGTATTTTTTAAAGCTTAGGTGTGAAGATATGTGTCTATTGCAGATGTCCTTGAAAACTGCATAAAACAGTATGTGCCTGGTGTGGATCTTACCAAAGTACTAGGCATGAATGTAGGGACTGCAAATCCCATGGGTCTTAATATTTAGGTGTTAGTAACCAAGGTCTCTGGTAGTACCCGTTAGTAGAGGAAGAGGCCACTGCCCTTGGGAACTTGTGACAGGCTCTAGTGTGGTACCAGGCCATAAAGTGACACTGTTATTTAGCAACTTGAATTTTTCCACACAGGTAGTAACTGTGTGGAAATAAGCAACAAGTGGTTTGTCCATTTCTAAGAATCTTAAACTATTAGTTGGCTGTAGTGTGAAGCATTACTTGTCATTGGAAAGATGGAGAGAGTGGCCTTAACCGGAAGTGGTCAGTAGAAGCAGGTGTCATTTTAAGGGCCAAACTTTAATCTGTCAGCAATAGGGAAACAACTGTTCAAATTATCTTTGTAGATAAGAACAGTGTTTCTTTTTTCTTTTCTTTTGTTTTTTTGTTTGTTTGTTTTGTTTTGTTTTGAGACAGAGTTTCACTCTTGTTGCCCAGGCTGGAGTGCAATGGCACAATCTTGATCTCAGCTCGCCGCAGCCTCCGCCTCCCGGTTCAAGCGATTCTTCTGCCTCAGCCTCGCGAGTAGCTGGGATTACAGGCATGCACCACCACGCCTGGCTAATTTCGTATTTTTAATAGAGACAGGGTTTCTCCATGTTGGTCAGGCTGGTCTCAAACTCCTGACTTGAGGTGATCTGCCCGCCTTGGCCTCCCAAAGTGCTGGGATTACAGGCGGGAACCACTGCACCCGGCAGGTACAGTGTTTCTTTAGGTGCTGGTGGTACACCAGGGAATCAGGGCAGAAGCTGGATCCTGCAAGAGTAATGTTTGAGAACAAATAAATACTTTCGAAAGGAGGTCGAAACAAAAAGGAGTGTAGGTGTTATTACTGCAGAGAAGACTGAATGGAGTCCACTTTTCTTATTAGTAACTTACTAAAAATGATCTCAAATGGGCTCCACACACTTTGCCCTGGCCATGAGGCAAACTTGTTGGGTTTGGAGAAAAACACATAACCCTAAATTCACTATTTTTGCCCTATATAAAACATTAAAATAACATGCTCTGTACACATGCTGTCAACAAAAGCCAGCTCTAGGAACCTGAGTGCCAGAATGCCTGAGGGAGCTACAGCTGGGCTTAGTTGGCTGGGATTGAGCTCGCTGTCTGAGGGAGCTCGCTCTGTCTCTCTCACACTGGCAGTTTACACCAGCCGGCAGCCCTGAGCAGCAGTGGGTGTAACTTTTTATAAATAAGGATTCATTGATTCATTCATATTCTCAATATTTCTTGAAGACCTACCCCGAGCCAAGCATGGTGCCAGGCAGTGGGGATGCAGTGGAGAGCAAACAGCCCTGCCCATGCAAAGTGTCCTGTACGGTGAGAAGTGTGAGCTGCACCCACAAAGGGAAAGAGCCCAGTGCAGCTTTTGCAAAATGCAGGGAAGGATGCTGCTAGCCTCAGGGTGACCTAGAACTTTAAGCTCATCTTTGTTTTCAGGAGCCCAGTGCCTCCCCTCCACCCCTAAAGAATATCTCAAAGACGTGGATTTTCATTTCAGTAAGATTTAGGGGTGCATGGGCAGGCAGTGCTGGAGGAACTGGGAGGCAGGTTTGGAGGCTGCAGTGGGACCACTGGCCCCTCCTGGCTACAGTTTCAGGCCAGGAGCTTGTTGGCACCTGGTGCAAACTCCCAAACCTGAGGGGTCCCCACAACCCCCCAGCCCATCTTAACTTCCTCTTCCCCCAAGCTATCTGGTGTTGGAAAGCCAGCATCTAGTGTGGAAACAAGCTTTCTCACCAGGTAGGCCATCCGCTGTCAGGACCATTAGGTAAAAACAGAAGTGACAGGTTGTAGGAAGTCGTTCGATCTGTGAGGCTGCGAGCACTTCAGTGCCTGGGATTTACCTAACTGCCATGAAACACTGATTATCCAGCATTCAGCATGTGTCAGATTCTGTAACTATTTCTCCTGTGATGTATCAGTCAGCTTTTGCTGCAAAACAGCATCAGAAATCTCAGTGGTCTACAACTAGATTCCCATTCTTGGGTAGTCTACAAGTTGGCTTCTAGGTTATGCTCCAGGCTGGGGGTCTGATCACGTCTGCTCCACAACATGTCCCGTATTCTGGGTCCCTGGTTGAAGCAGCAGCTTACCTTGGGCCGTGTTCTTTCTCATGGCAGAAGCACAGGAGGCCAAGCCCTACCTTGCAAGCACAAATACAGCCCCTGCTCACTTTCTGTTGGCCACAACACATGGCCATGCCTGACCTCTGTGGGGTGAGGCAGTGCATGGCCAAGGAACAAGCACAGTCCACACAGGGGGCTGTCACTCCGTGACCTCAGTATTACAAAATGGTTCTCAAGGAGTCGCAAAATGTGTGGCAGATCATCCATGATTTGTTTCCCGTGTGCTTTACGAATATCCTGAAATTTTTAAAAGCTGTTTCCATTAGAAGGGATCTGTTGGGGATTTGAGGTGAGATGAGAAAGACCCTGCATTCCAGCCCCTCAGTTAGCAGTGGTGAGGCCGGAGTACTCCACACGGGACAGTTTTAGGAAAGTGCTGGAATCCAAAGTTTCTCCGGAGGGCTATGCAAGGCGCTTTGGAAAGGCGAAGCCTGGGCGCAGGGAGCCCAGCCATGTAGGTAGAAGCAGCAGACGGTGAGGGAGGCCATCCCCACCTGGCCCTGCCAGGGCCCTGACTCAGTGAAGGAAGCTGTTGGGATACAGGTCATTCAGCCGGGCAGGAAAGATGGGATGAAGCCCAGCAAGTTCACAGGGATCCGGGAAGTTGTGTGGCTGGAAACCCAGGCAGGGCTGCACCACAGGGACCATTTGCTGGAGATGCAGCACTTGCCACAGCCACCACCACTGACAGCATGACACCCACAAAAAGGGAGCCTCCAGCTGCACCCCTGCTGCTGCGAGTACTTCCTCAGCTGTCTGCCATGAGCTTAAGGTTAAGTACCAGGAGGGAGGATATGATTGGGCAAACCTCAGGCATGTGTTCATTCTGTAGCTTCCAGAACATGCGAGGAGAGAGCATCTGGCTCCTTTGTCTCGAGGAGGAGGGGGCAGGACTCTGCCAGAACTCACTCGATAAAAGATTTTCCCAAAAGGAAGGGTGTTCAGATGACAAAAGTCCACTACACCACTTTCCTTGGCTATCTGATGCACCCCCATCTTCCCATGCGCGCACCTCAGAAATCAGGCTCCCACCTGACATAACACAACCATGCCTCACAAAAAGACAGTGGTTTATCCCTTCCCTAGGAGAAAAGAGAGGCAATGCCAAGCTGCTTCATCAACTGTTAATACTTCTTCCAGCCCGCAACCCAGGATATCTGCAGGTGTCTCTCCCTCTGGTTTGGTCATGGCTCTCTCTGTTCTAGAATGTATGGGTTAAAGTCGGCTGCCACACCATGCCCTCGGCAGTGTGGTCCAAGGACCCCTGAGGGTCCTCAAGGTCCTTCCTTTCCCAACCCCACGTGGTTTTCTTCAGTCAGGATACCATACTGCAACAGACCGAAGGCGGAAGCAGCTATGAGGATGCAGCAGCCTTCTGTTAAGCCAGGCTTTAAGGATCTGCAAAAATGTAAAACGATGCCACTCCTACTGATGAAATATATTGTTTTGGAAAATATAGGTTTAAAAATTTTTTTAAGGTAACATGTAATGGATGTATAGTCTTCAAATGGATGAATAAATGTTTTTCAGAGTTATTGGCTTTAACTTCTAAGATGCTAAATGTTGACGTAGCTCATAAACAAAAGCCCGTTGAGGTCCTCGGTCATTTCAAGAGTGTGAGGGGGTCTTGTGACCAAAGCATTTGAGAACTGCTGTCCTATATTATCATGGGGGAAAGAGAGGATAAAGAAAATAGAAGTTTAATGAATTAAAATCTGTGCTTTAACCTTTAGCCTAACCCCTGAATAGGCTTGAGTGGGGGGTTGAACGATGAATTGTGGCTGAATAAAAACCTAGCATATTGGAGAAGTTAAATATCTGTAATGGGTACTTTAGTTTAAGATTATTAGTTATGAGCTTGAGCTCTATTGCTAGTAAGAGGCCTAAGGTGGTTACACCTAGGGCTGTGAGCTTTAGGTGAAGTGGTATAGTTGTTTGGGGGGGATGAAGCAGGAATAATACTGTTGGTCATGAGGAATCCAGCAAAGATACTGCCGATTGTTAGGTGCTTAATTGAGTTAATTAGGAAGGGATTATTTTCATTAATAATAGAGTTATGAAGTGAGGTTGTCCTATTAGAGTGAAGAAAATAATTCGGGTACTATAGACAGCTGTTAAAAAGGTGGCAATAAGAGTAATAGAAAGGGCTCAGGCGTTGGTGTATGATGTATTTGCGGTTTCGATGATAAGGTCTTTAGAGTAAAAGCCTGTGAGGAAAGGCATATCTGTAGGTGCAAGGCTGCCAATAATAAGGGAAGAGGAAGTGAAGGGTAAAGTCTTGAATAGTCCTCCTATTTTACGGATATCTTGTTCATCATTGAGGTTATGGATAATGGAGCCTGAACATATAAATAATATAGCTTTTTAAAAGGCGTGGATGCAGATGTGAAGGAATGCTAGGTGTGGCTGATTAATACCAATTTTGACTATCATAAGGCCCAGCTGGCTTGAGGTGGAGACTGCACCTGCGCAGGTGCTAGGCGGGGCCAGCAGTGGGCGTGGTCTTTCCGGGCCCGGGATTGGTGAAGGCTCCGGGGCTGACGAGGCGAGGCCGGAGCCCTCCCCAGTTTCCTGCTATCCGGAGCCGGGCGGCTCGCCCAGGATACGGAGCCCGGCGGTCACGGGGGAGAAGGTAGCTGTCGGGCATTCCCCTGGCGCTGAAGGGCAGATTGCTGTAAGTAGGGTGGTAATAGCCCCTAGACATAATGTAAAGGTTTGGATGAATAGGTTATTTTCTATTAAAGAGTAGAAACGGATGAGTAGGAAAACTGCTACAACTACAGTGCTGGAGTGGAGCAGGGCCGAGACTGGGGTTGGGCCTTCTATGGCGGATGGGAGTCAGGGATGGAGGTTGAATTTAGCTGACTTTCCTGCTGCTGCTAAGTAAGTAATGGAAGGGTGTCGGGGATAGGGTTTAGAGTAAACGCTTGTTGAAAGTCTCATGTGTTGGAGGATAAGAGAAATCATGCTATAGCTAAAAATAAAGCCAGTATCGCCGATGCGGTTGTACAGAACTGCTTGGAGGCCTGCTTTTGTTAGCATCTGCTCGGCCATATCATCAGCCAGTTAGAAAGACATGATTCCTACGCCTTCTCATCCGATAAAGAGTTGAAAGGGCCGGGCGCGGTGGCTCACGCCTGTCATCCCAGCACTTTGGGAGGCCGAGGCGGGCGGATCACTGCTTATGCAGGAGATCGAGACCATCCTGACTAACGCGGTGAAACCCCGTCTCTACTAAAAATACAAAAAAATTAGCCTGGCGTGGTGGCGGGCGCCTGTAGTCCCAGCTACTCGGGAGGCTGAGGCAGGAGAATGGCGGGAACCCGGGAGGCGGAGCTTGCAGTGAGTGAGTGTCGCGCCACTGCACTCCAGCCTGGGCGACAGAGCGAGACTCCGTCTGGAAAAAAAAAAAAAAGAGTTGAAAGAGGTTGTTGGTGGTGACCAGAATTAATACTGTGATGAGGAAAATAAGTAAATAATTGAAAAATTGATTGTTAGGGTCTGAGTTTATGTATCATATTGATAATGCTACAACAGATCAGGTAACAAATAGTGCTACTGGGATAAATATTGTGGAAAAGTAGTTTGAAGCTTAGTGAGAGTTTAAGAGTTTGGATTGTCATTGAATGTCAGTTTGAGATAATGACTTCTTGGTCTGTACATATAAACATTGTTGGGATGAGGCTAATGGTGAAGGCGCATACGATAGATATTTTTACGTAGTTTGGGTATGAACCTTTTTTGCAGGGGTTGACTAAGGTGATAATAGTTGGTAGGATTAAGGGGATTAGGGCTATTATAGTAGTGGAAAAATACATATTTGTTACTTTTATTTGGAGTTGCACCAATGTTTTTGGTTCCTAAGACCAATAGACAACTCTAATTCTTTAAAAGTTGAGAAAGCCATGTTGTTAGGCATGGGGGCACAAGTTAGCTGTCCTTGCGTAATTTCTTGGTAGATAAGTTGCAGGCTTCTATTATTAGATCCACAGTCTAAGGTTTCGGTTATACTATAGCTACAGCATGTAAACCCCATAATAATTTTAGGTTTTAAGGGTAATAGAAGGATAGGTGCGACATGTATAAATATTAATGTATTTTCTCGTGTAAAGGAAGGTTTAATACTGTCAATGTAATATGTGAGTGTCCCTTGTTGTATCATGATTAATACATATAGGGAGTAGAGGGCTGTAATTAGTATGTTAAGTCCTGTAAACATAATAGTGATATTTGATCAGGAGAATGAAGCTATGGTCACAAAGAGTTATCCTACTAGATTAATGGTAGGGGGTAAGGCAAGGTTAGTGAGATTTGCTAGAAGTCATCAAGAGGCTATTAGTGGAAGCAGTATTTGAAGGCCTCGGGTAAGTAATATGGTTCGGGTATGGATTTGCTCGTAGTTCAAATTTGCTAGGCAGAATAATAAGGATGAAGTAAGTCCGTGGGCAATTATAAGGGTGACTGCACCTGTAAAGCTTCAAGGGTTTTGGATGAGGATAGCTGTGATAACAAGTGCTATATGGCTTATGCAGGAGTAGGCAATAAGTGATTTTAGATTGGTTTGTCGTAGACAAATAGAGCTTGTCATAACCATTCCTCATAGGGATAATATGAGGAATGGGTAGGCTATATATTCTGTTAGGGGGCTGAGGATAAGGGTAAGCCATATTACACCACAGCCGCCTAGCTTTAGGAGAACTGCTGCAAGTACTATTGAGCCGTCAATAGGGGCTTCTACGTGGGCTTTAGGGAGTCACAGGTGAAGTCCGTATAGAGGTATTTTCACTATAAAAGCCATAATACATGCTAGTCATATAAGATTATTGGATCAGGAGGCTAATAGTTCTTGGGTGGTAAATATCATTACTAGAATATTTAGTGAAACTGAGGTATTTTGAATGTAGACAAGTGTAACAAGTAGAGGGACGGATCCTACTAGTGTATAAATAGGAAATATGAGCTGGCATTGAGGCGCTCTGGTTGCCTACCTCAGCGGGTGATGATAATCAGGGTAGGAATTAGTGTAGCTTCAAAGAGGATATAAAATATAATTAGTTCTGTGGCTGTGAATGCTATAATTAAAATCTGCAGGGAAACCAATATAGAAATATAGAGCTTTTTTTCATGGGGGTGATTCATTGGGCAGGTGATATTGGCTTGCTGGAGTTTGTAGTCAGGCTGTTGAGATTAGAAGGGGGGATGTCAGCGGGTCAGAAAAGATTAATGAGAAGTTGGGTGAGTTATCGTTGAATTGATTAACAAATAATAGGGTAATGAGGCTGATGAGTAGACTGTGGGTAGTCATGTTGATTCAGATTATAGAATTTTTAGAGAATCATGTTATTGGTAACAGTATAATTGTTGGAATAATAATTTTTAGTATTGAAGTAAGTGTAGGTTTTGTACGTAATCTAGACCATATGTGTTAGAGATTGAAACTAGTAAGGCAAGAACTGCGGCTTCACAGGCAGCAAATACTAGGAGGATGATGGGTGTTATGGATGCTAGAATGAAATGTATATTTAAAGTTGTAAGAGTAATTATGATAAATATTGATAGTATGATGGCTTCTAGGCATAATAGGGATGATATTAGGTGGGATCGATAGACTAATACTCCCAGTAGTGCTATGGTATATGCCAATATAATATTGATATAAATAGAGGGCATTTGGCAAATATGGCCTATCATAATCTAATGCGTCAAAATCACTTATTTTGACTTAAACTACTTACCAATTCAACTCAGTCTAATCCTTTTTGGGTTCATTCATAAGTTAAGCCTAGGATTAAAATGATAACTAGTAGAAGGGCTGTGCTGATTGTTAGTGTCAGGTTGTTTGATGGGCTCATGGTAGGAGCAGTAGTAGAGCGATTTCTAAGTCAAAGAGGAGAAATGTGATGGCTACTAGGAAAAATTTTATGGAAAAGGGGAGGTGGGTGGAGGTTATTGGGTCAAATCCGCATTCATAGAGGCTATATTTTTCTATATAAATGTTAAGTTGTGGGAGCCAAAATGTAATTATTAGTAGTAATAGGGCCATTAAGGTGTCGGTTACTAGGGCTAGTGTCAGGTTAATTACTCTCTTTTGGATACTATGGAAACTAATTGTTTGGAAGTCAATGGTACTATTTATACTAAAAGAGTAGGATCCTCATCAGTAGAAAGAGACGTATAAGAATAGTCCTACTACATCTATGAAGTGTCAATATCAGGCAGCGGCTTCAAAGCCAAAGTGGTGGTTGGATGTAAAGTGGAATTTTAATGGGCGGAGGAGGCAGATAGTGAGAAATGTTGATCTGATAATAACATGAAGTCCGTGAAAACCTGTGACTATAAAGAATGTTGGGCCGGGCACCGTGGCTCACACCTGTAACCCCAGCACTTTGGGAGGCTGAGGCAGGTGGATCACGAGGTCAGGAGATCAAGACCATACTGGCTAACACAGTGAAACCCCGTCTCTACTAAAAATACAAAAAGATTAGCAAGGTGTGGTGGCGGGCACCTGTAGTCCCAGCTACTCGGGAGGCTGAGGCAGGAGAATGGTGTGAACCCGGGAGGCGGAGCTTGCAGTGAGCTGAGATTGCGTCGCTGCACTCCAGCCTGGGCAACACAGTGAGACTCCCTCTCAAAAAAAAAAAAAAAAAAGAGAATGTTGAGCTGTAGATTCCATAAGAGATAGTAAAAGGGGTCTCGAAATATTCTGAGATTTGTAGGAGGGTGAAGAGTAAAAGCGGTCTCAAAATATTCTGAGATTTGTAGGAGGGTGAAGGAAATACCTAAGGTGACTGTGATGGAGAATGCTTGAATTATTTGCTTTTGATTACCTTCTGTTAGGCTGTGGTGGGCCCAAGTAATTGAAACTCCTGATGCAAGTAATACAGACGTATTTAGGAGGGGTACTTCTAAGGAGTTGAGGGGAAAAATGCCTGTTGGAGGTCAATGTCCCCCTAATTCTGGAGTCGGGGCTAGACTAGAGTGGTAGAATGCCCAGAAGAAACCAGCAAAGAAGAATATTTCTGAGATAATAAATAGAATTATTCCCTATTGGAGGCCTTTTTGGACAACTGTTGTATGGTGGCCTTGAAATGTACTTTCTTGGATAATGTCATGTCATCATTGGTGTATCGTTAGTGTGTTGGTTAGTAGGTCTAGGGTTAAAAGAGTGATAGAATTAAAGTGAAATCACATGGCCAGGCCAGATGTTATTAGGAGAGCTGAGAGAGCTCCTGTCAGTCGTCAGGGGCTGGGTTTGACTATACGGTAGGCATGTGTTTGGTGGGTCATTATGTGTTGTCATATAAAGGCTTACTAGTAGTGTCAAGACATAAGCCTGAATAAGGGCTATGGTGAATTCGAGAATGGTTAGTAGTATTAGAATAATGAAAGCAATTGAAGCTATGGGAAGACTAATAGTTGATAGTACCAGTGTGGGTCCCCTGATTAAATGTATTAGCAGGTGGTCGGCTGTAATGTTGGCTGTTAATTGCACAGCTAATGCTATCGGTGAATGGATAGGCTAATGGTTTCAATGAGTACTAGTATAGGGATAAGTGGCATAGGTATGCCTTGTGGTAAAAAGTGAGCTAAGGAGATTTTAGTTTTAAAGTGGAAGCCTGTAATTACTGCACCTGCTCACAGGGGACTGCTATACCTAGATTTATTGATAATTGGGTAGTTGATATAAATGAATGGGGTAGAAGCTGGAGGAGGTTGGTTGAGGCAATGAAGATAATTAGGGATATCAGTATAAGGGATCAGGTTCATCCTTTAATGTTATGGGTAATTATTATTTGTTTTAGTGCAAGTTGAATTATCACTGTTGAATGGAAGTTAATCGATTACTAATTAGATGACTGGAAATTGGAAATAGCATGGCAGGAAATAGAATGATTAATATTACTGTGGGTAGACCTAGAATTGTTGGGGTAGTAAAAGAGGTGAATAGATTTTTGTTCATTTTAATTCTCAGGGGGTCTTATGCTTTTGTGTTTTGACTATTTTTGGTGCAGGGGTAATATGATAAATGAAATTTGATAATTTTAACTGAATAATGGTGAATAAATTTATGACAGGATAATAATGGATCACGTGAAAGTGTCTAGTTGAGGCATTCACTGCAGAGGGGTATAGATCCCTTCAGTCTTTAACTTCAAAGGTTAATTATTCAGGGCCTAGCAGGGAAGGAAAAACACAGGTGACTGTCCTTATTTCTGCAACATAGCACAGGACAGCCTCTCTCCACTCCTGATCCTTGTCCTCTGCAGCACCTCGGTTAGTCAGGTCACTGAACACAGCAGGATAACTCACACCTTCATTCGGGGGCCTGAACCCTTTGCTGGTCCTGTTGGCATCTTCCATCTAATCTCAGCACGAGACATGGACGTGCTCAGAGGAGCCTGGGGGATCCCCTGGAAGCTGGCCATGAGCCTCTGTCCTTGTTTTGCAGTGGCAACGCCTTTTCCCCATGATGGTCTGTCAAAGGGGGAGGTGGGGGTTTTCCCGTGGGCTGGGGTAGTTGATCCTGACTACCACGGGGAAACGGGTGGACAGTCACACCCAAAGCTCACCAGCCACCTTCTCTGTTTTCAGGATGTCCTGTTTGTTAAACAGCATCACTGCAGGGAAGGGAGGGTGGAAGTGGGTTTTGAAACCTTCCTCCACCGCAGCAGCTCTCTCGCTCCCTCCCAGTCCCTCTGCCTGTACCCCTGCTTCGCCCCTGGCTCTGGAGCCCCGGTACCCTGCGGTGTGGCCATGCTGGGCCCTCGAAGCTGGGCCGTGTGCTTCCAGCAGAGCATCAGCAACACTCTGGGACAGGATCTTGGACGACATGTTCCATCATGTCTCTTGTCCCCTCCCAGCCCTGTCATAGGCCTGCCCTCTTGGACGTGTAGCTGCCTTCCTTCTTCTCTCCACACCAAGCCTCCTACACTGGCCCCCTCTTGACCTAGGCAGCAGAGCTGAAATATGACTGGCCACTCATGCATGGCAGAAGTCCCATCCCTCACGGCCATGCTGGCATTTTGACCTGGCCCTTTCAGGCTTTAACCCAGTGCCGGCAGTAGTGTGGGAAGTTCAGACTCGTTCACCAGCCTGAGACCCTCCCAGGCCAGCCCCCTACACACTCCGTAAGCAGTAACCAGTGAGAACAGGCCAGGGTTCCAGGCCAGTGTGACACATCCAGCCAGGGCTGCCCCTCAGCACCCAAACCCCCACCACCCAGCTGCCCGCCACTCCCGCCACCCCATCTCCCACTCTGCAGCCTGTTCAGTGACAGGACTCCCTGGTTGGGGCCCTTGCTGTCTTGAACATCACTTAAGGCTCCTTGCTGTACTCAAGGCCTGCCCTGCTCTCCTCTGGGTTCCAGCTGGGCTCAGCCTCACATCCAGTCCTTGTTCCCTGCCCACTTCTTATCCCCTTGGATGGGACACCTGAACCTGGCCTCCCAGCTGACCCTGAGAACCAGACTGGACTCTGCTCTAGCCCAGGGGTGCATGCTATGACCCACAGGGGCTCTGAAAGTGTTAACCACACTCTCAATAGCTGAGGGATCAGCTGGGGCCACCTAGACCCAAGTCTCAGCCTCGGGAGGCCAGACAGGGCCAGGGTGTCTGGTCTAGCATAGTCCCTGATGGCTACCATCCTCCCAACAGGCATCAGGCAGAAGCCATTAGTGGGAAGGAGGGCCTTGCCTGGGAGGTCCCTGGAGAACTGTTTGAGGGCCATTGGCAGAATTTAGCACAAGCTGAGACATTTCATGCAGGCCACCCAGGGGTCCATGGCTGGCCTGTCCAGAAAGGAAAAAGGTACAGGTGCGGCCCTCAGGAGGGCAGCCAGGCCTGTGAGCCTCCAGTGATACAAGTACTGGAGGGATATCCAGTGATACAAGTATGGGAGGGACCACCTGGAACCAAGCAGGACCTGTGGACAGCTGCCCCAGGGAGGAGGAAGAGGTAGTGCTTGAGTGTGAGGTGAGCTTGGTGCAGAAATGGGGTGTCGCAGCATGGGCAGGCCCAGGACAGTAGAGATGGACGATGAACGCATCAGTCAGGGTACCTTTGGAGATCACTGACAGTGACTTAAACAATAAGGAACGTTACAAGAAATCCAGAGGCAGAGTGGCCAGTGAGCAGGGTCCCTTGTTCAACAATTCACCAGGGGTCTCAGTGCTGTCTCCCACCTCTCTGTCGTGTCACCCTCATCCTCAGTTGTTGGTGATAGCTGCCCAAGTCACCTGACACAGCTGCAGGTGTCCCCTACAGATGAGGGGATGGCCAGTAGAAGGGAACAGTTTACCCAAGCATCTCCTTTAATCAGGGAGGAAAACCCTCCGCAGAACCCCTGGGGACTCTTCCTTTATTCCCCTAGGTTGAGGTCAGGGCTCAGACAAATCCTGGCAAACGGGGTGCAGCCGCCACAAGGGTGCAGGCCTGCCATGGTTCCCACCTGACGGTGTGGAAGATGAGCTCCCAAGCTGAGGGCTTCCATGCATGGCAGGGGAAGAGTGGGGACTGCCAAAAAAAAAAAAAAAAAAAAAAAAAAGGAAAAGAACCTAAATGCCCAGGAATTGGGGATTAGTTAAATATATTATACATACATATGCTGGAATTTTTTGTTTGTTTGTTTTTGAGTCAGGGTCTTGCTCTGTCACCCAGGCTGGAGTGCAGTGGCACAGTTATAGCTTACTGCAGCCTGGAACCTCCTGGGCTCATGATCCTCCCACCTAAGCCTTCCAAGTAGCTGGGTCTACAGGCATGTGCCATCATGCCTGACTAATTTTTGTCTTTCTGGTAGAGACGAGGTCTCTATGTTGTCCAGGCTGGTCTTGAACTCCCAGGCTCAAGTGATCCTCCCACCTCAGCCTACTGAGTAGCTGGGACTTTACCACTATACCCAGTTAAATTTTTATTTTTCATTTTTTGTAGAGACAGGGTCTTGCTTTGTTGCACAGGCTGGTCTCAAACTCAAGTGATCCTTCTGCCTTGGCCTCCCAAAGCATTGGAATTACAGGTGTGAGCCACCGTGCCCTGCCTAGGCAGTCTTTTAAAAAGATGTTTTACACAGAATTTGGTAAATTCTTTGAATATTGAATATTGAGTAAATTCTTTGAATACTGAGTCCAAGAAAACTCAATATTATACTAAGTGGAGCTGGGGGAGGCAAGACAGGGGCTAAGAGGGAAATGCGGCCTGAAACACTCTGTTAAGGTGTGTGGGAAAGAGAAGTCTGGAAGAAAATAAGCCAAAGTGACACCGGTGCTTTATTTTTCGACTTTTCTGTATTGAACCATTTTTCTACAATGAGCATGTCTAACTTTTATATTCAGGAGGGTAATTTCTAAGACTGCTCCAGGGCCAGTGAGCACACAGAGGAAGAAGGTCTGAGCCACGTGTGTGGCGGATCTAATAAGGTGGAGGGGGCAGGGTAGGAAGAATGAGGAATTTAGCACAAGCTGAGACTGAGATGTGACCCAGGTGCTGAGGCGGGGGACAATTCAGGAGCACTTCCTGGTGGGGAGGCAAAGGGGCCTCCAGAGGGACCACCTCCAGGAGGACAGAGGGCAGCAGCAGCCCCGCCCCAGGCCCCCGGGCCCTCGGTCCTTGCCTCAGGCTTCCCCTTCCGCTCACAGCAGGGCTTTCCTCTCCCCCTGCACTGCGCCTAACACAGCCAGCCCCCCTGGTGACAGCCTGCATTCATTTTTTTTTTTTATTCTTTTGTATTAATTTTCAGTAGAGACGGGATCTTCCTATGTTGCCCAGGCTAGTCTTGAACTCCCAGGCTCAAGTGATCCTCCCACCTCGGCCTCCCAAAGTGCTGGGATTACAGGCATGAGCCACTACGCCTGGTCACAGCCCACATTCAATAGCTGAAAGGGGGTCTCCCCATAGGCCCTATTACTTCCTGTGTGGTGTCACCTGGAACCTGAGCCCACCCTGAGCAGCCTCAGATTCTTACAAGCCCTGTGGGCAGTGGCCCCCTGCCCCAACAAAGACTGCTCCCAGGTCCAGCCATGGGGCTTGTTTCGGCTCTGGAGGAAGTGGCTGCCATGGTTGTCAGCACTTTCAGAGTGAGAGAATCTAGGGTGTACGGTTCTCTGGTGCAGACTGGCTGTTCCCCTCCATTCACTCTGGCACTTTGAAATCACACAGATGTGGCTATCAGAATGCACTGGCACCATCCTAGAGCCAGAGCCAGAACACACCTTGACAGCAAAGGTCCCGGGAAAAAGAGCTCTCTGCTCAGGGGATGAGGCCTGGGTTTAAATACCCACAGGGGAGCTGTGCGACCCAGGACAGGCCACTGACCTCTCCCAGGGTCATCTTTGGGGGGTGAACTTTGTGAAATCACCAGCGTGGTCACCATTGTGAGCAAAGACGGCCTGAGACACAGAGGAGCCAGGCTGAACTCCAGTGTTCCTGAGTGGGGCTGGAGTACCCCAAGGGTTTCCCACCAAGCTCCCCCTGCCAGCCTTACAGGCATCCCCTGCAGCTGTGCCCGCCCTCAGCGTGCAGCCACGCTGGTGGTCCATGATGCCGTGGGTCAGAGCATCCCTGCACTTGCTCACAGGCGCCCCCAAGTGGCTTGCCCTGGGTGGGCCACAGACATCACTGGGTTTCTCATGCTCTCCTCCCCGAGCCTGAGTGTCAGCTGGGCCCTGCCTGTTTATAACCCCACTGTGCCTGGTGCCTGGTAGGTGATCAACAAATGATTCCTAAGCAAGGGAAGCAAGCACTGGGTGTGGGCCCCCAGGTGACTCACTGATAGACACACCCCCAACCCCTGGCTGCTAGGACAAGGGACAGAGGCACAAGCCAAAGGCAGTTCACCCAGGGAGGGATACAGTGTGTTGGTCTCCTGTAGCGGCCACAGCAATACCATAAACTGGGTGACTGAACACAGGTTTGTTCTCCCACAGTTCTGGAGGGTAAAAGTCCAATATCAAGGTGTCAGCAAGGCCCTGCTTCCTTGTCAGGCCCTGGACGAGGATCCTCTCCCACTCTCTCCTCGTTTGTGGTGGCTTCTGGCAATCCTTGTCATTCTTGCCTTGTGGCTGCAACACTCCAATCTCTGCCTCCATCCTCACATGGCCTTCTCCCCCCATATGTCTGCATTTGTGTCCAAATCTTCCTCCTATAAAGACACCAGTCTCTAAAGTAGGGCCCAAACGAATCCAGTATGACCTCATTTTACCTTGATTATATCAATAAAGACCCCATTTCCAAACAAGGTTACAAATGTAAGTATCAGGGGCTGGACTTGGATACATCTTTTGTTGGGGGTGGGGAGGGAACACAATTCAACCCCAGCAATAAGGGTCACAGGGCAGCTGCCCTAGAACCTGCCCACTATCAGCCCTACCTTAGCCCAGTATGAGCGGGCCTAAATCCAAAGCAGGAGGATTCCTGCCAGCCTGAGGACACTTTCTCAGCCACTGGAACAGCCACTGCCCTCCAGGGTCATCTGGGAGCCTCCCTGCTGCCTCTCAGGACTTCTCTCCCAGACTTCGGGGCAGGGTGACCAGGGTCCTTCTGCTACCAAGAATCCCTCATGGCAGTGTGGGGTCACAGAGCGCTGAGCGGGAGGCTTGCCTGACAGAGGAATGCACAGCTGACCCAGAAACCCCCCGACTGGTCCCTTCCCCGAGAGTCAGTGACTGACGGCAGCGTGTCCACAGAAGCTCTGGAAGCACCAGAATGGAAAAACGCCATCACATACATCCCCAGCACCACTCGGTGCCAGTGGCAGTGGGAGCTTCTGTTAGCAGAGGGAGGAGATGCCCTCTGAACTCTTCCTCCGTGGGGTTCTCAGCAGCCTCTCCCCTTTGTGAATGCTGGCAGCTTCCAGAATCTGGCCATGCCTTCAAGGACCAAGCTAAACTTGCAGTCCTCACCCTAGTCCATCTCTCTGTTTGGGGTTCTATGAAGGTCTGTAGCTGATGGTAAAATTCCTGCTCTTCCTTCAAGTCTTAGTTACAGTGCCACCTCCTTCAGGAGGCTTTCCTTGACACCTCCAATCTCATGGGGATGGATGGGTGGCGGGGGAGTCCCTGGCTTCCATGTCATAGCCCTTACCCTGCGGCCTCAGCACGGTCTGTTTCTACGTCTGATTCCATCACAGGACTGTGACTTCCTTGAGGGTTGGGCTGCGCTGGTTTTCCCTGGGTCCCTGATAGGCCTGGCATATTGTAAATGTAAGAAAAAAATGGATGGGTGAATGAGTGTGTCTGCCCATCCTCCTGAGCCAGCTTCTGGATTGTCCAAAGGGGATAAAGGTGGAGACTCTGGAGCATAGAGAAGGGAAGTTGGTGGCCAGCCGCGGCATGGGTGCAGTGAGAAGCACCCGGAAGCCCCTTGGCAGAGAAGTTGGGCTGGGCAGCCACAGCAGGGCAGCTGCTGGGAGTGGCAGTAGAAGGGCAAAGTTTCCAAGGCCACAGAGATAGACAAAGGCCAGCCAGAGCCACTGTGCTTGCTGGACCATGGACACATACATGCTGGGCACAACCAGGGGACCTCATCCCATGGCTGGGGTCAGAGGGTGCAGAGCTGTAGCCAGCATGGCTCTGGACCCTGGGGCTCACTGCTTCTACCCCCAAGAGGCCAGCCAGAAATAGAAAGCTCTGCTCCACACCCACAGCAGACAAAGCCCAGTGCCTTCTTGGCATGGCCCAGACCTTCCCTCTCCCTGGACAGTGCAGTCTCTGCCAGAGGGACATACACCTTTTCAGCCAGAGGGAGCTGTGGCTGGGGCCATGAGCGGAGCTGGCCCTCTGACCAGCAGGAGCCTGGCCTGGACAGCACAACCCAGTCCTCCAGAACGTGTCACCCACCTGTTAGCCATGGCTGAGAACTCCTGGGCTCTCCAGCCCAGGGTGGCCTGAGGCTCCTTAGCTCCCCCAGCGGCAGGTCCTGGCTGCCCTCAAGCCCTGGGGCTACATCTTTGCCTTCCACCCTCTCTAGAGCAGACACAAACTGTCACCCTCGCAGGCCGAGCACCTTCGTTTCCCAGTGGCCCTCTCATCCCAGAAGTACCAGGAGGCTGGAATCATGGAACCTTGGCTCAGTGCAGTGGTGTGGGGACCTGGACCAACTGCAGCAGCCCCTCCTCACCCCAGTGCTACCCCAGGGGGACTTACTGTACCCTCTTTGGGCTCACAGGCCGTCCTGATGTGTTTTTATGTGACAGGATGGGCTCAGTTCAAAAGCACAAGCAAAGCATGGGAAAGTGATGGCTGGGACCTGGAAAGGGAGGGAAAGGCTGTGTGTTCCCCACCACACAAGCCCAGGCAGGAAGTCCTGCTGCTGCCTGTGACTTGGAGGGGCTGGACTGACTTCCTGGTCACTGAGGCAAGTTCAGGACAGAGACCCTTGGCTAACCTCAGTCTTTCCCACTTCAGCCAGGGGAGGCGGGTCAGTGCCTGCAGTGGAGGGCTGAGCAGCGGCACTCCTGGAGGCTTCCTGCAGCCTAGAGAAACAAGGTGCCCCAGAGCCACTCAGCCCTGTCCAGGTGCCCGGGTCCCTGTAATGATCCATGACGTGCACGCTAGGAAGTTACATAATTGCACTTCATCCGCGGGGTGCCCTATAGGTCCTCTTTCTGGAACACTCTTCAGTCTTTACCATAATCACTTGTGCAATTTCTGACTTCCCCCAAAGTCACTCTGGGAATGCAGGGACTGCTTGCTGCTTTGGAAAGACTGAGTATTGGGTGAAAATTCATTTCTTTTTCACGAGTTCAGAAAGGACTTGAAGTTTCTGCCAGAATTGTTTCTGCCCCTCCCCTTCTAACTGTGCTTTTCTGACTGCAGTATGGATTTCTCGGTTTGGAGATTTTTTTTCACGTGGTCTTGAAGCAATCCATTATTTTAGCTGCTTCAGTTAATTTAGTATTCCTTGAGTTTCTTTTTTTCCCCTAAGAGTTTTCAAATAAGTATATAACTCAGCCACATCAACACTTTTTTTTTTTTTTGACGGAGTCTCGCTCTGTTGCCCAGGCTGGAAGTGCAGTGGTGCGATCTCGGCTCACTGCAAGCTCCACCTCCTGGGTTCACGCCATTCTCCTGCCTCAGTCTCCTGAGTAGCTGGGACTACAGGCGCCCACCACCACGCTCGGCTAATTTTGTTTGTATTTTTTGTAGAGATGGGGTTTCACTGTGTTAGCCAGGATGGTCTCAATCTCCTGACCTCATGATCCGCCCGCCTTGGCCTCCCAAAGTGCTGGGATTACAGGCATGAGCCACTGCGCCCAGCCTACACATATTTTTTTAAAACTGCTTTTGGTTCATTTTCTAGGTCATCTCTCCTTCGATACATCTAAACCCAAGCTCCTACCTCCTAGCCATTCCTTCTGGGGCGTAAGCTTGCTCATTCTTCCTCTCCATTCTTTGGCCTTGCCAGAGGGCAGTGCCAGGCTTCCCTGAAGAAAGAACTTGGCCTCCAAAGCATCTTCTAATGTTGTCTACACTTGCTTTTTTTTTTTTTTTTTGAGACAGAGTCTTACTCTGTTGCCCAGGCTAGAGTGCAGTGGTGTGACCTCGGCTCATGGCAACCTCTGCCTCCTGGGTTCAAGCAATTCTCCTGCCTCAGCCTCCCGAGTAGCTGGGACTACAGGGATGCACCACCACGCCCAGCTAATTTTTGTATTTTTAGTGGAGACGGGGTTTCACCCTGTTGGCCAGGCTGGTCTTGAACTCCTGACCTCAGGTGGTCTGCCCATCTCAGCCTCTCAAAGTGCACTTGCTCTTTCTTTTGATGGATTTTGAAGGTTGCTTTGGTTGCAGCTACTTGAAATAGGAGGTTTTCATTCATCTTCTTGATCTGGTAAGGTCAGACATCAGACCAATTTGTCTAAACATTTAGATTTCTCATCTTTCAGGTTTTTTTCTAAATTATCTATTTTAAGCTTAAGGAAAGAGTTGGACTTTTTGAGTTCTTTATTTTTATTTATTTTTTTGAGTCGGAGTTTCGCTCTGTCACCAGACTGGAGTGCAGTGGCGTGATCTCAGCTCACTGCAACCTCCGCCTCCTGAGTTCAAGCGATTCTCCTGCCTCAGCCTCTCCCCAACAGGAGAGACCATGTCTCAGCCTCCCATGTAGCTAAGACTACAGGCATGTGCCACCACGCCTGGCTAGTTTTATTTATATTTTTAGTAGACACAGGGTTTCACCATGTTGGCCAGGATGGTCTCGATCTCTTGACCTCGTGATCCGCCCACCTTGGCCTCCCAAAGTGCTGGGATTACAGGCGTGAGCTACCGCCCCCGGCCGAGCTCTTTATTAATTGCCTCCAACACTTCCTTTTTTTTTAAATAAGAAAATCATCTCATGAAACTGTAAAGCCCAGATAGGACTGACTTCATAGCAGTCCGCTGGTCCAGTAGCATTTTTTTGTTTTTGTTTTTCATAGGATCTTGCTCTGTCGCTCAGGCTGGAGTGCAGCAATGTGATCATGGCTCACTGCAGCCTCAACCTCCTAGGCTGAAGCAATTCCCCTACCTCAGTATCCCAAGTAGCTGGGACCACAGGTGCATGCCACCATGCCCAGCTAATGCTTTTGATTTTTAGTAGACACAGGTCTCACCATGTTTCCTAGGCTGTCCAGTAGCTCCATGACATCCTCAGGTACCCACATCTATCTGTCTGTGGCCCCCTGTTGGCTTAATTCTCAGTCTGTTCACAAGATGGCTGCAGCAGTTCCAGAGACCAGGTCCAGAGAAACAGGAGAGACCACGTCTCATCCATCAGCTCTCACTAGGAATGAGGAAATGTTCCCCCGAAGCCCTTAGCCAGTTTCTCCCATCTCACTGGCCTCAACTGGGTCACATACCATTGTAAGCGTGCTTGTGTGTGTGTATTTTTTTTTTTTTTTTTGAGATGGAGTCTCATTCTGTCATCCAGACTGGAGTGCAATGGCATGATCTTGGCTCATTGCAACCTCTGCCTCTGGGGTTCAAGCAATTCTTCTGCCTCAGCCTCCCGTGTAGCTGGAAATACAGGTGAGCACCACCACACCCAGCTAATTTTTTGTATTTTTAGTAGAGACGGGGTTTCACCCTGTTGGCCAGGCTGGTCTCGAACTCCTGACCTCAGGTGATCCAACCGCCTCAGCCTCCCAAAGTGCTGGGATTACAGGCATGAGCCACCGTGCCTGGCCGAGTAGTTTTATATATACACACTCATGTATATATGTATATGTGTGTATGTGTGTGTGTGTGTATATATATAATTATGAAATTTGCCATTTTAAGCATTTTAAGCGTATGATTCTGTGGCATTGATTCTATTCACATTGTTGTGCGACTATCAGCACTATCCACTTCTAAACCCTTTCATCATCCCACACAGAAACTGGGTTCCCATCAAACAACAACTTCCCATTCCCTTCCTTCCCCAACCCCTGGTAACCTCTATTCTACTTTCCATCGCTATGAATTTCACTATTCTAGATATTTCAGACACGTGGAATAATAGAGTATTTGTCATTTCGTATAAGGTTTATCACACTTAGCATAATGTCCTCAAGATTCACACACATTGTAGGATGTACATGTGGTATATCCATTGTATATTTATCCATCCATCCATTAATGGACATTTGGGTTGTTCTTACCTTTTGGTTATTATGAATAATGCTGCAGTGAACATTGACTTACAAGTATCTGTTTGAGTCCTTGTTTTAAACTCTAGTGAACATATGCTTTGGGGGAGGATTGCTGAATCATATGGAAATTCTATGTTTAGCTTTTTAGGGAACTGCCAAACTCTTTCCCACACTGGCTGCACCTGCACCATTTTACATTACTACCAGCAATGTATGAGGTTTCCCATTTCTCCATGTCTTCATCAACATTTTCCTTTTTTAAAATGTATAGCGGCTGGGCCTGGTGGCTCACGCCTATAATCCCAGCACTTTGGGAGGCCGAGGTGGGCGGATCATGAGGTCAGGAGATCGAGACCTCATGATGGCCAACATGGTAAAACCCGATCTCTACTAAAATTCAAAAAATTAGCTGGGCCTGGTGGCGCGTGCCTGTAATGCCAGCTATGTGGCAGGCTGAGGCAGGAGAGTCCCTTAAACCTGGGAGGCAGAGGTTGCAGTGAGCTGAGATCACGCCACTGCACTCCAGCCTGGCGACAGAGCAAGACTCCATCTCAAAAATAAAATAAAATAAAATAAATAAAATAAAATAAATAAAATAAAATGTATAGCTATCCTAGTAGATGATGCAGTTGTATTACTGTGGTTTTGACTTGTATTATCCTAATGATTAAGGATATTGACATCTTTTATGTGCTTATTGGCCATTTGCATATCTTCTTTAGAGAAATGTCTATTCAAGACCTTTGCCTGTGTTTTAATTGGATTGTTTATCTTTTTTTGTTGAGCGTTGTTCTTTATGTATTTTGGAGATTCATCTCTTATCAATTATATATTTTGCATATTTTATCCCATCTGTACTTTGTCTTTTAACTTTTCTTGGTAATGTCCGTTCATGTACAAAAGTTTTTAATTTTGATAAAGCCCAATTTTTCTTTGTTGGTGTTGCTCATGCTTTTGGTGTCATATGTAGGAACCCATTGCCAGCTCCAAGGACCTGATTTACCCCTATGCTTTCTTCCAGGTGTTTCAAGTTTAGTTCTTATATTTAGATTGTTGATCCATTGATCAATAATTCTATGAATATTTTATTTACATGATTTTATGAACCATGTAGGGGAGAGGCCAACCTCATTCTTTTTCAAGTGGAAATCCAGTTGTCACAGTACCACTTGTTGAAAAGATAGTTCTTTCACCATTTGGCACTCATGTCAAAAATCAGTCATAGACATATGAGCTTATTTCTGGACTCTCAGTTCCATTGGACCATATATCCTTATGCCAAACCTGTTTTGATTATTGTAGCTTTGTAGTAAGTTCTGACATTGGGAAGTGTGAGTCCGACTTTGTGCTGCCTTTACAGATTGTTTTGGCAACTTCAAGTTTGTGTGTGTGTGTGTGTGTGTGTGTGTGTGTGTTTTAATGCCTTGCGGGGATTTTTTTTTTTTAATGAATTTGAGGATCAGTTTTTCTATTTCTGCAAAAACGCTGTTGGTATTTGAGTAGGATTGCATTGACTCTGTAGATAGCATTGGGTAGTACTGACAACAATATCAAATCTTCCTATGACCATATGATGTCTTTCCATTTCATTAGGTCTTCTTTAATTTCTTTTAGCCATTTTTAAAATTTTTCACTGTGTAAGTTTTCATCTTCTTGGTTAAAGTCATCTTTTGGGTAAAATTTGTTTCTAGGTATTTTATTCTTTTAGATGGTATTATTAAGTACAATTATTTTCTAAATTTCATTTGCAGATTGTTCCTTGCAGATATATAGAACCACAATTGATTTTTGTGTGTTGATCTTGTACCCTTGAACTTTGATGAATTCATTTATTAGTGCTAGTGGCTTTCTTATAGATTCTTTGGGATTTTCTATATATGGGAGTTTTCATCTGCGAATTGAGTTTTACTTCTTCCTCTCCAATTTGGATGCCCTTCATTTCTTTTTCTTGTCTAATTGCTCTGGCAAGAACTTCCAGTACATCGTGGAATAGCAGTGGTAAAGTGCACATCTTTGTTTTGACCCTGATCTTAGAGAAAAATCTTTCAGTCTTTCACCATTGAGTATGATGTTAGCTCTAGGTATTTCATATATGGCTTTTGCCATGTTGAAGAAGTTTCCATATACTTCTCGTTTTCTGAGTGGGTTTTTTTGTTTGTTTGCTTGTTTGGTTGGTTGGTTGGTTTTTTGAGACACAGTCTCACTCTGTTGCCCAGGCTGGAGTGCAGTGTCGTGGTCTCAGATCACTGCAACTGCTACCTCCAAGTTCAAGGAATTCTCATGCCTCAGGCTCCCAAGAAGCTGGAATTACAGGCATGTGCCACCATGCATGGCTAATTTTTGTATTTTTAGTAGAGACGGGGTTTCACCATGTTGGCCAGGCCGGTCTCGAACTTCTGACCTCAAGTGATCTGCCCGCCTTGGCCTCCTAAAGTGCTGGGATTACAGGCATGAGCCACCGTGCCTGGACTTCTAAGTGTTTTTATCATGAAACAGTGTTAGCTTTTGTCAAAGGCCATTTCTGTGTCAATTGAGATGATTCTGTGATTTTTTTTTTCATTCTACTAATGTGATGTATTATTTTGATTAAGTTTCTGATGTTGAACCACCCTTGCATTCTTGGATAAATTCCACTTAGTCATTGTGTGTGATCATTTTAATATGCTGTTGGATTCAGTTTCTAATATTTCTTTTTTTTTTTTTTTTTGAGACAGAGTCTTGCTCTGTCACCCAGGCTGGAGTGCAATGGTGTGATCTCGGCTCACTGCAACCTCCGCCTCCTGGGTTTAAGCGATTCTCCTGCCTCAGCCTCCCAAGTAGCTGGGACTACAGGCGTGCGCCACCATGCCCGGCTAATTTTTGTATTTTTAGTAGGGACGGGATTTCACCGTGTTAGCCAAGATGGTCTCGATCTCTTGACCTCATGATCTGCCCGCCTTGGCCTCCCAAAGTGCTGGGATTACAGGCATGAGCCACCGTGCTCAGCTTCAGTTTGCTAATATTCATATGAGGATTTCTGTATCTATATTCTTAAGGGATATTGGTCTGTAATTTTCTTATGATTTTCTTTATCTGATTCTGGTATCAGGGCAATGTTGGCCTCATAGAATGAATTAGGAAGTATTCCCTCCTCTTCTATTTTTTTGGAAGATTTTAGAAGGACTGGTGTTAATTCTTCTTTAAATGTTTGATAGAATTCAGCAGTGACACCATCTGATCCTAGACTTTTCTTTGTTCTTTTCTTTATTGTTTCAATCTCCTATTAGTTATAGATCTATCCAGATTATCCAGGATTTTCTTCATGATACACTTTTGAGGAGTTGTGTGTTTCTAGGATTTTATCCATTTCATCTAGGTTATCCAGTTTGTTGGCATACAATTGTTCGTAGCATTCTCTTATAATCCTTTGTTTAATTAGGTTGGTAGTAATAGAACTGTTACTGTTCCCACTTTCATTTCTGATTTCAGTTATTTGTGTCTTCTCTCATTTTTACTAAGTCTAACTAAAGGTTTACCAATTTTGTTGATCTATTCAAAGAACCAATCTTTGGTTGTGTTGATTCCCTCTATTGTTTTCTTTTCTTTTTTTTTTTTTTTTTTTTTTGAGACGGATTCTTGCTCAGTCACCCAGGCTGGAGTGCAGTGGTGCGATCTAGGCTCACTGCAAGCTCCGCCTCCCGGGTTCACACCATTCTCCTGCCTCAACCTCCCAAGTAGCTGGGACTACAGGCACCCACCACCATGCCCAGCTAATTTTTTTGTATTTTTAGTAGAGATGGGGTTTCACCATGTTAGCCAGGATGGTCTTGATCTCCTGACCTTGTGATCCACCCATCTAGGCCTCCCAAAGTGCTGGGATTACAGGTGTGAACCACCACGCCCAGCTGGGTTTTCTATTCTCTTATTTATCTCTACTCTAATTCTCATTATTTCCTCCCTCCTGGTAGCTTTAAGTACAGTTTTTTCTTCTTTTCCTACTGCTTCAAGCTATAGAGTTAGGTTATTGATTTGAGATCTTTCTTCTTTTTAAATGTAGGCATTTACAGCTATATCTTTCCCTCAGCAATTCTAATTTCCCTTGTGATTTCTTCTTTGATGACTGGTTGATTTTAAAGTGTTTTAATTTCCACATATTTTTACATTTTCCAATTTTTCTTCTATTGATTTTAGCTTTATTAATTGTGGTCAGAGAAGATATTATTTCAGTATTTAAAAAGAATTTTAAGAGACAGCGTCTTGCTCCATCACCCAGACTGGAGTGCAGTGGCACAATCATAGCTCACTGCAGCCTCAAACTCCTGGGCTCAAGCAATCCTCCCACCTCAGTCTCCCAGGTAGCTGGGACTACATGCATGAATGCCTGGCTTGATTTAAATACTTTTAAATTTACTGAGAACTGTTTTTTTGCCTGTCACAGTCAGTTTGAATTGCTATAACAAAGGACCATAGACTGGGTGGCTTTTATGCAACAGAAATTTATTTCTCACAGTTTGGAGGCTAGAAATCTGAGCTCTAGGTACCAGCAAGATTGGATTCTGGTCATCTAAGTTGCAAACTGACTGCCAACTTCTCATTGTATCCTCACATGATGGAAAGAGGGCTAGCTATCTCTCTAGCTCTCTGGTCTCTTCTTATAAGGACACTTAATCCTATTTATGAGGGCTCCACCCTCATGACCTAATTACCTCCCAAAGGCCTCGCCTCCAAATGTCATCACACTGGGATTAAGCTTTCAACATATGAATTTGGGGGGAACATTCAGTCAACTGCATGGCCTACTATATGGTTTACCTTGGAGAATATTCCATGTGTACTTAAGAATGTGCATTCTGCTGCTGTTGAATGGAATGCTCTGTATATGTGTGTTAGGTCCTATTGGTCTATTTTGTTGTTCACATCCTCTATTTCCTTATTGCTATTCTGTCTAGATATTCTATTATTGAAAATAGAGTTTTTTGGGGTTTTTTTTTTTTTTTTTTGAGACAGTCTTGCTCTGTCACCCAGGCTGGAGTGCAATGGTGCGATCTCGGCTCACTGCAACCTCTGCTTCCCAGGTTCAAGCGTTTTTCCTGCCTCAGCCTCCTGAGTAGCTGGGATTAAGGCATGCGCACCACTCCCAGCTTATTTTTTGTATTTTTAGTAGAGACAGGGTTTCATCGTGTTGGCCAGGCTGGTTGTGAACTCCTGACCTCAGGTGATCCACCCACCTCAGCCGCTCAAAGTGCTGGGATTACAGGCATGAGCCAACATGCCCGGCCGAAAGTAGCGTTTTCTTATTGCTATTCTGTCCAGTTATTCTCCCTATTACTGAAAGTAGAGTATTGAAGTCTCCAATTATTATTGTAGAATTTTTTACTCCCGATTATTCTGTCAGTGTTGCTTCATATATTTGGGTGACCTCTTATTTGGGGCATATATGTTTATAATTGTTATACTAATACATTCTTAATGAATTAACCATTTTATTAATATATAATGTCTTTGTCTCTTGTAACAATTTGCATTTAAAGTCAATTTTTTTCTGGTATTAGTATAGCCACCCCTGCTCTCTTTTGGTTACTATTTGCATGAAATATCTTTTCCTATCATTTCAATTTCAGTCTATTTGTATTTTTGAATCTAAAGTGACTCTTTAGACAGTATATAGTTGAATCATTTTTTTTATCCATTCTGCCAATCTTCTTTTTGACTGGAAAGTTTAAGCTATTTAAAGTAATTATTGATAAGGAAAAACTTAATTCTGCCATTTTGCTATTTGGTTTTGTTATATCTTATACATTTTTTTGTCCTTCATTTCCTCCATTACTGCCTTCTTTTATGTTTGGTTGACTATTTGTAGTGAACCATGTGATTCCCTTCTCATTTACTTTTTTGTATAATTTTTAGATATTTTCTTTGTGATTAGCATGGGTATTACATTTGGCATCCTCAATTTATAACAGTCTATTTTAAATTAATACCAACCTAACTTTAATAGCATATAAAAACTTGGCTCCTGGAGAGCTCCATTCTGTCCTCCTTCATGATGCTGCTGTTGTCATCACAATTAACATGTTTATATATTGTGTGCTCAGTATTGATTTATAATTATTTTTATACATTTAAATTCTACAGGAAATAAAAAGTGGAATTACAAACTAATGTTATAATAATACCTACTTTTATATTTGCCCATATGTTTACCTTTACTGGAGATCTTTACTTCTTCATATGACTTTAAGCAACTGTCTGGCATCTTTCCTCCCTGTCCCCCGCTTTATTAAGGTATAATTAACGAATACAAATTTTGTATATTCACAGTGCACAATGTGATGTTTTAATATAGCATCTTTTCCTTTTAATCTGAAGGACTCCTTTTAGCATTTCTTGTAGGGCAAGGCTAGTGGTAACAAACTCCCTCTAATTTTATCTGGAAATGTCTTAACTTCTTCCTCATTTTTGAAGGACGGCTTTGATGGATATAGAATTCTTCTATATGGATGACAGTTTTTTTTTTTCTTTCAGCCCTTCAAATGTCATACTGCCATCTCTGGCCTCCATAGTTTCTGATGAGAAATTGGCCATAAATCTTATTCACATGTGTGTAATGGGTCACTTCTCTCTTGCTGCATTAAAGACTCTCCATTTGTCTTTTGCTTTTGGCAATTTGATTATTTTTATTTATTTATTATTATTATTATACTTTAAGTTTTAGGGTACATGTGCACAATGTGCAGGTTAGTTACATATGTATACATGTGCCATGCTGGTGCGCTGCACCCACTAACTCGTCATCTAGCATTAGGTATATCTCCCAATGCTATCCCTCCCCCCTCCCCCCACCCCACAACAGTCCCCAGAGTGTGATGTTCCCCTTCCTGTGTCCATGTGTTCTCATTATTCAATTCCCACCTATGAGTGAGAACATGCAGTGTTTGGTTTTTTTGTCCTTGTGATAGTTTACTGAGAATGATGATTTCCAATTTCATCCATGTCCCTACAAAGGACAGGAACTCATCATTTTTTATGGCTGCATAGTATTCCATGGTGTATATGTGCCACATTTTCTTAATTCAGTCTATCATTGTTGGACATTTGGGTTGGTTCCAAGTCTTTGCTATTGTGAATAATGCCGCAATAAACATACGTGTGCATGTGTCTTTATAGCAGCATGATTTATAGTCCTTTGGGTATATACCCAGTAATGGGATGGCTGGGTCAAATGGTATTTCTAGTTCTAGATCCCTGAGGAATCGCAACACTGACTTCCACAGTGGTTGAACTAGTTTACAGTCCCACCAACAGTGTAAAAGTGTTCCTATTTCTCCACATCCTCTCCAGCACCTGTTGTTTCCTGACTTTTTAATGATTGCCATTCTAACTGGTGTGAGATGGTATCTCATTGTGGTTTTGATTTGCATTTCTCTGATGGCCAGTGATGGTGAGCATTTCTTCATGTGTTTTTTGGCTGCATAAATGTCTTCTTTTGCGAAGTGTCTGTTCATGTCCTTCGCCCACTTTTTGATGTGGTTGTTTGTTTTTTTCTTGTAAATTTATTTGAGTTCACTGTAGATTCTGGATATTAGCCCTTTGTCAGATGAGTAAGTTGCGAAAATTTTCTCCCATTTTGTAGGTTGCCAGTTCACTCCGATGGTAGTTTCTTTTGCTGTGCAAAGCTCTTTAGTTTAATTAGATCCCATTTGTCAATTTTGGCTTTTGTTGCCATTGCCTTTGGTGTTTTAGACATGAAGTCCTTGCCCATGCCTATGTCCTGAATGGTATTGCCTAGGTTTTCTTTTAGGGTTTTTATGGTTTTAGGTCCAACGTTTAAGTCTTTAATCCATCTTGAATTGATTTTTGTATAAGGTGTAAGGAAGGGATCCAGTTGCAATTTGATTATAATGTGTCTGATGTGGTCTTATTGAGTTTATCCTACTCAGAGTTTGTTAAGCTTCTTGGGTTTGTAGGTTTATGTCTTTCATCAAATTTGGGGCATTATGGGCATTATTTCCTCAAATGTTATTTGACTCTTTCTCTCTCTCCTCTTTCTGGAATTCCTATTTGTTTTTTTCTTTTTTCAAAAAGACTAGTCAAGTACAGTAGTGAGAAGGGAAGAAAAAGTAGAACAAGGATTTCAATCTGTGACTGACTGTGAACAATCATTTGAGATGAATCACTACCTTCAGGCCAACCAGGAACTCCTATTTGTATATTGGTCTGCTTGATGGAGTCCCATGGGTCCCTTAGGATTTGTTCACTTTTCTTCATTCTTTTTTCTTGCTGTTCCTCAGATGTGATAATTTCAATTGTCCTATCTTCAAGTTCACGGATTCTTTCTTTCGTCTGTTCACATCTGCTATTAAACCCCTCTAGTGAATTTTCATTCAATTACTGTACTTTTTCAGTTCCAGCATTTGTTTGGTTCCTTTTTATTATTTCCACCTCTTTACTGATATTCTTATTTTGTATACATAGTTGTTCTGTTTTCCTTTAGTGTTTTGTCCATGTCTTTAGCTCTTTGAGCATATTTAAGAAAGTCTAGAATTTCTGACATCTAGCCTTCCTCAGGGATGATTTCTGTTGTATATTTATTGCCTCTGAATGTGCCATATTTTCCTCTTTGTATGCCTTGTGATTTTTTTCTTGAAAACTGGACATTGAAATATTATAATGTATTAACTCTGGATATCAAATTCTCCCCTTTGCTCAGGTTTTTCTGTTTTTTTTTTTTTAATTGGTGAAGGACATAGTAGTCCATTTGTTTAGTGACTTGCTCAAAATATTATTGGAAAGACTGTAATAATTCTTGTTGGGTGTGGTCACTTGTGTTCAGCTAGTGTTTTGACAGATTTCTTTGAGTGCCAGGAGCTAAAACAAACAGACAAAAAGTAAAAGTATCTCTCCCAGGCCTTGCAAATTCACTGTGTCCTAGGACCCTCCTTTAACATTTTGGGCATTTTCTTTGCACTATGGCTTGCACTATGTCTAGGAATAAGCCCCAGGGGAAAATTTAGGTCTTTTCTGAGCATGGGTCTTGCCCTGGGCACATGTGTGGCTTTCTAACTTCCCCAGTATAAACAGCTGCCTTGAATGTCCTAATTTCCCAAAGAAATTTTCCCCAGTTTTGACACAGGCAGTCTATTATGTGTTTCAACTATTATCTTTGGCTCCAGGTGTCTGAGGGTTGTTAGTTCTGCTTGAAGAATTTCTGAGTGATGCTCACTGCTCTTCTGGCCTGAATTCCAAGTTAGGTAAAACAGAGATGAGCACCTTACATCAGTCCCTCAGGTACTTTGTGTCTTTCAAGGAATATGTTATTTATTCTAAGTTGCCAAATGCATTGGCATAAAAGGTTCATGGTACTCCCTAACTATCCTTATTAAGGTCTGATGATTCTGTAGTTCTATCACCTCTCATATTCCTCATGTTAGTAATTTGTGACTTCTCCTTTTTTTTTTCTCCTGATTTAACTCATGAGAGGCTTATGAATTTTATTGGTCTCAAAGAACCATCTTTGGCGACTTTTATTTCCTCTATAAATTTTCTGTTTTCTTTTTCACTGATTTCTACTCTTTAGTGTGCCCTTATTTCTGCTTATTTTGGATTTCATTACTTTTCTCATTTTTCTGTTTTCGTAAGGTAAGGATTGAGGTCATTGATTTGAGACCTTTCCTAATATAAGCCTTTAGTGCCATAAGTTTTCTTCTGTGTACTACTTTAGCTGCTGCTTGCAAATTTTGAGATTTTTATGTTTTTATATTCATTCATTTCAAAATACTTTTAATTTTCCTTTTAATTTCTTCTTTGACCAGTAAGTAATTTAGAAGTGGGTTATTTCATTTCCAAATACCAGAGGATGTTCCTGATACCTTTCTGTCATTGATTTCTAGTTTAATTCCATTATCGTCAGATAATATACTTTGCACGATATGAATCTTTTAAAAGTTATCGAGACTTGTTTCATGGCCCAGAACACAATCTATCTTGGTAAATCTTCAATGTGCACTAGAAAATGATGTGCATCATAGTGCTAGTAGGTGAAGTGTTTTATAAACGTCAATTAGGTCAGGATGATTGATAGTATTGTCCAAGTTGTTATATCCTTACAGATTTTCTGTATATTGAGAGGGGTGTTGAAGATATTTCTGACTATAATTGAGAATCTGTATATTTTTCTTTATAATTCTATCAGCTTTTGCTTCATGGATTCTGAAGCTCTTTTGTTTAGTGCATACCCATTTGGGATTATGTCTTCTTGGTGAATTTACTCTTTCATCATTATGTAATGTCTGCCTTTCTTCCTGGTAATTTTCCTTGCTCTCACTTCAGTGTTTTTGTATTATTGAGGTAAAATTCACAAAACATAAATTATTTAAAAGTGTACAATTCAGTGGCATTTAGTACATTCACAGTATTGTACAGCCATCACCTCTATCAAGTTCCAACACATTTTCATCACCGCCAAAGGGGACTCATTAAGTACTTGTTCCAAATTCCCCACCCTTCTGCTCCTGGGAACCAGTAATATGCTTTTCTTTCTCTATGGATTTGCCTACTTTTCATATGTCATATTATCGGAATCATACGATATGTGACCTCTTGTGCCTGGCTTGTTTCACATAGCATAATGTTTTCAGGGCTTATCCATGTCATACCATTTAGCAGTACTTCATTCCTTTCTGTGGCTGAATAATAGTCCATTGCAGATACATCAGATTTTGCTTATCCATTTATCCAGTGATGGACATGTGGGCTATTCTGACCTTTAAACTATTGTTAATACGGCTGCTATGAACTCAGGTTTATTTTTGGTGCTTGCCTATCTCAGATTGTTTCTATTTTATGGACTTCACTATCCTCATTTGCTTCAAAGTCTGTCCTCTATGATACTTTACCAAGACTGCCCTCCCTTCACAAGTCACCAGGTTTCAATATGGCCTGATCATCGCCCCCCCTGCAACCCCAAATCCCTACACAACCTGTGTCTACATGCAGGCCAGGGAAGGGCCTCCCCCTCCAGTGGAGTGGAACTTTGTGTGTCATACTAAGGCCATGTCATCCAGGAAATAACTGATGAAAGAAGAGCCTTATTAAGCCAAGTAAATCTTTAGCTTTATGGCCTTTTAAGCAATGTGACAACAGAGTGAAAATTCCACACACTTCTGTGAGCAGCTGTTTTGACCCTTTTGGACTCAATTTCCATAAAATCTGTTTTTCAGAGCTGTTTCCATTTTTCCAATTCCAAATCTTCACTTCAGGCTCTCTAAAACCCCCACCAAATGGCAGTGGACTCCTCATACAGCCTGGTGCCATTGCTCTTGATTTGCCAAGGTGCCCAGTTTTTTTTTTTTTTTCTTGAATGCACAGTTATCTTATCTGAGTACACTCATTTTTTTCACATTATATTATGAAGCTCTTAATATAAACATTGAACCAGTACCTATATGTCTTCCATCACAGCACCTAGGGGCTAAGTATAGTATATATGACTTAGAGGATTTTCCCATTGTTTGCTTGTCTTTTAAATGTTTTTTTTTTCTCTTATTTTATTTTATTATAATTATACTTTAAGTTTTAGGGTACATGTGCACAACTTGCAGGTTTGTTACGTATGTATACATGTGCCATGTTGGTGTGCTGCACCCATTAACTCCTCATTTAGCATTAGGTATATCTCCTAATGCTATCCCTCCCCCCTCCCGCCACCCCACAACAGTCCCCGGTGTGTGATGTTCCCCTTCCTGTGTCCATGTGTTCTCATTGTTCAATTCCCACCTATGAGTGAGAACATGCGGTGTTTGGTTTTTTGTCCTTGCGATAGTTTGCTGAGAATGATGGTTTCCAGCTTCATCCATGTCCCTACAAAGGACATGAACTCCTCATTTTTTATGGCTGCATAGTATTCCATGGTGTATATGTGCCACATTTTCTTAATCCAGTCTATCGTTGTTGGACATTTAGGTTGGTTCCAAGTCTTTGCTATTGTGAATAGTGCCGCAATAAACATATGTGTGCATGTGTCTTTATAGCAGCATGATTTATAATCCTTTGGGTATATACCCAGTAATGGGATGGCTGGGTCAAATGGTATTTCCAGTTCTAGATCCCTGAGGAATCGCCACACTGACTTCCACAGTGGTTGAACTAGTTTACAGTCCCACCAACAGTGTAAAAGTGTTCCTATTTCTCCACATCCTCTCCAGCACCTGTTGTTTCCTGACTTTTTAATGATTGCCATTCTAACTGGTGTGAGATGGTATCTCATTGTGGTTTTGATTTGCATTTCTCTGATGGCCAGTGATGGTGAGCATTTCTTCATGTGTTTTTTGGCTGCATAAATGTCTTCTTTTGCGAAGTGTCTGTTCATGTCCTTCGCCCACTTTTTGATGTGGTTGTTTGTTTTTTTCTTGTAAATTTATTTGAGTTCACTGTAGATTCTGGATATTAGCCCTTTGTCAGATGAGTAGGTTGCGAAAATTTTCTCCCATTTTGTAGGTTGCCAGTTCACTCTGATGGTAGTTTCTTTTGCTGTGCAGAAGCTCTTTAGTTTAATTAGATCCCATTTGTCAATTTTGGCTTTTGTTGCCATTGCTTTTGGTGTTTTAGACATGAAGTCCTTGCCCATGCCTATGTCCTGAATGGTATTGCCTAGGTTTTCTTCTAGGGTTTTTATGGTTTTAGGTCTAACATGTAAGTCTTTAATCCATCTTGAATTAATTTTTGTATAAGGTGTAAGGAAGGGATCCAGTTTCAGCTTTCTACATATGGCTAGCCAGTTTTCCCAGCACCATTTATTAAATAGGGAATCCTTTCCTCATTTCTTGTTTTTGTCAGGTTTGTCAAAGGTCAGATAGTTGTAGATATGTGGCATTATTTCTGAGGGCTCTGTTCTGTTCCATTGGTCTATATCTCTGTTTTGGTACCAGTACCATGCTGTTTTGGTTACTGTAGCCTTGTAATATAGTTTGAAGTCAGGTAGCGTGATGCCTCCAGCTTTGTTCTTTTGGCTTAGGACTGACTTGGCGATGCGGGCTCTTTTTTGGTTCCATATGAACTTTAAAGTAGTTTTTTCCAATTCTGTGTAGAAAGTCATTGGTAGCTTGATGGGGATGGCACTGAATCTATAAATTACCTTGGGCAGTATGGCCATTTTCACGATGTTGATTCTTCCTACCCATGAGCATGGAATGTTCTTCCATTTGTTTGTATCCTCTTTTATTTCATTGAGCAGTGGTTTGTAGTTCTCCTTGAAGAGGTCCTTCACATCCCTTGTAAGTTGGATTCCTAGGTATTTTATTCTCTTTGAAGCAATTATGAATGGGAGTTCACTCATAATTTGGCTCTCTGTTTGTCTGTTATTGGTGTATAAGAATGCTTGTGATTTTTGTACATTGATTTTGTATCCTGAGACTTTGCTGAAGTTGCTTATCAGCTTAAGGAGATTTTGGGCTGAGACAATTGGGTTTTCTAGATATACAATCATGTCATCTGCAAACAGGGACAATTTGACTTCCTCTTTTCCTAATTGAATACCCTTTACTTCCTTCTCCTGCCTGATTGCCCTGGCCAGAACCTCCATCACTATGTTGAATAGGAGTGGTGAGAGAGGGCATCCCTGTCTTGTGCCAGTTTTCAAAGGGAATGCTTCCAGTTTTTGCCCATTCAGTATGATATTGGCTGTGGGTTTGTCATAGATAGCTCCTATTATTTTGAGATACGTCCCATCGATACCTAATTTATTGAGAGTTTTTAGCATGAAGCGTTGAATTTTGTCAAAGGACTTTTCTGCATCTGTTGAGATAATCATGTGGTTTTTGTCTTTGGTTCTGTTTATATGCTGGATTACATTTATTGATTTGTGTATGTTGAACCAGCCTTGCATCCCAGGGATGAAGCCCACTTGATCATGGTGGATAAGGTTTTTGATGTGCTGCTGGATTCGGTTTGCCAGTATTTTATTGAGGATTTTTGCATCGATGTTCATCAAGGATATTGGTCTAAAATTCTCTTTTTTGGTTGTGTCTCTGCCTGGCTTTGGTATCAGGATGATGCTGGCCTCATAAAATGAGTTAGGGAGGTTTCCCTCTTTTTCTATTGATTGGAATAGTTTCAGAAGGAATGGTATCAGCTCCTCTTTGTACCTCTGGTAGAATTCAGCTGTGAATCCATCTGGTCCTGGACTTTTTTTGGTTGGTAAGCTGTTGATTATTGCCTCAATTTTAGAGCCTGTTATTGGTCTATTCAGAGATTCAACTTCTTCCTGGTTTAGTCTTGGGAGGATGTATGTGTCGAGGAATTTATCCATTTCTTCTAGATTTTCTAGTTTATTTGCGTAGAGGTGTTTATAGTATTCTCTGATGGTAGTTTGTATTTCTGTGGGATCAGTGGTGATATCCCTTTTCTCATTTTTTATTGCATCTATTTGATTCTTTTCTCTTTTCTTCTTTAATAGTCTTGCTAGTGGTCTATAAATTTTGTTGATCTTTTCAAAAAACCAGCTCCTGGATTCATTAATTTTTTGAAGTGTTTTTTGTGTCTCTATTTCCTTCAGTTTTGCTCTGATCTTAGTTATTTCTTGCCTTCTGCTAGCTTTTGAATGTGTTTGCTCTTGCTTTTCTAGTTCTTTTAATTGTGATGTTAGGGTGTCAATTTTAGATCTTTCCTGCTTTCTCTTGTGGGCATTTAGTGCTACAAATTTCCCTCTACACACTGCTTTGAATGTGTCCCAGAGATTCTGGTATGTTGAAGGTGTCCAGTTTTACCCAGCATTGTTTTTGTGCTATCAGTGCAAATGTCAACAAAATGAAGGAAAAATATATTTCATTATGCTAATAAGTTTCGCCTCCCAGACCCCCAGTTTCCCTGAACCTCTGGAAACTAGACTGAAGCATCTCAAAGCCAGTGACAGGATTGTTCTCTCAAAATCTTAGCATGTCTTGGAAGCCTCTTCCATCTTGTGCTCCAGGCATCTCAATTATTTTACCCTAGACCCGGCCCTGCACAGGAGAGGAAGTCACAGAATACTGTGAAGCCATGTGCACATACTCTTATGCTGAGCTGCAAAGCAGGTTATCTGAGTGGGTTCAGTGGAAGCAGGACCTTCTGTAGTGGCCCAGAAATGGACCTGGCGGAGAGGGCTGGTGTGAATGCAGGCAGTTTTCAGTTGATGGGAAGTGTCAAGGCAGAGGTCAAAGAGCTCAGGACAACAGCTGTAGATCATATTTGAGAAAAAGACAGATGAAGAGTTCCAAGGCTAGCCCAAATCAACCAGGCCTGCCCAAGAAGCTATGCCCATGCTTCTGGCCTTGCCTGAGATAGACCATGGCTGACCCAGGTTTATATACTGAATATGATAAGCACCATCCATGTTGCCCCAGACAAGCAGCTTACCAACTGTCCCCCCCTCCCCAGGTTTAGGTTGCTCATCTATGTCTTTGTGATAACCATCTTTGTGGAGTGGCTGTGGCCACTGAAAGAGCTAACCTACGTATCATAGCAGGCACAGTGCTGACACTCCAGCTATAGGAGGGGCTAGCACAGTGCTTCTGCAGGAGAGCTCAGAAGCCGGAAGGAAAAACAGTTCATGGGCCTGGGGCAGTGCATGGGTTGGCCAGGGTTTCCCAGAGTGTGGCAAGCCAACCCCTGGGGATGTTTGAGATGGTTTCATGTGATATACAGATGAAACATTTTTCATTTTAATAATTGTTTTTACATGCATATTAGAAAAAATACAAATAGCCCATTAAAAGCTGTAATTTACATTTTAGGATGAGGCTATGTGAAAGGAAGTTGATAAAATATAAAAATATGGGCTGGGCGCGGTGGCTCATGCCTATAATCCCAGCACTTTGGGAGGCTGAGACAGGCGGATCACGAGGTCAGGAGATCGAGACCATCCTAGCTAACATGGTGAAACCCCGTCTACACTAAAAATACAAAAAATAATTAGCCAGGCATGGTGGCAGGCGCCTGTAGTCCCAGCTACTCAGGAGGCTGAGGCAGGAGAATGGCATGAACCCAGGAGGCAGAGCTTGCAGTGAGCAGAGATCACGCCACTGCACTCCAGCCTGGGCGACAGAGTGAGACTCTGTCTCAAAAAAAAAAAAAGCAAAAATATAAAAATATGAACATTAAGTAACTAACACACATGTGGCAAAGATTGTGACGGTGGTGAATAGAGTGACAAATGGTCCCGGGTATGCCCTGGACATTCCTGTTTTTGTGTGTGTTGAAAGTCCCATGTCCCAGGAACCCTCTCAGCCCAGGGGAAACCAGGATGATTGGTCACTTATGTGTGAATGCCTGATGTTTGAGAAATGCTGAACTCAGGCATTAGAGTCAAACAGACCTGTTCAAATCCTGGTCCAACACCTACTGGCAGCAAGACTTGCTGGCACTTTGTAAGCACCTAACATGTTTTGATAAAGAGTACCAAATGGGGAAACCTAAATTAAGTTCCTAGTAGGAAACAAAGAGGAACATAGTGAGTGCTTAATCAATTCAGCATTCATTTGACAAATATGTGAGCACCAACTGCATGGCAGACAGCGTGCTGGGTACCCAGATGCTGCAATGGATGAGCTTATATGACTGAGGAAGACAGTTAAACAAGTAACAATTGCAAAGAGGGACAGGCTGATATTGGGGTGCTCAGAGGGATATCTGGAGAAGTGACATGTGACCTGACCCCAAAACAAGGACCCTCGAGGTAATACCTTGGAGAACCAAGTTCTTGGCAGAATGAGGAAAGGCCCAGTCATGAGGGAGAGCTGTAGAACATGCCGTGGAAGCCATAGAGAGTCTGGGTTCTGTTTTCAAGGCAATGGGAAGCCACTGAGGGAATTCAAGCAGAGGAGGATCATGACCTATTTCTGGCTATAGATCGGAAAATGGATTGGACTGGCTGAGTGCAGGGAGACCAATGGGAAGGTAACTGCAGTAGCTCAGGCCAGACGCTGACTTACTCAAGGGATGTAGCTGCAGAGATAAGGAGGTATTTCAGAGACAGACTCAGTGGGATTTGAAGACTGATCAGACAGGGGAGGAGAAACACAAATCAAAGTCAGTTCAGATAGTTCAATGAGATCAGGCCACTGAGAAGTAGCAATTTTGGCAGGTGGAGGGGAGGGGGGCTTTGGCAGAAGACTTTTAAGTTTGGCTTAAGATATACTGAGTCTAAGGTGCTTTTGTGAAATCCAAATGGAACTAGGTAGGAATGGGAATCCAGGCAGAGATCTGGGTAACAGGGATTTAGGAGGCACCAGCACATGGATGGATGTGAAGCTTCAGGAGTGTGGGAATGAGAACAGGTGGGACCGAGAATGAGAACAGGTGGGACCGAGAAGGAGGGTCCCTAGCTTTGAAGGAACAGGCAGAAGAGGAAAGTCAGACAAAGGATACCAAGTAGTGGTCAGACTGGCAGAATAACCAGGAAAAGTTGGTGTTAAACCACATGTAGGATGCTATATTACTTCACCAAATAGTCAGTGCCCTGCCCACCTTTTGAACTCAGACACACCTGAGTGATTTGTTCTGGCCAGTAAAATGCAAGCAACTGTGATGTGTGTCACTTGTAGGCAAAAATATGACAAGCCCAAGTGTGGTTCCTTGTCTCTGAGATCATAAATACACGTCAAGTCTCTTGACGTGGGTCTCTACGTGGCTTTGAGCAGAAAGCCCTCTTGTCACTTGCAATTGAAATGTGGCATGAGAAATGAACTTCATCGTAAGCAGAGCTGGTTCTGTGGATGTCGGTCACTGAGAAGGGTCCTGGGTTTGGTTTAATGCTCTGCTGTCACCATCTTGAAATCCTCAGTAATTTTTAAATAGGGCTCTGCATTTTCATTTTGCAGTAGGCCCTGCAAATGACGTTGTTGACCCTTGTAAGCCACTGAGATTTTCTAGGTCATGACTACAGTGTAATCTACCCTCTCCTAACCAATAAACCAAGAAAAGAGGGGTGGTTGAAAAGAGGACATGGAATGCTGTCATGAGGCCAGGCCAAGAAGGCCTGAGTACTGTGGCTGTACTCAGGACAGCGGGTAACCCATTCAGGAAGTGTGGCTGTGAAGGAGAGAACATGGAGGACACCAGAGGGAGCTGTGAGAAAGAGAACTTTCTATTGCCTGTCTTAAGGGGGGAAATATTTGGAAAGGTTTCAATTTTATAGTGAAACGGTGTTTAGGGGAAGCATAGCATAAAGATACAGGAGATAGGAAAAAGATCCACAGAGTAAGTCCCCTTAGAAGGGAGATGGTCAGGGACCCGGGGCACAAGCTGTGGAATGAGCACGTCCATTTAAACAGGGAGGGAGGAGGAAACGTGGGTGCAGACACAGGAAGGGCTGCTGAGAGTGCTCCTGCCTGATGCTTTCTGCTTTAATCTGCAAGGTAGACATGAGGTCATTTGCTTAGAGTATGAGGGGCCCCTGAAGAGGGACAGAGTGGAGACTATGAGACAGCTGCCATGGAGCCCTGGAGTACAAACAGAGCAGGCAACTGAGTCCTGGAGGTGAGGTGGACCCAAGAAGTTGTGACCAGGAATCTGCTCTGTGGGTGCTTTCCCTCCTGCAGCTGAGACCAGGCCCTCAGAAATGGTGGCTGGATCTCTCCAGTGATGGTAATTCACCATGTGGGTGGGAAGAACGCAAAGCAATTAAGATTGGCTAAGAACAGACCACCATCACCATAAATAATGGCAAGAACTCACACTGGAAACATTTGTTAGCACTTTTACTTGTAAGCACTCTGCAGTATTAACTCATTTAACTTCCCACACTGTGAGGAAGTATTAGAATCATCCCCATTTTACAAGGATAAGGCAGAGGGATTGGTGGATGGAGTTCCAACAGGGTGTAGTATGTTGTAATTCAGTACTAATTCATATAAAATGGCTGGCCTAAAAGTGTTGTGTGCTTTAATCTTTTAGGCAGAGAACTTTGTATGTTTTGAAGGCTTCACCGAACATGCGTTTCTTGAGCGTCTATTACTCACCAAAGCTAAGAGGAGTTGCCAGCTGCCCCAGAGGCCTGCCTGTTTCTCTGCCCACTCCATCCCAACAGCTCCTTGGCCTGACATTCCCATTGTTAGTCCACTGAGCAGGGCTTCCAACCTGAGAATCCCTGGGGGATCAATGAGTACATGAAATTTTTTTTTTTTTTGAAACAGGGTCTCACTCCATTGCCCAGGCTTCAGTACAGTGGATTACAGCTCACTGCAGCCCCAACCTCCTGGACTCAAGCGATCCTCCCAGCCTCCTGAATAGCTGGGACTATAGGTGCTCACCAGCATGCCTGGCTAATTTTTGTATTTTTTTGTAGAGACAGGGTTTCACCATGTTGCCCAGACTGGTCTCAAACTCCTGGGCTCAAAAAATCCACCCACCTTGGCTTCTCCAAAGTGCTGGGATTACAGGTGTGAGCCACCATGCATGGCCAAGCACATGAAATTGCATGCAAAGCTGCCATGCTTCCGTATTTGCAAGAGTTCCTAACCTGGAACAAGATTAAGAATCAGCAGCAAACCAAGTGAGAGTTTCCAGGGAGATGGTGCAGCTTTCCCGTGAATACCTATGAATTCACCACCTAAATGGTACTCAGAGCTCTTAAGGGGACAGCACAAGGTAAACGGAAAGATCATTCCAAGGTAAAGGGTATCGGCTACAACCCAGGCAAGAGGAAGGGCTATTTCAGGCCCTCGGGAACCCTGAAGGATGGCAGAAGCTCCCTCCAGATCCATGTTATGGTTTTCTTCTCCTTTGGGGAGGTACTGCTTGGAGCCATGAGGATTTGAATAGATTGACTTCCCCTGTGGAAATTCTGGATGCAGGTTGGAAGGGCCTTGGGGACATAGCAGATTCAGACTACTATTTGCTGCAAGTCTAGTTTAGGGAGCCAAGACAAGCAGTGCTGAGGGAAGATGTCCTGGATGCACAGACTTGAATTTCCATCCCTAGCCATGTGACCTAGGGCAAGTTCCTGTCCCTCTCTTGACCTTATCTACATACTGAGGGGCTGGGACTGGTAATCTTGAAAATCAATTCCTGCCCTAACATCATGATTTGCTAGCTTGAGAGCATGTGCTGACTGTTATCCTTGACTGGTGCACTTCAAGTGTGAAGGATACGCCAGCCTGGGCTGCAGAGGGTTCCCTGCTGTGGGGGAGGGGCTGCTCTGCCACCCCGCTGGTCTCTCCTCAGGACGAGCCTGGGAATCTAAGCACAGTGGGCTGAACATCTGCTGGGACAAGGATGGGGCCAGAGACAGATCACTCTGACTCACCACCCTGCCACCAAACTAATGGTGAGTTCTTTTTCTTGGGCCTGACAATAACCTTAGTGACCTGAGATCTGTACCCTCTTAGCCCCTCCAGGCCTGGTGCTGGCCACAAAAGCCCATTCTGGGTGACACAATGGGTTTATTTTTTGGTTATTTTGGTAGCCCAGTATCCATTCCCCTTCCTTCTGGGGAACCACAGCCTGGCCAGGGTGCCCTCTAAAGGCAGCACCTGTGGAGACACCATCCACACTCCCTCCACCTCCACTGCTGCCCATCCTCCATCTTCCTGTCAGTCCTTATCTCTCCAGTGAGTTGTTTTCGCTACTTATTGGTGGCTTTCATTACTTATTGCCAAAAACTTCCTCTTAGAAGAGCTCCTGGTACAGGTGATTGCATCTGGGTTCCAGCCCCTCTCCATACATCTCCAAAAAGCAGAGAAAAGCTCCTTAGTTTCCAGGGCCCAACTGGGCCTCTCTCCCAGGCAGAAAACAGAGGGGAGAGGGAAAGAGAAGACTTCCAACTTTTCTCAGCTTTGCCAACACCCATATGGTGCAGTATGACTCTGCCCAGCAGAAGTCCTGAAACCAACCCAGGTGGCACTGTTCCTCGCTGGATGGTGCAGTGCAAACCCAGAGAAGGCTGGGGACTGGTGGGCGCCAAGAGAAGGAGAAGTCAACACCTGCATACTCTACCACACGCTGTGACACACACTTCATGTGCCATTTCAGACAAAAAACCTGAGGTATTAAGCAGTAGAGCCCAGATCCGATGTCCAAAGCTGTGGTGATACTGCACCATGCTGTCCTTGGAATGACCACCGTGCCTTCCAGGATATGCTGGGGATGACCAATGAGGTTTTCAACCTTTGAAAATGCCCCTACTCCCAAATTTACACCACAAAAACATGGAAATCAACCTAAAAACAGTGCGGCTGCTTCTGCTCACTTCCTCAGGTTTGTACCAACAGTGGATCTGGTCTAACTCTGTTGAGGTCAGCATGTAGGAATCACAGTTCCAAGAAACAGAAACAGTGCACAAAAACATGAATGTCTCACGAAGGTTTATTTGAATAGAGTTACATCTAGAGTTCTCATTTCAGTGTACAAACAACTCAGTGCAGTGTTTCTAATACAAGTCATATAAAACTGGAACACACTAAATGAATAGTGCACTTGATAGAAAAATAAATTACACTTTAAATGCTACTGCAAAGTTTTACACATATAAAAGGTAAACACAAAATAGTTAGTGAGACCCTCATAACCACTTATCATATCCAGATAAGGAGATAAAAGGGGCAAAGGAATCTGTGCTATAAAAAAAAATCTCTCTGAAGAGGAGAAATCCTGACAAGTAACTGAATGATCATCTCAAGCAATGTGGTGACATAGGGACTTACAGATCGTATCTCTTAGAACTGGGAAGGAATCATAGCTCTACCAATGTGTTAACACAACCCAGTTCAGCTCAGGGCAAATTTCTATAATTCAAACAAATGTCCTCATACTAACGCCTAATATGTAGGAAAAGTTTCCAACTTTCTTCTGACCACTGAAGAGGTACAGTGTTTAAATTTTTGAGAGGATAAAAAGGACAAATAATCTAGAAATGTGTCTTCTTCAGTCTGCAGAAGACCCCAGGTCTCCAAGCAACCACATGGTCAAGGGCATGAATAATTAAAAGTTGGTGGGAACTCACAAAGACCCTCAGAGCTGAGACACCCACAACAGTGGGAGCTCACAAAGACCCTCAGAGCTGAGACACCCACAACAGTGGGAGCTCACAAAGACCCTCAGAGCTGAGACACCCACAACAGCACCTCGTTCAGCTGCCACATGTGTGAATAAGGATGCAATGTCCAGAAGTGTTGGCTGCCTCCAAGTGACAGGTAACACTGCAGAACCTATCTGAGGACCTGCCAGCCTCCCGTTTCACGCAGCCACTCTGCTGCTCTACAAAGTTTCACATCAGGGGTCAGCGGCTTTGTAAAGGGGACTCCGCAGGAACACAGCTGTGCTGGGGCTGCTGCTGCTGTACTGCGCCAGCAGAGCTGAGTGGGACAGTATTTACCATCTCTGGTCCTTTACAGAACAAGACTGCTGACTCCTCTCAATGACAAGACAAAAACTCTGCTTCTCGAGACTCTTACTTAGAAAAATAGCAGATTTTTCTCTCTGTGACTGATAAATAATTCTGCTAACAAGACTTCTGAAGGAAATCTTCATTTTGGGGCTTAGCTAAGAGAAGAAGAGGTGCAAGTTTTAGCCAGAAGTGAGAAGCATAAGATAACAAGTAGTCCAGATCCAAGAACCCAAGAACAACTCAGGGCTTTCATCCTTAAATCTCCATAGGATATCTGTGATTGTACAAAGGCAAAGGCTAGAGACAAATGTTAGGAGACTATAAGAAATATTTTTAAAAGTTTTTTCTTAAAACAATGTATAAATGTTAAGGAAGTAAGCACACAAGGAACAGAATCATTCCTCTGTTCAGCAGTGTCTCCTGAAGAGTAGGAATGAAATGACCATGACCTCCTGTGTGTCAAAAGATGATGCTACTGACATGTCACAAATTAGGTCTCACTGATTAATTTACAAGTTCTCAGGCAAAGTCTAGAGCAGGTAACTGAAACCTTCACGTCTTATTTTAAACCATCCTGTCAACTCCCACTTCCCCTATCAGGGCTATGAAATGGACTGAGTTGAGGTTCCTCTCCTGTCTGCCCGCAGGGAGGCAGCACTATCTGCTCCCCGCCACCCCACCGTGCTCCGTCCGAGGCGTGCACGGCAAACCCTCAGCAGTGCCCCCGGCTGCCCCTTCTCCAACCTCAGCCCAGTCTCACCAGCCTGCTTCTCACCCACTATCATCTCCAACCTTTCTCTTTGAACCCATCAAGGATGCCGGCACACATGCCTCTCTCTTCTCAAGAGACAGACATCTCCCCTTCCCTACCTGCCACATTCGTAGACCACCTCAGCCCTGCCTCTCCCCACCACACTGTTCTCAGGGGAGCAGAACAGGAAGAGCTGTTACAGCAGCTCTGCGCATGGCAGCAGCAGCAGCTATGACAGGAAACCAATCCCCAACACGCATTTAATCTGTCGGGGCCAATTCAGCATTCAAGTATGAACTTCCGTGTTTGCCACTTCATGTCAGGGCATGAGACAAAGTTTCCTCTGAGCTTGAAATTCAAGTGAATTTTAACAAAGTCCCTACCAATATTCTAACTGTCAAGAATACAGGTATCCAACGACATAAAGGTCACAGACTATGTCCAACTACCTAATTCCTAATTTTAGGAAGTTTAAAATAAGGATGTTGTCACCTCCTGAACTGGATGGGAGATTTAGGTCTTCCAAGGCATAATGCCTCAGCTGCTCTGTGGTGAGCAGCACAACGGTAACCCTGTAGGACATCTACGGTTGCCAAGACACTGAAAATTTGATGCTCATTCCATCATGTCCTGGGTCAAGCCCCTGGTTCTAGGTGTCACCTTCAGCTTTGAGAAAATATGTCCTATAATTAAGAACTGGCAAGAGCCCCACCAGTGAAACTCAGAAGCTGTTTTTAGCATAATGGCTAAGGGGAGGCAGCCAGCAAGAAGTGTTGACTTTCCTTCTGCAAAAATGTTTTGTGCAAACGTGGGTTCCAATCACTACAGCTCCCTGGGAAACAGTGCAAGATTAAAATTCCTGAGCTTTCCAGTCAGACACTAGTGTGCGTTTGCCTGGACACACGATTATGTTATAAGGAGCCCAGGAAAGTCCAATCCATGAAGTTTTAAGGATCTAAGACTGGATGTTCTTTTATGCTAAGCAGTACAAATTAGTGCTTAATTATATACATATTGCAGGACAGAAAACTAGAAAGCAAATTCCAGGAGGTATAGCTTAAGATCAGTTCTCCATAACGAGGGATTAACAACTTTACCAATATGGTTTCCACATCATCCTTCTTCCCCATGGCAACCGAGGTTTACCTTGTTCATTCGAAAATTATAAAGCTAAATAGCGTTATTTCTGGGTATTAGAATTACAGATGGACATTGCTATACTTTATTTTTCTGTGATGAGTATATATTATTTTAACATCCAGAATTTCTTTGTACAGGCCCAAAGGGATGGGGAAGTTTTAGAGATCTCTTTTAAACTAACACAGAATTCCTAGTGCAATGCAGGTTCTTTCGGTATATGCTGTGTATAGCTTCATACATGGTAGGTATTTAAGAAACAACATCCCTTCACCCCTGTTCCTATTGCCTATTTTGGTCTTGGTGTATTTGTTTTGTTTCATTTTTTTTTCCAGTTTGAAAGCTCTAAATTTATTCAGCTTATACTGAAAGGAAATGAAGTCTATGTCCAAATAGGAAACAATGTGGAGTACTGCTGTGCTGTGCCTTCATTACCTGAGACTACAGCAGCCTGCATTCTCCACCGGGCTCGGAGGAGTGCAGATGCCTGAGGTAAATGCCCCAGGGTCTCTTCAACAGTAACCCACCCCACTGATAAGTTACATGATACGTGTGTGGTGCCTGTGAGTGCTTCCTGTGGAAAGGCAGGGTGAAAAAAATATGACAGGATTTTATTTGATTTCTCCGTAGTTCTTCTCAGGGTTTATCTTGATGTAAACTTGAAATATTAAGATAGCCAGTACAGTAAGAAATCAAAAGAATGGGAGACATTTAAAAACTCTCTATATTCTAAACTTCTCTTTAGTGTTGTAATAATTGTAAAAAAAAAAAAAAGTTGGCCCTAAGTCTGCCTTTATAGTGTCCACATTAATTTCCTAAATTCTTGATTTCTAGGTAAGTCAGGAAAAGTGCAATTTCTCTAACAGGCAGCCAGATCAAGGATGCTCTCACCCTGATACTAGATGGAAATAGCTTTCAAAAGGCTGTTGACTACCAGAGGCAGGCTTGTTATGAAGTTGTTATGAACAAATAGAACCGCTAGGTGGAGCCAAGAGTTTGAAGGAAACCCCAGAAAAAGAAATTCCCTTCTTTCGGGAATTTGTAACATTTATAAAAGTATAGAAAGTTCAAGACCAAACACTCTCTTTTGGGCAGCTATGCAGTGTGATTCAACAATTCCAGTTGGACGGAAAATACAGCTGTCTTTTTTACGGAGTTGAAGTCAAATCTACGTGCAGCTTTTTTTACCTACAAATAATGGACAAGCTCCTGAATCCAACATATTCTAGCTGAAACGGATCCCAGGACGGAATGCTGGAGAGATGCGTATTCCAGCTACAGGCCCTCAGAGCTCAGTGGTCAGTAAACACTTCTGCTTCAGGACAGCTTCTTCTGCCAAAATGGGACCAGAGCTGAAAGGAAGAGAGAATGGGTTACTCAGGGAACCCCTGGGGTTTGGAGGAGGACATTCATGTCTCCATTAGTGCCACACAGAGCATTTTGAGGGTACAGCAGATTACAGACCTAAGTCAATATGTAGTAACACCTAACCTGGCAATGAGATATTCCATAGAAGGGAAATTTCTGGATAAACACTGCTTATTTCATTTTGAAATAAAATATAAAGACAGCACAATTTCCCCTTCTTAGCAAATATGTTAAACACACACTTAACCATTTCTTAATGAGTCAGGGTTAGTATGAGTATCAAGAACAGTGCTGTGCTGAGCTCAAGGGCAACACACTCAGGCTGTTCTCTGCTGCTGCTGCTCCTTTTTTTTTTTCTGTGAGACGGGGTCTTGCTCTGTCGCCCAGGCTGGAGTGCAGTGGCATAATCATGGCTCAATGCAGCTTCAACATCCCAGGCTCAAATGATCCTTCCACCTCAGCCTCCCAAAAGTAGAAGTAGCTGGGACTATAGGCCTGTGCCAACATGCCTGGCTAATTTTTGTATTTTTCTGTAGAGATGGGGTTTCACTATGTTGCCCAGGCTGGTCTCAAACTTCTGGGCTCAAGCCATCTGCCCTCCTCAGCCTCCCAAAGTGCTGCGATTACAGGCATGAGCCTCTGCACCCAGCCCTGTGTTTCTTTACATATTCCTACATGGCCGTGTCTGTGTTCCTACCAGTTAATCTATTTTGTTAGAGCCGTGTGAAAAAGAAGCCCTCATGGGCTCTGCATGAGGGCTCGTGAATTTCTGCTGTCAGTGAACTGCGTGAGTTTAGATGCAAGGAAGTAACGACATCTGATTTGGTTTCATGAAAACTGAAAACACGCTGGGTAAGGTGGCGCACGCCTGCAATCCCAGCACTTAGTGAGGTGGGAGAATCCACTGAGACCAGGAGTTCGGGACCAGTCTGGGCAACAAAGTGAGATGACGTATTTACAACAACAACAACAAAAATAGCCAGGTGAGGGTGGTATATGCCTGTAGCCCAGCTACTCAGGAAGCTGAGGCAGGAGGGTTGTTTTAGCCCAGGAATTGGAGGTTGCAGTCAGCTATGATCATGACACTGCACTCCAGCCCAGGTAATGGAGAGAGACACTGTCTCTAAAAAAAGTTTAAAGATGTAAAACGATATCAAAGTACATAATACAAAGGACATAACTTAAAATGTTGAAAGTGGTAACAAGATTTATAAATGAAACAGAGTCACCTGTACCACTCTCTATTCCTACTTTGAGGGACAAACACTTTCAACTGATTCTTTTCCTGGTATTTTCCTTCACTTTTCTGTGTCCCTGGTTCTCAAAGTGGGGTCTCTAGAATTTGGGAGAAATGCAAATTCTTAGACCCCACCCCAGATATACCGAATCAGACTATGAGGGTGGAGCCCAGCAGCCAATGTTTAAACAAACCTGTCTCCAGAGATTCTGCCTCACGACCCCCCAAAGTTCTGACTGTTCTGGGTGAGGTGTTTATACAATGACTTCCTCCTATGGACTGTGAAGGCTTACCTTTCTTCCACCCTCTCCCCAGCCCCACAATCCTGCCTTCTTATCTTTTCAGCACAGCTATATGACCAATTTTGATGATGTTAAAATTCAGTGTTTGTTGTAATTATGTAAATATTTTCACAACTATCAGTATATTTCATGTTTTATGTAACTTTTATTTTCCCTGGACTGAATAACTGCCTCATTTTTTTGTTGTCGTGATGGCTTAGTGGGTTTGTTGTTGTTGTTTTTTAGAAACGAAGTCTCAGTATGTTGCCCAAGCTGGTCTTGAACTCCCGGTCTTAAGCGATCTCCTTGCCTCAGCCTCCCGAGTACTTCTCAGTTTTCTATACAAATCTCTCATCTATCCCTAACCTCTCAGGTAAACCATGGATCTCTTCTCAGTACATTCAGACATGTAATATAATTTTTTAAAAACTGGAGGGTGGGGAGCCTGTTTGTGTTTTTCTTGGCAAAATCCTTTCTGCAACTCTATATCCTCCTTTTTGAATCTGGACAGGATCCTTTCTAGACCCACTGGGCAGCTACCATCTTGGAACCTCCCTTCACCTTTCTCTGGGTAAATCCCTGCACCTCTCTACTGCCTCCTGGGTCCCATGACTTCTTTTTTGGATAAAAAAGAGGAACATATCTTCCACTTTAGATGGAACACATCTTCCAGTAGCTTCCTGAGGAAGGCTACATGGAAAGTATATATTTTAGGGAAACTGTATGTCTAAAAATGTATTCTAATCTCACACTTCACTGATAGTTTGGGAATTCACTGATAGTTTGGGAAAACTCTGGGTGAGAAATTGCCCTCCAGAATTCAGAAAGCACACTGCTCCAATATCTCCAGCTGTCAGTAAAGTCTGCTGCCATTCTGATTACCAATCCTTTGTACGTACTCCGTTTTTCCCCTTTGCTGGAGACTTACATCCTCTCTTAACTTTGACCTCCTAAAGATTCATGATGCTCCTTGGTGTAGTCTATTTTCATTCTCTGTGCTGGGTACTCAACAGACCTCTTTAATCTAGAAACTCAAGTCCTCTGTTCTGAGAACGCTTGATTCCTTTCTTTGACAATTTCCTCCTTCCATTGACTGTAATCTTTCTAGATCTCCTATGATTCATATATAGGACGTCCTAGGCCAATCCTCCAATTTTCTTTTCTCTCCCAGTTTTCATCTTTCTATTCTACACATTTTGGGAGATTGTCTCAATTTTATCTTTTACACACTCTTTGGATTTCATTTTTAATATAGTTAATAATTTCTAAAAATGCTTGTTTTCCTTTTTTTTTTTTTAAGTTTCCTGTTATTGTTGCATGGATACAGTATCTTCGCTCTAAATTCAGATACTATGATTTTGTGACCTTTTCTTTTGTTATTTACATTGCCTTTTTTTCCTACTTCTATTTGTCAAAATTCACATTGCCTTTATTTCCTTGTTTTTCAGTTTACCTGTTCTGGTCTTTCCTCACATATCTGACAATCGTTAGCTCTCTTTGTATTTCAAAGAAAAGCTCTGGAATGTGTCTGGGACCTGTGTATATATGGGCAAAACTCATCAACGAATGGGCTCCCTGGTGATTATTTGGCAGATTCCTGGCAATTTCATCAGAGGATCCAAAAATGTATGTGCAGGCCTTTTTCTCTTTGGTTGGTTGGCTTCTCCAGAGAATAAGCCTCTTTTTCAACTCAGACATTTATACTTAGCTAACAGCATTCAGGAAACTGAGAAAAGAAGGAACGTTGGAAATTTCACCCTTCAGTGTGTGGACTTTGAGTTAGTCTTCCCGTGTTCAGTCTAGAGCCTTACTCCAAATGGAAATTCCAAGATCCAGAGCCTCTCTGGCCTGGCTCCTCCCGAGGGAAAACTTCAGAATTATGCTAAAATGGGCAAGGGTAGTGGGATGGCAGATGAGTGAAATGGGCATAAATACTTTCAACCAATCCCCATATTCTCAGCTCCACTTTGTACCCCATCTTCACAAGTATCTGGTACCTACAATTTCGTTGCCTTTTCAGGGTTCTGCAGTGTGAACTGGCTTGCTTTTTATTTTGTTTCTACTCCCTCCCCTATTCAGGCTTAGATTTTAGTTTACTCCACTCTGCTAAACTGGTTACCACTTATCATTTAGCTGCTTCCCAAAACTTGTTGAGGTCTCTTAATTGCTGATGTCTCCTTTCCTGTTCTTTGTCCTCATGATTTGATGCCTTTGAAACACAGTATCACACAGAGAACGCTGCAAAGTAAATCTAAATCTGTGGAGATGGGTGGGACCCAGTCATCATTTTTAAAAATTACTATAACATCTATATATTAAAGCACATAAGGCATGAGTTTACAGCTTGAACAACTTTTTGCAAATTGAATACACCTCTGTAATCAGCATGTAGAATATGAAACGGAACACTACTAGCACTCCCAAAGCTGCTTTTGGGCTCTCTTCTATTCACTAGCACATCAAGGGTAACCATTATAGAGTTGTGCTCCTGTTTGAACTTGATTTTGTTTATCCTTATTACAGTGGAGAAACTCCAAGATGAACCCCAAAGATCTCCATCTCCAGCTGTTCACACTCCTATGTAATCTCTAGCCCTTGGGTGTGGAAAGGACTTGTGACTTACTTTAACCAACAACAGAATATAGCAAAGGTAAAAGGATGTTATTTCTGTGATTAGACTATACAAGATTGTGACTTCTGTCTTGCTAGCAGACTCTACTGCTTTCTCAGTTTGCATGCTAGAATAAAGTAAGGAACTACTTTGGAGAGGCCCACATGGTAAGGACTGAGGGCAGCTTCTTGGCAATCACCAGCTAGGAACTGAGTTCCTTAGTCTAACAGGTCTTCAGATCCTGAATCCTGCCAAGAGCTCTGGCTGGTGCCTCTCCTTCCATTGAGCCTTCAGATGAAAACCTGGCCTTTGCCAATATTTGACTGTAGCCTGTGAGAGACCCTGAAGCAGAGAACCCAGCTCAGCTACATCCAGATTCCTGAGCCACAGAAAATGAGATTATAAGTGTGTATTGTTTGAAGCTGCTAAGTTTTGTGGTAAGTTGTTGCACAGAAGTAGACAATTAATACAATTATGTTTATGTGATTCATCTATACTGCTACATTTTAGTTGTAGTTATTAATTTTCACTGCTCTTTTCTAATATTTATCTAGTCAACTGCTAATGTGCAGTTGGAAGGTTTTCAGTTTGGACTATTATGAATATAGGTGCTATAAAAATTCTTGTACATGTCTTTTGATGGACATATATTCACAGTTCCATTGGGTATTTATATAAAAATAGAATCACTGAATATGTTCAGCTTTAGTAGATGTTGCCAAACCTATTTCCAATGTGGTTACTCCAATTTACAGAGTTTCAGTTGCCCCATATCTTCACCAAAACTTGGTACTATGTGTCTTTCATTTTAGCCATTCTGGTGATAATGTAGCACTGTGACATGGTAGTTTGAATTTACATTCCCCACGGACTAATCAAGTTGCACACTGTCTAGAATGCTTACTGGCCATTTGGATATTGGTTTGTGAACTGCCTATTCAAGCTTTTTGCCCATTTTTCTATTATGCTATCATCTTTAGCTTACTTATTTGGAGGAACTCTTTATAAATTCTAGATATGAGTGGGTCCTTTGCCATACAAAGTTAAGACTGAGGTTGCGGAGGAAGGAGAAGGGAAGGGGGTGAGAGAGGGAGAGAGAGACAGAAGGAGGGATGGAGAACAAATGTTTTCTCCTATTCTGTGGCTTCCCCTTCCATAATATCTTGAAATTACATTTTTTGATGAACAAAATTTCTTGATATAATCCAAGTGATTTTTTTCCTGTAAGACTAAAGCTCCTTGTGAGCTGTTTAAAAGATCTTTGTCTATTCTAAGGTCACAAGTAAGTTCACTCATGTTTTCTTCTATAAGTTTATTATCTGATGTTTCATATTTAGATCTGCAATCCATCCAGAATGGATTTTTGTGAATGGTATGGAGTTGGGTCAAGATTATTATTTTTTCCCCACAGGGACAACTAATCTGTCCAGCTGATTTACTAAAAGAAAGACCATTCTTTCCTTACAGCATTGCATCATCATTTTTTTCATAAACCAGAAAACTGTATTACATATGAGTTTGTTTCCAGACTCTATTCTGTTCCATTGGTTTATTTGTAATTTTTATGTCTTTAAGCCCTTTATTACTCCTTTCCATGAGTTCTAGGAAGAAAGAGATAAGCTCTGCTTTCATCTGTAATTTTTAATGTGAAAGTCCTTAAGAGCTCACATTTTATTGTGTAAATTCAATTACAAAGCATTACCGTCGGGTTCTCTGTGTGCAGCTCTATTTTTACAGTGATCATTATTAGGCATACAAATGCTTAGAAAAATAATCCATTACATTTGTATAAAGCACTCTTTTACTAGATGTAAGCTTCCCAAATGTAGGTCTCTCATCTGTCTTGTTCACTGTTATCTTTAGTGTCAGATATCAGTCAATGCCTGGTACATCACAGACATTCAATAAGTGTTTGTTTGCTGAGTAATATGCTACTTTGAACACTGTGGAGACAATTTTGAAATTAAACTGAATTTCTTTCAAGTTAATGATCTCTAATAATTCATCCTACCTTTCTCTAATTAGGAAAGCATGTATTTCAACCGACCCACATTTTCAAGGAGGATATGTGAAATGTGGGATATATTCAGAAAAAAGGTCTGAGGTAGGAGTGAAGGCAATTCTAAATCTTTTGTAAAACAGGTGCAGTTATGGTTCTAGCAAATCAAAAGTTGAAGAACCAGATGCTGAACAAAAAGCTCTAGTTTTTGAGTCTAGTTTCTGTCTGTAGCAAGCAACGCCTTGAAATGAGCTCACAACATGTATTGGTAAAGGCATCTCAGGGCTCTCACCCTAGGAGTATCCTAACTTACCCACTTATACTGCACCTCTTCACCTGTGTTGACGGGCACCATCATTCATCACTATTACAGTAGGCATAATCATAATAAATAGTAAAGCGTAAAGGGAAACAATACAAATTGACTTTAAAACAACTATTACAAAGATAAGCCTGTTAACATCTTTAGCAAAGACTTGATAAAGAAACGCTAATACAGTTTTGTAGAAAATTGCTACTGACAAGAAAAAGCCACTACACTAAATAACAAACAGAAAAAAGATTTGCCCCATTTCAATATAGTTCAGTTAGGGAAGAATTGACATTGCTGCTTTAGAGATAATAAGTTTTATTATTTTTTTCTTCCTAACAGATGCCTAAGAACTGCAAATGAGAAATAATTTTCTCACCTGGTCACAGCATCTACCAAGAATGGCGCTGGGGGAGAGATCAGTGAGATTCCATCTTTATTACCATGTCCCTCCTTCCCTGTCAAAAGCATTTCACATCCCGCAAGTCCATTAGACATGGCACCACTCTGCTGTGGGAGATACACACACAACTAAATACAGGGTAACAATACCTGCCTGGTCAGCACTTCAGCTCCAAATCAAGCTTCACTAATGACTATGAGATTAACGAAGATGGTTTTGATAATTATGACTGTTTGTTTTGTTTTTCTTAACTATTCTTCATCTGAGACTTTTACTTTTGTTTCTGCCAGCATCCTGACAAACATTTACAACCAGAAAGGGTAAGCCACTAGCTTGAAGCCATTAAGTTAAGTTCAGTTAACAAGGCTTTGATAACAACCCTCATGTTTTTAAGGAAAAACAAAGAACCTAGTAATCCTTTAGGCCTTACCCTGAAAGGGTAGCCAGAAGAAAAATCACAAATAACATGAACTTACCGGAACAATCCACCGGGGTGTGATCATGGATGTGGAAGACACCTGAAATAATTTTATATGTATGTATTTACTTTTTGGAAAGACTGACTTATTTTCATACTTATAATACTTACTTACATCTATTATGAAATCCATTCTAGGAGGGCAATTCTTAATTCTTAATGGTGTTCCTTGAGCTGACATGGACTTCTAAATCCAAGACCCTTTTCTGTTATACAACACAGATGCTATCCCTCACCACTTAAGAAAGTGTCATAATTTTGAGAATCTCTTATCTAAAAATTTACCATTCAAGAATCTATTACTACTTTCAGTTCACTTAATAGGACTGCCCCTACCTCACACCCAGTATTCAGTTTAACATTTTATTTTCTGAAATTTCAGTTAATTAATTACAAATAATGATAGCCTTCTTGGTAGCAGCCTGAACAATGGATTGTGACTAATCCAAATAAAGAGCAACAAGAAAGTACACAGAAAAATAATCTGTTTAGATACAGATCATTCTCTAATTATCATGTATGCATGAAGAAAGCGCAATAAAAACACCCATATTGCTCCTGGTTCACAGGGCCTTTGATACATTATTTTTATATGTTTAACTTTCTATTATAGGTCATCTATGTGTAGAATTATAAACTAAGGAAACCCACCCATTTTACTAGTAATTTAGACTAGTCCTTGCATTGGTGGCCTTACATACTCATAAGAAAAAACTAATGTAAGTCCAGGTATTAGTAAATTAGATAACCACCAAAAGAATAAAAACACAGGCTGGGCGCAGTGGCGCACGCCTGTAACCCCAGCATTTTGAGAGGGCGAGGTGGGCAGATCATGAGGTCAAGAGATCAAGACCATCCTGGCCAACATGGTGAAACCCTGCCTCTACTAAAAATACAAAAATTAGCTGGGCATGGTGGCATGCGCCTGTACTCCCAGCTACTCGGGAGGCCAAGGCAGGAGAATCGCTTGGAGGCGGAGGTTGCAGTGAGCTGAGATCACGCTACTCCTGGCAAAAAAGCAAGACTCCATCTCAAAAAAAAAAAACCCACAAAATCTGACTTTCCTACCAATACTTTTTAGATGCATGTTAACAGCAGGAAATAAGAGAGAAAAAATATCATAAATAATAGTAAACAAAAAATAGTTTGACAGACTTTTCCACACTTGCAGTTAATTCTTATCCTTGGTAAAGTCTTTGTTTATTAATCTAAGCTGGTCATTCCCAACGGGTGGTTCCCAGACCACATCTGCACCACCTGGGAACATGTTAGAAACACAACTTTTCAGACCCCACCCAAGATATACCAAAATTAGAAACTTGGAGGTGGGGCCCAGCAATCTTGTGTGTTAACGTCCCCTCCAAGGGATTCTGATATACACAAAAATTTGAGAATTAATGATCTATGCAAACATTCAGTATCATGTGTATTTCCAAGCCTTCAGGATGGCATCTAGCCCCTACAGCAATTCTCGTCATATCACTCATAAGGTACAAAGTTAGTCATTTCTGTTTTTTTTTTTTTTTTTTTTTTTTTTTGAGACGGAGTCTCACTGTGTCGCCCAGACTGGAGTGCAATGGTGCTATCTCGGCTCACTGCACGCTCCATCTCCCAGGTTCCAGCAATTGTCTTGCCTCAGCCTCCCGAGTAGCTGGCGCTACAGGTGTGCACCACCACCCCCGGCTAATTTTTGTATTTTCAGTAGAGACAGGGTTTCACCATGTTGGCCAGGCTGGTCTTGAACTCCTGACCTCAAGTGATCTGCCCACCTCGGCCTCCCAAAGTGCTGGGATTACAGGCGTGAGCCACCGTGTCCAGCAAAGTTAGTCATTTCTATCTCTCTCATCCCTGGAGGGAAGGAACTGTTTCAGTTGGCCCTCCATATCCATGAGTTGTGCATCTGTGGATTCAACAACTGTAAATCGAAAATATTTGGAGGGAAAAAAAGGATGGTTGTGTCTGTACTGAACATGTGCAGGCTTTTATTCTTGTCATTATTTCCTAAACAATACAATATAACAACTGTTTACCAGCATTTACACTGCATTAGATATTAGAGGTAAGCTAGATTATTTAAAATATACTAGAGGATATGTGTAGGTTATATGCAAACACTACACCATTTTATATGAGATTTAAGCATGCATGGATTTTGGTATCCAAGGGGAGTCCTGGAACCAATCCCCCACAGATACTGAGGGACAACTATACTTAATACAGTATCTTCCAGACTGTAATAATGATTGATATGTTCAATGCCATTCTTACGCTCTCATCTTTCTATAAAACTTTTTAAAAAATTAAATATATCCTTATTGTCTCAAGAAACTGCTTTATCCCCATGTTTTCTCTCATTTAATATGATGTTGAATTATAAAAGGCTTATAGAGACATGTGATTTGTAGACAGTGATACACAAATTCAAAGTGGTAAAATTTTAGGACAGAGAGGCAATGCTAAGTGGTTATTAAAACATAAACTCTTATCAAATGAAAAGTTTAACTGAATTATTAAAAAGGAAAAAACTGGAATCTAGCAGGAACATTTTTCAAAACAGAAATTTCTTTCCATCATACTATTTTAAAGCATATTTACCTGAGGTGCAACTGTGTGATCAATTAGATTCTCAGTTAGAGATGCAAGCAAGGCATCCAATTCATCTGTAGCTTCCTATGGAAGACAGGAATCTAGAATTGTTAAATGACCCCTTTATCATCAGATGTTAAGTTTTTTCCATATCCTCTCAATTTATAATTCTGACACAGGCCTGATTAGTGTTAATCCTTTAAATACACAGGGACACTCATAAATCATGGTTGTTAATGATTCCACTTCTGCATGGAGGGAAACCTATACTACAATCAGGATGTGAAAAAGCTGAAGTGCTATGTAAATTTTCAAATAGCTATTCTCCTTTGGTAAGACAAAACTTGGGTAGGGTTATGACTATTCTGGCTCTTAACTTTTTCTTTTTAATTACAAAAAAATTATTTTGGCTGGATGCAGTGGCTCACACCTGTAATCCTAGCGCTCTGAGAGGCCAAGGCGGGAGGATCCCTTGAGCCCAGGAGTTTGAGACCAGCCTGGGCAATATAGTGAGACCTCATCTTTACAAAAACTGAGCTAAGCTGGGCACAGTAGCACTCAGCTGTAGTCCCAGCTACTCAGGAGGCTGAGGTGGGAAGATCACTTGAGCCCAGGAGACAGAGGCTGCAGTGAGCCAAGATTACACCACCGTACTCCAGCCTGGATGACAGAGTGAGATTCTGCCTCAAAACAAATTTTAAAAAAGTAAATACAGCCGGGCACTCCTGGCTAACACGGTGAAACTCCGTCTCTACTAAAAATACACAAAATTAGCTGGGCGTGGTTGCGGGCACCTATAGTCCCAGCTACTCGAGAGGCTGAGGCAGGAGAATGGCATGAACCCGGGAGGTGGAGGTTGCAGTGAGCCGAGATCGCGCCACTGCACTCCAGCCTGGGCGACAGAGCAAGACTCCATCTCAAAAAAAAAAAAAAAAAAAAGTAAATACAAAAAAATAAAAAAAAGTTGTTTTGAGACAAGATCTTGCCCTGTCCAGGCTGAAGTGCACTGGCACAAGCATAACTCACCGCAGCCCCAAAATGCTGGGCCCAAGCAATCCTCCCACCTCAGCCTCCCAAGTAGCTGGGACTACAGGTGTGCACCACCATGCCCAGCCAATTTTTTTTTTATAGAGACAGGGTCTCACTTATGTTGCCCAGGCCGGTCTTGAACTCCTGGGTTCAAGTGATCCTCCTACCCTGGCCTCCCAAAGCACCGGGATTACAGGTGTGAGCCACTGTGCCCAGCCTTTTAACTTTTAGACTAGATGAGAATGGTACTACTCTGTATGGTAATATCATACTTTGAACTTAAAAAAAAAAAAAAAAAACCAGTAACAGGTTCAGCACAGGAGATACTGGATAAAGGAGGTGCCTAAATTCCAAATGCTCCTTTATCTAGACTTATGGGTGCTTCTGTTTGTAAAATAATACAATATGAACTCTCTCCCTATAAATGTTAATACTTTTTGTTTAACCAGTATTTGAAGTACCTTATAAAGGACACAATTCTCTACTGTGAGGGAGGGGGTCTGGGAGAATTTTAAAACAACAAAAGATAAAATGCCAATCTGGCAATAAACAATAGGAACCTAGGGCATAGCACACAACAAAAAAGAGCCCTTCATTCATACATTTCTTTCTTTTTTTGGGGGGGGGGGGGGCAGAGGGACACGGTCTTGCTCTGTCACCCAGGCTGGAGTGTAATGGTACAATCATAGCTCACTGCAGCCTGAATTTCCTGGGCTTACACTATCCTCCCACATCAGCTGCCCAAGAAGATAGGACTACAGGCATGCCAAACTATGCCTGGCTAATTTTTAAAAAATTTTTTGTAGAGACGGGGTCTCCCTATGTTGCCCAGTCTCATCTCAAACTCCTGGCCTCAAACCATCTTACCGCCTTGGCCCAAAGTGCTGGCTTATAGGCATGAGCCACCACACTTAGCCACCCATTTACACATTTCCATTTCTGCTTATATGCCTTCAGGTCTTGGAGAATCTCCTATTCATATTTCAACGTGCAACTTAATTTAAATCACAAAAACATGAAAAACTGTTCTCTCCTCTCGCATCTTCCCACCCTGCTGCCTGGACTAAGTGCACCATAACAGCTTGTGCAAGTCTACCACAATGTATTACGATTCTCTCTCCCACTAGACTATATGCAGTTAAGCTGAGACCATGTTTCATTCATTCATTTTTGAATCTTTAATGCTTAACAAGTTGTCTGGTACATACTATATATGCAATAAATCTTTGAACTAAATGTCCTTCTCTGCTTCAAAAACATCTCAGGTTCTGCTTAATGATTTCCAATGATTAGTCAATGTATCTTTTCAGATTTTCATCAGCAGAAAAGAAATGCCTGATTGAAGATATTTTAGGTTGGGTTTTTTCTTTAACCCTAAAAATCTGAAAGATACTTATATACCTAAATACCAACTATACACTTTCATTGAGTAGTGAGAATACAAGTGATCTTTAATTTTTCCTTTTTGTGAGGTATTTGGCAAATTACAACAGATGTACATTATGCAATAAAAAAGACAAATGGTAAGTGTTCATGCAAGGGCAATTTTTAATTTAACTTGCAAATTAAAACATTCATTGGCAATAAACTGGGTTTCTATGATTTCTGAATTGTTAAGGGTTTAGCGAGTGGATACAGAAAAGGCAGAAGTTGGGATGAGCTGGTTATGCTGCAGTGCAATTAGTGATAGTGATAGGTCCCTGTTATTTCAAAAAGTTTGTGTCAATCAACAAATATTTCATGCCTATTATGTACCAGGTACTATTGGAGACACTTAGGCTGCCTATAATCCCAGCACTTTGCGAGGCCAAGGTAGTAGAATTGCTTGAAGGCAGGAGTTTGAGACCAGCCTGAGGGATACAGCAATGAACAAAACAGGTGTCTCTCACACAGCTTACATTCCCTAGAGCAGCAGTCCCCAACCTTTTTGGCACCAAGGACCAGTTTTGTGGAAGACAATTTTTCCAAGGACCAGGTTTGGGGGTGGGGTATGGTTTTGAGATGAAACTGTTCCACCTCAAATCATCAGGCATTAGATCCTTATAAGGAGTGAGCAACCTAGATCCCTCGTGTGCACAGTTCACAGTAGGGTTTGCACTCCTATGAGAATCTAACACCACAGCTGATCTGAGAGGAGGTGGAACTCAGGCGACAATGGTTGTCTGCAGCTCACCTCCTGCTGTGTGGCCCAGTTCCTAACAGGCCATGGACCAGTACCGGTCCGAAGCACAGGAATTGGGGACCCATGCCCTAGAGTAAATGAAACTACTAATTCAAAAAGATCCCTTAATTCTTTCATCTAAGAAGCACTTAGTCCCTATTTGCATGCAACACTGTATCTTAAAAGGAAATGAGTGAAAGCATAGCCAACATTCAAAACCACCCCCAAAATATAAACAAAGTACATACAAACTGGAGAAGAAACCCTAAGATCCTCTTGTGAGTAGTGTGGCAACAGGATTCTCCCTAGAGAACTGTGGCTCAATGCTTTTATCACATTTTTTTTTTTTTTTTTGAGACAGTCTCACTGTATTACTCAGGCTGGAGTGCAGTAGTGTGATCTCAGTTCACTGCAATCTCCACCTCCCAGGCTCAAGCAATCCTTCTGTCTCAGCCTCCTGAGAAGCTGGGACCATAGGCACATGCCACCATGCCCAGCTTATTTTTTGTATTATTGGTAGAGACAGGTTTTGCCATGTTGCCCAGGCTGGTCTTGAACTCCTGAGCTCAAGTGGTCCACATGCCTCGGCCTCCCAAAGTGCTGGAATTATAGGTGTGAGCCCCTGTGCTCGGCTGCTCTTCTCACATCTTAAGTCCCAGTGTCACTCAGTAATCACTAGATGCCCTTGGTTATACTGCAAGATTCAATTCAAAACTGTCTTTGGCAAAAATTTTAAGAAGTAAAAGTATTCTTACCTTTAGAACAGAACCACTGTCGGCAGGTGTGATAAGCATCAGAGTCTCAAGAGACTCTTTGGGGAGGGGCACATTATTCTCATTTAACACAGCACTAGGAAGAAAAAGATAAATTCACATCATGTAGGACCTGTACAGGTACAGGCAGGATTTTCAAAGAAAGGGCTTAGGAAAGAAGTGCAACAAATTCATGTAGGGGAAGGTATATGAAAAAATGCTCAAAATCATCAGGGAAATGTAAATCCAAACTATGATGAGACATCATCTCGCTCCAGTTAAAATGGTTTTTTAATAAAAAAGATAGGCAATAACAGATGCTGGTGAGGACCCATAGAAAGGGTAACCCTCTTACGCTGCTGGTGGGAATGTAAATTAGTACAGCAACTTTAAAGAACAGTATGGAGGTTCCTCAAAAACTAAAAAGAGAATGACCATATGGTTCAGCAATTCCACTAATGGGTAAACATCCAAAAGAAAGAAAATCAATATATCAAAAAGACATCTGCCTCTCATTCTCATTGCAGCTCTACTCACTACAGTCAAAATATGGAACTGACCTAAGTGCCCAAGTGCTTAACGTATTGTCACATGTACCCTGAAACAAAGTACATCTATAGTGCATCAATATTTTAAAAAGTTAAAGGAAGCTGTGGACAAAGAAGTAAAGGAAACCAAGAAAACAATGTACCAACAAATATAGAATATTAAGAAAAATTATAAAAAGGAATTAACTTTGAAGCCGAAAAGTATAATTTTTTTTTAACTTCAGAGGTACATGTGCAGGTTTGTTATACAGGTAAACTTGTATCATTGGAATTTGTTGTACAGATTATTCTGTCAGCCAGGTATTAAGCCTAGTACCCATTAGTTATTTTTTGTGCTCCTCTCCCTCCTCCTGTGCTCTATTTTCTAACAGGCTCCACTGTCTGTTTTTCACCTCTATGTGTCCACGTGTTCTCATCATTTAGCTCCCACTTTACGCAGTATTTGGTTTTCTGTTCCTGTGTTAGTTTGCTAAGGATAATGGCCTCCAGCTCCACCCATATTTCTGCAAAGGACACAATTTCATTCTATTTCATTCTTTTTTATGGCTGCACAGTATTTCAAGGTGTGTACATACCACATTTTAAAAATCCAGTCTGCCAGCACCATTTATTGAATAGGGAAGCCTTTCTCCATTGCTTGTTTCTGTCAGCTTTGTCAAAGATCAGATAGTTGTAGGTGTGTGGCACTATTTCTGGGCTCTCTATTCTGTTCCATTGGTCTATGTGTCTGTTTTTATACCAGCAACATGCAGTTTTGGTTACTGTAGCCCTGGAGTACAGTTTGAAGTCAGATAGCATAATGCCTCCAGCTACTTCTTTTTCCTTAGGATTGCCTTGGCTATTTGGGCTTTTTTTTGGTTCCATATGAATTTTTAAATAGTTTCTTCTAGTTCGGTGAAGAATGTTATCAGTAGTTTAACAGAAATAGCATTGAATCTATAAATTGCTTTGGGCAATATGGCCATTTTAATGATATTGATTGTCACTTTTTTTTTTTTTTTTTTTTGAGATGGAGTCTCCCTAGGTTCACCCAGGCTGGGGTGCAGTGGCGCGATCTCGGCTTGCTGCAAGCTCCACCTCCCAGGTTCACTCCATTCTCCTGCCTCAGCCTCCCGAGTAGCTGGGATTACAGGCACCTGCCACCACACCCGGCTGTTTTTTTTTTTTTTAGTAGAGACGGGGTTTCACTGTGTTAGCCAGGATGATCTCGATCTCCTGACCTCGTGATCCACCCGCCTCGGCCTCCCAAAGTGCTGGGATTACAGGAGTGAGCCACTGCACCCAGCCAATATTGATTCTATCCATGGGCATGGAATGTTTTTCCATTAGTCTGTGTCATCTCTGATTTCTTTAAGCAGTGTTTTGTAGTTATCCTTGTAGAGATCCTTCACTTCCCTGGAAACCAAGAAAATCCTAGGTATTTTATTCTTTTTATGGCAATTGTGAATAGGACTGCGTTCCTGATTTGGCTCTCAGCTTGACTATTGTTGGTGTATAGGAATGCTAGTGATTTTTGTACACTGATTTTGTATCCTTAGACTTTGCTGAAGTTGTTTATCAGCTTAATGAGCTTTTAGGCTGAGACTATGGGGTTTTCTAGATATAGAATCATGTCGTCTGGAAACAGAGATAATTTGACTTCCTCTTTTCCTATTTGGATGCCCCTTATTTCTTTCTCCAGCCTGATTGCTCTGGCTAGGCCTTCCAATACTATGTTGAATAGGAGTGGTGAGAGAGGGCATCCTTGTCTTGTGCCAGTTCTCAAGGGGAATGCTTCCAGCTTTTGCCCATTCAGTATGATGTTGGCTGTGGGTTTGTCAGAGATGGCTTTTATTATTTTGAGGTATGTTCCTTGAATACTTCTTTTATTGAGAGTTTTTAACCCGAAGCAGTGTTGAATTTTGTCAAAAGCCTTTTCTGCATCTATTGAGATAATAATGTGGTTTTTGTCTTTATTTCTGTTTATGTGATGAATCACATTTATTGATTTTCATATGCTGAACCAACCTTGCATCCCAGGGGTATAGCTATTTGATTGTGGTGGACTGATGTGCTGCTGGATTCAGTTTGCCCGTATTTTGTTGAGGACTTTTGCATTGATGTTCATCAAGAATACTGGCCTGAAGTTTTCTTTCTTTGTTGTGTCATTGCCAGGTGTTCGTATCAGGATGATGCTGGCTTCACAGAATGAGTTATGGAGGAGTCCCTCCTCCTCAATTTTTTGAAATAGTTTCAGCAGTAATGGTACCAGCACTTCTTTGCACATTGGGTAGAATTCAACTGTGAATCCATCTAATCCTGGGCTTTTTTTGTTTGGTAGGCTGTTTACTACTGATTCAATTTTGGAGCTCATTATTGGTCTGTTCAGGTTTCAATTTCTTCCTGGCTGCCTTGGGAGAGTGTGTGTGTCCAGGAATTTATTAATTTCTTCTAGATTTTCTAGTTTATGTGCATAGAGGTGTTTGGTAATATTCTCTGATAGTTATGTGTATTTCTATGGGGTCAGTGGTAATATCCCCTTTGTTGTTTCTGATTGTGTTTATTTAGATCCTCTCTCTTTTCTTCATTAGTCTACCTAGCGGTCTATTATTTTTTCAAAAAAGCAACTCCTGGATTCATTGATCTTTTGTGGTTTTTTTGGATTTTTTTTTTTTTTTTTTTGAGACAGGGTCTCACTCCGTTTCCCAGGTTGGAGTGCAGTGCTGCAATCTCGGCTCACTGCAACCTCCGCCTCCCAGGTTCAATCTATTCTTGTGCCTCAGCGTCTGAAGTACCTGGGATAACAGGCATGCGCCACCCCGCCCAGCTAATTTTATATTTTTAGTAGAGATGGAGTTTTGCCATGTTGGTCAGGCTGGTCTTGAACACCTGGTCTCAAGTGATCCGTCTGCCTCCACCTTCCTAACTGCTGGGATTACAGCCATTGAGTCACTATGCCCAGCCTCATTTTTTGAGTGTTTTTTTGTGTCTTGATCTCCTTCAGTTCAGCTCTAATTTTTTTTTTTCTTATCTTCTGTTAGTTTTGGGGTTGGTTTTCTCTTGGTTCTCCAGTCCTTTTAGTTGTGATATTAGGTTGTTAAATTGAGATCTTTCTAACTTTTTGATGTGGGCATTTAGTGCTATAAATTTCCCTCTTAACACTGCCTTAGCTGTGTCCCAGGGATTCTGGTATGTCATATCTTTGTTCTCACTAGCTACAAGTAACTTCTTGACTTCTGCCTTATTTTTATTATATACCCAAAAGCCATTCAGGAGCAGGTTATTTAATTTCCATGTAACTGTATGGTTTTGAGAGAATTTCTTAGTTTTGATTTCTAATTTGATTGTGCTGTAGTCTGAGAGAGTGGCTGTTCTGATTTCAGTTCTTCTACATTTGCTGAGGAATACTCTATGTTCGATTATGTAATCAACTTTAGAGTATGTGCCATGCAGTGATGAGAGGAATGTATATTGTTATTTTGGGGTGGAGAGTTCTGTAGATGTCTATTAGGTCCATTTGACCCAGTGCTGAATTCAGGCCCTGAATATCTTTGTTGATTTTCTGCTTCGATGATGTGTCTAATACTATCAGTGGGCTGTTGACGTCTCCCACTATTACTGTGTGGGAGTATAAGTCTATTTGAAGGTCTCTAAGAACTTGCTTTCCGAGTCTGGGTGCTCCTGTATTGGGTGCATATATATTTAGGATAGTTAGTTCTTCTTGTTGAACTGAACCCTTTACTGTTATGTAATACAGGTCTGTGTGCTTTCTCTGTGCACTGCAGGCAGGGGTGGTTGCTCGTGATGGGGGAGAATCTGCTGTTCTCCATGCCTATTTTCACTCCTGCCACAGTGCTGGCTGGCCCTGTGCTTGCCAAGGTTGTGACTGCAGTGGCAGTTGATGGGACACGGGAGAGACATGCCCTCCTGCTGCAGCAGTGGCAGGGCAGGGTGCATGGACATAGGTGCACTGGTGGGGCAAGGAAACAAAGCCAGCCCATGCACACACATGCTAGCAAAGCGATGTGGGGCACTGCTGTAGCCCCAGGGGGAAGCTGAAGTGTGGGGAGGGAGTGGGCAGGCTGGTGCATGGCCGTGGGGACCGCCCTACAGGAACTCTCTGCAAGTCAGGCACAGTCTGCCAGTGCAAAAGCCAGGATGCTGGCTCCAAGGACGCCAGAGGCTTCCCGGCAAGCAGGTATGGCCAGGCTGGGGTCCTGGGGGACCATCAGACCAAGGGGTGCTCAGTTCAGAGCAGCCCTACCTGATGGACAAGATCGCCCTGCAGAGTTCAGGTCTGATAGTTCTCCTCGGGCTAAAGTTTCCTATGGGAGCAAGTTGACCCTAGGGGGATGGCTGTCCTTGGCCATGCTCCACAATAGATGCTCCTGCACCAAACCCTCTGGGCTCCACATCAGCTGGCTTGCTGCCCCACCACTTCTCTAAGCAGCTTTCCCTGCAACTCGAGTGTCCGTGGTGGTCGTGGGGCCTCTTCCTGCCAGGATTCCAGAGGCCCAGGGTGACAGCAGATTGCTCCTTGCCAGTTAAATTCACTCATCCCCTTGGAGTCGCTGGGGGCCGGAAGCAAGCCCCAGTGTGTGGAAGCCCCATGGAGGCTGCCCAGCTTCTGTGTCTCCATTTTTTTTTTTTAATAAAAAAATCACTAGAGGATTTCAATAGCAGATTCAAGCAGGCAGAATAGTCAGTGAACTTAAAGACAGGTTAACTGAGATTATTCAGTATCAGGAGGTGAAAGAAAAAATAATGAAAAAAATGAGCAGAGCTTGAGAAACTTGTGGGACATAATCAAGCATATTAATATACGTATTACAGGAGTTCTATAAGGAGAAGAGAAAGGGATAGAAAGATTATTTGAATAAATAATACTTGAAAATTCAATAGGTTTGATAAAAGACATGAATCTACACATCTAAGAAGCTCAATGAACTCCACAGGATAAACTCAAGAGATCCCCAACAGACATATTAATTAAACTGTCAAAAGACAAAAACAAAGAGAGATTCTCGAAAGTTGCAAGACAGAAACGACTCATCATGTACAAGGATCCTCATAAGAGTAAAAGCCAACTTCTCATTAGAAACCATGCAGACCAGAAGGCAATGGGATGACATATTTAAAAGCACTGAAAGAAAGTACCCTGTCAACTAAGAATTCTATATTCAACAAAACTAACCTTCAAGAATGAAGGCGAAATTAAGACATTCTCAGATAAACAAAAGCCAAGAAAGTTTCTTACAGGTAGATATTCCTTACATAAAATGCTAAAGGGAATCTTCAAGCTGAAAGAAAAGAATACTACCCAGTAACTCGAAACCATATAAAGAAAAATAGAGAAAATTACTGGTAAAGGTAATTAAACAGGTAAGCATAAAAGTAAGTATTTTACAATTTGGGTATAACTTCTCTTTTATTCCACTATTATTTAAACGATAAATACATAAAACAATTACAAATTAACTTTAATAGGCCCACAATGTGTACATATGCAATTTTTTTTTTGTTTTGATATGGAGTCTTGCTCTGTCGCCCAGGCTGGACTGCAGTGGCACGATCTCGGCTCACTGCAAGCTCCGCCTCCCAGGTTCACGCCATTCTCCTGCCTCAGCCTCCCGAGTAGCTGGGACTATAGGCACCCGCCACCACGCCCGGCTAATATTTTGTATTTTTAGCAGAGACGGGGTTTCACCATGTTAGCCAGGATGGTTTTGATCTCCTGACCTCGTGATCTGCCCACCTCAGCCTCCCAAAGTGCTGGGATTACAGGCGTGAGCCACCACGCCTGGCCCATAAACATGTAATTTGTGACAATAACAAAATAAAGGGGCAGAAACACACACATACAGGAGAACAAAGGTTTTGCAGAGTATTGAAGCTATATATAGTATTAATTCAAACTAGGCTGTATAAGATGCTAATTTGATTCCAAAATAACCACTAAGGGATAAATTTTTAAATATAGGGAAGGGGCCGGGTGCAGTGGCTCATGCCTGTAATCCCAGCACTTTGGGAGGCTGAGGCGGGCAGATTACCTGAGGTCGGGAGTTCGAGACCAGCCTGACCAACATGGAGAAACCCTGTCTCTACTAAAAATACAAAAAAAAAAATTAGCCGGGCATGGTGGTGCATGCCTGTGATCTCAACTACTCGGGAGGCTGAGGCAGGAGAATCGCTTGAACCCGGGAAGCAGAGGTTGCGGTGAGCCAAGATTGTGCCACTGCCCTCCAGCCTGGGCAACAAGAGTGAAACTTGGTCTCAAAAAATAAATAAATAAATAAATACATATAGGGAAGGAAATGCAAAGGAAATCAAGGGGTATGCTCATGAAAAAAAAAAACGTTAAACAAAGAAGACAGTAATGGAGAAACTGAGGAACAAAATTGACAAAAGACATACAGAAAACAAATACTACAATGGAAGAAGTCCTTTATCAGTAATCACTTTAGATGTAAGTGGATTAAAGTAAAATTACGATGGTAGAGAGTGGCAGAAAGAATTTTTTAAAATGATCCATCTGTATGTTATCTACAAGCCTCACTATGATCCAAAGATGTGAATAGATTGAAACTGAAAAGACAGAAAAAGATATTCAATGCAAATAGTAACCAAAAGACAGCTGTGGTTGCTATACTAATATCAGACAAATAGACTTCAAATCAAAAGATAAAGGACAAAAGACAAAGAGACACATTATACATTGATAAAAGATTCAATCCATCAAGAAGATATAACAATTACAAACATATACAGAACTATCAACAGAGACCCAAATATATGAAGCAAAATATGTAAAGAACTGAGGGGGGAAAATAGACAATTCTATAATAGTAACTTGATATTTAAATATTTCACTTCCATTCATCATTATGGGTAGAACAACCAGAGAAAAGATCAATAAGGAAATAGAATTAAACAATAATATAAACCAATGAGCCCTAATGAACATATATAGAACACTCCACCTAATAACTGCAGAATGTACATGTACCTTCTTCTCAAGAACATACAAAACATTCTCTACTAGACTGCATGTGTTAGGCCACAAAACAAATCTCAATACATTTAAAGAGACTAAAGTCATACCACATATCTTCTCTTACCATAATGAATGAAATTATAAATAACTTAATTGGAAAACTGGAAAATTCATAAATACAGAAATTAAATAAAACATTCTCAAAAAACAATAAAGGAAGAAATCACAAGGGAAATTAGAAAATAATTTGAGATGAATGAAAAAAATACCAAAATATTTGAAATGCAGCAAAAGCAACGCTCAGAATAAAATTTATAGCTGTAAATCCCTACATTTAAAAATAAGATCTTAAAATCAATAACCTAACTTTACACCTTAAGGAACTAGAAAAACAAAGAACTTAAGAAAAACTTAAATCCAAAAGTTAGTCCACTGAAAGATCAACAAGATTGACAAATATTTAGCTAGACTTATGAGGAAGAAAAGATTCAACTAATATCAGAAATTAAAAAGGGTGAAACCTCTCAGTAAAAAACAAATAAAAAGGATTTGAAGAAAATACTATGAGCAATTTACTCCAGTAAATTAAATCACCTAGGTGAAATGCAAACATTCCTGAAAACAAATTACCAAAACTGACTTAAGACGAAATGGAAAATCTGAATAGACTTACAACAAGTAAAGAGATTGAATCAGTAATCAAAAACTTTCCAACAAAGAAAAGCCCAGGACCATAGCTTCACTGGTGAATTCTACCAAATATTTAAAGAATTAACAATAATCCTTCTCAATCTCTTCCAAAACACAGCAGAAGAAGGAACACTTCCTAAATCATGCTATGAGGCCAACACTATTGCCCTGTCACCAAAGTCAAATAAAGACATTGTAAGAAAATTACAAACCAGCCAGGCATGGTGGCTCACAGCTATAATCCCCAGCAATTTGGGAGGCTGAGGTAGAAGTACTGCTTAAGGCCAGGAGTTGGAGAAACCTACAGACCAATATCCCTGATGAATATATATACAAAAGTCCTAAAAAAAATGTTATCAAACTGCATCGAGAAGAATATTAAAAAGCTTATATAACATGACCAAGTAGGATTTGTTCTAGAAGTTCACAAGAGTGGTTCAACATCAGAAAACCACACCATATTAACAGAAAGAAGGAAAAAATCTCAATTGATGAGCATCTCAACTGATGCAGAAAAAGCATATAACAAAAATGCAACACTTTTTCATGATAAAAACAAACAGAATAGAATGGAATTTCCACAGTATGGTAAAGGGCATATATGAAAAACATACACACAACACTCAATGGTGAAAGACTGAAAGCTTTCCCTTTATCCCTTTCAGGAATAAAATAAGAATGTCAGTTTTTGTCTCTTCTGTTCAACACTGTACTGGAAGTTCTAGCCAAAGCAATCAGGTAAGAAAAAGAAATAAAAACTTCCCAACTGGAAATAAGGAAGTAAAACTATCGCTATTCACAGATGCCATAATCATGTATATAGAAAATCTTATAGAATGCAGAAAAAACCAGCTGGGTGTGGTGGCTCACACTTGTCATCTCAGCACTTTGGGAGGCCGAGGCGGGCCGATTACCTGAGATCAGGAGTTCAAGATTAGCCTGGCCAACATGGTAAAACCCCATCTCTACTAAAAATACAAAAATTAGCTGGGCATGGTGGCAGGTGCCTGTAATCCCAGCTACTCAGGAGGGTGAGGCAGGAGAATCGCTTGAACCCAGGAGGCAGAGGCTGCAGTGAACCAAAATCGCGCCATTGCATTCCAGCCTGGGTGACAAGAGCAAGACTCCGTCTTTAAAAAAAAAAAAAAAAAAAAAAGGGCCAGACGCAGTGGCTCCTGCCTGTAATCCCAGCACTTTGGGAGGCCGAGGTGGGTGGATCATGAGGTCAGTGGTGTTTTGTAGTTTTCAGTGTACAAGTCTTTTGCCTCCTTGGTTAAATTGTTTCCTAGGTTTTTAAATCTTTTATGCTGTTGTAACATAGTTGTTAATTTTGTTTTCAAACTGTTCACTGCTAGTGTATAGAAATACAACTGATTTTTGTGTATTTATCTTGTATTCTGCAACTGTGCTGAGTTTATTAGATCTAATAGGTTTTTTTCTGCATTATTATTATTATTATTATTTTTTGAGATGGAGTCTCGCTCCGTCGCCCAGGCTGGAGTGCAGTGGCGTGATCTCGGCTCACTGCAAGCTCCGCCTCCCAGGTTCACGCCATTCTCCTGCCTTAGCCTCCCGAGTAGCTGGGACTACAGGCACCCGGCTAATTTTTTGTATTTTGAGTAGAGACAGGGTTTCACTGTGTTAGCCAGGGTGGTCTCGAACTCCTGGGCTCAAGCAATACTCCCACATCAGCCTGGATTACAGGCATAAGCCACCATGCCCAGCTGAAAAAATTAACTGAAAATAGACAGAAGATCTAAATATGTTTCCTATACTGGAAGTTCTAGCCAAAGCTATGCAACTGTTAATCATTATGATCTTGAATTTCACAATGGTTTCTTATATAAAACACTAAAAGCACAGACAACCTAAGAAAAGTAGATAAATTAGACTTCGTCAAAACAAAGAATTTTTATGCATCAAAAGGCTGATCACTAAGAAAGTGAAAAGACAATCCACAGAATGGGAAAAAATATTTTCAAATCATGTATTCGGTAAGAGTCTAGTATTAAGAATTGATATTCAATCAAGGACTCCTACAATTCAACAATAAAGTAAACCCAATTTAAAAATGGGTAATCTGTCATGGGATTAGAAAAAAAAAAGAAATAAAAATAAATGGGGTGGGCAGGCACAGTAGGTCACACCTGTAATCCCAACACTTTTTAGGGCCAAGGTAAGAGGATTGCCTGAGGCTAGGAGCTTGAGACCAGTCTGAGCAACTTAGTGAGACCCCATCTCTAAAAAAATAAAATAAAATAAACTTTTTTTTTTTAAATTAGCTGGGCAGGGTGGTGTGTGCCTGTAATCCTAGCTACTCAGAGGGCTGAGGCAGGAGGATCACTTAAGCCCAGGAGTTCAAGGTTACAGTGAGCTATGATTGTGCCACTGCATTCCAGCCTGGGTGATTGAGCAATAATGTCTCTAAAAAATAAGAAAATAAAATAAAAAATGAGCAAAGGACTTGAATAGACATTTATCCAAAGAAGTTACACGAATGGCCAACAAACACATGAAAAAATCCCCAACATTCTTAATCATTAGAGAAATGCAAATCAAAAGTACACTGAGGCTGGGTGTGGTGGCTCCCACCTGTAATTTCAGCACTTTGGAAGGCTGGGATGGGAGGCTCGCTTGAGCTCAGGAGTTCGAAGACCAGCCTGGGCAACACAGTGACACCTTGTCTCTCCCAGAAATGAAAAAAAACTTAGCCGAGCATGGTGGCATGTGCCTGTAGTCCCTGCTACTAAGGAAGCTCAGGTGGGAGGATCGTTTGAGCCTAAGTTTGAGGCTGCAATGAGTTGTGCTTGTGCCACTGCACTCCAACCTGGGTGACAGAGCAAGACCCTGTCTCAAAAAAAAAAAAAAAAAAAAGTACAGTGAAATACCATGAGAGTGTAAAGAAATAAAAACCCTCACTCATTACTGGGAGAAATAGAAAATGGTGCAGTGGTTGTAGAAAACAGTTTGGCAGTTCCTTAAAAGGTTAAAAGCAGAATTACCGTATGACTCCGGAATTCTACTCTAGATGTGTAACTGAAAAACAGGTGTTCAAACACAAAATTGTACATGACTATTCATAGCTGCAATATTCCTAACAGTCAAAAGGTGGAAACAATCTAAATGTCTATCAACAGATGAATAAACAAACTGTGGTATATCCATACAATGAAATATTATACAGCCATAAAAGGAAATAAAGTCCTGATACATAATAGTACAGTATGGATGACCCTGGAAACATTATGCTAAGTGAAAGAAGCCAGACACAAAAGACCTCATATTACAGAGTATCATTTATATGAAATGTCCAGATAGGTAAATCTATAGAGACAGAAAGTAGAAAAGTACTTCCTCAGGGTTAGGGGAAAGGCAGTGCAGGGTAGATGGGGTTACAGTTAAAGAGCAGGGGATTTCTTTTTGAGGTGACGAAAATATTCTGAAATTTGTTACTGATGGTGGTTGTATGTACTAAATACAGAATGTACTAAATGTACAAAAATGTACCAAAAACTATTGAATTGCACACTTTAAATGGATGAATTGTGTGGTATTTGAATCAAATTTATCAATGAAGCTGTTACTACAAAAATAAATGATCTGAATAGACATTTCTCCAAATAGACATACACGAAAGGATGTTCAACATCATTAGTCCTTAGGTAAATGCAAATCAAACCACAATGAGATGAGACACACTTTATACTCACTAGGATGAGTATAATAAACAAGGAGAATAATAAGCACTGTCAATGACACGGAGAAATTGGAATCCTCATACATTGCTGGTAAGAATGAAAAATGTTACGGCCATTTTGGAAGACATTTGGCAGTTCTTAAGAAAGTTAAATATAGAGTTACCATATGACTGAGGAGAAATGGTGTTACTCCTAGGTATATACTAAGGAGAACTGAAAGTATATTTACAAAAAAAAATTTGTATGCAAATATTCACGTCTAGCTTTGTTCACAATAGCTAAAGAGTGGAAACAATTCAAATGTCCATCAACTGATATATGGATAAATAAATGTTGTATATCTATATAATGAAATATTATTTAGCCATAAGGAGGGACAAAGTACCAACATATGCTACAATATGGACAAATCTGGAAAATATTACGTTGAATGTAAGAAGCCAGACACAAAAGGACACGTATAATTCCATTGACATAAACTGTCCAGAGTAGGTAAATCCACAGAGACAAAGTAGATTAGTGGTTGCCAGGTGCTGGGCAAGAAGCAGAATATGGAGTGACTGCTAATGGGTAAAGTGTTTGCAGACTTTAGGTAAGGTAGAAACCTTCATACTCACTATAATACTCATCCTAGTGAGTATGAAGACCTTAGGTAAGGTAGAATGAGGATGAGTATATATGAGAACTAGGATGAGTATTATAGTGAGTATGAAGGTTTCTACCTTACCTAAGGTCTGGAAAGGGTAAGGAGTGAGGGTAAGGAGTTTCTAGACCTATGGTGTTTCTAGAACATTCTCAAACAATGTTCTAGAATTTATTATAGTGGTAATGGTTGCACAATTTTGTAAAATTACTGAATTGTGTATTTTTAAAGAGTGAATTTTGTGGTATGTGAATTATGTCAGTAAAAAAAAGAAAGAAAAATGATCTAAATCTATTATGGTAAAATGTTAAGATGTGACAAAGCTTGATATTTGGTATACAGGTATACTATATACAGTATATTATATACTTCTCCATAGTGTCTCTGTGCCTAAAATACTGCATTTTCAAAAAGGAGGTACAGTAAAACAGAACAGTGTTGTATAGCATGGGGAAAATAGATTAAAAGAGAAGGAAAAGATCTAGAAATACACCCATGTTTATATAAGAACCTAGTATATTTCAAAGGATGCATTTGAAATCCTAGGGGAAAAATAGATTCTTCAAAATATGAACAGGCATTTAGAAAAATAAATCTGCATGTATGCTCTAGGCTCTTTCCAGCTTCAAGAGTTCAATGAAACTTCTGATGAACATTGGGCAGTCCTGTTCCCATTACCCTTCTCCTGGCAAACAAAAAATTTTATTCTGAAAGACTTCAATAATAACAATAGTACTAAAAATGTTATTACTAACAGTGGTTATCAGAATTTTCTTTCCTTTTTTTTTTTTTTTTTTTTTTGAGACAGAGTTTCGCTCTGTTGCCCACGCTGGAGTGCAGTGGCACGATCACGGCTCACTGCAACCTCTGCCTCCTGGGTTCAAGCAATTCTCCTGTCTTGGCCTCCCCAGTAGCTGGGATTACAGGCGTGCGCCACCATGCCCAGCTAATTTTCGTATTTTTAGTAGAGACGGGTTTCACCATGTTGGCTAGGCTGGTCTTGAATTCATGACCTCAGGCGATCCAAAGTGCTGGGACTACAGGCGTGAGCCACCACGGCCTGGCCCCTTAGAAAAAAAACCAGGGTCTCACTCTGTCACTCAGAATGAAGCGCAGTGGTGCGATCATAGCTCACTGCAGCCTCAAACTCCTGGGCTCACGAGATTGTCCCTCTTCAGTCTTTTGAGGAGCTAGGCCTACAGCGTGGATCACCATGCTCGGCTAATTTTTTATTTTTAATTGTAGAGACAGGATCTCACTATCTTGCCCAGGCTAGTCTCAAACTGCTGGCCTCAAGTGATCCTCCTGCCTTGACCTCTGAAAGTGCTGGGATTACAGGTCTGAGACACCGTGCCTGGCAATTAGCATTAGTTACAAGGTCAAGTTGTAATTCTAGCTTTACCCTGATCACCAATTAGTACTTTTGCTGAGTACTAACTATTATAATATAAAGTGCTATACACTATGCATACTATGTGTGGTGCCATGTTGACTGCGGTATCTGGAACTGAATATGATTAATCACAATCATATTCCTTGACTGAATCAGTTTTGAACAGTAAAAAAAGAAACAGCATTTATTTGCTCAACATTTTTTAACACTAAGCACAGAACATTAGATTCACAGTGGTGAAGAAAGTCAATGGCCATAAAGCATGGAATAAAAGCCTAACTAACAAGACAAATAAATGCCAAAATACTCATTAAAGGGAGCAAGGGCAGAAGAGACTTGGAGGGAGCAGCAAAGAAAGTTAACTACATTACTGTGAGAACCCATGGCAAGTAAGTTGATAAGAACAAGGCCATTGTGATAACAGGATGACATGAAAGTTTACTGTAAGAGAATAATACACACTCCTTACCAGGTGACTGAAAAGATCACACATATCTTTAAGACGGTTTCTGCTCTGTTGGTTCGAATCAGTTGAAGATAAATGGGAATGTTGGGAGACTAATTAGGAACATCTTCAAATAATATAAAACTAGGTACTAAGTGGTCTGTAATGGATACAATAGAGTGAATTCAAGCTATCTTTCAGACAGACATCCTGAAACCATGTGGTGACAGACTGAGAAGAAAAAAAAGACAAAGATAGATAAGAACATCAATTTAATTCAGTCTACCCAGAACTGTACCTGTTTGTGGCAGCATCCTGAACATTGGCATTTTTATGACTTAATAAGCTATCTTCTTTTGTAACCTAAGAAAATGAAATATTAAAAAAAGTAAATCTTTATTGAGGATACTAAAGTAACAAGAAATTTACATTTCTTTCTGGTAACAACAGAAATATCAGTTTGCTTTAATTAAAATAAGAGGTAATCATACCTTATCTATGGAAATACCAGCAGTGTACCTAGTACAATCTTACCCCATACCTAAATTAATAATCAAAGATTCCTTTTTTTATTTGGTATACAAATTCACACAATCTTACTAGATGGTTCTCAATAATGCACCCATTTTTTATTTTTTTTTTGAGATTGAGTCTCACTCTGTCCCCCAGGCTGGAGTGCAGTGGTACAATCTCAGCTCACTGCAACCTCTGCCTCCCAGGTTCAAGTGATTCTCCTGCCTCAGCCTCCCGAGTAGCTGGGATTACAGGTATGTGCCACCACACCTGGCTAATTTTTGTATTTTTAGTAGAGACATGGTTTCACCATGTAGGTCAGTCAATCTTGAACTCTCCTGATGTCAAGTAATCCACCTGCCTGGGCCTCCCAAGGTGGTGGGATTACAGGCATGAGGCACCGCACCTGGCATCAATAATGCACCAATTTTTTTTAAAGTACAGTTTAATAAATTTTTTTAAAGGCATACAAGTGTTTAGCCAACATCATGTAACATTTCTACTATCTCCCCCACTCCCCGCCTCAATATTCCCTTGAGGCTTCCCACATAATCCCATGAAAAAACCCTTATTTGAGGTAAATGATGATCTATACTTTACACAGTTTCATATAATTGGAATCACAGTACCTATCCTTTCCATCTGCTTCTTTAGAGCAGCATGGAGATGTCTTTGAGATTCACTCATGTTGTTGTACAAATCACTAATTTATTCCTTTTTATTCAGACATTTCATTGTATAGATACATCACAATCATCTGTTTTTAGCTATTTCATATAAAGCTGCTAGGAACATTCATGTACTAACATCTGTGTTAACCTGAGTTTTGATTTCTCTTGGGCAAATATCTAAGAATGTAATTGCGGGTTAGATGATATGTGTATGTCTGATGCATTGCCAAACTCTTTTAAAGTGTTTATACAATTTTATGTTCTTACCAGCAATGTATGTGCACCACAGGAGCTCTATCATCACCAGCACAGGGATGGTCAGTGTTTAATTTTAGCTATTTCAGTGGATGTGGCTTTCATCATTAATTATGATGTTGTAGATTTTGTTCATAAATGCTCTTTATCAAAGTGAAGGAGTTTCATTCTTTTGCTAGTTTGCTGAGAGTTTTTATCATGAACAGGTGTTGAATTTTGTGAAATGCTTTTCTACATGAATTGAGACAATTTTATGTATTTTTTAATATGGTGAACTATCTTGGGTTTTGAATGATAAACCAACATTTTCCCCAAGATAAACCCTACTTGGTCATGATGTATGATCCTACTTATAAAGTTTTGAATATATTTTGTTAAGAACTTTTAAGTTAATGTTCAAGAGGAGTAGTGGTCTGTAGTTTCTTGTATTTTTTTTCTGGTTTTGGTACTGGGGTGACACTAGTCTCATAAGATGAATTGGGAAGTGTTCCTTCCTCTTCTATCTTTTTGAAAAACTTTGTAGAACTGCTAATATTTCTTCCATAAATGTTTAGTAGATTTCACAATGAAGGTATTTGATCCTGGATTTCTCTTCATGAGAAGGTCTTTTCACTATAAAATCAAATCCCTTTACTTTAGGGTTACTCATGTTACTTCTCTATTCCTCAAGTCAAGAAAGATCCAAAATGATAACTGAAATGTAAGGTAATGATTTCTTAGTCCATTCAGGCTGTTCTAACAAAACAACATAATCTGAGTGGCCTATAAATAACAAATATTTATTCCTCACAGTTCTGGGGGCTGAGAAACAGAAGATTATGGCACTGGCAGAATTAGTGCTTGGTGAGGGCCCATTCCTCATAGATGGCGCCTTCTCACTGCATCCTCACATGGTTGAAGGGTTAAATAAGTTCCCTCCAGGCTCTTTTATAAGAGCACTAATCCTACTCTTGGGGGCTCTACCAAAGGCCCCATCTGTTAATACCATGGCTTTGGGGATTAGGTTTCAACATAAAAATTTTGCGGGGGTATGCAACCATTCAGACCATAGCAAATAATAACTATTACTACTACTGCTACTATAACTATTGAGGGTCAACACTTTCTAAATGCTCATTATGTGCCAGGCACTATTCCATGTCCTTTAATTATCTTATTTCACCTTTACAACCCAGCTTAAGGTAGGTACTACCATTATCCTATTTTATACATAATTAAACTGTGGCTCAGAGAAATCAACTAACTTGCCCAAGTCACAAAGCTAGTAGGTGGTAGAACAGAAATGAGATTCTAGAGTCAATACTATCATATTTTATATTTATTTTATATGTAAATATGTTGTAAAACATGTTTATATTCTGGGGAGAAAATGGAAAAAGAACATGAACAATATTCCTAAAGTCCAATCAGGTCTCTTCAAGGCTTGTACCTGAGGACAGGATGGGTAAACTGCATCTTCTCCATAACAGGTGAATTTGAAATCCTAGTTGACAACTGACTTAGTGAGGCAGGCTTCTGTCCTGGTTTTAGGACAGAATGTAAGTTTGAAAGTCACGGAGAGCCAAGGAAAAGCTGATTTTGAGAACAAGGCTGCCGCATCTCTCATGGAAGCTAGTCCCTACCCCCTCCATCCTTCACCATGGCACAGCCAACTCTTCACCTTGTACCTCACTCTTTTTGCTAATTACATAAACATATCGCCAAATTGAGGGTAGATGGGTTGTGGGGAATAGTGGATGGATAAAGACAGACCTAGAATCATAGATTTAATACTGAAATAAGGCTTTAAAAATCACAAGGCTTTCTGGCTATCAAAGTGGCAAACATTGAAGGCTCACTTCTATACAAATTTGGCTTTTTTAGCCTTCGTATCCCCCTGAGCATCTTTACTCTTATTTTTTAACTCCCTGACTGCACCATTAATCTAGCTTGATTAGAATTTAGAGTTGGGGAAGGCAACTCTCTACATCCCATGCTCATTTCACTTCACCAGGGCTATCTATCAAAGGCAGCTTACCTTATGCACTGCTTCTACTTGAGCCTTCAAAATGTTACTCTTGAAGTCAGGAGGAACTCTCATGACATTCAATCCTGGGCTCTCAATGACATTATTAAGGCATTTCTCAGTCAACTTCACCACTTCCTCCTAGATATTTTAAAAATATACTATAATCAACTCTGATGCACTATAGTTATATGGAAATAGGAAATAGACTGATGAAAGTTCATCTGCAGACAATCAGGAAATCATGTGTCTTAAGCAGCCATATCTTATTTCAGGCATAAGCAATTCTTAAAGTCATCTATCTGTGAAGAGCTCTGGATTTAAAAGGAACAGCCTCTGTAGGGCCTAACCTAAAATTGTAGCAAACTATAACCCAAAGGGCAAATCTGGCCAACCACCTGTTGTATAAACACAGTTTGCTGGAATTCAGCCATATTCATTCCTCTGTGCCGCTTTCATGCTACAACTGGCAGAGCTAAGTAGCTGTGAAAGAGACTACGAGGTTCTGCAAGACTAAAATATTTACTATCTGGTCCTTTACTATTTACTAATATTTACTAAAATAATCTGCCAACCTCTGGTCAAGAGAATAGACTTCATGCCCTACTTTTCATCTTTTAGCCCAAAAATACTAGTTGCTAAAGCTCACACATGCCTTAATTGCACCCACTGTCCTCGCTGAATGCAGTTGAGATTCTGTTCCTTTATGCTTTTAAAACAAAGTACTGCTCATCAAAGAACAAGAAAAACTGATTCCTGAAATAAAATTTGAAGATAAAGAACATTCTGGATTGCCTTAGGAAATTAAGGGGAAGGAAGTAATTCAAAAATCTATAGATCTTGATAGGTCATAAATCCTAAAGGATTTCAGACATAGGTCAAGAGAAAACCGAAGTCTGGAAGGGGATAATGAAGGAGACAAATAAATAATATAAATGTATTTATTACCACTGAACGATACACTTAAAAATGGTCAAGATGGTAAATTATATATGTATATTTTACCTTGTTTTTTTTTTTTTTTTTTTTTAAAAAAGAAAGCACAGAGACTAAGTTGCAGAGAGGAGGGATGAAGAAAGAGAAGAATCTTGACAACTCCTAGAATCACGGCATCTCAAAGTTGGAAGTTACAAGAGTCCATCCAACCACCAAAATACTTCAAGAGGTGGGTAATTTTTAGTCTTAGCCTGAGAAACATCACACACTGGAAAACTTGCTACTTCCTTGGTCAGATGACTGTTAGGAAACACTTTCCTGTGTTAAGGTCAAATCTGCATACCTCTAACATATTCATTGACCTTAACTCTTCCCTGAGGCCATTAAAAAGCAAGTCACATTAATTCCTCTTTCACATAATAGCTCTTCATATATCTAAAGATGGTTAACATGCTCTCTCCTGAGATTTCTACGTGGCAATCATCTAGCTAATAATCCCAAATTGTAACTTAGTTTCAAGACCCTTCACCATACAGATCCTTCTCTTCTCAAACTGCCACTTTTCTATATCATTTTTAGAGTGCTATCCAGAAATGAAAAAAATAGTTGAACCTCCCCTTTTGAACCCTTTGAATTAAGACAACATAACTCTTTGGCAGCTGATTCATACTTCATTTACATATTCTTACTTTTTAAATACATGCTGCTGTGATATTCTAGTCCCCTACCCTAGCCCTGTACTTATGATTTGTCAAAGTCTATGTTCTTAAACCCAGTCTGTCATTCCAATCTATCCAAGCCTTCATGGATCCTGATTTTGTCTTTCAAAAACTGTACTTCCCAGCTGTTATCATCTGAAAATTCAATTAGCATAATAGACCTGGGAAAGAAAGTGGTCACTGGAGATGGCCATTTGCAATATTAACTTCTGTGGGATTTAGACAGGGCTAAAGTTTCCTGAGGGTCAAGAACTTGTCATTCCACTCGTCTGCGAATTCCACACAGTATTTATTTTATCTTACAAAAAGTAGGCAATAAACACATTTTTAGAACTGAACCAACAGTACATAAGGCATGTCAGGTGACTGTATAAATCCTGCATAATGCAGGCCGGATGTGATCTCTCTACAATGGGCTCTTACAACACTGTCAACTCTGCTGTCAGTAGTGCTAGTCTGAGCCTTAAGATTAGGTTGCTGGCTAAGACATTCTCAGTTCTTAGGGCAAGTCATCCAACAAATCATGCTTTACTTTAGAATGACGTATTTTATTTTCAGTAGGTTTTCTTCCTAAAATTACTTTAGTCAGGCCAACATTAAGATTAATTTGCATTCCTTAAGCAAACAACAACTGTTGATAGCAGAGGTAGAGAAATCAGCCTTTATTAAAAATGCATCACATTAATAAAACATGAATCAACTTTTTCACAATACAGGTTGTGCATCCCTTTTCCAAAGTGCTTGGGACTAAAAGTATTTCAGATTTTGTATTTTTTCAGATTTTGGGATATATGCATTATACACTGGTTGAGCATTCCAAATACGAAAATCCAAAATAAAAAATGCTCCAATGAGCATGTCCTTTGTGCATCACATCAGTGCTCAAAAAGTATTAGATTCTGGATCATTTTGAATTTTAAATTTTCAGATCGGGGGGCTCAACTTCTACTCAAGTTGACTAGAGTTAAGGCAAGGTAGTCACATGTCCTTTATTAGTAGTACAATACTGAATTCTTCCTTCTTTTCTTAAAAAATCTTTTCTATTTTTATGGGTACATAGTACTTGTATACATTTATGGGGTACACGAGATATGTAGATACAGGCATACAATGTGTAATCATCACATCAGGGTAAATGGAGTATCCATCACCTCAAACATTTATCATTTCTTGTGTACAAACATTCCAATTATACCGTTATTTTTAAATGTACAGTAAGTTATTGACTGTAGTCACCCTGTTATGCTATCAAATGCTATCTCTTACCCATTCTATCACTCTAACTATACTTTTGTAGCCATTAACCATACCCACTTTTCCCCACACCCTCCATACTACCCTTCCCATCTGGTAACCATCTATCTCCGCAAGTTTAATTCTTCGTTTTTTGGCTCCCATAAATGAGAACATACCAAGTTTGTCTTTCTGTGCCTGGCTTCTCTTAATATAGTGTCCTCCAGTTCCATCCATGTTGTTGCAAATGATAGTATCTCATTCTTTTTATGGCCGAATAGTACTTCATTGTGTATATGTACCAGATTTTCTTTATCTATTCATCTGTTGATAGATATTTAGGTTGATTCCAAATCTTGGCTACTGTGAACAGTGCCACAATAAACATGGGAGTGCAGATATCTCTTCGATATACTGATTTCCTTTCTTTTGGGCATATTATCTAGCAGTAGGATTGCTGGATCATATGATCGTTCCATTTTTGGGTTTTTGAGGCACTCTGTACTTCTGTACTAATTTACATTCCCACCAACAGTGTACAAGGGTTCCTTTCTCTCCACATCCTCGTCAGCATTCATTATTGCCTGTCTTTTGGATAAAAGCCATTATAACTGGGGTGAGATGATATCTCACTGGAGTTTTGATTGGCATTTCTCTGATGATCAGTGATGTTGAGCACCTTTTCATAAACTTGTTTGCCATTTGTATGTCTTCTTTTGGGAAATGTCTATTCAGATTTTTTGCCCATTTTAAAATCAGATTATCAGATTTTTTTCCTATTGAGTTGTCTGAGCTCTTTATATATTCTGGTTATTAGTCCATTGTCAGATGGGTAATTTGCAGATATTTTCTACCATTCTGTGGGTCATCTCTTCACTTTGTTGATTGTTTCCTTTGCTGTGCAGGAACTTTTTAACTTGATGTGATCTCATTTGTCTATTTTTGCTTTGGTTGCCTATGCTTTTGGGATATTATTCAAGAAATCTTTGCATAGACTGATGTTTTAGAGAGTTGCTCCAATATTTTCTTTTAGTGGTTTCATAGTTTGAGACCTTAGATTTAAGTCTTTAATCCATTTTCATTTGATTTTTGTATATGGCAGAGATAGAAGTTTCATTCTTCTGCATATGGAAATCCAGTTTTCCTAGCACCATTTATTGAAGAGACTGTCCTTTCCCCAGTGTATGTTCTTGGCACCTTTGTCAAAAGTAAGCTCACTGCAGATGTATGGATTTATTTCTGGCTTCTCTATTCTGTTACATTGGTCTATGTGTCTGTTTTTATGCTAATACCATGAGTTTTGGTTACTATAGCTCTGTAGTATAATTTGAAGTCAGGTACTATGAGTTCTAAAGTTTCGTTTTTTCTTCTCAGGACGGCTTTGGCTATTCTGAGTCTTTTGTGGTTCCATATAAATTTTAGATTATTTTTTTCTATTTCTTTGAAGAATATCATTGGTATTTTGATAGGGATTAAATTGAATTGGCAAACTGCTTTGGGAAGTATGGACATTGAATCAATACTGAGTCTTCTAATCCATGAACATGGAATATCTTTCAAATTTTGTGTCCTCTTCGATATCTCATACCATTATTTTGTAGTTTTCATTGCAGAAATCTTTCACTTCTTTGATTATTTTTATTCTTAGGTATTTCATTTTATTTGTGGCTATTGTAAATGGGATTACTTTCCTGATTTTTTCTTCAGTTTGTTTGCTGTTGGCATGTAGAAATGCTACTGATTTTTGTATGTTGATCTGTATCCTGCCACTTTACTGAATTTATTAGTTCTAATTGTTTTTCTTTTTCTTTAGTTTTTTCCAAATATAAAATAGTATCATCTGATGATAATTTGAATTCTTCCTTTCCAATTTAGATGCCCTTTATTTCATTCTCTTGTCTGATTGCTCTAGCTAGGTCTTCCAGTACTACACTGAATAACAGCAGTGAAAGTGGGCATCCTTGCCTTTTTCCAGATCTTAAAGGAGGCTTTCAGGCATGATACTAGCTGTGGGTCTGTCATAACATGGCTTTTAGTGTGCTGAGGTATGTTCCATCTATACCCAGTTTTTTTAGTTTTTTTTTCTTAATCACAAAGGGATATTGAACTTTATCAAATGTTTTTTCAGCATCAATTGAAATGATCATATGGTTTTTGTCCTTCATTCTGCTGATATAATGTATCACCCTTGATTGATTTACATGTGCTAACCCATCCTTATTACATCCTGGGATAAATCCCACTTGGACGTGATGACTTATCTTTTTAATATGTTGTTGAATTCAGTTTGCTAGTATTTTATTGAAGATTTTTGCATCAGTATTCATCAGAGATACTGGTCTACAGTTTTCCTTTTTTGAGGTATCTTTGTCTGGTTTTGTTATCAGGGTAATACTGATCTCATAAAATGAATTTGGAAATATTCTTTCCTCCTCTATTTTTTGGAATAGTTTGAGTAGGATAGGTATTAGTTCTTCTTTAAATATTTGGTAAAATTCAGCAGTGAAGCCATCAGGTCCTGGGCTTTTCTTTGCTGGGAGACTTTTTATTACAGCTTCGATCTTGTTACTTGTTATTGGTCTATTCAGGTTTTGGATTCCTTCTTGGTTCAGTCCTGGTAGGCTGCATGTGTCTAGGAATTCATCCATTTCTTCAATGTTTTCCAATTTATTGGCATATAGTTGCTCATACTAATCCTTAATGATCCTTTGATTTTTGCAGTATCAGTTATAAGTCTCCTTTTTCATCTACAATTTTATTTATTTGAGTCTTCTCTTTTTTCTTAATCTGGCCAAAGGTTTGTCCATTTTGTTTATCTTTTCACAAAGCAACTTTTTATTTTATTGATCTTTTGTATTTTTTGGTTTCAATTTCCTTTATTTCTGCTCTGATCTTTATTATTTCTTTTCTTCTACTAATTTTGGGTTTAGTTTGCTCTTGCTTTTCTAGTTCCTTAAGATGCATCATTAGGCTGTTTATCTGAAATTGTTCTACTTTTGTGATGTAGGTGCTTATTGCTATAAACTTTCCTCAGTACTGCTTTCGCTGTATCGATAGATTTTAGTATGTTTTGTTTCCATTTTCATTTGTTTCAAGAAATTAAAAAATTTCCTTACTTCTTCATTGACCCACTGGTCATTTGGAAGCATATTGTTTGATTTCCATGTGGTTGTATAGTTTCCAAAGTTTCTCTTGTTATTGATTTCTAGTTTTATTCCATGTGGTCAGAGAAGATACTGGAAATGATTTGTTTTTTTGAATGTTCAGACTTGTTTTGTGACTTAACATGTGGTCTATCCTTGAGAATAATCTGTGCGCTGAGGACAAGAATGTATGTTCTGCTGCCACTAGATAAAATGTTCTATTAGGTCCATTGGTCTACACTGATTAAATCCAATTTTTTGAGTTAATTTTTCTGGATTTTCTATCCTCTGCTGAATGTGGGGTGAATTCTCCAGCTAGAATTGTACCGAGGTGTATCTCTCTGTAGCTCTGATAATATCTGCTCTACATATCTGGGTACTCCAGTTTTAGGTGCATATATTATTTATAATGTTATATCCTCTTGCTCAATTGACCATTTATCAATATATAATGACCTTCTTTGTCTTTTTATGGTTTTTGTCTCAAAATCAGTTTTATCTAATATAAATAACCTGCTCTTTTTTGGTTTCCATTTGCATGGAATATCTTTTTCCAACCCTTTATTTTCAGTCTTTATGGGTCTTTATAGGTAAAATGTGCATCTTGTAGGCAGCTGATCATTGGGGGCTTTTTTTTTTTTAATCCATGTAGCCACTCTGTGTTTTGATTGGAGAGTTTAGTTCATTTACATTCAATATTATTATTGATAAGTAAGGATTTATTATTGCCATTTCAATCTGTTTTCTGATTGTTTTGTGATCTTCTCTTCCTTCTTGCCTGCCTTCCTTTTTGTGAAGGGTGCTTTTCTCTGATGGTATGTTTAAATTTCTTGCTTTTTATTTCTTTGTGTATCTGTTGTAGGCTTTTTTATTTGAGGTTACCATGAGGTTTGCAAATACCATCTTGTAACATGTTATTTTAAACTGATGACAACACTGATAGTAAAAAAAAAAAAAAAATTAACAAGCAAAGAGAAAACTAATAAAAACTCTATACTTCAACTTCAAACCGCCACCCCCACCCCCAGCTTTTTAACTTTTTGTTGTTTCTATTTATGGCTTACTATATTATGTCTAGAAAAGTTGTTGTAGTTACATTTTTGATAGTCTTTTAGCCTTCCTACTAAAGATATGAATAGTTTATACACAACAATTTCAGTGTTATAATATGCCGTATTTGTTAGTGTACATACCATTACCAGTGAGTTGTGTACCATCAGATGATTATCTTATTGCTCATTAACATCTTTTCCTTTCAGATTGAAGAACTCCTTTCAGCATTTCTTATAAGACAGGTCTGGTGAAATCCCTCAGCTTTTGTTTGTCTGGGAAAGTATTTCTCCTTCATGTTTGAAGGGTATCTTCAAACATGGATATACTATTTTAGGATAAAAATTTTTACTTCACTTTAAATATGTCATGCCACTCTCTCCTGGCCTGTGAGGTGTCTGCTGAAAAGTCTGCTTCGACTTACTGAAGCACCTTTGTATGTTGTTTGTTTCTTTTCTCTTGCTGCTTTTAGGATTCTTTAACACTGACATTTCCCTTGTATGTTATTTGTTTCTTTTATCTTGCTGTTTTTAGGATTCTTTAACATTGACATTTGGGAGTTTGATTATTCAATATCTTGAGGTAGTCCTATTTGGGTTAAGTCTGCTTGGCGTTCTATATCCTTCTTGTACTTGAATATTGATATCTTTCTCTAGGTTTGGGACATTCTCTGTTATTATCCCTTTGAACAAACTTTCTACCACATCTCTTTACCTCTTCTTTAAGGCCAATAACTCTTCGATTTGTCCTTTTGAAGCTATACTCTAGATCTTCTAGGAGTGCTTCATTTTTTTCTTGTCTCCTCTGACTATATTTTCAAACAGCCTGTCTTCAAGCTCACTAATTCTTTCTTCTGCTTGATCAATTCTGTGGTTGAAAGACTCTGATGCATTCTTCATTACGTCAATTGAATTTTTCAGCTCTAGGATTCCTGCTAATTTTTAAAAATTATTTCAATCTCTTTGTTAAATTTATCTGATAGAATTCTGAATTCCTTTTCTGTGTTATCTTGAATTTCACTGAGTTTCCTCAAAACAGCTATTTGAATTATCTGCCTGAAAGGTCACATATCTCTCTCTGTCAATCTGGGATTGGTCACTGATGCCTTATTTAGTTTGTTTGGTGAGGTCATGTTTTCCTGGATGATCTTGGATGCTTGTTTATGTCTGGGCATTAAAGAGTTGGGTATTTATTGTAATCTCTGCAGTCTGGGCTTGTTTCTACCCATCTGTCTTAAGAAGCCGTTGTAGTTATTCAAAGGGAACTGAATGTTGTGATACAAGTTTTTGGTCACTCCAGCCATATCTGCATTAGGGGGAACCTCATGCCCAGTAAGGCTGTGACTCTTGCAGGCTTGTTAAGGTACAGCCTTGGTAGTCTTGGGTAAGATCCGGGAGAATTCCCTGGATTACCTGGCAGAGTCTCTTGTTCTCTTCCCTCACTTTCTCCCATAAAGTCTCTCTCTTCTCAGTGAGCTGCATGCAGTTGGGGGAGGAACGACACAAGCACCCCTGTGGCTACCCACTGACACTGTGCTGAGTCAGACCTGCCAGTGAAGCCAGTGAAGTACTGGGTCTCACCCGAGGTATGTGGTGACTATTGTTTGGCCAACACTCATGTTTATTCAAGGCCCAAAGGTTCTTCCGTCAGCAAGTGGTGAATCCAGCCAGACTTGTGCATTTCTCTGTAAGACTGCAGGTTCTCTTCTGGCTCAGGGCTAGTTCAGAAATGCCGTCTAAGGAGCTAGGGCCTGGAGTTGGGAACTGTAGGAATCTACTCAGTACTTTATTTTACTGTGACTGAGCTGTTACCCAAGTTGCAAGACAAAGTTCTTTTTATTCTTCCCTCTCCTTTCCTCAAGCAGAAGGTGTCTCTCCCCATGGCCACCACAGCTGAAAATGCCCTGGGTCACACCTGAAGCCAGCATGGTACCAGGTCTTGCCCAAGGCCTATGACAAGTACTGCCTGGAAACCACTGACCCAAGGATTCTTTTGTCAGCAGGTGACAGATCCTGCCAGGACTGGATACTTTCCCTCAAGACAGCAGGTTCCCTTCCGGCCCATGGTATGTCTAGAAATGTCATTGGGAGGTGGGGCCTGAAATGGAGGCTTTAGGACTCTGCTTGGTGCTTTGTTTTACTGTGGCTACACTGGTATCCAAGCTACAAGACAAAGTCTTCTTTACTCTTCCCTCACCTTTCCTCAAGTGGAAGAAGTCTCTCCCAGAGCTGTAAGCTGCACTGCCTGGGACTGGGAGAGGGTGATGCAAGCACTCCTTTGGCTCCTCCAGCTAGTATCTCTCTAGGTCATGTGTACCCCAGGTCCACTGGCTCTGAGCCCAGCACAGTACCAGGATGTGCCCAGGAATTGTAGTCCTTGTGGCCTAGACTATCTTTCAAATTTATTTAGGAGCTTACAGCACTTTAGCCCACAGCGGTGGGCTAGCTGGAACTCAGGTTCCAATTGCTAGGATGGAAGATTCTTCTCTGGCTAGGGCTGTTCTAAATGCAGCCTCTGTGGGCACCAGCGAAATTGTGCCCTGCATTGCTTTCCATTCCGACAGACAGACCAACAAACACTGAGTTCCAATACAAAGTGCCATAGTCACTGTGCTCTCCCTCTCCCAAGCACAGATTCTCTCTCAGCACCACACTCCTCCATAGGGGAGGGGTGGCATCAGCCATTCAAGACTGTCTTTCCTACCCTCTTCAGTGCCTCCTTCCTTGGTATAATGTTAAAACCAGGTACTATGATGGTTCACCTGATTTCCGGTTCTTATGAAGGTGCTTTCTTGTATGGAGAGCTATTTAATTTGGTGTTCCTGCAAGGGGGATGATCACTGGAGGGTTATATTTGGCCATCTTGCTCCATCCCCTCCTTCCTTCTATTCTTGTCTGGCATAGAGTAAACCCTCACTAAATATTGTTATTCTTCCTAGCTATATGATCCCCTAAAAGTTCTTTGATGGCACTCTGTCCTTCACCTAAAGTGCTCCTTTACTCTCCTATCCTGAACCCACACTCCTCCTCATCTTTTCAAGGCTTCAAAACTAATGCAGCAGACTCTCTGCCTCAGAGGATCAGTTATATCATAGTGAGATAAGCAGGACATTTTACAAAGAAACAAGTAGCTGTTCAATAGATTTCCATGAACTCTGAGCACAGCCAACAATCCCCGCCCCCCACTCCTCCCTACCCCCAAGTGTTACCAGGCTTCATTCTTTAGGGTCATTCCAGTCCTCCACTAAATTTCCATTAGTTATTAATCATCTAAAGCTTTTATCTAAAGTTTTCCATTTATCCTTCTGTCTCTGGCCCTGCATTCCCCTACTTTACAGAGATATATTTAAAAAACTGACACTGTAAAAGCAAACAGACAAGTGGGATAGAATACTGAAAAGTCAAGAAAATGGAAAGCCTTTCTGAAATTGAATCACCTTCTAACAGCTATTTCTAATAAAAAATGTATTAGAAAGAAAGGGGAAAAAAAGGCTTGGATCCCGAAAGACAGTTTGAATCATAACAGTGCGAGTGCGAGACAGAAGACAATCACTTTCTACTCTCTGCTGGTCTCTAAAGGAATTCCAGTTAGTTATCCAAGAATGGAAGAACACCGTGAGTCAGCCGTTCTCCTTTCCTCTTTAAAACAAAAACAAAATTCATCTTGGTCATGTTATCAGTTGTCTGTATGTAGAGGGAAAAAAAAGGCCATTTCCAGGTCATTACCTAAAATCAACTCTTCCATTTAGTGGGGCCATCTGGTAGCTGATATGATTAATTATAAAATTTCCATCTCATTCAATTTATTTTAGCTCTTTCTATAAGTTACTTAACATAGAAATAAGAAAATCATAGCCAAACTATAAATTGAAGCTTGATTGGTGTAATTGGTATGTATCCCCCACCCTACAACAAAAAAAATTCAAAGGGGACAGGGGAGAGAAAGGAATGATAGATGAAGTTAAAGCATCTGAAATTCTATTCTCTTTCTTGTTTATACCACAGAGCAGCTCTCTTTAAAACAAATCCTTCTGTAATTTCAAAAGGCTTCAGCAAGTCTTCCAACTAGACTGGGTCAATCAAAATAAAAGGTTTAACACTCATCTTGACTGTGTTTTTTTTTTTAAATCATGAAATCACCTTACAATTCACTTTGCTGTGCAAGTTTCCCCCTTCCCTCCTAAACATCTACATATTTCACCCTTTAAAATGAGAAAACAGGTTTATAAGAACTCAGCACAGACAGATTTCCCAGCTAAAGAAAAAAGAAAGTACTGTCTTTGGAAAGAAAATATTTCTGGGAGCTCTGGAGATGTGTAACAGGTATACACAGGGGAAATCTGAATACCTGGCTGTTTATGTTAACATCGATGTTGGATCGAGGGGACAGCAAAGGACTGTTCTCCATCTCAAGCTGTTTGAGCTTCTCTGAGGTGTCTTTTAATGCTGAAAAGAAAAAAAAAAGGCAAAATAACCCCAGTCTGCCAGGCTGTCACAGCTAGCTGTGTGAGGGTATGGTTTTGTTTTGTCTTCTCAACATCAGTTATCATCAACTAAAAGTAATAATCCAGATAAACACAAAATAAATATATTTTCTTTCCATAACCAGCTATCTGTCCATTAATTTGAATAAGAGTTAATCCTAAGTAGAAACACCACCCTATATCTGCAGCACTCCTAAAAAGCAAGTAGATGTGAAATCTCCCTAGCATGTGTGGTTAAGAAGGTTTACCTAGCCAAGAGACCCAAAAGGCACAGAACACTTGTGACATGATCCTTTTCTTTCATAACCACAACCCAGGCTCATGTCTAACCTCAACACTTTGCCATCTTTGTTCGTTGGCCCTGACTACTGCCTAAAACTAAATTTATGTGGAACAAACTAATGAAGAATATATATTTATTCGTTCACTGATTCAACATATTATATATTGGTACCATCAGGTGTGACGCAAGACAAGCATTTTGTCTTCATAATGTTCTTCCTAGTGGCAAAATACATTACAAAGTCCTCTAACCACTGAAAACATAATACATTAAACACAATTCATCTTTAAATGAAGACTTTTAAAATTAACTGTCCTGAAATAATCTTATTTTGCAGAGATTAATTTGATGTGTGCATAAAATTTTACACTGTCAACTTGACAAAAAAGGTTGAATGCCTAATAATTTCTATATGATCAGAAAGAAGAAAAGAGGGGGAAACTTTGAAATCATATCCTCTGGGTCAAAGGGATCTTCTAAAAGTGGCCATCAATTAACTGAGTGGAGGCCCCGGATACACGTTAACAATCAGCTGGAGAGCTTTCAAGAAACGCTCATTCCCAGGGCTCACCCAAGAATAATTATAACAAAATCTTTTCAGGTAGGATTCTGGCACTGGTAGTTTTTAAAACTCTCCAGGTGATTTTAAGTACAACCAAAGCTGAGCACCAGTAATTCAACACTGGTCTTCTCAAAATCTTTCCTGTCCATTTACTTAATTGCCATCTCCTGGTTTTATTATGCTTCAAATTACTCCATCCTGAATACTCTTTTTGTTGTTGTTAAACCTTTTTCTGCTATACTATTTTGTCCAAGGAACATCCTGCCATGCAGCACAAGCTATTTTAGTTACCATTTGTAACTATTTACCTATGTGAATCAGGATTTTGACATTACAACCAAAATAAAATACACAATTGGATATCAAGATTGATGACCTTAAACTCTTAACATAAAAATGTTCTAATTATTCTCACTGATTGATTTTGAGCAAATGTTATAAGTCTGAATGGATTAGGTCATATGAACTAAACTCCCACACTATGCAAGAATTTCCTCTGCCACAACCTTGACAACATTCAAGCTCCGCTTTAATACTTTCTGTAATGAGGTGCTCACTAACTCTTAGGAACCCTTTTTTTTTTTTTTTTTTGAGATGGAGTCTCACTCTTGCCCAGGCTGGAGTACAGTGGTGCCATCTCGGCTCACTGCAACCTCTGCCTCTCGGGTTCAACTGATTCTCCTGCCTCAGCCTCCTAAGTAGCTGGGATTACAGGTGCCTGCCACCATGGCCGGCTAATTTTTGTACTTTTAGTAGAGACTGGGTTTTGCCATGTTGGCCAGGCTGGTCTCGAACTGCTGACCTCAGGTGATCCGCCTGCCTTGGCCTCCCGAAGTGCTGGGATTACAGGCGTGAGCCACTGTGCTTGGCCAGGAACCTATTTCTATTATACAGCATAAACAGTTAAAAAACTTCCCCTTACTGATGTACAGTCTATTTCCCCATACTTGCAAATTGCTCATCCAAGGTTCACCAATAAAGTGCCATAAAACAAATTCTTTGATATATCAGATTTCCAAATATTTGGAGAGTTATATTTCATTTGATCTTTTTTTAAGCATTCCTAGTTCATTTTACCATGTAAATCCTAAGCTAATATATTTTGCAAAAAGTATGTATTCAATAAGTGATACTAATACAACACTATTACAGCACTGAAAAAATTAAACTTTGTGAATTAGTGTAATGGATATCAAGTGGAATGTAAATAAAATCAATACTGCCATCTCTATAAAGGAGACTGTTTTTATTTTTAACCCTGGAAATACTCTGCATTAAGATAGTCATGGTTCTGGCTGAATCTAAATCCTGATGGCTTTGCTATGGTCTCAATTCTTTCTAGAAACGAAAAGCAAATTTCTTTTTTTAATTTTTTCTTTCTTTCTTTCTTTTTTTTTTTGAGACAGAGTCTTGCTCTGTGGCCCAGGCTGGAGCTCAGTGGCACAATCTCAGCTCACTGCAACCTCTGCCTCCCAGGTTCAAGCGATTCTCATGTCTCAGCCTCCCGAGTAGCTGGGATTGCAGACATGTGCCACCACATCCAGCCTAATTTTAATTTTAGATTCAGGGAGCACATGTGCAGGTTTGTTATAAGGGTATATTACGTGGTACCATGGTTTGGGCTTCTACTGATCTCATCTCCCAGAAAGTGAACACAGCACCCAATAGGAAGTTTTTCAGCCCTTTCCCAGTCCATCCCTCCTTTAGGAATCCTCAGTGTCTAATGTTCCCATCTTTATGTCCCTGTGTAGCTCCCACATATAAGTGAGAACAAGAGCAAGCATTGCTAACAAGAAGTGGAGTCCAGGGCAAGGCTGTCAAAACTGGACTATTCGAAATAAATTACTACAGAGAAAGTACATGAGAAATAGTAATGGGGGATATTTTCTTAATCTAATAACAGACTACTACCTTAAAAAATCAAAATTACTTTGAAATTACCAATATAATAAGTTAAATTATTATTTCTCTGACCTGAGACTAACAAGCACAATTTAAACACGTTAGATGTCAAAAAAAAAAAAAACCATGATGTACCAGAACATTTGTTTGTAGTTATTTCTTAGGAAATACACAAATTTTTAGCACCACTTATCAGTCATACTTCAACATGTTCTATTAATCAGAAGCACTGTGTGACTTTTCACTAACATTTATTTCTAAATTACTAAATATTATTGTATTCTACAGTCTCAGAGACAACAGCATACTTAGGGCAATTTTCTGAGTTGTTTAATGATGGTGGCTAATTTTAGCCTCCAATAGAAATCAAATGGTCAAGAGCCAAATAAATACAAGCTGCTTTAAAATGAACATGCATTACAGTGAGATTCAACAGGAAACTGCTGTTTATAAACAAGTTATGCTTTCATATAAAACTAAACTCACAAATACATAGACATTTTCAATGAGAGATTTACTGTCTCCTTTTAACCTTCAAAAATGTGTGTGTGTGTGTGTGTGTGTGTGTGTGTGTGTTTTAAAGCACCATTCTTTCTGTGTTATTTCTTTTTGTGGGCCTAGGCAATAATAATCCTCATTAATAACAAAATACTTTCTAACAGCTAATGGGATGTTCAAATATTCATTCAATCCTATGCCCTAGAAAATGTTTCCACTCTAGAAAAAAAGCAAAAAGCAAGTTTGAAGACTCTTAAATGTTTAATGTCTTATAAATGACACACAAGTTTAATGACCTCAATTATGTTATCTTAAATATTTCAGTGTTACCTTAAGTCAAAAAGGCAAGAGGGCATAACTCTTCTGAATTAAATTTAAAAGTTGAACTAGTACAAAAAATATTATTGGAGAAGCTGATTTAAATATCTTATTTCAAAGGAAGATAAAAAGGTATCACTGATGTATAATGGAACATTTACTTACTCTCATATTCAACTTCAGGTTCCCCTAATCCCGGAAGCCTGGTGGCTACATTAACGTCATTCAGTGCTTGGGATGTTTCCATAGTGTCAGATGCCCCAATTACATCACCAATCGTTGCTTCCAATAAGTCTGGGCTATTCAGCAAATCAATATTCAGAGGAATGCTGCAATGGAAATAGAAAATTTACTTAGACCAAGAAATTTAACTTGAAAAATTAAAACACTACTCACCCTCTGTATCTGCAATTTCCACCACATCTGTGAATTCAAGCAACCATGAATCAAAAATAAAACAAAAATAAAAATTAAAAAAACATTTAAAAATACAGTTTAACAACTATTTACATAGCATTTATATTGTATTAGGTTTTCTATGTAATCTACAGATGATTTAAAGTATATGGGAAGATGCATGTAGGTTACATGCAAACACGACACCATTTCATATAAGGCACTTGCGCGTCTGCGGATTTTGGTATCTCAGGGAGGTCCTGGAATCTATCCTCCATGGATACTGAGGGACTATACTAACAAGGTCTTTGTTGGAATAAGATTCATGGAAAAGTTTTTATCTCAAATGGTTTTATTCATTTCTCACAACCCTTTGAGTAGACTTCTCCTCCCAGCCAAAATGGAGTGAAAGGGACTGGTCTGCCCTCCCACCTGAAAACCTAAGGGAAAAAAATAACCTTAATAAGTAAGGTTAAATAAATAACCTAAATAAATAAGTTCCACAAAGTTGCAGAATACAAGATCAATATAAGAAAAATCAATTGTATATCTATACATGAAAAATGAGTAAACTCATGAGGAAATTGATGTAGACAATTTCATTCACAGTAACATCAAAAGGGATAGAAACTTAGGAATAAATTTAATAAAGGCTATGTATGACTTGTACACTGAAAATCATTTATAAAGGAGATCTAAATAAATAGACTTTTAATGTTCACAGATTGGAACACTTAATATTGAAGATGGCTTCTCCCCAAACTGATGTGTAAATTCAATGTATTCACTATCGAAATCCCAGCAGGATTTTTTTTGTAGAATTGACCAGCCAATCCTAAGATTTATGAAAGCCAAAGCAGCTAGAATAGCCAAAACAATTTCAAAAATGAATGTACACTATTGAATTTGAAAACTTACTAGAAAGCCACAGTAATCAAGACAGGCTGATACTGGCACAAAGACAGACATGTAAATCAACAACAGAATTGAGAGTCTATATTATGGAATATAAGGAACTTTTGACAATATAAGGCTTTTTGACAAGATAAATCAGGAGAAAAGACAGGCTTTTTAACAAATGGTACTAGGACAACCAGATATCCACAGGCAAAAATATTCATTTAGACCCTACCTCACACTATACACAAAAATTGAATCAAAATGGATAAGCGACCTAAGTGTTAAGAGTAAAAACTGTAAAACTTTAGAACAAATATAGAAGAAAAAAATCTTTGTGACTTTGGGTGGGTAAAGTATTCTTAGATATGACACCAAAAGTATCCATAAAAGAAAAACTGAAGATGAACTTCATCACAACTATAAATGTTTCAGTGTCAAAGAACCATTATGAAAATGAAATGCCACAAATTGGGGGGGAAATTTTTGCAAATCATGTATCTGATAAGGGGCTAGTTATCCAAAGCATACAAGGAACTCTCTGTATATATATTAGTATAAGTTAATATCGTATATATATATTACTTACTATATTAAGTTATAGTTAAGTTAGGATGAGGTGATACTACAGTAGGGTAGGCAGCTAATCCGCTATGACTGATATTCTTATAAAATGGGGAAATTTGGACACAGATACACATAGGGAGAATGCTATGTGAAGACAAAGGCAGATATCAGGGTGATGCATCTACAAACCAAGAAACACCAAAGACTGCCAGCAAACCACCAGAAGCTAGGACAGAGGCACAGAATAGAGTCTTTCTCAGAGTCCTCAAAGAAAGCAACCCTGCCAACACCTTGCCCTTCGACTTCTAACATCTTACTGAGACAAAGTTCAGTTTGTGGTACCTTGTAACAGTAGTCCTAGCAAACCAATACATCTCATATTCTAAAGACCTGCACAGGACTAAAAGTGAGCCTTAGAGCACCACATCAGGCCATAAAAGAAAAGACAAAAAAATCCCAAAAGGCATTCCGTGAGAGAATTCAAAGGACTAAAAAGAACTGTGACTCTTCTCCTTACTTCCCCAGGAGAATGGGGCATTGTAAAATCACATCAGGTAAATGGAGGCTCTAAAAGAACCTCTGAAAGTGGAGAAAGGCATCTTACTCTGTGGTGGGGGATTACTGAGCCACAGAAACTACCAGGCATATGTCAGGTGTGGGTGGCACAGGGAGTGTTCTTAGGAAAATTCAACATATGAATCTGCACATTTGGGAGCATATGTAAATATATTTCCCATGAGCTAAGTGCCTCCCTTAGCAATGAGAGGTCCAAACTCAGTAAGTTGCCTGGGGCCAACTTTACCAATGGAGGGAAAAGGCCGGCAGTTGGACAAGCGGTGTTTCCACTGTTTGGCAGGGCAAGAATGCATAGACTCCCTAGAGGACGAGTTTGGAACAAGCTGCACAACAAAATGCATAATTACAGAAACAGATAATAACACACTGAAAAAATACATGAGTCTATGCTGACAATAAATTATTTCTTTTGATGGTGGGAGAAAAAAGGAAAGTTGTTCTTTACATAAGAAAACCATCTTCTCTCTATAGAAGAAATGACAGAATTAGAACATCACCATATTACAAATATCAAGTTAATAATGGATACAGGCAAAAATTATCAATGAATGCTAAAACTACAGAGTAAAAGACTGTTAGGGAATAAGAAATCCATTCGGTCTTAAAATGACACTCCACAGATTACACAGGAAAAAGTACTTTTACAAAGAACTCTGGTGATATCACCTTAACAAAACATTAGTAAAAATGTTTAACCTCAATCTCATCACGAAAAAACAATCACACAAATCTAAGTTGAGAGACATTCTACAAAAGAACTGGTGTAGACTCCTTTAAAAAAAAGTCAAACGTTATGAAAGGTAAAAAAAATAGGCTGGGGGAACTGTTCATGATTAAAGAAACATGAAAAATGAACTGAAATCTTTATTATACGCTGGATCAGGAGGAAAAACAGCTATACAAGGTATTGAAACATTTGGGAAAATCTTAATAGGTACTGTATATTAGGTAACAGTACCATATCAATGTTAAATTTTCAGAGTATAACATAAAAAAACCTATCTTTGATTTTTGGAGATTCATGCAAAAGTACATAGGAATGAAGTAACGTCATGTCTGCATTGGGATTCTCATTAGCCAGCCAAGAAAATGAAATAAATGCGAGCAAATATGATAACATATTAAGTTGGTGAATCTAGTGGAAGGGCATATGGTTATTCACCCACCATTCATTCAACTTTTCTGTAGGTCTGAAGTTTTCCAAAATAAAAAGTTGAGAGGAATAAAAGAATGCATGTACTTCCCCTGGGCCAAGTGTTAAGTCCAACTTTAAGCCCAATCAATGAAACTCCAAAATGTACCAAGGTCAGATGATCTAAATAGTAAAAGGGTACTTGTGGGCAGGAGCTGAGCCAGAAATGAGGGGAGTGAAGAACGGTTTCGGAAGAGGTGAAATATGAAGTATATTGCCTGTGTTGGGGAAGTGACTGGTTCTATGATGGCCTCTGAGAAAACACACTAATGAGAAGCACGAAAGAGCAAGCATTTGCACATACGCCATCACTGGATTACCAAAGAACCAACCAAGTAAGTCTTCGCCCCCTTTCCTCTTCTTTATTCTTCATCCCTCAATGTGAGCACCACAAGAATAAGGGGAGAAAGTAAAGACTAAAAGAACAAACAGGCCAGGTGCAGTGGCTCACGCCTGTAATCCAGGCACTTTGGGAGGCCGAGGTGGGAGGATTGCTGGAGTCCAGGAGTTTGAGACCAGCCTGGGCAACATGGCAAAACCCCATCTCTACTGAAAACAAAAAAATTAGCGGGGCATGGTGGCACACGCCTGTAGTCCCAGCTACTCAGGAGGCTGAGATGGGAGAATCACCTGAACTCGGGAGGTGGAGGCTGCAGTGAGGCGAGATTGTGCCACTACACTCTAGCCTGGGCAACAGGAGTGAGACCCTGTATCAAAAAAAAAAAAAAAAAAAAAAAAAAAAGGGACGAACACTCCCCATCCCCATTCACCACTGCACCACTGTACATTTTGAGAATGGGGAAAGGGGAAATTGTTAAATTAGAAGTGGACTTTTTGTAATTTAAAGTATGTTTCAATGATTACAAGTAAGATGGTTCTTATATCTATAAATGATGAGCTAGAAATGGGGAAAAGTTGACTTTATATGGATCAATACAGTAATTAAGAGACAAGTCAAGTGGGATATTCAGCCCTTTCTAAAACAAGTGATCAACTCCTTGTAATGCAGTGTGGCTCAAGCGAGGGGGCACGTGAAGGGCTGAGAGTGAAAACAGGCACCAGGGTCAAAAATCCAGCACTGGGGAAAATGAAAACCAAAACACCTCATGTGAGGAGGCGGTGAACAACAGTCAGATGCACTACTTGAAACCAGGGGACCAGGTTTTCTAGACAGGAACAGAGGCTGAAAAAGTTCTATTTACAAGTTTAGAGTTTTAAAGTTTCAAGTGAAAAAAAAACAAAACTTTGTCTGCAATGAAGGGAAGAATTAGAAATATCTGTGCAACCAACAATCAGACCACCATATCCTGGGCTCAAGGACTGCTGAGCCCAAAATCACCTAAGCTGATAAGCAACTTCAGCAAAGTCTCAGGATACAAAAATCAATGTGTAAAAATCACAAGCATTCCTATAAACCAATAACAGACAGAGAGCCAAATCATGAGTGAACTCCCATTCACAATTGCTTCAAAGAGAATAAAATACCTGGGTAAAGGCATGTGAAGGACCTCTTCAAGGAGAACTACAAACCACTGCTCAGAAATAAAAGAGGACACAAACAACTGGAAGAACATTCCATGCTCATGGATAGGAAGAATCAATATCGTGAAAATGGCCATACTGCCCAAGGTAATTTATAGATTCAATGCCGTCCCCATCAAGCTAACAATGACTTTCTACCCAGAATTGGAAAAAACTACTTTAAAGTTCATATGGAACCAAAAAAGAGCCCACATTGCCAAGACAATCCTAAGCAAAAAGAACAAAGCTGGAGGCATCATGCTACCTGACTTCAAACTATACTACAAGGCTACAGTAACCAAAACAGCATGGTACTGGTACCAAAACAGAGATATAGATCAATGGAACAGAACAGAGGCCTCAGAAATAACACCACACATCTACAACCATCTGATCTTTGACAAACCTGACAAAAACAAGAAATGGGGAAAGGATTCCCTGTTTAATAAACGGTGCTGGGAAAACTGGCTAGCCATATGTAGAAAGCTGAAACTGGACCCCTTCCTTACACCTTATACAAAAATTAATTTATGATGGATTAAAGACTTAAACGTTAGACCTAAAACCATAAAAACCATAGAAGAAAACCTAGGCAATACCATTCAGAATATAGGCATGGGCAAGGAATCCATGACTAAAACACCAAAAGCAATGGCAACAAAAGCCAAAACTGACAAATGTGACCTAATTAAATAAAAGAGCTTCTGCATGGCAAAAGAAACTACCATCAGAGTGAACAGGCAACCTACAGAATGGGAGAACATTTTTGCAATCTACCCATCTGACAAAGGGCTAATATCCAGAATCTACAAAGAACTTAAACAAATTTACAAGAAAAAAACAACCCCATCAAAAAGTGGGCAAAGGATATGAACAGACACTTCTCAAAAGAAGACATTTATGCAGCCAACAGACACATGAAAAAATGCTCATCATCACTGGCCATCAGAGAAATGCAAATCAAAACCACAATGAGATCCCATCTCACACCAGTTAGAATGGCAATCATTAAAAAGTCAGGAAACAACAGATGCTGGAGAGGATGTGGAGAAATAGGAATGCTTTTACACTGTTGGTAGGAGTGTAAATTAGCTCAACCATTGTGGCGATTCCTCAAAGATCTAGAACTAGAAATACCATTTGACCCAGAGATCCCATTACTGGGTATATACCCAAAGGATTATAAATCATGCTACTATAAAGACATATGTATATTGTGGCACTAATCGCAATAGCAAAGACTTGGAACCAACCCAAATGTCCATCAATGATAGACTGGATTAAGAAAAGGTGGCACATATACACCATGGAATACTATGCGGCCATAAAAAAGGATTAGTTCATGTCCTTTGCAGGGACATGGATGAAGCTGGAAACCATCATTCTCAGCAAACTATCACAAGGACAGAAAACCAAACACTGCATGTTCTTACTCATAGGTGGGAACTGAACAATGAAAACACTTGGACACAAGGCAGGGAACACCACACACTGGGGCCTGTCGGGAGGGGGAGTGGGGGAGGGATAGCATTAGGAGAAATACCTAATGTAAATGATGTGTTGATGGGTGCAGCAAACCAACATGGCACAAGTATACCTACGTATCAAACATGCATGTTGTGCACATGTGCCCTAGAACTTAAGTATAATAAAAAATATATAAATTTTGGAGGGAAAGGGTGCAGCACAAACTTTCAGACCATAGTAGAGTCCCTTCAATGGCTTTACCATCTCAATTGGACAGATGTTTTAGATGGAGTTTTGCTCTTATTGCCCAGGCTGGAGTGCAGTGGCACAATCTTGGCTCACTGCGGCCTCTGCCTCCTGGGTTTGGGCGATTCTCCTGCCTTATCCTCACCAGTGGCTGGGATTGCAGGTGCCGGCCACCACTCCCAGGTAATTTTTTGTATTTTTAGTGGAGACGGGGTTTCGCCATGTTGGCCGGGCTGGTCTCGAGCTCCTGACTTCAGGTGAGCTGCCCGCCTCGGCCTCCCAGGGTGCTGGGATTGCAGGCGTGAGCCACTGTACCTGGCCTAAAATAATTTTAATTGAAGAAGCAATAAGAAGAAAAAGCTGGAACAGTCTCTTTCCCATTTCCCTTGCAGTTTTTCAAAACTTACAGTTCTCAATCCCCTCATTATTTTAGTCTTTAACCACAAACAATACCATATGAAGACCTTTATGGGTTTTTTTGAGCTTCCAGGTGTAACAGCCTAGATGGTCTGTTTCTTTCTTTCTTTATACTAATTTTATTAATGAGAGGTTTTTTTTAAAAAAAGCACCTGTTTACATGTCTATGTTCACATCAATTGTGATTAGAATTAAACAATCCTAGGGTGTATGTTCCATTTTAGCAAACTTTTGGTAACTGCTTCTACTTGCCCACAGCTTTTTTTTCTTTTTTCTTGTTCTTGTTCCTTTTTTTTTTTTTTTTTTGAGATTGAGTGTCGCTCTGTCACCCAGGCTGGAGTGCAGTGGCACAATCTGAGCTCACTGCAACCTCTGCCTCCTGAGTTCAAGCGATTCTCCTGTCTCAGCCTCCCATGTAGCCGGGACTACAGCCACGTGCCACTACGCCTGGCTAGTTTTATTTATATTTTCAGTAGAGATGGGGTTTCACCATGTTGGCCAGGCTGGTCTCGAACTGCTGACTTCAGGTGATCTACCCACCTCAGCCTCCCAAAGTGCTGGGATTACAGGTGTGAGCCACTGGGCCCACCACCCTGTCACATATTTTTATCATATCCATCTCAGACAATTGAAGTTTTTCTTTTCCTCAAAAATCCAAGATGAGAGGTTACAATAAATACAGTGGAGCATATTTATTTGTATTCTAAACTGGTCAAATAGTCATGTAGATGGAATCTTAGAGGAAAAATTATGAAAGATTTTAAAATTAAAAATGCTTACTCATCTAGCATACTCTACTGAGTTTTCTTAGCTTTTTATTGTCTTTGAGCTTAATATAATTTATTATGTAAATTATATTGAGCTGAAAATCATGCAAGTGCTTTTGCCCAAAGAAATGCAAATTAATTGTCTCAAATAGACACGTATTTGATTATGCTAATTGTGGATATTGACTTGTTTCCATCTCTTTGTAAATTCATTGCAGGTTTTTCTGATCGCCTATATTTATGTATGTTTTTAAATTCTCCTTTGGATACGTTACACCGTCTTGCTGATTCTCTCTTTAATTAACTAAATAAATCTTTGGCATGTGTTAAAAAAAAAGAGAAAGAAATGGAGAAAGGACTCCATATTTCATAAATAGTGCTGGGATAACTGCCTAGCTATAGGCAGAAAACTGAAACTGGACCCCTTCCTTATACCATATACAAAAATTAACTCAAGATGGATTAAAGACTCAAATGTAAAACCGAAAACTATAAAAACCCTAGAAGAAAATCAAGGCAATACCATTCACGACAGAGGCATTGGCAAAGATTTCATGATGAAAATGCCAAAAGCAACTGCAACAAAAGCAAAAATTGACAAATGGGATCTAATTAAACTAAAGAGCTTCTGTACAGCAAAAACAAAAAACAAAAACAAAGACAAACAAAAAAAAACTGTCAGCAGAATGAACAGACAACTTACAGAATGGGAGAAGATTTTTGCAATATATCTATCTGACAAAGGTAATATCCAGAGGCTACAAGGAACTTAAACAAATTTACAAGAAAAAAAGCACATTAAAAAGTGGGCAAAGGACATGAACAGACACTTTTCAAAAGACATACATGCGGCCAACAAACATAAAAAAAAAATCTCAACATCACTGATCATTAGAGAAATGCAAATCAAAACCACAATGAGATACCATCTCACACCATGGAGAAAGGCTATTATTAAAAAGTCAAAAAACAACAGATGCTGGTGAGGTTGTGGAGAAAAAGGAATGTTTTACACTGTTGGTGGGAATGTAAATTAGTTCAACCACTGTGGAAGACAGTGTGGCAATTCCTCAAAGACCTAGAGGCAGAAATACCATTTGACCCACTGATCCCATTACTGGGCATATACCCAAAAGAATATCTTTCCATTGTAGAAATACATGCATGCATATGTCCATCACAGCACTATGCACCTAAGACATGGAATCAATCTAAATGCCCATAAATGACAGACTGGATAAAGAAAATGTTGCACATTTACACCATGGAATACTACGCAGTCATAAAAAGGAATGAGATCACGTCCTTTGCAGGGACATGGATAGAACTGGAAGCCATTAAACTAATGTAGGAACAGAAAACCAAACATGTTCTCACTTACAACTGGGAGCTGAATGATGCAAACACACGGACACAAGGAAGGGGGAACAACACACACTGGGGCCTGTCGGGGGTGTGGGGGAGGGAAAGCATCAGGAAGAATAGCTAATGGATGCTGGCTTAATACCCAGGTGATGGTATGATCTGTGCAGCAAAACACCATGGCACACATTTACCTATGTAAACAAACCTGCACGTTCTGCACATGTACCCCTGAGCTTAAAATAAAAGTTAAAGAAAAAATAAATAAATAAATAAATTTAGGTCTGAGACGGGGGTACAATTTTATTCTTTTCTATGTGGACATACAGTTGCCTCAGCACCATGATGAATTTCTTGAAAAGTGAGGTTGACATAATTGGAAAGCCATCTGGAAAATAACAAAATTAGATTTCATTACTCCTATCTTAAACCAAGTTTCAAAATGGATCTGAGATTCAAATGTAAGAAAATTAACCCATACAGTGCTGGAGGCAAGGATAGCTGAATTCCTCTAAAATGTAGCAGTGAGGAAAACTCTATTAAATTCCAGAAACTATTAAAGAAAAAACGGATCAATCTGCTTATATAAAAACTTTTAAAACTTTCGCACAGAAAAATACTAAAAGTAAACAGTGAAAAACTGAAAATATATTTTTGCAGCTTAAATACACAGAGTTAATATCCCAATTATCCACAAAAAAGCTTCTTAAAAGTAGAGAAGAAAAAGGCCAACAGCCTTGTTTAAAAATGGGGAGGGGGCAGGGGGAGAGGAACAAGCAATTTATGGAAAAAATGCAAATGGCTCTTAAACATACAAATATGCTACTGAGAGGGATTTAAATGAAAACTACGTGGAACATATTCATCATGAATCTTGATTATGGTGTTGGTTTCACGGGTCTGTGTCCAAACTCAAAACACTTTAAAGATGCACTTTATTGCACCAAGTGTACCTCGATAAAGCTCTAAGGAAAAAAACACACACTTAGATACCATATATTGTTTTTCAGATTGGCAAAAATCCCAGTCTTTCTTGATCCTTTGTCAGTGAGGCTATGAGAGGTAGAAGCACTCTCATACTCTGCTGGTCAAATGCAGAATCCTCAATGAAGGAGAGTCAGGCAATATCTAGAAAAATTAAAATTCATCTACGACCAAATAAATACCATAATCACACTGAGGAGGAAAGGGTACTAATCCAAGTAAATTTGAAGTGCAATACTTCAACTATATACTCTGTCTAAAAAGGAGAACCATGAAGAAATACTAAATGTCACTTAGATTTGTTGTTGACAGTGGCATGGGTATAGCAATTCTGAAACTGTTTAGCACATATTAACCAAATAGAAGCCAGGTTTCTCGCAGGGAAGAAGGGAGATAGGAATAAGGCATTGGGGAAGGCAATGAACCCTGGCAACTCACTTGGGAGTTAGAGTGTTGGCATGAATTTGGATTAAGAGACCAGAAGAACTTCTAAAGAAGTGGTAATTTCTATTTCTTAACCTGAAGAAAGATACTCAAACTGGAACTGTATTTTTTATAAACTTTTCTCTATATATTTATTTCACAATAAATTTTTAAAATTAAGGGCAAATGAAAAATATTTTCAAGGGTAACATCCAAGATGTTTTTATTATTTTCTAGTAGAAGCTTTAAATGGAAAAATCCTTTTGGATTTTTATATTACGCAAATTCCCAGTTGGTACTGTTTTCACAAACACACTAGTGTATTTTGACATTCATTCTTTTTTTCAGTAGTAGCATAAAGACTTACTACATTTAGGTAGATATAGTGGCTCATGCCTATAATCCCAACACTTTGGGAGGCTGAGGTGGGAGGATCACTTGAGCTCAGGAGTTCAAGACTAGCCTGAGCAACAGAGGAGACTGTATCTCTACAAAAAATAAAAAAAAATAAAAAAATTAGCCAGGTGTGGTAGCATGTGCCTATAGTCCTAGCTACTTGGGAGGCTGAAGTGAGATTACTTGAGTCTAGGAGATTGAGGCTGCAGTGAGCCATGATCAAACCACTGCACTCCAGACTGGAAGAGAGAGCAAGACCCTATCTCAAAAAACAAAACGCCATTCATCATTACTTTTAAGAAAATTTTCCTTCTTTTGGCAAGAAACATTATTTTCATGTTTAAGTTTCCAGTATAAGGCTTTTCCTAATCTTCCTAAATTTGAGGTTAAGAACCAGATTGGTGCAGAAGACTCAATTACCTCCTTCAATCATATAGGAAAAGGAAAGCGCACTGCAGAATCATTGTGAAAGCTGGATGAAATGATGAGAATACTGGAAAAATGTTTTTTCTAAATTTTAAATCTATGTTGATGGGCATACAATGCACAGAGACATATTCTGTAAGAGAAAAACAGCACAAAGTGGGAGACAAAGCTCTATAGAAGCAAAGTTTACATGTACTACTGACATTAAATTGGTATTTAATGTCCAAATAATCCAAACTAGATTGTTTTAAATTAAAATGTTAATTGTAGGCTGGGCAGTATGGCTCATACCTGTAATCCCAGCACTTTGGGAGGCTGAGGCGGGCAGGTCACTTGAGGCCAGAAGTTCAAGACCAGCATGACCAACATGGCAAAACCCTGTCTCTACTAAAAATACAAAAAATTAGCTGAGTGTGGTGGTGCATTCCTATAATCCCAGCTACTTAGGAGGATGAGGTATGAGAATCGCCTGAACCTCGGAGGCAGAGGTTGCAGTGAGTTGAGATCGTGCCACTGCACTCCAGCCTGGGTGACAGTGCAAGACTCTTGTCTCGAAAAATAACATAACGTAACGTAACGTAACATAACACAACATAACATATCACATAACATCAGATCACAACATAACATAAAATGTTAATTATAATCCCCAGGGTAACCATTAAGAAAACAATGTTTTAAAATAGAGAGGGCCAGGCATGGTGGCTCATGTCTGTAATTCCAGCACTTTGGGAGGCCGAGGCAGGCGGATCACAAGGTCAGGAGTTCGAGACCAGCCTGACCAACATGGTGAAACCCCGTCTCTACTAAAAATAAAAAAATAAAAATTAGCCAGGCATGGTGGTGGACACCTGTAATCCCAGCTACTCAGGAGGCTGAGGCAGGAGGTGGAGGTTGCAGTGAGCCGAGATCGTGCCACTGCACTCCCGGCTGGGTGACAGAGTGAGACTCCGTCTCAAAAAACAAATAAATAAAATAGTAAGAGAAAGAAAAAAGAACTGAAATGGTACACCAGAACATATCTACTTAACACAAAAGGCAGTAATGGAAGAAGTGAGAAACAAAAAAAGACATGACATACAGAAACAAATGAAACAGCATAAGTCCTTCCTTATCAGTAAGTACACTGAATGTAAATGTTAAACTGTCCAATTAAAAGACAGAGATTGGCAAAATGAATTAAAAAACATGATCCAACTGTATGCTGTCTAGAAGGGATACACTTCAGATTCTAACACACAAAAAGACTGAAATAAAAAGGAAAAAATGTACCATCCAAACACTAACGAAAAAAGGGATGAAGTGGCTATACTAACATCAAGCAAAAGAAACTGTAAGATAAAAATTGTTGCTAAAGACAAAGAAGGACATTTTACAATGACAAAAGGAAAATCATCAAGAAAATATTACAATTATAAACATACATATAACTAAAACCAGAGTACCCAAACACATAAAGCTAAATCAGAAGTTTAGAGATAGACAACAATAGTTCTTTCACTTTATGAGCAGAAAAACTAGATAAGTTTATCTTCTGATCAATAAATAAACAGAAGATGAACAGTATCATAAACCAAAGACTGAACAGGCATACACAGAATGCTCCACTAACAGAATATACATTCATCTCAAGTACAAACGGAACATTCTCCAAAACCAACCATACTGCACAGAATAAAAAAATTTTCAAAAGTATGTATCTGCTAATGGACTTATATCTTAAATATATAAAGAACTCTCACAATTCAATAATAAAAGGACAAATAACCAGATTTTTTAAATGGGCAAAGAATGAAATGCAGGTGCTCTTCAACTGATGATGGGGTTATATCCTGATAATGTAAATTGAAAATGCACTTAATACAGCAAACCTACAGAGCATTATAGCTTACCCGAGCCTACATTAACTGTGCTCAGAACACTTACATTAGCCTGCAGTTTGACAAAATCATCTAACACAAAGCCTATTTTTAAACAAAGTGTTCAATATCTTATGTACCACATATTACAGCCCAGGAAAAGATCAAAATTCAAATTTCAACATTATGTCAAAATTACAACAGTTTCACACCATCATAAGTTGAAAACTCTTAAGTCAAGCCATTAAGTTGGAAACTGTCTGTAGATACTTCTCTAAAGAAGATAAGCAAAAAGTCAATAAGCAGATCAAAATATACCAACATCATCCAGCTCCACAATACACTACTTCACAACTAGGATGCCTATAATAAAAAAGACAGGCAATAGTAAGTGTTGGTGAAGATGTGGAAAAACTGGAACCCACATGGTGTGGCCACTCTGAAAAACAATTTGGCAGTTCCTCAACATGTTAAAAATAGAGTTACTATATGACCCAATAATTTCACTCCTATGGATATAACCATGACAATTGAGAACACATGTTCATACAAAACCTACACCTCAATGTTCATAGCATCATTCACAAAAAGCAGAAATTCAAATATCTATCAACTGACAATGGATAAATAAAACACTGGGCATCATACAAGGGAATATTATTAAGCCATTAAAAGGAATCAAGTACTAATACATGCTAAAACAGATGACCTTGAAAACACCATACCAAGTGAAAGTCAGACACAAAAGAACACCCACTGTATGATTCTACTTTTAGGAAATTTCCAGAATGGGCAAATCTATAGAAACACAAAGTAAATTAGTGTTTGCCAGGGGCTAGTAGGAAGGAATAATTGATAGTAACTGCTAATAGGAAAGAGGTTTCTTTTGGGGATAAAAATGTTACGGAATTAAATAGTGGTGATGGTTGTACACCTTTGTGAATAAACTAAACCCACTGAATTATACACTTAAATTTTTTTAAACGTAGTTACACATAATATTATTAATCTGTGGCTTTGGTAATGTCTTAGTTCATATCCATCTCTCAAGAATGTATAAAGAAATATGTAAAGACATTCTTTCTTCTACCTATTTCCTTACTTTTCATGGACACTTGCCTGTGTAAACTGAAGCAGTTTTCCTTGTCTCCTTCCATAATTTGGAGTAATTTATTGTTAAAGTTGTGAATGATAGCTAAGAAAAGCAATGTTACCCTCACTCCCATTTTCTGAAAGCCTGTTTATCTAGTTAGGTTCTTGCATGTGTGCGTGCACTTACTAATATATACATGATTTGGTTGCTTTCACAAAAATGGGAACAAACCTCAGACACTTAAGTTTTAAACTCAACAGTGTCACTGATATCCTCTAGTAAAAGTACATGAAAACTGACCTGATTCTTTAACAATTACATAGAATGGAGGCAGCATATTTTTATAATACAATCCAGTCTTCCACCAATTGGAATTCATTCTTCACACTGCCCCCTAAAATAGAATTATTACATTCCTTTTTACTCTCTACAATCTGGACCCCAACAACCTTTACAGAGTTATGGAGGCAGTACAGTAGCCAAGGCTGGGTTCTAGGACTAAGCTGTCTTGAGTTTGAAGCCCAGCCTCATTGTTCTGTGCCTTCATTTCTTCACTAGCCTGAATACCTTATAGATCCTCATAAGGATTAAATGAGGATGCTTTGCTAGAGTGAATACTTACTGCTGTACCTCCAGAACAATGTCTGGCACAGAAGCACTCAAGTATTAGCTATTATTATCACGATACCTTCCCATAAATTCTATACTCTTTACTCAAACCTGATTCATCATTCCTGGACTACACCTTGCACTTAGCTACTTTAGAATTTTCTTTTCCTATAGGTCCCTGGGCCCGTAATGATTTATCCATTCAAAGCTCCTTTCTGTTTCACTGGAAACCTGATGCAAATGCCAAGAAGCCTTCTTAACTTCAACCACTTCTACTCTTCTTGCTTGCTGGATTTAGCACTTTATCAGTTATTTGTAAAACTGTTTATCTCCACAGTTTGAGTATAAATTTCTTGAAGCCAAGAACAGTATTTTGACTATTTCTGCATCACCAGATGTGCCAAGACATGCTTGGTATTCATTGATTCAATCAAATAATATATATGGAGTGTCTGAGGATACAGAAGGAAACAAAATAAATGCTCTCCCTTAACGGAGCGTACATTCTGTTGAAAAACGGACACTCTGACTTACCCAATAGGGTTATGTCCTGAGAAACCCATCGTAAGTCAAAAATGCACTTAATACTCTCATAAACCCATCATAAAGTTGAAAAATCCTAAGAATCATCATAAGGGACTATCTGTATAGAGAGGACAAACAAACACATACTAAGATGAAAGGAGTGAGAAAAAATAAAGCAGGGTAAGGCAGACAGGAAATAAAAAGAAGACTGGGCAGGGGGCGGGGAACATGATTATTTCAGAGTGGTCAGGAAAGGCTTCTCCAATAAGAAACCTGATGGTGCCGGAATGAACCATAAGAGATTGAAGGGAGGAATACTCAGGAAGCAGTAAAAGTACAAAGATCCTGAGAGAACATGCTTGGTATGTTTGAGCAAGTATAAGAAGATGAGTCTTTGGATGTAAGCAAGGTCAGGATTGATAGAAGATAAAGGGAGGAAAAAGCATGTTTCTATCAATGTGAGGATCTGAGGTTTTACTCCGAGACAAGGACGCTGGCAGGTGTAAGCAGAGAAATGACATGATCTGCTGTTATCACTACAGCTGCTGAAAGGAGTACCAGACAGTAGAGGAGCAAGGGCAATGGCAAGGAGGCCAGGTAAGAGGGCAGGGCTGACAACAAATGGAAACAGGATGGGAGCAGTAAAGATGGTAACAAGCAGTAGACCTGGATACATTTTGAAGACAGAACTGACAGAATTTACTGATTCTGAAAGAAATCTGGAGTGTGAGACAAAGAGGAGTCAAGATGACTATAAGGTGCTCTGGTCTAAGTCAGTGCTTCTCAAACTTCAGTATGCATCAGAATCTCCAGGAGGGCATGTGAAACAGATTGCTGGACCTCACTTCCAGTGTTTCTGATTCAGCAGGTCTAAAGTAGAGCCCAAGACACGCTTAGCAACACGAAAAAGAGAACTGCCACTTACGAAGCTACAAAAACCACAAAGATGGGAAAAACTGCAGGGGTCAGGAGATATATTTGTCCAATTTTGAACATATTAAATTCGGGATGCCCAATATCACTTCTGCAGTATTTTCTCCCAAATCCGTGGCCTCAAACTAATCATGTGAAAATACCACACAAACCCAAATCAAGAAATATTCCACAAGGCATCTGGCCAACCATGAAAAACATGGAATGGCTGTCACAGGCTGAAGGGGACTAAATGTAACATGGGATCTCGGGTCAGATCCTGGAAAATTTGTGGAAAGACTAGTGAAACCTGAGTAAGGTCCAGTTTAGTTTGTGGTATTGTACCAATGTTAATTTCTTAGGTTTTGTGAAACAAACAAAATCTAAGAAATTAACATTGGTACAAGTTATGGAATGTATGTGGAGTGTTAACAACAGGGGGCCAGGAGCGGTGGCTCACACCTGTAATCCCAGCACTTTGGGAGGCCAAGGCGGGCAGATCAGGATCATTTGAGGCCAGGGGTTTGAGACCAGCCTGGCCAACATGGTGAAGCCCCGTTTCTACTAAAAAATACAAAAATTAGCTGGGCATGGTGGCGCACTCCTGTAGTCCCAGCTACTCCGGAAGCTGAGGCTGGAGAATTGCTGAAACCCAGGAGGCGGAGGCTGCAGTAAGCAGAGATTGCATCATTGCACTCCAGCCTCGGCAAGAGTGAGACTTGGTCTCAAAAAAAAAAAAAAAAAAATAGGGGAAGGTAGGGCAGGAGGGTGTGGGAATTTCTGTACTATCCCTGAAACTGTTCTGTAAGCTGAACATTACCTCAAAATAAAGAATATTTAAAATGAGATGCCTATATTAGATGCCTAAGTAGAGATGTCAGATAGGCAGTTGGATATGTAAGTGTGGAAATTTAAAAGTTCAGGGTGATGATATAAACTGAGAAATTGCCAGTGTGTATAGATAGCATTTAAAACCATAATGCTGGATGATATTACAAAGGGAATAAATTGTTACGGGAAAGTTCCTTAAACAGAGTTTAGGGGTTGGAGAGATAAGTAGGCATTAGCAAAGGGGATTAAAAACAATGGCTTGTTAGAAGACAATGGCGTGTTAGAAGGGAGGTTAGAAGACAATAAAAAATAGTGACATCTCTAAGCTAGGTGATGACAATTTCGTGAAGTGAGCGATTTCTGAATGCTAATTAAGCTGACTAAAAGATGGACTGTGGGATTAGAAATATGCAGGTCATTTGTGATCTAATAAAGCTATTTTGGTGGAGTAGTAGCATAACACTATTAACTCAAGGCAGAGCCTTTATATGGATTAAAACAATGCTCCTCTGAAAAGACACATCCAATTTGCAAAATTGTCAAATACACTAATCTTTTCGGAACAAGACACTTAGTGCCATCTGCTGGAAAATCACTGTCATAAATTATGTGAACATCATTCTCCTAAATGTGGCACTCTTGTACAGTATGCAATCTGCACAATCATACCCAGTCCTCTGTGTCAGGGACAATGTTTGATTAGAATGGGTTCAAGAGATTAAGAGAAAGAAGAGATAGCAAGTATAGACAATTCTTACAAAGCAAACAGTTTTGCTACCTGTGAAACAAAAAAATGGAGGAATTGCCAAAAGAGGTAGATTCAAGGGAGTTCTTTTTTAAATGATGTGAGCTATCTTAGGAAGTTTTTGTTCTGATGAGAATACTTCAGTAGAAAGGGAAAACCGATGCAGTAGAACAAAACGGAGGATTGCTCAAATGATGGTCTTGAGTAACTTGAGGTGAGGATCTAAATGACTAGTGAGGACCTGGGCCTTAGAGTATGGATGGTTCACCTAGAGTAACAGCAGGGAAAGCAAGGAACAAATTCCCAAATGCAGGTAAGTTCACTGATAAAATGGTGGGAGTACAGAGAAGACCTCTTCTGATTGCTTATGTTTTCAATAAAGTAGGAAGCAAGGTCATCAGCTGAGAACAGAGTAGGAAGGGAGGAAGTGGTTTGTAAGAGGAGGAAGTGGTTTGTAAGAGGAGAAAGTCAGCCCAGCATTGTAGGAGAACAAATAGATTAAGGAAATGTAATATGGTATCAGGGAGCATTGAAGGCTCACTTGAGCTTAGTGGTCAAAATTTAAAGACCACTCAAAAATTTTGTGTGTATTTCACATTCACCAGCTATATGCAGAGTATACAGAGTTGGATTTAACCAGATGCATACAACAGGAAGAGGGTCAAGAAATTCAAGGGTATGTGGAAAGGCATAATGATAAGTGGCTGTGTATAAAGAAGACCCAATGAGGTACTCTGGTAGGTGTCCAACAAATAAGATGAATCAAAAAAAGAGATATCAATACAAGACTCCTGAAATCTTTCACTGCAACAAATGCCCCAGGCCTCCTTACCAAATGTGGATGACTCAGACTGATATTCAATGCCTTTACTACTCAAATATTTTAATGTTATTATTCCAACATGATTGTGAAATTTCAAAGTGATAACCTGGATATTCCAGAGAACCCAATCTTCCCAGGTCTTTCTAATTATCCAAGAGTTTTGCTGATGATGTCCCCAGAAAGATTTAATGCGAGTTATTAAACACAGGTCTTATCTCCAAACTTCTACAGTTTATAATTAAATAATTCCTGAAGCTATTGGTGGGGCTACAAATACAGTTTTGTAATAAGAAACTCTTCTCTGTTAATGGGTATAAATTCCAGTGGTATTTTGCATCCTCTAATGTTTTCCACAATTTATCTGAATACTCCTCTAACTAGTTCCACAAGGTAAATCAAGCCAGCAATCATCTTCCTATTATCATAACCTTTTATTTTTCATTTTTTAACTCTACCCCTAATAATTTAAAATATTTTGCATTTATTATTATCAATGATTAGTCATGTCTGTAGATGCGAGCTTTATTAAGGAATCTGCAATTTCTTACAAATCTTAATCATACACTGGATCTCAATTCTTTATTAAAAGTAGTTAAAAACAAAACAAATAAAACTTCCTTCAACAACAAAAAATGAGCTACAGCTGTCAAACCTGTTTTTATGAGGAGGTACATTATTACACCATTAAGGAAGTCTTCAGTCACAATCCTTGGAAAACACTGTTCTCTGAATCAGATATCTCTTTTCCATGCCAATATAAACACAATGCTGGCCAGCTGTCAGGAACAAAATGTAAAATGTTCACTCAAGCACCACCACCTAGAACTGAGGCCACAGCTTGTAACACAGAAGCTTAGGTAATTATCTAATAATAATAAAATTGTGACAACAATTCCTTCAGGAAGAACAGGAACAATTGTTTGTCTACTTCAGTATAAAAATAACAATAAAAAAGCCAAAGTTATTTTCCTTTCACCAATTTCTTTTAAAATTTTCTCTTCTCTTCACTCATTCTTTTAACAAAGACACTATGTATTTCCCTTCTCACCAGCCCAAAGTGCTCAAAGCAACTAAAGTGCATTACTACATTAGCAATTGTCAGGAATTGATGAAAGAAATGAAGTTCCTTGACATATTTTACACTGAAAGTGACATGCTTCATGTCCTAATTTCTACACCACCAAGGTTAACGTTAATGGAACAAGATTCCATTCTCACAATGTTTTCATGTGACTAAAGTAAAAAATTGTATGAACAGAGGATGAGAAATGTTTATGTTCTGCAAAAGGGGGTTAGAGGAAGACTACCATATCTAAATCCACGATTCATAGTATCTAGAAAGGATCTGACAAATCACATTTTATACATGGGGGTAGGGGAAGAGGCTGGCATGGAGAAGGAAGGAGAGAAAGTTGTTTCCCCACCGCAGAATTATCTCCAAATCCTAGCCCTTATGTAAAAGCATCTCACATACAAGCATTCACAACAATCCTGGAAAGCAAGATATAACTGATGATGTGGTATAACACATATTAAAATTCAGGAAGGAAGAATGTGGTGGGAAAGAGAGAAAACGTTATTGAGACAAGATGATTTTGTTTTAGCAAATCCATAAGTCCTAATACCAATCATAAAAAATAGTAACTGTAATATTTTCAAACCAATATTCAAAGACTAACACTAAAATAACAGCCTCTCAAAGCAATGAACCATGGTTTAGAAATGAAGAGTGTGCCCTGACCAAAGACAGTACCATGGCTCAAACAACTATAGCTCCCACCACTGGGGCACGATGAACTAATAGGGGACAACCACCTTCAAACTTGTTCAGTTTACATTAGTAAATAAAAAGATCCAACCTGGCGATGTACCTTTTGAACAGTGAACAACAATGAAAAGAAATTTTTAAAAAAAGATCCAACCAAGTGTTATAAATAACATTTTTTGGCCAACACTTTAAATAAACTCCCCTCCAAAAAAAAAAAGATGATTTGAATTATACTGGTATTACAATATTAGTGTTTGTATACTAGGTGCTTTTCAAAACAGACATATTATACACATAGTAGGACAAATAAAATTTATTTTTCTCTGTAAATTCATTTAAAAGTATGTTATCTATGATTATCCTATCAAGGTCAGAAATGTTAGATCTTACTCCAAGATAGGTAAACGCCTTTGAAACGCAACAAAAAGAGACGATGATCTTATGAGCTCATTTATGTTCATGCGTGAAAGTGTGAAGGTCACTAGCTTTGCTGTGTTTCTACAAGTTTCCTTGACTGTAAAAACAGTCAAAATGTAACCAACCTAATTCAAGATGTTAAATTAATTAAGTTAAATAAAATTAGCCAAAGCACTGTAAATTAAATGACATAATACTTAAGTTCTGTACTGATGACACCCTTTGATCAAAAGGATGGTGACCCAGTAAGGTGCTTCTGGAGGTTATTACTTCTCTAATTCCGAATTTATCATCACTGACTCTTTAGGCATAATAAAATGTAGAGTGTAAATAGGTTGGTGACAATTTATTTAATTTAGGTTGAGCTACTTATAAATACCTGAGAGCTCTGGAAACAACATATATATCCATCTTGCAAATATCAGTAAAAAGAACAAGTATTTGCAATATTTGATATGAAATTCTGAAGCATATGGGAACTTCTATAAAATAGACAAGTTTAATTTTACTACCATCCAGCCTTAGCCCTTTACTTTCCTCACCCCTATCGCTGCCTCCATCCCTAACACCCCTCCAATCCAGTTTCTCTCATCAGGAATTCGCAAATCAATTCTTTACAACAAGGTTTTCAACAAAAGAAAAATCATGAGGTGAATCTTCCCTTAAATGTAACAGTACTGATTAACTCAAATTATAAATACAGAAATGGCCACTTTCAATATGAACTGAAGATCTTACTCTTCAATTACAATCTGCTAAGATATATATGGGGCATTATATGAGCATGTCCTGCAGATTAAGAATAATTTTAAAGTGAGTGAAGTCAAATCTTACAACTTCATTGTGCCTCTTTGGTTTTTACTATAGAAACAGTACTTTTTTTAATGATATACATACCCATGAAACCTTTTCTTGAATGGCACAACCCAGAGCTTCTGTGCTTAAAATGTTATAATCCAAATTCCTCTCTTTTAAGAAAAAAAATCAGCCATGACAATACTTAGCAATTATCATCTGAGCTATGTAAAGTCTAAAACAACTATAAGGGCCATACATTAGTGGCCATTTTTAAGCTTGCTAAACGATGATGGGCTTAAAGAGGTGGGAGCCGGGCTATTTAAGATACAGATCTATTTATATTTAGAGGATGTGCTAAATACTTTGAGTGGCCATCCTCTTACACATAATTATACTAAACTCAGATTGAAACCTGCCTACAAATTTCATTCTTTAAATATTAGTCAGTTCTGCTTATTTAGGTCTTCTATGGACAAACTGCAACCAACCATTCAGTATTAAACCAATAGTCCAGTATTAAGCCCTCTGAAACCTTAATCTTTGTCTGGCAGGAAGGATTTGAGATATAAAACCAACCTCTATGTGAGCAGGATGCATTAAATGAGTTAAGCTGTTTATAATGAAGCTTCATTATCTTGAAGCATTATAAACTCTTCGAAATATAAAATATCTATAAATTTCTATGTACATAGTTTAAAAATTTGAAAATTTTTCTAAAATATAAAAGAAAACTAAAAAAAGACAGAAGAAATGCTTCCCTTAACATGTTTTCCTATCAGAAATGGACTTTTTCCAGCTAATTCACTTCTATTAATTAAACCAAGGAGCTTGAAATTCTAAAGTTTAAAAAGGATCAAAAATAGTAATACAATCTAAAAATCATATGGTTTTGGCTTCAGAATTTTATTTTAAAGGTTATACAGGATCAGATTATGAGACTGTTGCAAACCTGGGTAATCTGTCAGGTGTATGAGATGAAAGAGAAAAGCCAGTCAAATGAAAAGACAAAGTAAATATGTTTTTCATTTTATAGAACCATTCAGTAGTAATGTAACCATTCAGTTAACCACTGGTTAACTGTTATGATAACTGAATGTTAATCAGTTAACCATTCAAAACTAACCATTCAGATTTCTCTATACATGAGCCACATTATTAATGTGATCTCTAAATCTTTTGGTAAGTTAAAATATTCGTGTTTATTAAAAAGTAAAAGTGTTTGTAATTAAAAATTATATTAATTAAAATCTTAGGCACTTAAATTAAGGTATGTGTCACTTTAGACATATTAAAATAGTGTATAAGAACAAGTTTTTAATAAATATCTCAAAAGGCTGATATATTATGCCTAGACATGCTTCCACTGTGTTTTTAGTGTGTCTGATTCTTTTAACCTCGATCTCTTTGGATGGCATGTGGTGGGGGAATAATGGGCACCTTGTTCACAAACACAAACCTTCTCCTGAGATACAGTCTGGTGATGTGTGAACATACTAAGGTCTGAAAACTCTTCCAAAACCACAATGGTATACACACTCTTTTCAACACAAACATTTGTCATTATCATTGATGCTATATGGCTTCCTTGATTCCTTGTCCCTTTCATGGAAGAATTCAATTACAAACAGCACTGAACAACTAGTGACTCACTGTAAATTCTCCCAAATACTCCTAATGTGATTAATCCTTTATAAACACCAGATAATGTATACCATCAACTTGCATGACAAAGAGTCCCAAAGCCTAAGAGGCTCAACACTCATATCTCAGTCATGGCTGTATGGCCAGGAAAATGAACATCATGACGGATTCCTGCATTCTTCACATTGTGCTCATGAACAAAGTCAGTGTAGTTTCTATGTGCGGTCTGGGGTGGGGGCAAGGCCCTTGTGTTCCACTGGTTTCCACCACGTTGACAGCAGTCGCTGGCAGCAGAGAGCCTGGATGGTTGGGGAGTGGGAGGGGAGCACAGTTAGTCAATAGGAATAGGAGAAAATGGATGTGTAAGAGACAATAAAGGGGAAAGGTAATGTGACTAGCATGCACTGCTGCTATGAGTAGTTACCAGCATCTACTCCATGCAATGATAACATTCAAGAATAACAAAGTGGGGGAAATCCACAAAGTTACATGTAATGAAAAATACCAATATGGAAATACATGTAAGTAATCTGAGTCAGCTAAGTGAATTAAAGAAGAAATTTCTCAGAAAGCAAGACACTCTGTATCTGTCCCTGATGTTGTTACTAATATTAAAAGCAGAAATGTTGTTAGGGGTTTTAATCAGAAGAAAAAAATATTCATAATCTACTTAACTTCAAATATTTGAAAAAAGAACTCTACATAAGGACAAAAGCATATATGGAAAAGGAAAACTGTGAAAATTCTTCCTCAAATTATGGGATTTCACAGAACTGAAATGCAGGAAACAAAATTCAGAAAGAGCACTAAAAATAAAAAATCTACCTTCAGAGGCCATGTAATTTTACATCAATGTTCCCAATTAGCAATAGAGAATCATCGCTCCTTATATAATCAAAGTTCACAAGACCTCAAAATGAAATTCAACAGGTACAGATAATGTGATGAGATGATACACCCTCTCCAAGAAGTAGTTTAGTAAGCATATTAGGCACCTTTTATCACAGTGCTATAGAAAAGGCCTATAGAATTCTAAGAGTGAAACATGCATACATGCAGTTCTTGGTCAGAACTGATCAGAGTCCTCCAGTAGAAAGAAAGCAAATCAAAGTCTTGTGACATGGCAGAAAGGGCAGCATATATTTAAAATAACTACAAAGGAAAATGCCACCCCAAATATAAAATATGTGCAAAAATACATTTTTAATAAGTGTTATCTTTCTAACTCAACCAAAACATTAATCTTCACCTTTATCCCTTAGGGAAACTGAAAATAAATTAACTAAAATAATTTTTCAAAACAAAATTGGAAGGCTTTTTTAATAACAAAATCATCTTTCTTTTAACTGAAATACAATTTGTTCATCAGACCTGGCTCACAAAAATCACAACCCTCAAGTTATGGTCTCTAAAAATTTAGAAAACTAAATTAGGTTTATGTTCTCCCCTACCAATGCAAGGTTTTCTAAACACTATTCAGTTTTGTTTCTGTTGTTGCTTACAAATGATTTATGGGTTTACAATACATGAATTGTTTCTCAAAAAGTGAAATTTTAAATACTTGATTATTCTAAGCCACTGATATGCCAAATCATTTGCTCTAATAATGGTGTCATTTAAAAGATACCAGCAAAAAAATGCTGAAGACTTGAACAGGGAGTAGGTGTAGATTAAATTGGTTGAAAGTTACCTGCAAGCAATAGAATGGTCCATTATTCTGCCCAATTGTTCAAACATAGGAAGCATTTCCAAATTTTAACCATTTATCACTTTCTAAAGGAGGACTGCTTTATATTCTTTTGAAAGCATTAACAAGAATCAAAGCATGCAGAAAAAAGAATGAAATGCAGAACACATATGAAATTAAGGCGGGAGAGTCCATTATCTCCAAAACATGCCAGCTCTATATTCAGTTCCATGCCCTTGTTGACCTACACTGAGGCTTATTATGTTATAAAGAGCATCACTTTACTCTATTTCAGCAAAGGAGGTCTCAGCACAACCACATAAAGAAAGGAGAACACACAGCTCCAAATTTTTCATTTTCCTTAAAATTTAATAAATTCAATGCTCTTTCTAAAGGATGCATCAAAGAAACCAAGTAGTACCTAACAAATCAAATCAAACAGGTTTAAATATGTACCTATTCATATGGAAAAACTCAAAGATTCAGTGTCGTAATATAGTATCCCAACTAATCAGACCCTCACTCCATATTAACATAATAGGCAAAGACACTTCCTTTATAGCTGAAGTCTCAATACTATTTTTCCTTGCAAACAGAACTTGGTGGTAACATCAATGAGATAAAACATAACTGCTTACAGGAGCTGTGTTTTCCATAAGAAATTGAAGAAACTTTCTAAAAATGACTTTCAAAAATAAATTTGACATTTATAAGCCTCACTCTTTACACTTTTAAGTGTGTCCCCAGATGCACACAAATATACACAAAGTATCACCACCACATACCCATGTAGAAAGAAAATAAAAAGGAGAAAATGGGGCCAGGGGAGAAGGGAACTCAATCTTATAAACTAATCACAAGTTATTTGGAACTGAAATAAAAATACACCCAAGTATCAAGAGCAAGGCACCCTGCAGTTAGTTAAGCCAAAATAACAGTGAAAAATAATTACATAGCAAAGACTGAAAACAATCACCAACCACTGTTGAGCCACCACCATGAAGGAAGAACTGGCTGCACAGAAAGCTGACCAAAACCTTGAGATCACCACAGAAATGCATTAGATTTCAGGTACTAAACAAACTAAGAGCAAGAGAAAAAGAGAAAAATCCTATGAATTATCAAAATTCATTTCACAAACAGACAAATAACTTGAACAGGTGATACACCCAACATGACCACTGAATCAAATAATCCCCAAGGAGCCCCCACCAAGCCACATATATTTATTTGGGAAAGGATAAACTCAAGTGATTAACTCCAATAAGACACAAAGTATCCATATTTGTATATTTACTATTAATCTAAAAAAAGAACCTGGAAGTCTAAATAATTAAAGTATCTTTTTCCTGTCATCAGATTCTCTCTCAGTCTCCTTAGGGTATCTCATGCTTTATCAGATTTTAATCATGTTTTGCTTCTGACTTTACCCTTCGTCTTTAATGAGAAAAACACATTCAAAGTAGCATCATGTTGTGTGGAATAACACGTAGTGGATATACTTTCCTTACGGACCTGGGAAAATATTCTACTGTCTTTTTCAGCAGAGAATCATCCACCACTACCACATCAAGCTAATAAGGGCAGATTTATTTTAAATGTATTAACGTTTTGTTTCAAATAAATAATAAGTAAGGACAGCTGTCTGATGGTCTTCATTTAGACAACTGCACTCCCTTTATCACCAACATCCTTATTTTCCCCATCTCAATATGATTATTTAATAATAAGCTTTCCAGCTCACAAATATGAATAATTTGCTTTCAATCATATTTAAAGTACTTTAAGATTATGACTTGGAATTCCAAATACAATTAACTAGGCAATATTTTATTTTAGTTTAAGGAATTAACAAACCATTTCCTGTCATGCTGGTCTGTTCCAGGACTCTGTGGAAGATTCTCTATCTCCACTGGCACAGGAGCAGAGGAAATGGAAGGACTCACAGGCAGAGCAGATCTCATCCCCCAAGCCTTTGGACAAAAATTATAAAAATTATCTATTTTGCCTCGATAACAGATCTCTTCACCAACAAATACTAAAATGGAGTACTATTTACAAAGCCAACAATTAAAATGTATACAAATGCTTGAATTTTATATACACCTTAGAGATAGTTAATGAATGAAATATTAGTAGTCAGTTAAATTATGTTCTTGGATTCACAGAGACATAAAATGTTTTATAGAGCACCGGTTTCCTTTACAAAATCTTAGAGAATAAAATAACCGGAAGTTATTACTGAACCACTTAAGGGAAAAGGAAAAGAAAATGCACATAATTTGTGCAGGGTTACATACACCACTATGAAAATCCAATCAATACTACTACTGTTACCATAATTAACGGGTGATCCAGTGTTTTAGAAGCTTAGTATTGTCTTACCTGTTGGGAGCCATTACTTTGGGTCGAAACATTATTGTGAACACTGTAATGGGAAAAAAAAATCAATTAAAAACCCTATATGAAATTTCAGGACTTCATTTTGTAAGATAACACATACACTAATAAAATATTTATTTTAAAGATATTAACGTTTTGTTTCAAATAAAGAATAAAACTACTGCTAGTACCTAAAACTAAGAATGTCAGATACCTGAAAACATTTGTTCTTATAGGCAAATACTTGCTTTTCTATAGTTGCTCATTTGATGTTTCCATACACCTATATTTTAATCATGCTTTAGAGGTATACTTCACAACTGTTTATTCATTGGACAACAGCTATCAAGGATGGCCTAACAAAGACAGCAACACAATCCCACATAAACTTATCTGTCACTTCTTTTGTATATTCCTACCCTCAAGATTTTCCAGTGTCGGCAACAACTCAGCGTTTTATAACTCAAAAGGCCTTAGTATAAAAGGTTTAGAAAGTTTGAAACTTCTCTGTGTACACCTTCCTCTCCAAATGACTTATAAACACGTTCTAAAATTTTCAGTTTAGGCCAGGCATGGTGGCTCACGCCTGTAATCCCAGCACTTTGGGAGGCTGAGGTGGGCGATCACGAGGCCAGGAGATCGAGACCATCCTGGCTAACACGGTGAAACCCTGTCTCTACTAAAAATACAAAAAATTAGCTGGGTGTGGTGGCGGGCACCTGTAGTCCCAGCTACTTGGGAGGCTGAGGCAGGAGAATGGCGTGAACCCAGGAGGTGGAGCTTGCAGTGAGCTGAGATCGTGCCACTGCACTCCGGCCTGGGCGACAGGGCGAGACTCCATCTCAAAAAAAAAAAATTTTCAGTTCAGTTTGTACCCATCCCCACCCCGCCATTCCCACAAAAAGCACTTGAAAAAACCCTCAACCTATAATACAAAAAAAAAAACCCAGAAACTACAGAACAACAGAAAAAAAAATTCAGTAAAATAAAAACTCAAAGATGAACTATAACTCACAACAAAATGAGAAAAAAAGTTTCCTAATGTCAGACATTCTAAAACAAGGATAAATGGTATCCCTGAAGTAAGAAATTCAACTAATGTAAAAAATAATTCAAAAATATAAAAAAATTCCTTGAAAGTGAGAAAATAATTTACAGATTTAACGACAGCACTGTGTTTCAGGAAAATGAGACAGAAAATGAAATGCAATCGATCCCCTATTGTTCAGCCACTCAACTTCAAGGATAAGGAAAGAATACTTCGGGTACCCCGAGCAGATTTAAAAGTAAATCACTACCAATTATCAGGTTGGCAAAGGCCTCCCATAGCAGTAATCAAGAATATTATTTTATAACCAGCCAACATGTCATTCTACTAAGAGGAAACAGGCAAAGCTCTCAAACACAACCTCTGAATAGAGGATCCAGAAGCCTTTCTAACAAGGTGAGAGCAAAAAACCGCTACCTGATAATGAAAGCCAACCAGTTAAGAACCTAAGAATGAAGAGAGGCCCTGCTAAAACGCTGGGGAATGAAGAGTGAACATATTTTATATTCTATTTTTTTAAGAACTACAGATCAATTACAAGTTGAGTCACTATAACTTGCACTATCACTGTCTGGGTTCAAAGCCAAGCTGTGTCACTAGGTCTATTCTGTACACCTTGGGTTGCTCATTTGCATGAGACTGTTAGAACAACTAAATGAGTTAATATTAGCAAAATACAAATAACAGTGATTACAACAACAACAAAATACCTTTCAAAGAAATACTATTGGTGAGGCATGGTGGCTCATGCCTGTAATCCTAGCACTCTCAGGGGCCGAGGCAGGAGGACTGCCTGAGCCTAGGACTTTGAGACCAGCCTGGGCAACAGAGCCAGACCTCCAACTCTACAAAAAATTAAAAAATAGCTACGTGTGAGGGTGCGTGCCTGTAGTAGTCTCAGATACTTTGGAGGCTGAGGCAGGAGGACTGCCTGATCCCAGGAGGTTGAGGCTACAGTGAGCCATGATGATGCCACTGCATTGCAGCCTGGGTGACAGGGCAAGACCCTGTCTCAAAAAACAACAACAACAACAAAACCCCACCCCACCAAAACACACACACACACACACACACACACACACACAAAACAAACAATTTAGTGCAGATCCACTGCCATGGCAATTTTAAAGATTATACCCATCAGGCACAATTTCTTTTTACTAACCATGTTGCTCTTCCTAGAATACCCATGATCCTAAGTCTTAATGAAATCTCACCCAGCCTGCTTGGTACAGAAGTTAGACCTACTAGTCCACAGTTCCTTGGTTATTCTCTGAAGCTTTTCCTTTAACTAGAAATAACTTTAGTAGGTGATCAATAAGATTAACATGAGAACAAAATATTTATAAGTGATGTTAATTGAACCATAGCTTCCTGTTTTAAATTGTATGAAATACAGAAAGCATTATTTTCTGATAATTATATACATTCTTTCACTTCCATGAATATGAAGGAATTACTGAATTATTTCTCATTACTAACCTAGTTCAAGCTTCCCTTTTTAAAGGACTACATACAATAACTGACCATTTTTGCTTTTACATAGTATACCTTCTACTCATTTGATTTCCTCTACCATTTTTTCTTTTCCTCTTTCCTGTCTTCAAGACTGCATATTAAGCCTGTATAAGAAGTACTAGTAATTGAAATGTCAACTATCCTTTAAAACATCACCTCTTAAATACTTTATAGTATTCATGACTCACAAGAATAGTTAAGAGCCAAAACAGTACAAGAAAAATGACTGACATTAGCCAATTAAAAAATCTGTTATTCAAATGGGCATTTTACAAAACTGCAGAATACAAGGTCGAGAAGATTTTCAGGTCAAATAGTTGTGCCTTTTCAAACAGTACTGTTTTCCATGGTTCAATAGAGCAAAACTGTTCATACAAACAGAAATGGAAGGGCAAGAGTGAAAGGGCATACAACATGCCAGTCTGAGCTCAGGTTTTCTCAAGCACTGCGATGGGTGGTGCTCAATAACCTTCAGGAGAGTTGGGTCCCCCACTACATCTCATTTCTAAAAGCTTAGTCTAAAAAAAAACCATTCCTTAAATATACCATTTCTGCTATGTTTTCCAGAGTCAAAAGCATCACTAATGAAGAGACACCAACATTTAGCCATTAAAGTTAAATTAATCATAATTCCAAAACAGGCACTATATATATTCATATTTTACCAGAAATGTGTTTCAGAACATCTTAAAGAAAAACCTCCTATTTTGCAAATAAAAGCCTTAATTTTTCAACTACGTACCATTGCTGAATACTTTGTTTACATTTCTGCTAACTTTAGCAGGTACTCACTTTTTACTTTAAGCTCTAATATTCCATATCCCAGCCTCCTTTTCAGGAAAGCAAGACATAATACATTAAATAAACAAAATAGCTTCAAAGGTACAGAAAAATCTCAAACATTACTCCATTTTTCTTTTTCTTTTTATTATTTGAGATGGAGTCTTGCTCTATCACCCGGGCTAGAGTGCAGTGGCGCAGTCTCGGCTCAGTGCAACCTCCGACTCCAGGGTTAAAGCAATTCTCCTGTCTCAGCCTCCAGAGTAGCTGGGATTACAGGCGCGCACCACCACGCCCAGCTGATTTTTGTATTTTTAGTAGAGATGGGGTCTTGCCACGTTGGTCTGGCTGGTCTCAAACTCCTGACCTCAGGTGATCTGCCTGCCTTGGCCTCCCAAAGTGTTAGGATTACAGGCATGAGCCACTGCTCCCAGCCATTACTCTACTTTTCTGAAAAACATAGCTTATAAATAAATCCAAGAAAAATAAAAGTATACAGCACAGAAAAGGCACAAAATGTTGTTTTTTTACCTAATAAAAATCTCACGGAGAGAGTTTCACAGAAATTTCACTTCCTCCCTGTTATATTTATTTATTTATTTTCAACAGCCTATTGACAGCTAAAGAAACTTGAGGGGAGTCCTTGTTCAGAAAGCGGAGTGCTATTATAGTCAATCACTAATCACGGACTGGCTTTAACAGCTTTCAAAGTGAAAAAAAAATGGACATTTCAAGGTGAGGCTGATGATACTCAATATCCAAAAATAACCAACTTCTTTTGAAAAAAGTCTAGTGAGACAACTGCCATATAAGAGTACAGACAAATTCAAAAATAAATTAGATTTGTGGGTATGGTCTGAATCTTATCTTTAACAGGCATTCTAGGAGACTCTAATACATACCAATTATTAAGCATTATATGAGACCACAGATATAGCCTCATTGTAATAAGTAATATTAAAATTAATGGAGCCGGCTGGGCGTGGTGGTTCACACCTGTAATCCTAGCACTTTGGGAGGCCGAGACAGGCGGATCACATGAGGTCAAGAGTTCGAAACCAGCCTGGCCAACATGGTGAAATCCTGTCTCTACTAAAAATCCAAAAAATTAGGTGGGCATGGTGGTGCGTGCCTGTAATCCCAGCTACTTGGGAGGCTGAGGCAGGAGAATCGCTTGAACCTGGGAGGCGGAGGTTGCAGTGAGCCAAGATCATGCCACTGCACTCCAACCTGAGCGATAGAGCAAGACTCCGTCTCAAAAAAAATTAATTAATTAATTAAATTTAATTAATGGAGCCATCAGAAGCAAGACCTTCAGAATGGTAATTTGAAAACAAAAGTAGATACTCTCGCCAGTGAAACAAACATTTAAGTGGTTTAAAAAAAAAAATCAGTAAGCTTGAGGACAGGTCAAGTGAGATTATGTAGTCTAAAAAAAAAAAAGTATAAAGAGAAGCGAACAGACTCAGAGACCTGTAGGACACCATCAAGTGTAACAACTTACATGTTAATGAGAATTCCAGAAGGAGAAGAGAAAGACAGCATAAAGAATATCTAGAGAAATAATGGGTAAAAACTTCCAGACTTGATGAAAAGGTTATATCATGGAAAAGCAACCATATGAAAACTGGACTGGCAATATTTACATCAAATAAAATCAACTTTAAAACAAAAGTTACTAGAGATAAAAAGGAACAGTCCATCAGGATAATATAACAATTAACAACACATACATACCTACCCCAAATCCACAACATACATGAAACAAAAACAGAAAGAACTGAAGGAAGAAATAGACAATAGTTGTAGACTACAATACTCCACTCTCAATAACGGATTAAAACTAGGCAAAAGATGAACAATGAAACAGAAGATCTGAACACAATAAACTAACAGACATCTATGAAACACTCCACTCAGAAACAGCAAAATATATACTCTTCTTAAGTACACATAAACTATTTTCCTGGGTGACTCATATGGAGGGGCCATAAAAAAAGTCTCAATAAGTTTAAAGGGATTGAAATCATACAAAGTATGTCCTCTACCCATTATGGAATAAAATTAGAAAAAAATAAAATTTTGACATTCACAAATACAAGGAAATTTAGCAACACACTCCTAAGTAATCAAACAAGTCAAAGAAGAAATCACAAGTTAGAAAATAAATTGAGGTAACCAAAAAACAAGAACACAACATAGCAAAACTTATTGAATTAAAGCAGTGCTTGAAAGGAAATTTAATATCTTTAAATGTTAAAAAATAAAGATCTCAGATAACCTAATCTTCCACCTTAAATACTAGAAAAACAGCAAACTAAACCTAAAGTGGAAGGAAAAAATAATATAGAGCAAAAATTAATGAAACAGAAAAACAGAAAAATCAATGAAACCAAAAGCTTTTCTATTTGAAAACGTCAACAAAATTGACAAACCTTTTGCTAGACTAGTTTTTTTTTTTGCAAGAAAAAAAAAAACTCAAAATACTAAAAATCAGAAAGGAAGGAGGAGATATTACTATGGAACTTTTAGAAATACAAAGGAAAAGGGAATACAAACTGTATCCCCACAAACTAGATACCACAGATAAAAGAGATAAAACTCTAGAAAGATACAAACTCCCAAACTGAATCAAGAAGAAAAAGAGAATCCGGGAGGGCCTGGTGCTGTGGCTCACGCCTGTAATCCCAGCAAGACGGGAGGCAGAGGCAGGAGGATTGCTTGAGCCCAGGAGTTTGAGACCAGCCTGGGCAATACAGGGAGGCCCCATCTCTACAAAAAATTTAAAAATTAGCCATGCATGATGGCAAGTGCCTGTAGTCCCAGCTACTTGGGAGGCAGAGGTGGGATGATCACTTGAGCCTAGGAGGGAGAGGCTGCAGTGAGCCAAGCCATGCTCAAGCTGCTGTACTGCAGCCTGGGTGAAAGAGCTAGGCCCTGCACGTCCCCTACCCCCACCCCAACAAAAAAAAAGAGAAGAAAAGAAAATCTGAACAGATCTCTCATAAGAATTTTTAAGATTCACATAAAGAGAAAGATGGCTTTAATGGTGAATTCTACCATACATTTAAATAATTAATACCCATTATTTACAAATTCTTCCCAAGAAATAGATGAGGAGGGAACATATACAAACTTATTTTGTAAAGCCAGTATTACCCACCCTACATAAAAAACCAGACAATGACATTATAAGAAAACTACAGGCCAATATTTCTGATGAATAGACACACAAATCCAAAAACATACCAGGCTAATGAAATCCAGCAACATATAACATAAAGAAGGTCTATACACCACAACCAAGTGGGATTTATCCCAGGAAGAAAATTGCCTATTTGCAAATCAACCTTTCTCCTTTGTGCTTCTTATGTATAAGGATCATAATTTATCTTAAGATCCTCAGCCACTTGCCAATAACAAAGGTATGTCATTCTCTTTATGAATGGCTCATCTGCCTCGACCCCATTCTTTACTTCCTTAAACTGCTTTAATTTTTCATCATGTCACTTTTATCTGGCATTACATGTTCATTTATTCCCTGACATATCCCTGGTGCTTTACGGACAACTTGACATTTTGATAGGTCTTAAATATTTGTTTAATGATAGCAACTACATAAATCCCAAATTCTATACCAATTCCTAAGTTGCAAAACATTACTTACCTAAGTTCTTCAGGTTTTGTAGCACATGCTAACAGAAGAAAAAAGATAACACCTCATTAGTTTCATCTTACATGATAAACTGCTGCACTATTCAAAGCAAAACTTTAACTAATTGCTTTACAAGCCATGTTTCACAACCATAAATTTATTTCTTTGAGAAAGGGTCTTTCATGATTTTGTAGAGATAGGGGTGGGTCTCACTACTGTTGCCCAGGCTGGTCTCAAACTCCTAAGAGTTGAGCTTTTGGGCTCAAGCAATCCTCCCACCTTGGCCTCCCAAAGTGCTGGGATTAAAGGTGTGAGCCACCACATTTGGCCCCAACCATAAATCTAAAAACCTTCAATTCACCAAAGTGTTTTGGGATTCACACCATAGAGGCAACAATGGCAATTATTTTCATTTTTCAAATAAAGCAATACAATGCATATATATCTCCTCCTTTTAAACAGAACCAATCTGTAAGCCTCCAGAGTGAGCTGACTGATTATGAATTATCATCAGTGGAAACCAAGAGGAAACTTAGGGTTTTAAAATCATCACAATTCATTTATAGCTGTATATTTAATTTACAGCCACACCAAAACTTATGAGTATAAATCATTTTTATAAAAAAGTCAATACTGCCAAACATCAGATCATTACAGCTGTTTTTGGACAACTGGTGATGACTCTGACAGTGGAAATACTTAAAATTAAATTTGCATTTTAATGCAAATTCATTTTAATGCAAATTCAGTTTAAAACCAAACACAAGGTTTAATTTATTTGTCAAGGTAAATAGTGCTTTTTCTTATATAACTGATCTTAATCAGCAAGTAACAATTATGAATTAGGAAATGTCTATGTATAACAATGATGAATATATTTTAAAATGGTATTTAATACAATCCTTAATATTATAATACAATATGAAATAAATTTTACTTAAAAAAAATTCATCACAAGACAATGTTTTGGCCAGGCATGCCTGTAATCCTTTTAGGATTCGGGAGGCCAAGGTGGGTGGATCACTTGAGGTCAGGAGTTCAAGACCAGCCCAGCCAACATGGCAAAACCCCATCTCTACTAAAAATACAAAAATGAGTCAGGAGTGGTGGCGCATGCCTGTAATCCCAGCTACTCAGGTGGCTGAGACATGAGAATCACTTGAATCTGGGAGGTGGAGGTTGCAGTGAGCTGAGATCATGCCACTGCACTCCAACCTGAGCAACAGAGTGAGACTATCTCAAAATAAATAAATAAATAAATAAATAAATAAATAAATAAAAATGTTTTTAAAAATTCCTAAGGGGATTAAGGGATGTTTTAGAATGAGATCTGTAAGTCAAAAAGGGAGAGAATATGTTGCTCTACAGAAACAGTTTTGTATACAAAAACTGAACATAACCTCAGACTATCATTTGAATTGGGATTAACATAAAGTTTAATCTCTGCTAACAATACAGGCAATTTTTCTCTGTGTATCCCATGAAATTGATTCTGCCAGAAAAGTACTTTAGTTGACTGGAACAGACCTGAGGAGGAGATTCAGGTAACTTCCTCTTATGGAAACAACACCAGCACATAATTAATTGCCAAGGAAAAATAATCCTTTGAAAGAGGGTTGCACTTCACCTTTCATTTGTAGAGTTCGTCTAGAATATCGTTTGCTGGGCCTTCTTTCAAAGGATGTTGATCTTCTTGCTTTATTGGTTTTTGTGGTCTGATACTCTGTTTTCCCACTAAATGAGGCATAACAGAAGTAAGGGAAATTTTAGGTCTACAGTAATAAACACACACAAATAAGACAGTCCACATTCAGGTTCTCCTTAAAAGAATCATCCTAAACTTCATCGCACAGGAACAGCTACTAATAGTCTCGATCTCTCTCTTTACCATATCATTCTTTCGGCTTTTGTGAAATATGCAACAGATTATGTTGGTTTTATTTTTCTCATATGCATGCATATCACCTAAGTACACATTAAATAAGTTTGAAATATCTGTCCTTTTATGGAAACTCCCTCTCTTTCCCATCTACATTCCTCAGTGCAAAGTGTGTAATTAAAAGAATATTTTCAGTTACTTTTTCTAATTGTGATATTCACTTTTCAGTATAATTTTCCAGAAATGTTTTTTAAGACTACTGTCTTATTCTCCTTGATTTCCATTTAAATTCTGTTTAGAAAATGCCTCCTTACTTTTAATATAAGTAGACTACAGTACTACTTCTATTAACTCCACACAATCAACTGGCCACATTATTGGTACAATCCATTCCTTCTTTAACTGATTTCCATGGCATGCAGAAAACTCACAACCAATAATCCACTCTGCAGTAAACCAAAACATTTCTAACTCATGACAACAAACAAGGAGTCATGAGAATAATGACCTTCAGGTTTATAAAGGACCACAAATGTTATCCAGACTAATATCCCATTCAGTGCAAGAAACCCTTTTCTATATGGTATCCAGTGGTGGGTGGAGAGTCCATAAAACTCTTGTTAAATAGATAAACTGGGAGTGGGTTAATATATAAAGTAAACATCCAGAGGGATATAAAAGCCATTATACAATTACTGTTTACGCATCTATTCAAGAAATTATAACCAATAACAATACCACTTTTTCTATTTTATTTTGGCCAATGGAAGACTCTGGCAAACCACCTTATTCCTCTATACCTTAGTTACCATATCTGTAAAAAAGAGAAGATTGGCCTAAATTTTTTGGCCTGTATGCAATGAAAGACAGATAAAACAGCAATTAAAATTAACCTATATCTAAATCGTGATCCTAGTCGAATAAATCCTGATCGATGAGAACTCTTTTGGACGGGGCCTCGAAGGCGGAAGAAAGCATGATGCTCCACAGCACATTTCCATAAATGTTTGCATGCTTTTGGATGATCCAGTCTAAAGACAAATGTATGTTCCTGTTCTTTGCCCTGAAAAAGAAAAGTATATATAAAAGGATGATTACTAATTCAAACAGTCCTATCTCCTATTTCTGAGATACAAACACATCCATGAATAAAGGATCTAGTGTGCTCCCTGAAATTCAGACACTCTTTATAGTATCAACATAATAAGGGCAGAGCTGAAATCAAGTTGCTCATTTTATCAGCCAATACAAAATTATTCCTAGGAGTTATTCCCCTCTACTTACATGATCTCATTTGTGAGAGAGACATAAAATGAGATTTTATCTGCCATTATTTGGGATAACTGTATAATTATAATTTGAGGAATCATATCAGATCTGGCAGTATGCATCAACAGCCCTAAAAATGCTCACATTTTTGTCATAGTAATCACACTGCCATGAGTCTAATTATAATAGTTAACATTCATATAGAAATTTTTCTAAGGATTTCACATAAATTATCTCAATGAGTAGATACTATCATTAGCCCCATTTCATAGATAAGGAAACTGAGGCTCAAAGAAATTAAGCCCAAAATCACAAAGCTATTAAGAAAGAAAACCGGAAATGAACTTAAACATTAGTCTTGCTCCAGAATCTACATACACCTCTAACAACTAAGTTATACTGCCTCTCTGGGGAAAATTATTTCCTAAACATCAAAAGTTATATATGAAGATGTATATTTCCTCAGTCTCATTTATAATAGTAAAACTTGGTACAAACCCTAAACGTCCAAAAAAAGAGAAATGGTCAAGTAAATAGAGGCATATGTAAAAAATTATGCAGAGGGATAAATGAATAAATGATGAATGAATGAATGTGCTATTGTTTATTCATATTACACAATAGCATATATATATGTTAGATCTACATAGGTACACGTTTAGATAAAACAGGCAAGCTGCAAATATATATAATTATGCAAGTTTTTAAAACAATTCTAACATGAGTTAATATTTGGAAAAAGTTACAAAATATATATGAGAATAATACCCTCCAAAATTGGTGACCAGGTACCAGAAGAAAGGGGGTAGGTAGTCAGGGGGTTAGACTTTAGTTGGTATTATTTATTCATGCACATAATTGTATTTATCTTTCTCTAAAAGAGAACTGAAGCAAAATGTAAAAAATGTTAAATCTAGATCATTAATAAGATGGTTATCTATTTTATAATTTTTGGTACTTTTCAGGTTATTTAAAGACACTATTAAGACAGTAAAGATGGATACGCTAATTACCCTGATTTGATAATTACACATTGTATACATGTATCAAAATATCACTCTGTATGCAATAAATATGTACAATTATTATATGTCATCTAAAAATAAAAGTGGTGGAAAAAGGGCAAAACAAGGAGTAGACGATACTTGCAACACTAATATCTGACAGAGAATTAATATCCAGAACATACAAAGAATTTTTTCAATGACTAAAAGGCACATGACCTAATAGAAAAATAAGCAAAAGATTTGAGTAGGCATTTCATAAAGAAGATATCCACATATCCAATAACTACACAGATAAGTACTAAACCAGAGTTGTCATTAGGGGAACACAAACTAAAACCACATTCTACTCCACAAGAATGGCTACAATGAAAAAGACAGAATTCCAAACATTAGCAAAAAAGAAAAAAAACACCAATAACATTGCTGGTGGGAGTATAAACTCGTATTAAATACTTTGGAAAGAGGTTTGGCAGTACCTACAAAAGCTAAATATACATACACCTTAGTGTTCAGAGCAGCACTCTTTTTTATTTTTTAACTTTTATTTTGGGTTTGGGGTACAAGAGAAGGTTTGTTACATAGGTAAACACGTGTCATGGTGGTTTATTGCACATGTTATTTCATCACCCAGGTATTAAGTCCAGTTATCTTTCAGTTAGTTATCTTTTCTACTCTTCTCCCTCTTCCCACCCTCCCCACTCAAGTAGATCCCAGTGTCCGCTGTTGCCTTCTTTGTGTTCATAAGTTCTTATCATTTAGCTCCCACTTGTAAGTAAGAGCATGTAGTATTTGGTTTTCTCTTCTTGCATTACTTTGCTAAGGATAATATCCTCCAGCTCCATCCATGGTCCCGCAAAAAAGATCTCATTCTTTTTTATGGCTGCATAGTATCCCATTGTGTGTTTAAAACAGGAAAAGTATAGCAGTCAAATTACTGAGCAGAGGAAAATGAAAGAACTGGATTCAAAAAAAAAATTTTCATCGTTATAAAAATGTTTAAACATACAGAAAAACTGAATACCCATATACATAGTGTCTAGACTCAACAACTGTTAACATTTTGCTCAAACTGCTTTTATCTGTATCTGTATGCATATGTTAAAATTTATTAATTTGCATAAAGTAAAATTCTTCTTGCCTTTTCTAAAGTATCAGATAAATGGAGTCATTCAATACATAATTTTTTAAATCTGGCTTCTTGCATTAAGAACAATGCATGTGAGTTGCATCCAAGCATGTATCAATTAAGAACCACACTGTAACTGATACAAAGGTAATCTTTAATTCAAAAGGCTTTATTATTATTAGGTAGATCTTTTTGATCAGTTAATAAAGAGATAAAGTTGGTCTGCCACAATGGTTTACTCCTGTAATCTCAACATGCTGAGAAGCTAAGATGGGAGGATTACTTAAGGCCAAGAGTTTGAGAGCAACCTTGGCAACATACTGAGATCCCATCTCTACAAATAAATGAAAAAATCAGCCAGGCGTGGTGGTGGCATGTGCCTGCAGTCCCAGCTACTCAGGAGGCTGAGTGAGCAGGAGGATCACTTGAGCCCAGAAGGTGAAGGTTACAGTGAGCTATGACAGTGCCACTGCCCTCCAGCCTGGGTGACTGGCTGGCTCACTTAAATGTAATTTTTTATACACCTCAGATATACGATCAATGAGGAAACAAGAAGACACTTTTATATTATTTTTCATCCTAAGGGCAGAAAACCATATTTTTAGCATGGTATGACCCAAGTAAGGAAATTATTTAAAGCATTAATTATACTGTTTGCATTCTGTGGCTCTTTAAAACAATGAGGTACATTCCCTCTTTTAGAGAAATAAGTTACCACATAATACAGTCACTGTTACACAAGTAATAGAATATAATTTTATTCCTACCTGATCATCATCTTCTACAACCACCAAGGTTAATTTATTCTTCTTAAAATCCAATCTGGTTATCTTCGGCCTATAATATAATAAGAGAATAAAAGCCAAATTACAAACAAATGTTCTCTAAATATGAAAAAAATTGTTTTTATTTCAAATACATTTAACCATCTAACTCCTGAACTAAAAATTGACAGGACGGTAAACGTAACTTGCAATGCCCATCAAAAGACAGGAAACAGAAAAACACAGTACATATTTCAAAAGCAAATCTCAGACAAAATTGAGGTTGCACATATCAGACATTAAAAATGTTAAGGAAAATGAAATCTATGTATTTGATAGGTCTCGATTATGGTGTAAGAGATTCTTTAGGTCTAGGGAAAATTGTTCCAGTGTTAAAGCAGAGCAGCAGCATAGGAACTAGACATAGGAACGACCATAAAGCTTAAAAAAAACAGCCATAAAGAAAAACACTGACGATGGTTTTCAACTCTTTTTGTTTGTTTGAGATAGGTTCTCCCTCCATTACACAGGGTGGACTGCAGTAGTGTGTTCACAGCTCACTGCAGCCGTGAACTTCCAGGCTCCAGTAATCCTCCTGCCTCAGCCTTACTCCCACACCACACCAGGCTAATTTTTGTATTCTTTGTAGAGACGGCATCTCGCTACGTTGCCCAGGCTGGTCTCAAATTCCTGGGCTCAAGTGATCCGCATACCCTGGTCTCCCAAAGTGTTGGAATTCAGACGTGAGCCACTGCAACCAGCCTCAACTCTGTTTTCAACAGGAATTTTGGGTAGAGGAAATACTTCTTAATTTTTTTAACCTCGCTTTATGGCCCGCTTTCCAACTGTATCTCCCTACTTGTAAATTCCAAACCACCTACCACACATTTGAACTCTGTATTTCCATAAATTGTGAATGTCGAAACAATGTGACACTCCGATTGACTAATCTTTAAATATAACATATAAAATAGATGTAAAACATAACTTTACAAGAGCTTTACTAAAACAATAATGAAGAAATAATAGCAGGAAAAAGAAAGGAAACAGAATCTCACTCTGTCACAAAGGCTGGAGTGCAGTGGCGTGATCTTGGCTCACTACAACCTCCACCTCCCAGGTTCAAGCAATTCTCCTGCCTCAGCCTCCAGAGTAGCTGGGATTACAGGTGCGTGCCACCATGCTATGCCTGGCTAATCTTAGTATTTTTAGTAGAGACAGGTTTTCACCATGTTGGCCAGGCTGGTCTTGAACTCCTGACCTCAGGTGAGCCCCTGCCTTGGTGGGGATTACAGGAGTGAGCCACCTGGTCTGCCCTAAGTATTCTTCTAAGTGCTTTACAAGTATTAATTAACTCTCAAGACAACCTTATAAAAAGGCAGAAAAGGAGCTTTCTTTATCTCTCTGCCTAAAGCATTCTTAGGCCAGGAAGCATGTTACATTTGCCCACAGGACAAGCTGGAGGTATGAGGGGATTTAACACCCAAAAAATTGGAAGATAATTGCCTGAGGTTCTTCACGCATCAAGGGACAACCGTAAAGGTGTTCAACTCAAGTCTCTCAGAGAGTCCCTAGCAAGAACACCCAGATGCAAAACTAAATGAAATACTACCTTCGAGAGCAGTGGTTCTCTCAGCACGGAGTTTGAGATCTGAGAACGGACAGACTGCCTCCTCAAGTGGGTCCCTGACCCCCAAGTAGCCTAACTGGGAGGCACCCTCCAGTAGTGGCACACTGACATCTCACACGGCTGGGTACCCCTCTGAGACGAAGCTTCAAGAGGAACAATCAGGCAGCAACATTTGCTGTTCAGCAATATTCGCTGTTCTGCAGCCTCCACTGGTGATACCCAGGCAAACAGGGTCTGGAGTGGACCTCCAGCAAACTCCAACAGACCTGCAGCTGTTGGAAGGAAAACTAACAAACAGAAAGGACATCCGCATCGAAACCCCATCCGTACATCACCATCATCAAAGACCAAAGGTAGATAAAACCACAAAGACGGGGAAAAAACAGAGCAGAAAAGCTGAAAATTCTAAAAATCAGAGCGCCTCTCCCCTCCAAAGGAACATAGCTCCTCGCCAGCAATGGAACAAAGCTGGACGGAGAATCACTTTGACGAGTTGAGAGAAGGCTTCAGATGATCAAACTTCTCTGAGCTAAAGGAGGAAGTTCGAACCCATCACAAAGAAGCTAAAAACCTTGAAAAAAGATTAGACAAACGGCTAACTAGAATAACTAGTGTAGACAAGTCCTTAAATGACCTGATGGAGCTGAAAACCATGGCATGAGAACGACGTGATGCATGCACAAGCTTCAGTAGCTGATTTGATCAACTGGAAGAAAGGGTATCAGTGATTGAAGATCAAATGAATGAAATGAAGTCAGAAGAGAAGTTTAGAGAAAAAAAGAGTAAAAAGGAACGAACAAAGCCTCCAAGAAATATGGGACTACGTAAAGAGACCAAATCTACGTCTGATTGGTGTACCTGAAAGTCAAGGGGAGAATGGAACCAAGTTGGAAAACACTCTGCAGGATATTATCCAGGAGAACTTCCCCAACTTAGCGAGGCAGGCCAACATTCAAATTCAGGAAATACAGAGAACACCACAAAGATACTCCTCCAGAAGAGCAACTCCAAGACACATGATTGTCAGATTCACCAAAGTGGAAATGAAGGAAAAAATGTTAAGGGCAGCCAGAGAGAAAGGTCGGGTTACCCACAAAGGGAAGCCCATCAGACTAACAGCAGATCTCTCGGCAGAAACTCTACAAGCCAGAAGAGACTAGGGGCCAATACTCAACATTCTTAGAGAAAAGAATTTTCAACCCAGAATTTCACATCCAACCAAACTAAGCTTCATAAGTGAAGGAGAAATAAAATAGTTTACAGACAAGCAAATGCTGAGAGATTTTGTCACCACGAGGCATGCCTTACAAGAGCTCCTGAAGGATGCACTAAACACGGAAAGGAACAACTGGTACCAGCCACTGCAAAACCATGCCAAATTGTAAAGACCATCGATGCTAGGAAGAAACTGCATCAACTAATGAGCAAAATAACCAGCTAACATCACAGCATGTTAGCTGTGACAGGATCAAATGACAGGATCAAATTCACATATGACAATATTAACCTTAAATGTAAATGGGCTAAATGCTCCAATTAAAAGACACAGACTGGCAAATTGGATAAAGAGTCAAGACCCACCAGTGTGCTGTATTCAGGAGACCCATCTCACGTGCAGAGACACACATAGGCTCAAAATAAAGGGATGGAGGAAGATCTACCAAGCAAATGGAAAACAAAAAAAGGCAGAGGTTGCAATCCTAGTCTCTGATAAAACAGACCTGAAACCAACAAAGATCAAAAGAGACAAAGAAGGCCATTACATAATGGTAAAGAGATCAATTCAACAAGAAGAGCTAACTATCCTAAATATATGTGCACCCAATACAGGAGCACCCAGATTCATAAAGCAAGTGCTTAGAGACCTACAAAGAGACTCAGACTCCCACACAATAATGTGGGAGACTTTAACACCCCACTGTCAACATTAGACAGATCGAGACAGAAAGTTAACAAGGATATCCAGGAATTGAACTCAGCTCTGCATCAAGCGGAACTAATAAGACATCTACAGAACTCTCCACCCCAAATCAGCAGAATATACATTCTTCTCAGCACCACATTGCACTTATTCCAAAACTGACCACATAGTTGGAAGTAAAACACTCCTCAGCAAATGTAAAAGAACAGAAATTATAACAAACTGTCTCTCAGACCACAGTGCTATCAAACTAGAACTCAGGATTAAGAAACACTCAAAACCACTCAACTACATGGAAAATGAACAACTTGCTCCTGAATGACTACTGGGTACATAATGAAATGAAGGCAGAAATAAAGATGTTCTTTGAAACCAATGAGAACAAAGACACAACATACCACAATCTCTGGGACACATTTAAAGCAGTGTGTAGGGGGAAATTTATAGCACTAAATGTCCACAAGAGAAAGCAGGAAAGATCTAAAACTGACACCCTAACATCACAATTAAAAGAACTAGAGAAGCAAGGGCAAACACATTCAAAAGCTAGCAGAAGGCAGGAAATAACTAAGATCACAGCAGAACTGAAGGAGATAGAGACACAAAAAACCCTTCAAAAAAATCAATCCAGGAGCTGGTTGTTTTTTGAAAAGATCAACAAAATTGATAGACTGCTAGCAAGACTAATAAAGAAGACAAGAGAGAAGAATCAAATAGAAGCAATAAAAAATGATAAAGGGGATATTACCACCGATCCCACAGAAATACAAACTACCATCAGAGAATACAATAAACACCTCTATGCAAATAAACAAAAAATCTAGAATAGACGGATAAATTCCTGGACACATACACCCTCCCAAGACTAAACCAGGAAGCAGTTGAATCCCTGAATAGACCAATAACAGGCTCTAAAATTGAGGCAATAATTAATAGTCTACCAACCAAAAAAAGTCCAGGACCAGATGGATTCATAGCCAAATTCTACCAGAGGTACAAGGAGGAGCTGGTACCATTCCTTCTGAAACTATTCTAACTGATAGAAAAAGAGGGAATCTTCCCTAACGCATTTTATGAGGCCAGCATCATCCTATACCAAAGCCTGGCAGAGACACAACAAAAAAAGAGAATTTTAGACCAATATCCCTGATGAACATCGATGCAAAAATCCTCAATAAAATACTGGCAAACCGAATCCAGGAGCACATCAAAAAGCTTACCCCCAAGATCAAGTGGGCTTCATCCCTGGGACGCAAGGCTGGTTCAACATATGCCAATCAATAAATGTAATCCAGCATATAAACAGAACTAATGACAAAAACCACGATTATCTCAATAGATGCAGAAAAAGCCTTTGATAAAATTCAACAGCCTTCATGGTAAAAACTCTCAATAAATTAGGTATTGATGGGATGTATCTCAAAATAATAAGAGCTATTTATGACAAACCCACAGCCAATATCATACTGAAAGGGCAAAAACTGGAAGCGTTCCCTTTGAAAACTGGCACAAGACAGGGATGCCCTCTCTCACCACTCCTATTCAACATAGTGTTGGAAGTTCTGGCCAGGGCAATCAGGCAGGAGAAAGAAATAAAGGCTATTCAATTAGGAAAAGAGGAAGTCAAACTGTCCCTGTTCACAGATGACACGATTGTATATTTAGAAAACCCCATCATCTCAGCCCAAAATCTCCTTAAGCTGATAAGGAACTTCAGCAAAGTCTCAGTATACAAAATCAATGTGCAAAAATCACAAGCATTCTTATACACCAATAACAGACAAACAGAGAGCCAAATCATGAGTGAACTCCCATTCACAATTGCTTCAAAGAGAATAAAATACCTAGGAATCCAACTTACAAGGGATGTGAAGGACCTCTTCAAGGAGGACTACAAACCACTGCTCAACAAAATAAAAGAGGACACAAACAAATGGAAGAACATTCCATGCTCATGGATAGGAAGAATCAATATCATGAAAATAGCCATACTGCCCAAGGTAATTTATAGATTCAATGCCATCCCCATCAAGCTAACAATGACTTTCTTCACAGAATTGGAAAAAACTACTTTAAAGTTCATACGGAACCAAAAAAGAGCCCATATAGCCAAAACAATCCTAAGCAAAAAGAACAAAGCTGAAGGCATTACGCTACCTGACTTCAAACTATATTACAAGGCTACAGTAACCAAAACAGCATGGTACTGGTACCAAAACAGAGATATAGACCAATGGAACAGAACAGAGCCCTCGGAAATAATACCACACATCTACAACCATCCAATCTTTGACAAACCTGACAAAAACAAGAAATGGGGAAAGGATTCCCTATTTAATAAATGGTGCCGGGAAAACTGGCTAGCCGTATGTAGAAAGCTGAAACTGGATCCCTTCCTTACACCTTATACAAAAATCAATTCAAGATGGATTAAAGACTTAAATGTTAGACCTAAAACCATAAAAACCCTAGAAGAAAACCTAGGCAATACCATTCAGGACATAGGCATGGGCAAAGACTTCATGTCTAAAACACCAAAAGCAATGGCAACAAAAGCCAAAATTGACAAATGGGATCTAATTAAACTAAAGAGCTTCTGCACAGCAAAAGAAACTACATCAGAGTGAACAGGCAACCTACAGAATGAGAGAAAAGTTTTGCAATCTACCCATCTGACAAAGTGCTAATATCTAGAATCTACAAAGAACTCAAACAAATTTACAAGAAAAAAAAACAAACAACCCCACCAAAAAGTGGGCAAAGGATATGAACAGACATTTCGCAAAAGAAGACATTTATGCAGCCAACAGACACATGAAAAAATGCTCATCATCACTGGCCATCAGAGAAATGCAAATCAAAACCACAATGAGATACATCTCACACCAGTTAGAATGGCCATCATTAAAAAGTCAGGAAACAGAAGGTGCTGGACAGAATGTGGAGACACAGGAACACTTTTGCACTGTTGGTGGGACTGTAAACTAGTGCAACCATTATGGAAGACAGTGTGGCGATTCCTCAAGGATCTAGAACTAGAAATACCATCTGACCCAGCCATCCCATTACTGGGTATATACCCAAAGGATTATAAATCATGCTGCTATAAAGACACATGCACACGTATGTTTACTGCGGCACTATTCACAATAGCAAAGACTTGGAACCAACCCCAATGTCCATCAATGATAGACTGGATTAAGAAAATGTGGCACATATACACCATGGAATACTATGCAGCCATAAAAAAGGATGAGTTCATATCCTTTGTAGGGACATGGATGAAGCTGGAAATCATCATTCTCAGCAAACTATTGCAAGGACAAAAAACCAAACACCGCATGTTCTCAGTCGTCGGTGGGAACTGAACAATGAGAACACTTGGACACAGGAAGGGGAACATCACACACCGGGGCCTGTCGTGGGGTTGGGGGAGGGGGAGGGATAGCATTAGGAGATATACCTAATGTAAATGACGAGTTAATCGGTGCAGCACACCAACTTGGCGCATGTATACATACGTAACAAACCTGCACACTTTGCACATGTACCCTAGAACTTAAAGTATAATAAAAAAAAAAAAAGAAATACTACTTTCAATTTTTTGAGGGAAATAATTTTCAACCTAAAATTCTATCCTCAGCCTAATTATCAAGAAAGAATAAAAGACAAAAAAATCATTTTAAGGCATTTAAGCATTCAAACAAATTACTTTTCTTAGGCAGTTACTTTCTTTACTTAGGCAGTTAGCGGGGGCAGGGAGGACAAAGAAAAAGGAAACCATGGGAGGACCACGCAGGACCCTAGCTGAGAACACAGGAAAGGGAAGTCTCAAGATAAAAGCTGGAAAGCAACCTGTGCAGCAAACAGTTCCACAGGGAACAGAAGGACCATTTAATGTAACCCTTGATAACTTAAAAAAGCTTGAGGAGAAGACAAAGGCAGGTAATTTAAAGGGATGTGTGGGGTATGTGAGATGGGGAAGCCAAGAACTCTAGAACAAAAACAAATAGCTAAAAAGAAAGGAAATGTAATACCAGTTGTGAGTTCCAGGACTTCCGAGCTGATCAAGAAAATGTACCACAGAACAGGCTTTATCGAGCAGTGTTTGGAAAGGGTTGCCTGATAGGGGTGGTCCTTCATAGCAGGTGACCTTCCAGAGACAGCAGCTGCAAGGCTACCACCAGATGGGGAGGAGGGCAAGGAAACTCTCAGTAAAGAGGGGAACCTGAGAGGGGGCTTAAGTGCCTAGGGGATGGCATTCAGCAGTTAAGTGTGAGGGATCTGAGTCAGAGAATTCAGAAAGGCAGCAGTGGTTTTGGGGTCCTTTAATCTACAGAGCTTGCCTTATCTATGGCCAGTAGATGTTAGGGTGCAGTTTCATGGGATATATAAAGCAGAAATGGCTAAAAATATACGTAGTGGGCTATGTTTAAAGTAACTGGATGTGTCAGAATTTGAGTTTGATGCCAGAGGTCTTTGCGCTAACAGTCCCTGTCTAGTGTACAAAAGTAAACACCTAGGCTCTGTACTATTCTGATAGAGACATCTTATTGTAAACAGTACCCTGATTCTCAGCTTTTAGAATACCAGACAAAATCTGATGGACTCAATTATGGCCAAGAAATCCAAGTAAAATCTATCCTTGATGTAAAAGTAAAACATAAATGTAATTTAAAAGTATGAACGATAAAAGCTGGAACAGTATAAGGAGCACAGCTTAGAGAAGGGATAAAAATATTAGTATCTTCCTCTTACACAATAGGGGGTAAAGGGATTGTGGAATAATAAATATTAAAAGCAATGACATGACTACATGGAGGGAGAAAGTGCCCATGTGAACATCTGATACATATAAAAATATAAATATTTATATCAAGATATAGATTGTGGTATACTTTGAAACTAATGGGAAATACAGCTAGAAGAGTTTTAATAATTGCCTCTGGAGAGTAGGAATAATGATGCGTAATAGTGTGACAGGAGACAGTTGCTTTCATTGACAAGTTTTTCAAAACTATTTGATTTCCAAACTTGTTTATGTATTAACTTTATTTACTCATTAAAAACCAAAACAACAGTAAGTATCTTTGACAATAACTCTTGCTTACCAAAAAAATAAGCCAATTTTGGTATCTCCTTCAAAAACAAGGACTCCTGTTGGTGTTAGTCCCAAACTATAGTCATTCCCATCTCTAGCCTAATTTAAGGGGAGAAAAATGTGTTAGCTTTATTTGTACAAAACAGGTTTCACATTGACACAACTTTTAAATTTTATTTTTGTATTGAATTGTATTAATTATATACAGGCTAATATTAATATATGAGATGTTTTCAACAATTAGAGTATCCATAATAATATTCTCAGAAAAATTTATGCATATATTTTTATTTCTAGTCATTGAAACACTAGAGTTTTAAAGTGTATCTTCATTGAAAGTGGGTAGTTACACTCCCACTACAAACAAAGCTGTTTCCACATTCTTCCCATATTATACTTACCACTTAAATCATGTATTTTGGAAAAGACTGCTGATACGGTTTGGCTCTATGTCTACACCCAAATCTTGTGTCATATTGTAATCCCCAGTATTGGAGGAGGGGCCTGGTGGGAGGTGACTGAATCATGGAGACGGACTTCCCCCTTGCTGTTCTCATGATAGTGAATGAGTTCTCACAAGATCTGGTTGTCTGAAAGTGTGTAGCACCTCCCTCTTTGCTCTCTCTCCCTCCTGCCAGCCATGTACAGATGTGCCTGTTTGCCCTTCACGTTGCCCAATGATTATAAGTTTCCTGAGGCCTCCTGAGAGGGAGAAGCCTGTACAGCCTGCAAAACCATGAGCCAATTGAACCTCTTTATAAATTTATGTCTTTATAGCAGTGCGAGAATGAACTAATACAACCGCCTTTCTGGAAAAATGTTACTAGTTAAACTAGAAATAACTTAAATCACTACAAAGCTGTTCTAAAGTTTATCAAAGTCTTTAAGCTATAAATCTTCAACTTTGCATCCTGAATTATTTTAACAGAGCCTACTCAGTGTAAGTCGTATAACAGGAAGTAAAAAGGATAACAAATGGCTCAAAAGCTTAAAACAATTTTTTATAGCAAAAAAATAAAATAAAATAAAATAACAGCTTAAAAGGACCAAGTACCTTGTTAGGGATGTTGGTTGCTTCTCTTCTTTCTTATAATGAACCTTTCTGTGAGATTCTAGTCATTTGGTATTTAATCTCAAACTTTTTAACCATACATCCAAAGTACCCAGTGCTAGCTTATGCAAACTCCATGCCCTCCCTCATACTGAAAAATTCCACAGTCACTGCGAACCTCCAAAGAATAAATTTTTAAAAAAGCATCACAACACAATGCTTACCTTGACCACATGCATATCAACCCCATACATTTCTAGCCATTTGGCTTTATTCAGATAATTGGTTTCAGCCTGTGCTGGTGTTTGACCTCTGAAATTTAAAACAATGATTTTTAAAGTAACAATAAATATAAAATAAATTCTATACCAAGGATAGAAACAGAAGAAAATGAATATGAAATAACTGTTGTGGTGATTTTAAAGAAAGTATGGTCAAACGCCAGATACCTGTATTCCTTCCATTTCTCAAAAATAGCCAGTTCCATCTCTTCAGTCTGAATAGGCACGAATCTGAACTCTGAGACAAGTTCAGGACTATGCTCAGCAAGATCATAGTCACCAAGTTCAGCTATAAACATAAGTTTCAAAAGTTATATGTATTTCCTGCTAAATCCTTCAAAAACCATTTCATTAATGAAAACTGCTAAGATTAGAAAGATTCTTAGGAATTTCTTACAAAAATTCATAATACTCAGACAAGTCTCCAAAAGTAAATCTGGCATATTAGTCATACACATATATCTCATATTTATTTTTGGTAGTGTATTTTTAATTACATATCTTTCTCTTAATGTATTCACACTTCAGTGCTTACTTAACCTTTGAAAACTGCTTTCTAGACTTCCATAAAGAAATACCTCTGACCTTATAGTGAATAAATGAAAAAATTTAGCAATCGTTAAAAGACAATTAACTGGCATCTATTAAGAATATTACTAAGGCTGGGTGTGGTGGTTCATGCTTATAGTCACAGTACTTTGGGAGGGCTGAGGTGGAAGATGGTTTCAGGCCAGTCTAGGCAACATAGCAAGACCTCGTCTCTAAAAAAAAAAAAAAAAAAAAAAAAAAGTACAAAAATTAGCCAGGCCTAATGGCCTGTAGACCCAGCTACTCAGGCAGGAAGATCGTTTGAGCCCAGTAGTTCAAGGCTTCAGAGAGCTACAATCATGCAACTGCCCTCTAGCCTGGGGACAAGAGTGAGACCCTGTCTCAAAAAAAAACAAAACAAAAGAATATACTGATATACACTGAATATGACCCCATATACCAATCTAAATATAGTCCCTGTCTTCCAAAATTTTAAAATTATTAATCCTAAAGAAATAACTGAAAGGAACTAAAAAAAATCGGGGGGAGAAAGCAGCAGGGAAAAATCTGAACAATGCACAAACATGTATGTACTCATCTGTGGTTATTTCTGAACAAAATGTAGGTTTGGAGCAAAAGGACTGCTAAGCTATATGGCTTCACCAACAATTCACTCCTACATAACTGCATTTCTTTTAAGGAAAAAGTTAGCCGAAGGCCCAATCTTAGCATTTACAGACTTATCAGGTAGAGTATGACGTTTCAACACTTTAGGTGGAAAGGGCGCAATTACATGAAAGAGAAGAAAAAGAAGGCAATGTTCTAAAACAAGTAAAAGTCAGAGTTGGACCCTGATACAAGTTTATACAAAAACAGTGTTGTTTCTTTTCTTGCACATAATTAGAATCTTCTTTAACTAAAAACACACACAAAAAAGATTATACTTGAGTCTTAACAGTCAACATAAGAATTGCTTACCTTGCAGATTATAAGCTGCCAATTGCACTGCTGTATCAAAGGGACAGTCTAATCTGAGACCAAAACACAAGTTTGTTAGACAAGTTGATTTCATAACCTTCATTTTAAGACAAATGAAAATAATACATGTTTTATGTTGACCATTTCTTTTTTACAACTATAAACTTATTTTCAAAATAATTTTTCAACCACTCACGAAAATGTGCATTTATCCTTAAATAACTAATACTCACTTTCCACTGAGAATATCTTGTTTTAACTGAAGAACAAATAAATACCTAAGAAAAATGAAAGGCACAAATTTAACCCAACAGCACAATCGACTGTGAAAAAAAATCTTACACTTCTAACTTGAGAAGTATTATTTCATTAAAAATTACTTGTATTAATGTATAAAAGATGTGCATAGTTTGGGGATACATGAAATAATTGAATACATTCATATAATTTGTAAGGATCAAGTCAGTATACGTGGGGTATCCATCACCTTAAATATTTTTCTCTTCTTTATGCTAGAAATATTTGAATTATTTTCTTCTAGCTATTCTGAAATGTAAAATACGTAATTGTAAACTATAATCACCCTACTGATCTAACACTAGATCTTAGAAGTATTCTTAATTAAAGGCCTGGTGCAGTGGCTCACACCTATAATCCTAGCACTTTGGGAGGGCGAGGCGGGTGGATCACTTGAGGCCAGGAGTTCAAGACCAGCCTGGCCAACATGGCGAAACCCCGTCTCTATTAAAATACGCAAATTGGCTGGGGGTGTGAGCACGTGCCTGTAATCCCAGCTATTTGGGAGGCTGAGGCATGAGAACTGCTTGAACCTGGGGGAACAGAGGTTGCGGTGAACTGAGAACATGCCATTGCACTCCAGCCTAGATGACAGAGCGAGACATCTACTTGTTATGTGAAGGGATACAGACATGGATATAACTACAGATGATAGCTACTATCTCATTGTCAAGGTGTTCTAAAGGAAACCCTTCTAAAGGAACTCAAAAGCTCAACTTTTTCATTTAATAAATAGTATGTGTATATGGAGCAATGAATTTATAATAGAGACCATGAATAAATACAAAGGAGGCAGGATAACATTAAAATAAGTATATACAACATAAGGTTTATTCAAAACTATTCAAACCAATCAGAATCTAATGTTTTTCATTAATCAATGGCATTTCAATGAGTAAAGAAAGTTGGGCGCCAATTTGAATAAACTCCCTGTGGCCAAAGATAGATTATTTTCAACATCAATAAATATAATATTGCAATGTATTGAAACATGTGAATCCTGTTAACATTCCTGAGTTGAGAGTGATACTTAAAAAAAAGAACTCACTAGTCACCTTTGGAGGATGCTAAGAAACCAACTCTTTATTTTGAAAATGCTAAAGGAAAAGAATCATACACTTAAAAAACACGTCCCAGAATAAAATTCTATTATTTGAGGTCTTGTTACCAGGGGACAGGAATCCATTTTATTAGCTGGCTATAAATTGGAAACAATATAAAGACAGTCTTTCAAAACTATCAAAATAACCCTGGCACAATTCTAGATGGTGTTCTTACCGGGTTAGCTCCTCACGAAGGTTATTTGGTTCTGAGGAATAAAACTTAACTCGAAGATGCAGACAATAGGGTGAACCAACTGTCATTTAAAAAAAAAAAAGGTTTTAATAAAATAAACTACTTAAATAATACTTTTCAGCCAGAAAACTGGTCAAAAATCTACTGAAGTGAGACAAAAGATGAGGTTTTTATGGCATTATTGCAGGTTAGATCATAGGCTTCAATTAGATTGTTTTTTAATGTACCAAGCCATCATATTACTATTAACTCTCATCCCAAGAATAGACAGCTATAGATTAATTCTAACAGTTCAGAGCCAAATGCATCAAATAAAAGTCTTGACTGTGCAACCTAACAGCCCTGAAAACCTGCTACACTGAAGAATGCCTATGTTATTAACTGCTCATGGTGAATCTTCCCACACAAATACAATTCAGCAAGTTCACTAACTTCTATAATCTCAGTGGTCTCATTATTTTGAGACAAGAGTTGAGGTGCCCTAATAAGTCTGATAAAAAGTCAAGTTGGATAATGAATAAACAATGGTATTCTCTCTCTGAATGACACTAACATTTTATGTGAATTGTTTCATTTTTCTTAATTTTAAAATATCACAAAGTCTCAAAATACTTTCAATATTAGGGCAGATGCCAAACAGGAAAATTCCAACACAACTAATTAAAAAATAACCATTAAGCATTTCGGGGAAAGTCAATCCCATTTGCAAGCTGCAAGGTTTTCTCCTGGAAAGTTAAGCCCCAATGCAGTTTAATCTAGATTAGTATCAAGCCTACATGACTTGGGGAGTAGCTCAGTGTATCAGAATAAAATAATTTCTAGAAAATGGAAATGCTAAAAAACTCATCTGAAACATGATTTCTTACATCCTATTAGAAATCAGAATTTCTAATATATTCTATTTCCTTTCCCCCCCACAAATAATTTTGTCTGCACTTACTTTTTACTTGCTTTTTGATGCTTTTTGTACCATCCAACCAATGCTGAAAAACAAAAACAAAAATTTAGTTAAGCAGATGACAGAACTTTAAAATTTGAATGAATTACTAAAAGTTACTTTTCATTGTGCCTACACTGATAACCGCAAGGAAATACTTCACAAGAGAAAAACCCAAGTGAATGAGAAAAGAGGTGAGAAGGAAGAGTATCTAGCCAATATCCACCATAGCAAGCTTATGACACACGTGAACAAAAACGACCTAAAACCTGACAGATGACTTTTTTTTTTTTTAAATACTTTAAGTTCTGGGATACATGTGCAGAACGTGCAGGTTTGTTACGTAAGTATACACATGCCATGGTGGTTTGCTGCACCCATCAACACATCATCTACATTAGATATTTCTCCTAATGGTATCCCTCCCCTAGTCCCTCACCCTCCCAACAGGCGCCAGTATGTGATGTTCCCCTCCCTGTGTCCATGTGTTACCATTGTTCAACTCCCACTTATGAGGAAGAACATGCAGTGTTTGGTTTTCTGTTCCTGTGTTAGTTTGCTAAGAATGATGGTTTCCAGCTTCATCTATGTCCCTGCAAAGGACATGAACTCATCCTATTTTATGGCTGCATAGTATTCCATGGTGTATATGTGCTACATTTTCCTTATCCAGTCTATCATTGATGGGCATTTGGGTTGGTTCCAAGTCTTTGCTATTGTGAACAGTGCTGCAATAAACATATGTGTGCATGTGTCTTTATAGTAGAATGACTTATAATCCTTTGGGTATATACGCAGTAATGGGATTGCTGGGTCAAATGATATTTCTGGTTCTAGATCTTTGAGGAAATCACCACACTGTCTTCCACAATGGTTGAACCAATTTACACCCCCACCAAAAAAAGCATTCCTATTTCTCCACATCCTCTCCAGCACCTGTTGTTTCCTGACTTTTTAATAATGGCCATTCTAACTGGTGTGAGATGGTATCTCATTGTGGTTTTGATTTGCATTTCTCTAATAACCAGTGATGATGCGCTTTTTTTCATGTGTTTGCTGGCCATATAAATGTCTGCTTTTGAGAAGTGTCTGTTCATATCCTTCACCCACTTTTTGATGGGGTTGTTTTTTTCTGGAAAATTTGTTTAAGTTTCTTATACATTCTGGATATTAGCTCTTTGCCAGATGGATACATTGCAAAAATTTTCTGTACATTGTACATTTTGTACATTGCCTGTTCGCTCTGATGATAGTTTCTTTTACTGTGCAGAAGCTCTTTAGTTTAATTAGATCCCATTTGTCAATTCTGGCTTTTGTGGCCACTGCTTTTGGTGTTTTAGTTTGAAGTTTTTGCCCATGCCTATGTCCTGCATGGTACTGCCTAGGTTTTCTTCTAGGGTTTTTATGGTTTTAGGTTTTACACGTTTAAGTCTTTAATCCATCTTGAGTTAATTTCTGTATAAGGTGTAAGGAAGGGTCCAGGTTCAGTTTTCTGCATATGGCTAGCCAGTTTTCCCAACACCATTTATTAAATAGGGAATCCTTTCCCTATTGCTTGTTTTTGTCAGGTTTATCAAAGATAAGATGGTTGTGGATGTGTGTTGTTAATTCTGACGCCTCTGTTCTGTTCCATAGGTCTATATATCTGTTTCAGTAGCAGCACCATGTTGTTTTGGTTACTGTAGCCTTGTAGTATAGTTTGAAGTCAGGTAGCGTGATGCCTCCGGCTTCGTTCTTTTTGCTTAGGAATGTCTTGGCTATACGGGCTCTTTTTCAGGTAGCTTGATGGGGATACCACTGAATCTATAAATTACTTTGAGCAGTATGGCCATTTTCATGATATTGATTCTTCCTATCCATGAGCATGAAATGTTTTTCCATTTGTTTGTGTCCTCTCTTACTTCCTTGAGCTGTGGTTTGTAGTTCTCCTTCAAGAGGTCCTCCACATCCCTTGTGAGTTGTATTCCCAGGTATTTTATTCTCTTTGTAGCAATTGTGAATGGGAGTTCACTCATGATTTGGCTCTCTGTTATTGGTGTATAGGAATGCTTGTGATTTTTGCACATTGACTTTGTATCCTGAGACTTTGCTGAAGTTACTTATCAGCTTAAGGAGATTTTGGGCTGAGATGATGGGGTTTTCTAAATATACAATCATGTCATCTGCAAACAGAGGCAATCTGACTTCCTCTCTTCCCATATGAATATGCTTTATTTCTTTCTCTTGCCTGATTGCGCTGGCCAGAACTTCCAATACTATGCTGAATAGGAGTGGTGAGAGACGGCATCCTTGTTTTGTGCCAGTATTCAAAGGGAATGCTTCCAGCTTTTGCCCATTCAGTATGATATTGGCTGTGGGTTTGTCATAAATAGCTCTTATTATTTTGAGATGTTTTCTATCAATACCTAGTTTATTGAGAGTTTTTAACATGAAGGGCTGTTGAATTTTATCAAAGGCCTTTTCTGCATCTATTGAGATAATCATGTGGTTTTTGTCATTGGTTCTGTTTAGCTGATGGATTACGTTTATTGATTTGCGTATGTTGAACCAGCCTTGCAATCCAGGGATGAAGCTGATTTGATTGTGGTGGATGAGCTTTCTGATGTGCCGCTGGATTCAGTTTGCTGGTATTTTATTGAGGATTTTCGCATTGATGTTCATCAGGGACAGTGGCCTGAAATTTTCTTTTGTTGTTGTTGTTGTGTCTCTGCCAGGTTTTGGTAACAGGATGATGCTGGCCTCATAAAATGAGTTAGGGAGGCGTCCCTCTTTTCCTATTGTTTGTAATAGTTTCAGAAGGAATGGTACCAGCTCCTCTTTGTACCTCTGGTAGAATTCGGCTGTGAATCTGTCTGGTCCTGGGCTTTTTTTCATTGGTAGGCTATTAATTACTGCCTCAATTTCAGAACTTGTTGTTGGTCTATTCAAGGATTTGACTTCTTCCTGGTTTAGTCTTGGGAGGGTATATGTGTCCAGGAATTTATCCATTTCTTCTAAATTTTCTAGTTTATTTGTGTAGAGGTGTTTACAATATTTTCTGATGGTAGTTTGTATTTCTGTGGGATCAGTGGTGATTTCCATTTTATCATTTTTTATTGTCTATTTGATTATTCTCTATTTTCTTCTTTATTAGCCTGGCTAGTGGTCTATCTATTTTGTTAAAATAGAGCTTCCTTCAGGAGCTCTTTACAAAAAATCAGCTCCTGGATTCATTGATTTTTTGAAGGGTTTTTCATGTTTCTATCTCCTTCAGTTCTGCTCTGTTGTTAGTTATTTCTTCTGCTAGCTTTTGAATTTGATTGCTCTTGCTTCTCTAGTTCTTTTAATCGTGACGTTAGGGTGTCGATTTTAGATCTTTCCTGCTTTCTCCTGTGGGCATTTAGTGCTATAAATTTCCCTCTAAACACTGCTTAGCTGTGTCCCAGAGATTCTGGTATATTGTGTCTTTGATCTCATTGGTTTCAAAGAACTTACTGATTTCTGCCTTAATTTCATTATTTACCCAGTAGTCATTCAGGACCAGGTTGTTCAGTTCCCATGTAGTTGTGCTATTCTGAGTGAGTTTTTTAATCCTGAGCTCTAATTTGATTGCACTGTGGTCTGAGAGACTGTTTGTTATGACTTCTGTTCTTTCACATTTGCTGAGGAGTGTTTTACTTCCAATTATGTGGTCAATTTTAAAGTGTGATGTAGTGATGAGAAGAATGTATATTCTGCTGATCTGGGGTGGAGAGTTCTGTAGATGTCTATTAGGTCTGCTTGGTCCAGAGCTGAGTTCAAGTCCTAAATATCCTTGTCAATTTTCTGTCTCATTGATCTTTCTAATATTGACAGTGGGGTGTTAAAGTCTCCCACTATTAATGTGTGGGAGTCTAAGTCTCTTTGTAGGTCTCTAAGAACTTGCTTTATGAATCTGGGTGCTCCTATTTTGGGTGCATATATATTTAGGTTAGCTCTTCTTGTTGCGTTGATCCCTTTACCATGCCCTTCTTTGTCTTTTTTGATCTTTGTTGGTTTAAAGTCTGTTTTATCAGAGCCTAGGATTGCAACCCCTGCTTTTTTTTTTTTTTTTTTTTTTTTTTTTTTTTTTTTTTTGAGACAGAGTTTCACTCTTGTTGCCCAGGCTGGAGTGCAATGGCATGATCTTGGCTCACCTCAGTCTCTGCATCCTGGATTCAAGAGATTTTCTTGCCTCAGCCTCCCAAGTAGCTGGGATTACAGGCATGCGCAACCTCACCCGGCTAATTTTTGAATTTTTAGTAGAGACAGGGTTACTCCATGTTGGTCAGGCTGGTCTCGAACTCCCAGCCTCCGGTGAACCACCCGCCTTGGCCTCCCAATGTGCTGGGATTACAAGTGTGAGCCACTGTGCCTGGCCAACCCCTGCTTTTTTTTTTAACGTTCCAATTGCTTGGTAAATATTCCTCCCTCCCTTTATTTTGAGCCTGCGTGTGTCTTTGTCCGTGAGATGGGTCTCCTAAATACAGCACACCGAGGTGTCTTGACTTTTTATCCAACTTGCCAGTCTGTGTCTTTTAATTGGGACATTTAGCCCGTTTACATTTAAGGTTAATATTATATGTGTGAATTTGATCCTGTCATTATGACATGGGCTCTGCCCAGTCCGAACTTCCTGGCGGCTTTGTTTATACTGTGAGGGGAAAACCGCCTACTCAAGCCTCAGTAACGGCGGACGCCCCTCCCCTCACCAAGCCTGAGCGTCCCAGGTCGGCTTCAGACTGCTGTGCTGGCAGCAAGAATTTCAAGCTAGTGGATCTTAGCTTGCTGGGCTCCATGGGAGTGAGATCCACTGAGCTAGACCACTTGGCCCCCTGGGCTTCCTGCAGCCAGCTCATTGCCTGCCCAAACGGCCACCCAGTTTTGTGCTTGAAACCCAGGGCCCTTGTGGCGTAGGCACCCGAGGGAATCTCCTGGTCTGCAGGTGGCGAAGACCATGGGAAAAGCGTAGTATCTGGGCCGGAATGCACCGTTCCTCACAGCACAGTCCCTCATGGCTTCTCTTGGCTAGGGGAGGGAGTTCCCCGACCCCTTGTGCTTCCCGGATGAGGCGATGCCTTACTCTGCTTCGGCTTGCCCTCCATGAGCTGCACCCATTGTCTAACCAGCCCCAATGAGATGAGCTGGGTACCTCAGTTGGAAATGCAGAAATCACCCGCCTTCCACGTTGATCTCACTGGCAGCTGCAGACCGGAGCTGTTCCTATTCGGCCATCTTGCCAGCCATCATGTGACTTCTTAAAACACTTCCTCTGCTCCCTCAGTAACAAGGATGACATGCTAAATTTTGCCCTTATTTCCCTCACTTTTCCCAAATAAATGACTCTTGCAAAACTGTTAAAATTAGAGAAAAAAGTATCCCCATATTCCAGTGCCTGATTCATTCTTATAATAAAATGTAAAATTTATTAGCAGATTATAACCAAAAATTAGGTGAAACAATGTCCCCCAAATTTTACAAAACAGATGCTCCTCAGAGGTAGTACTCTTTAAAAGAACCTTCAGAGTAAAATTAGATCTTTCTCATAATCAAGGTTCTATCTATTAAATAAAGAAGTCTTTGTTCCACAAATAAAAAATGTTAACATTGTGACTATGAGACTTCGAAATGTCCATGACACAAATAGACCTAAAAACCTATTCCAGATATTTCCACTGATAAACCATTCCCAGCTCACTTCTCATTATTAATTCCTTTATGCCACCAAGTCCTAACAGTGACAGGACACACACATCCAACTAAGATATACGTGACTGTGTTCTCTCTGACATGCTTTCAATTCCAAGCACTCTAAAGGAAGGCTAACTAGTTCACAGAGCCAAGGAATCCAATTTCAGAAACGCAGATAGGCAGAGTGGGTAAACAAAGCTGCACTGTAACTGTTTACTTTTCTTGCCAATTATTTGCCTAGCTGCTTCTCTCCATTCTCCAAGATCCAAAAGTGCAATTCACTGAACTATCAGTGTGGCAGCAAAATACCTTTCCATGTTTAAATAAAATGTTCAGCAAATATTTTTTAAATGCTATGCAATATTTTCTTGAGATTTCAAGTGCGCGGGCTACTGTGCCATCTCTCATCTTTTAATAAATTCAGTTGGACATCTACTTTTAAGCCTATTTCAATCTAGCAATCTTTAATCTTTCAATCTAGGCTGGCAAGATGGCCGAATAGGAACAGCTCCGGTCTGCATCCTTCCATTAACAGAACACTAGGCCTGCCAGTAGCAAAAAACAATTCAATTTTCTTTCAGTAGAAAATTCTTCAACCTACAGCAGTAAACAGTTCATCCATCACTGTCCAGCCCAGAAATCCAATATCCAAATATTCCAGACTTAACTGACACAAATACCTACTACAGCCTGATGCAAATCACATACTGAGTAAGAGAAAAAACTAGTTTTCATGCCCCAGATTTTCTCCCCAAAACCATGGAACTGGGAGTTGTCCTATATTCCATGGCTGGTCACCTGGGCACTATTTCATGTAGCCTCTCATCCACCATAGTGAGTGCAAATGAGCACAACCCTTCCAGGAAGCAATCTGACTAGACAGTAGATAATGTCTCAAAAATAACTATGTGCCTTCAACCCAGCAATTCTACACCTAGAAATCATTATGGATGTGTGTAGATTTACCTACAAGAAATTTCATCAAAGAAAATTAGGACAGCCTATGTATCTAACAAGAGTGAACTGGTTAAAGCATTTTAATATAATAGAGCACTATATATCCACGAAAAATAATGAAAGCAAATACTTAAGAATTTGAAAAATTACTTACATTGTTAAATTTTAAAAGGCAGGTTATTAGACATTATAAATTGTTTTGTCAAGATATACAATTTTCTATTAAATACATATTTTCATTCACAGAGATAATCTGTAATAATAATGTAACAGAGATGTTATCTCTCGGCTGGTTGAAATTGCGAGTGATTTTTTTTCTTCCTTGTGCTTTCCTATATTATCCGCTTACTCCACAATGAACACATATTACTTAAGGCAATAATCATGGACCCCCTTATTTTAATGTTTTATATAGGTAATATATTCAAATGGTTTAATTTTTTAGTAATATTAAAAACTATATGGTCATCAGTTCCCCCCAGTCTCTGCCCCCTATTACCCACACCCCATAACACAGGCACTCCTCCTCCCCAAGATGTTACTGGTTTCTCTTGATTCCTTCCAGAGTTTCCTCAAACAGGGAAGAAGAAAATTTTTCAAGTGTGTGAGTATGTGCACACACATGTGTGTTGGCAGAGTGAAGAACATTATCAGTGGACTGAAAATTAATAGGCTAAATATAAATTTTGACAGAATAAGTTTTCAGGGATATAAAAAGAAAACAATTTTTTAAAAAATAGAACACTATTTCAAGAACAATCTCAGCCGGGTAAGGTGGCTCACACCTGCAATCCCAGCACTTTGGGAGGCCAAAGCGGGCAATCACCTGAGGTCAGGAGTTTCAGACCAGCCTGGCCAACATGGTGAAACCCCATCTCTACTAAAAATACAAAAATTAGCTGGGCGTGGTGGCAGGCGCCTGTAATCCCAGCTACTCGGGAGGCTGAGGCATGAGAGTCGCTTGAACCCAGGAGGCAGAGGTTGCAGTGAGCCAAGATTGCGCCACTGCACTCCAGTCTGGGTGACAGAGTGAGCGAGACTCCATCTCAAAAAAAAAAAAAAAGAACAATCTAAAGTCTTTCTTAGACAGTTATAACTTAAATTTCTCCCTGTTTAAAACTATTTAGGACTAGTCTCACAAATATACCTTTCTAGTCTAACTTGTCACAGTAGCTCTTGCTTATAATCATAGCTACTCAGGAGGCTAAGGCAGGGGCATCGTTTGAGGCCAGGAGTTTGAGACCAACCTGGGCAACATAGTAAGACCGGTCTCCAAAAAAAAAAATTTTTTTTTAATTAGCTGAGCATGGTGGCATATGCCTACAGTCCCCCAGTTATTTGGGAGGCTGAGGCGAGAGGGCTGCTTGAGTCCAGTAGTTTGGGGCTTCAAGGGAACTATGATACTGTACTCCAGCCTGGGCGACAGAACAAGACCCCATCTCTAAAATGTAAGTACATAAATAAACATAAAATCACCCTAGTGAGAAAAAGGATCATAGTTATCTTCCAGGCAGGCATTTTCATCTCTTTTCTACTTATATATAATAGTTTCTAATACCTGCACTCCCTTAAGATGACCCAAAACTCAGATAAAGCATCAAACACATGTTAAAGTGAGATTTAGGAGCTGTGGGAGTTCTGGGTGATGTTCTTCTGGGAAAGGTCTGGGTTCATGTTTGCATATTCTCAAGTCTGTTTTCTTTCATCTCCTCCACATTCCAAGACCGAGGCCTGGAAAATTCAGGCCTCAGAGACAGGCACTGATAGTGTTTTCCTTGAATCAGGGTCTTTAGGAGTTGAGTTTATATTACACTAGAAGATAAAAGTGAAAGCACACAGATATAGATTACTAGTAAGATTCTCTTTCTTCACTGTACCTTAAAAAGGAGACAACTTCCCTTCTATTTCCCACTTTTAAAGTTTAATTGATAAAGATATATCAAAGGATGTAGAAAGCCACATTTCTTAGCATCCTATCGAACTAGGCATGGAAGAACAATTATCTACTTGTATCTTAAAATATAAATAATATGTAACCACAAACATAACAGCCATAAGTAAACCAAACAAAGAATCAGGTAGGGAGTGTCCATAAAACACTAACATATACATACCCTCACCCCAGACCCTATTGTTAAATATGGTCTGTTAACAGCTCTTCAAATCAATGACTCCTGCCTTCTAATCACTTAACCTACATGTCTCTAATAAAGAAATGCACCACCACTACTCTTGCTCAAAGACAAAAGAGCTTATAGTAGAGAAATGTTAACCATCTTTCAAACCAATTGCCTCTGCAAAAAGATACTTCTGTGAGTAGAGGTTTATGCTCTGAATTAAAGAATTATCTTAAAACAAATTTTTACACTGTGAATAATCTTAAAAGTTAAAAACCTATACTAAGGAAAGAGAGGATGAATACATAGCGTTACTGTGTTCTAACTGAAAACACTTCAATTTGATCTAGATTCCACTATAAACTTCCTGAGTGACTACTTTTTTTGAGTTAACAGTCTGTATTATAAGACATTCCAAATGAAGACTTGTATCACCATTAAAATATATCTTCCACTGTGCCTTTCTGCATATTATTAGCATGCTCTAAGGATTTTTGTTTCTTTTTTCTTTTTTTTTTTGAGATGGAGTTTCACTCTCGTCACCCAGGCTGGAGTGCAGTGGCGCGATCTCGCCTCACTGCAACCTCCGCCTCCCGGGTTCAAGCGATTCTCCTGCCTCAGACTCCTGAGTAGCTGGGATTACAGGCGCCCGCCACCACGCCCGGCTAATTTTTATTATTTTTAATAGAGACAGGGTTTCGCCATGTAGGCTGAACTTGAACTCCTGACCTCAGGTGATCCGCCCCTCTCGGCCTCACAAAGTATTGGGATTACAGGCGTGAGCCACTGCACCCGGCCAGGAATTTTTTTTTAACCTTTATTTTAGATTCAGGGGTACATGTGCAGGTTTGTTATACAGGTAAATCGCATGTCATGGGGGTTTGGTATACAGGTTATTTTGCCACCCAGGTAATAAGCATAGTACACTCTATAGGGGTAATATGGTAGTTTTTTCACGAGTTATGTAGGTTATATATTCACTTTCCAGAGATAAAGTACATAATCTATTTTGGAAACACACTTTAAAAAGGGAGACAGCATGCTGCCAAAATTGCATAGGAGCTCACTAGGTTTTGATGGTCATTTTTACACTTAATTCACTTTTTTTTTTTTTTTTTTTTGAGACAAAGTCTTCTCTGTTGCCCAGGCTAGAGCGCAGTGGTGCGATCTCAACTCACTGCAACCTCTGCCTCCCTAGTTCAAGCAATTCTCAAGTCTCAGCCTCTCAAGTAGCTGGGACTACAGGCGTGAGCCACCACACCTGGCTAATTTTTTTTAATTTTTAGTAGAGACAGGTTTTCACCAGGTTGGCCGGGCTAGTCTTGAACTCCTGACCTCATATGATCTGCCCACCTCAGCCTTCCAAAGTGCTAGGATTACAGCTGTGAGCCACCACACCCAGCCCACTTATTTTATTTTGTTCAACCATGTATCTATTTACAATATAGTCGAACTCACATTCTGACCACTTCAAAATACCCTCTATTTTAAAACAGCTAAACACATTTTTAGAACCCAGTAAAAGTTCATCAGAGCCTTATATGATCTTATTTCCCACACTCCTCATCACTATTTTTAAACAGAATCCTCTGTGGTATTCAGTCCATATCTTAAGAATCAAAATAATAAATTCAAATCCAGTCTCTAGAAATCACTAGACCTCACTTAAACCTTTTATTCTTCACAGGAGATTTTTCTGAGGATCAAATTAAAAAACTATTGCCTCAAACCCCATAATTATTGAACAAATAAAATGAATTAGATCTACATTTCTTTAAATGAATTATTGAATATTCATAATACAGCATTTTCTAATGTAGCAATAAATATTAACTGAAACAAAACAACACTATCTAGATAAAAGAAAACATACTGTTACTTTCATACACTGATAAGTTTAATTTGTAAATATAATCAAACAGCTTTAAACTCTCTCTCTTTGACCTGATGATTCCATTTCTTCTAATTTATTTTAATTTTTTTAAAATCCAGAATACTGACAAGGATTTACAAAGATGATCAACTTCAGAATATTATTAGCCATAAATTATAAACAATCATTATTGGGCAGCAGTAAGATCAGGAGTTTTCCTGAAAAATTCAACAAGGTCATCCTTTTCTAGACTTACTCCTTCAACTTTTTAGTTCTTCCTTGTTCAGCAAATATGTGTGTTACAATATACACATATATACATTTAACATGTTATTTATTTCTATGTTTTTCACCTCCCACTATCTTACTGAATCCTATTGTGTTCTCAGTTGAATCCCTGAATACAATGCAATCATTTGCCAGTGATAATTTTATTTCCTTCTAATCTTTATAATTTTCTCTTCCATAACTGCATTTGCTGGTACTTCTACTATGAAATTAAGTAGCAATGGTAATAGTAGGCATCCTTGTCATCTTCTTCTCTTTATTAGAAGTGCTTATATTATTAATCTAGGGATCTCAAAAAAATCAAAATTCAGTATAAAAAATAAAAAATGGAGAGCTAGTGAGCAACTACCAGCTCTATTCTCCACAGGTGCCACATGTTGGACCATCTGTCTACCCATGCTTACATCAAGAACCAAGGAAGTTTTGAAAAAAATTACAGAACATAAACAAGCTTTCCAAACAATTTAAGAAAAAGACAAAACATAATTAATACTGACATCTTAAAATTCTTTAAGTATTTATGAGAAATGCTATCTACGTTTCCCTTTTCTAAAAGCATAATATACAGTATCACGTTATACAAGATACACCTGATGCATGATACCTACCATCTAACTAACTTATTTTTCTTTAAAAACTTCACTGAATAGGCCGGGTGTGGTGGCTCATGCCTGTCATCCCAACACTTTGGGAGGCCGAGGAGGGCAGATCACCTGAGGTCAAGAACTCGAGACCAGCCCACCCAACGTGGTGAAACCCTGTCTCTATTAAAAAAAAAGGCCGGGCGCGGTGGCTCACGCCTGTAATCCCAGCACTTTGGGAGGCCGAGGCGGGCGGATCACGAGGTCAGGAGATCGAGACCATCCCGGCTAAAACGGTGAAACCCCGTCTCTACTAAAAATACAAAAAAATTAGCCGGGCGTAGTGGCGGGCGCCTGTAGTCCCAGCTACTTGGGAGGCTGAGGCAGGAGAATGGCGTGAACCCGGGAGGCGGAGCTTGCAGTGAGCCGAGATCCCGCCACTGCACTCCAGCCTGGGCGACAGAGCGAGACTCCGTCTCAAAAAAAAAAAATAAAAAAAAAAATACAAAAAATTAGCCAGGCATGGTGGTGTGTGCCTGTAGTCCTGGCTACTCGAGGGGCTGAGACAGAAGAATTGCTTGAACCCGGAAGGCAGAGGCTGTAGTAAGCTGAGATCACACCACTGCACTCCAGCCTGGGCAACAGAGTGAGACTCCTTCTCAAAAAAAAAAAAAAAAAAAAAAAAAAACTTCCCTGAACCAGTTAAAATTCTAATCTCTATATATAACCTTTTCAAACTTCACCAAGCACAGATATATATTTTTGAGGATTAAATTTTGCTCCCGAGACATGGTTTGCTTGTTCCATGCTATGTTTATTTTTTAAGGTTTTATTATGAAATAATTAGAGATTCACACAAAGTTGGAATGATAGTAAGAAGAGGCCCGGTCCTGTGTACACTTCTGCCAATGCTTACATTTTAACATAACTACAGTACAATATTAGAATCAGTAAACCAACATTGGTACAATGTGCATGTATAGTTCTGTGTCATTTTATCACATTTAGATTCCTATCCTAATACCACAATCAAGATAAAGAAATATTCCATTATCACGAAGAACTCTCTCACATTACTCATTTATAGTCACCACTCCCCCAACGCCAATATCCCTAACCCTTAGCAACCATTAATTTGATCTCAATCTCTATAATTGTGTCATTTCAAGAATGTTACATACATAGAATCATATAATATATAACCTTTTGATACTGGCTTTATTTCCTATTCAGCATAATGCCCTCTGAAATCCATCCAAGTTGGTGTGTATCAATAGTTTTTTCTTTTTATTGCTGAGTAGTATTACATGGTATGATTGTGCCACTGTTTAATCATTCACTTACTGTAGGACACTGTGGTTGTTTCAAGTTTTTTGCTACTACAAATAAAGATGCTATGAACAATCATGCTCAGGTTTTTGTGTGGAAGTAAGTCTTCATCTCTCTGGGATAAATGGTCAGGCATACAACTGATTAGTCATATGGTTTAAGTATATGTTTAGTTTTAAAAGAAACTGCCAGATTATCTTCCAGAGTAGCGATATCACTTTACAATCCCAACAACAATGTATAAGAGATCCCATTTCTGCACATTCTCACCAAAATTTGGAGTTGTCACCATGTTGTACTTTAGCTGTTTTGATAGATGTGTAGTGAAAACATCTCACTGAGGTCTTAATTGGCACTTCCCTGATGGCTAGTCTAACATCTTTTCATGAATTTGTCATCTGTATATCCTCTCAGGTGAAATGTCTCTTCATGTCTTTTGTTCATTTTTGAATTAGACTGTTTGCTTTCTAATTGTTGAGCTGAGGAGCTTGTTTTGTTTTGTTTTTGGTTGAGACACGGTTTCGCTCTGTCGCCCAGGTTTGAGGTGCAGTGGCTGTCACACTCACAGCAGCCTCCACCTCCCAGGCTTAAGCAATCCTCCTGCCCAGCCTCCCAAGTAGCCACAGCAGCAGACTTTTTTTGTTTTTTTTTGTAGAGACAAGGTCTCACTATGTTGTCCAGGCTAGTCTTGAACTCCTGAGCTCAAGTGATCCTCTTGCCTTGGCCTCCCAAAGTGATGAGATTAGAGGCGTGAGCCACTGCGCCCAGCTAGGCATTGTGTATATATGCTAGACACGAGTTCCTGGTCAGATGTGTGATATACGAATACTTTCTCCCAGTCTGTAGCTTAGCTTCTCGTTCTATTAACAGAGTCTTTCCCAAAGCAAAAGTTTTTAATTTTTTATGAAGTCCATTTTATCTTTTTTTTAAAAATCATCCTTTTGGTATCATGTTTACTAGTAACTCTTCTCTAAACTCTAGGTCCCACAGATTTTCTCCTGTTTATTTGTCTCTAAGTTTCATAGTTTTATATTTTATATTCAGGCTCATTATCCATTTTGAGTTAATTTTTGTATAGGTATAAGGTTTAGGTCAAGGTTTTTCTGTCTTACAGATATCCAGCTGCTCCAGCACTTTTTTTAGTTTGTTTGTTTTTCCTTCTTCCACAGGTTCTAATCCAGCACCATTATTAAGACTATTCTTCCACTGAATTACTTTGGCACCTTTGACAAAAATCAGAGGTCATATTTGTGTATGGCTATTTCTTTCCATTGATCTACATGTCTGTCGCTTTGCCAATACCACAAAGTCTTGATTATGAAAGCTATATAGTAAGTCTTGAAATTGGGTAGCATGATTCCTCCCATTTTATTCCCCTTTTTTAAAATTACTTTAGCCATTCTAGTAGTCCTCTGTCTTTCCATATAAATTTTAGAATAATCTTACCTATATCTACAAAAGATCTTACTGGAATTTTGAGAAAAACTGCATTAAACCTGTATATCAATTTGGGGAGAACTGGTATCTTTGTTGAGTCTTCCATTCAATGTAGAATGTCTTTCCATTTACTTTTATCTTCTTTGATTTCTCCATCAGCCACGCTATTTTTAAAAATATGTTTAACAACTTTTTAAAAATAGACAATTTAGCCTTGAAATCTGGATTTCAGCTTTTCTTGAAATACCTGAAGATCCAGCAATGCTGGTACAACAAACCTATTTAACAGCAAATGCCTGGAGCTAGGTGGTAGTTGCCATATACTGTCTTTTGCAGGTAAATGTAAAATGCTTCCCACTTCACCACATCCCCTCCACCAATCCTTTTTGATCCTCTACAGTCTGCTGGATATCAGCTATGATTTATCATCACGCTATCTATATTTCTCTGTCTCTATCCCTATCAAAAATGAGAAAAGGGCTGGGCACAGTGGCCCACACCTGTAATCCCAACACCTTAGAGGGCCAAGGCAAGAGGATCACTTGAGGCCAGGAGTTCCAGAACAGCCTGGGCAGTCTCTACAAAATTATTATTTTTTAAATTAGCCAGGCATGGTGGTGCACACCTGTAGTCCTACCTACTTGGGAGGCTGAGGTGGGTGGATCACTTGAGCCCAGGGGATCAAGGCTACAGTGAGCTCTGATCATGCCACTGCACTCCAGCCTGGGCAGACACAGACAGCAAAACCCTGCTTCTTTTATTTAAAAATAAAATAAAATGAAGGAAAATACAAAACATAACAAGTATGTAGCAAGATTTTTTTTTAAATGAGAGAAACCATATTTCTTCTTGGAGTAAATAACCATGCAAAATCTTTAATGTGCACACCAACCTGCTTCCCTTCTTTTGCTCTCCTGCCTGGTCCATGTAAACATGTGATTTTAAGACTGAAAATTGTTCCTTCAAAATGTATCAAATGTGTTCTCCAGGAAATCGGTACAGTTAACTCTCCAATTATTTTGCAAAGTCTTATTGTACCAACCTAAAACCACTCAATATCAAAATTAAAAATATATTACTTCTACTGTGGAAAGTCCTGTATACAAGAAACTACCCAAAATTGTCACTTTTTTAACCACTAATATTGGCAGTGCTCCTGTCATGGGTGGCTTTGCTACATGTACTATTTTTATGACAGCAAAAAAAAAGTGTTTCCCTAAGCCTTCATCAAGAAAGAATATATTACCATAAAAATATCTGTTTAGTTATACAATGAGATTTAATAACAAAGTTGTACCAACAGCAAAAAAAAAAAAAGAGATTATAAATGTTTGACGGCGTAACTGTCTTAAAGATTTAAACAGAAAAACTCACAGATTTATACCATTATCCATCTTCCCTTAAGCTATAGGTTATTCATTTGCTAAAGAAGGGTTACTAAATTGGAGAATTCATAGTTGGGCTTGGGGGATATCTGAATTACTATGTACAGACAAAACGTTATGTGTATGTGCATTTTTCTAGGGTAAGTCCACAGATTTCATAACTCTAAGTTTAAGATCATCACTGGACTATATAAAAGGATATTAAATTACATTTAGATTTTAAAATAGACGATGGGGTAGTATTCTGCAGTCCACTAAAACAACGATGACCATATATTCTGGTTTACCAGAATAATACTGGCAGCTTATGCCTACTATCCCAATCCCTCATTCATTAAGTACCCCTTTTACTCTCTAAAGTGGCCTTTAGAGAAAACACAGCCAGACGTGGTAGCTCACACTTGTAATCCCAGCACTTTGCGAGGCTGAAGAGGATCACTTGCATCCAGGAGATCAAGACCAGTCTGGGCAACATGGTGAGCCCCCATCTCTACAAAAAAATAAAGAATTAGCCAGGCGTGGTGGGTGCCTATAGCCCCCACTACTCAGGAGGCTGACATGGGAGGATCCCTTGAGCCTGGGAGGTTGAGGCCGCAGTGAGCTGTGATGGCGTCACTACACTCCAGCCTGGGTGACAAAGTGAGACCCTGTCTCAAAATGGAAAGAAAAGAAAATCTGAATACACCTGTAACAAGTAAAGGAATGAGTCAATAATCAAAAACTTCTCACAAACAAAAGCCCAGAACCAGATGGTTTCAATGACAAATTCTACCAAATGTTGAAAGAATTAACACTAATCCTTCACAAGATTTTCCAAAAAAATACAAGAGGGGGGATGGTTTTCCCACCTCGTCTACAAGACCAGCATTACACCCAAACCAGAAAAAAAAAAAAAGTCACAAGAAAACTACAGACTAATATCCTTTATGAATATAGTACCAAAATAATCATCAAATACTGGCAAACCAATGGTCAGGTGTGGTGGCTCACACCTGTAATCCCAACACTTTGGGAGGCTGAGGCAAAAGGATCGCTTGCATACAGGAGTTCAAGACCAGCCTGGACAACATGGCGAAATCCCATCTCTACTAAAAATACAAAAACTAGCCGGGCACAGTGGTGCATGCCTGTCATCCCAGCTCCTTGGGAGGCTGAGGCAGGAGAATCGCTTGAACCAGGAGGCAGATGTTGCAGTGAGCTGAGATCACGCCACTGCACTCCAACCTGGGCAACAAAGCGAGACTCCATCTCAAAAAAAAAAAAGACTATAAACCATGACTAAGTGGGATTTATCCCAAAAATTCAAGGTTGGTTCAACATTAAAAAAAAAAAATCAACATAACATACCATATAAACAGATTTTTTAAAAACTTCACATCATCCTCTCAATAAATGCAGAAAAAGCAATTGACAAAACCCAACGACCTTTCATTATGAAAGCATCAACGAACTAGGAATAGAAAAGACCTTCCCTCAATCTGATTAAGGGCATCTATAAAATTCCCACACCATACTTGATGGTAGAAGACTGAACATTTTCCCCACTAAGATCAGGAATATGTCAAGGGTGTCCACTCCCACTGCTTCTATTCAACATTTTATTGAAGGTTCTAGCCAGGGCACTGAGGAAAGAAAAGGAAAGAAAAAAACACAAGACATCCAGATTCTAAAGGAAGACATAAAACCATCTTTTTGCAGATGACATGATCTTATACATAAAAACACATTAAAACTAATAAACACGTTCAGCAAGACTACAGGATACAAAATAAATACACAAAAATCAGTTGCAGTTCTATATGCTAACAATGAACAATCCAAAAATGAAATTATAAAAACAATTCCATTTAAAATAGTACCAAAGGAATAAAATGCTTAGGAATAAATTTAACCAAGGAAGTGAGACTTCTATAAACTTAAACTATAAAACATTGTTTTAAAAAATTAAAAACCTAGGGAGGCTGAGGCAGGAGAATGGCGTGAACCCGGGAGGCAGAGGTTCCAGTGAGCCGAGATCACACCACTGCACTCCAGCCTGGTTGACAGAGCAAGACTCTGTCTCAAAAAAAAAAAAAAAAAAAAAAAAATTAAAAACCTAATACAGAGAAAGACATTCCATGTTCATGGATCAGAAGACTACATTGTTAAAATGGCAATATTCCCCAAATTGATATACAGATTCAGTGCAATCCCTACCAAAATTCCAACTGCCTTTTTTGCATAAATGGATAAGCTGACCCTAAGATTTATACGGAAATGCAAGGGACTCAGAATAACCAAAAGAATACTGAAAAAAGAAGACAGCTGGAGAACTCACACTTCCCAATTTTAAGACTTACTACAAAGTTACCATAATCAAGACACTGTGGTACTGGCATAAGGATCAACATAAAGATCAATGGAACAGGCCGGGCATGGTGGCTCACGCCTATAATTCCAGCACTTTGGGAGGCCGAGGCAGGCGGATTGCCTGAGGTCGAGTTTGGGACCAGCCTGCCAACATGAACAAACCCCATCTCTGCTAAAGGTGCAAAATTAGCTGGGCATGGTGGTGCATGCCTGTAGTCCCAGCTGCTTGGGAGGCTGAGGCAGGAGAATCACTTGGACCCGGGAGGCAGAGGTCGTGGTGGGCCAAGTTCGCATGATTGCACTCCAGCCTGGGCAACAAAAGTGAAACTCCGTCTCAAAAAAAAAAAAAAAAAAGTGTATATATGTATGTATCAATGGAACAGAAGAGGGAATCCAGAAATAAACCCACATATCTATAGTCTATAGTAAATAGATTTCCAACAAGCATGCAACAAGACCCTTCAAGTCATTTTAACAAGTGGTGTTAGGATCACTGGATATTCACATGCTAAAGAATGAAGGTGGACCCCAACTTCATAGCATATACAAAAATTAACTCTAAATGAATCAGATGCCTGTTGTCCCAGGTACTTCGGAGGCTGAGGCAGGAGAACTGCTCGAACCGGGAGGCGGAGTTGCAGTGAGCCGAAATTGCACCACTGCACTCCAGCCTGGTGACTGGAGTGAGAAGAGTGAGACTCTTTCTCAAAAAAAAAAAAAACTTTTAGAAGAAAACGTGTAAATCTTTATGACCTCAGAATAGGCAATCGTTTGATAGATATAACACAAACAGCATAAGCAACCAAAGTAGGTAAACTGGATTTCATCACAATGTAAAACTTTTGTCAAAGGACACTATCAAGAAAGTGAAAAGTAGGGGAAAAAAGTTTGCAGATGTATCTGACTAGGGCTGAGTACCCAGAAAATACAAAGAACTCTTACAACTCAACAGCAGAAAAGCAAATAACACACTTTAAAAAATCAGGCAAAGGATCTGAATAGACATTTCTCCAAAGAAGATACACAAACGGCAAACAAGCACATGAAAAGATGCTCAACATCATTAGTCATTAGGGAAATGCAAATCGAAACCACAATGAGACACCATTTCATACCAACTAGGATGGCTAAACAAAAAGAAGGGGAAATCACAAGTTGGCAAGGATGTGGAGAAACAGGAATCCTCATACACTGCTGGTAGGGAGTGTGGAATGGTGCCATCACTGGAAAAGTTTGGCACAAGCAATCCTCCTACCTGAGCCTCCCAAGTAGCTGGAACTACAGGCACACACCACCGCACCTGGCTAATTTTTGTATATTGTAGAGACAAGTGTTTTGCCAAGTTGCCCAGGCTGGTCTCGAACTCCTGGGCTCAAGCAATCCACCCATCTCAGCCTCCCCAAGTGTTTGGATTACAGACCACCATGCCCAGCCTTCAGAGCAGCATTATTCATAACAGCCAAATAGTAGAAATACTCCAAATGTCCATCAATGGATGAGTAAATAAAATGTGATATATTCATACAATAGAATATTATTCAGCAATAAAAAGGAATCAACCACTAAGATATGCTACAACACGGATGAACCATGAAAACATTATGCTAAGTACATTTCCAGATTCCAAAGGCCACCTATTACATGATTCCATTCAAATGAAATTTTCAAAATAGGCAATCCATAGACAGCGTTTGCCAGATGCTGTGGGGAGGGGTAAATGGGAAATGACTGGTAACGTGTAAGAGGGTTTCTTTGGGGGTGATGAAAATGTTCTGGAATTAGTGATGATGGCTGAACAATTCTAAATATACTGAAAACTCTGAATTGTACAATCTAAAATGGTGAACTTTATGGTATGTAAATTGTCTTTTTTTTAAGTGGCCTACTTTACAGAAAAAATGACATCGTCATGCTAACTAAAACCAACTCCTTCTTTTACTTAAGCATGCCTTCTCTCTTCTCTTTAAGCTTCCTACTCCAAACCAAATCTCTGAGGTAATAACTCTTCAATACAACTGTCAAAGGAGTGCTTTACGTTCCACTGTGTATTTGTAAGGTGACAAGTTTCACAATCCTTTCCTTTTTCCAAATAATTCAGTCCATCCAAGATCAAAGAAACAGCAAAAAATAAAAATAAAAAATAATAACTCAGTCCAGAAATAATTAGGTTGTCTGAGCAAGACCAGCATGTACACAGGGAGAGGCTAGAGACTGGTTCCACACATGCTGAGTGATCAATATAGTAAATCTACTGGTGATAATCATAGCCTGGTTTCTATAGAAGAGAACTACAAATATGGAAAGAGAAAAAAAACTACAAGAAGCCCTGTAGTGTTAGACTGGAATTTCAATTATTTATGGGTGTTGAAGTTATGGTATTCATGGTATTCGAGAGAGAGATATGGAGAAATAAACATAAACACATATTCCCTAAATCTGGTCACAAGACTCATTGGAGAACTGGCTAATTCCAGGGCTGGAGTAGGGCACTGCAAGATGAACATGGCATACCTTCATAAGCCAGAAAGTAAGGCAGAGCTCAAAGAATGAAGGGGCCATGTCAAATGAACATAGAAGCCATCTTGAAGCAGCTCCCATTGACCATACGTGGGAAAATTTGAGCAACAAATTAAATGATAGTAACAGATATAACCCATTGAATTAAAACAGGAATCTATTAGTTCATAAATAAATAGAAAGTTTGATGAGGAAAAGTCTCAACATAACTGCCCACAAAATAGTTAATGACAAAGGGAAAAAAGAATAACTTCATAGTGGTGAGGCCTAGCAGACACCATCTTAATCAAGGGATCAAATTTAGTATCACTAGTAATGGGACCAAATGAAAGTACATGACACCCAATAGGACAGAACGAAACACAGAATCACTTCGGTTATTTTTCTGCCAAAGGTGCCAAGATTAATCTACTTTATAAGGGAACATCAGACAAACCCAAATTGAGGGACGATATACAAAATAACTGTCCTGTATCTTCAAAAGCTTCAAAGTCATGAAAGTCAAGGCAAGACTAAGGAAACCGCAGTACTCCAGGTTAAAGGCAACTAAAGAAACATGAAAATTAAATGCAAAGCATGGCCAGGTGCAGTGGCTCACACCTGTAGTCCCAGCACTTTGGGAGGCCAGGGTGGGCAGATCACGAGGTCAGGAGTTCAAGACCAGCCTGGCCAATGTGGTGAAACCCTGTCTGTACTAAAAATACAAACATTAGCCAGGCACGGTGGTGTGCACCTGCAGTCCCAGCTACTCAGGAGGCTGAAGCAGAAGAATCACTTGAACCTGTGAGGTGGAGCTTACAGTGAGCCAAGACCACGTCACTGCACTCCAGCCTGGGTGACAGAGCAAGACTCTGTCTCAAAAAAAAAACAAAACAATGCAGGAGGTTCCAAGATGGCCGAATAAGAACAGCTCCAGTCTACATCACCCAGTGTAGAGAGAAGACAGGTAATTTCTGCATTTCCAACTGAGGTACTGGGTTCATCTCACTGGGGCTTGTTGGACAGTGGGTGCAGCCCACTGAGCAAGAGCCAAAGCAGGGCGAGGCATCGCCTCACCCGGGAAGCGCAAGGAGTCAGGGAATTCCCTTTCCTAGCCAAGGGAAGCTGTGACAGGCGGCACCTGGAAAATCAGGTAACTCCCAACCTAATACAGGCGGCACCTGGAAAAATCAGATAACTCTCAACCTAATACTGAGCTTTTCCAACGGTCTTAGCAAACGGCACACCAGGAAATTATATCCTGTGCCTGGCTCGGAGGGTCCCACGCTCACAGATCCTCACTCATTGCTAGCACAGTAGTCTGAGATCAAACTGCAAGGTGGCAGCGAGGCTGGGGGAGGGGCACCCACCATTGCTGAGGCTTGAGTAGGTAAACAAAGCTGCTAGGAAGCTTGAACTGGGTGGAGCCCACCGCAGCTCAAGGAGGCCTGCCTGCCTCTGTAGACTCCACCTCTGGGGGCAGGGCATAGCCGAATAAACGGCAGCAGAAACTTCTGCAGACTTAAATGTCCCTGTCTGACAGCTTTGAAGAGAGTGGTGATTCTCCCAGCACACTGTTTGAGATCTGAGAATGGACAGACTGCCTCAAGTGGGTCCCTGACCCCCGAGTAGCCTAACTGGGAGCCACCTCCCAGTAGGGGCAGACTGACACCTCACAAGGCTGGGTACCCCTCTAAGACGAAGCTTCCAGAGGAACGATCAGGCAGCAACATTTGCTGTTCAGCAATATTCACTGTTCTGCAGCCTCCGCTGGTGATACCCAGGCAAACAGGGTATGTAGTAGACCTCCAGCAAACTCCAACAGACCTGCAGCTGAGGGACCTGACTGTTAGAAGGAAAACTAACAAACAGAAAGGACATCCACACCAAAACCCCATCTGTATGTCACCATCATCAAAGACCAAAGGTAGATAAAACCACAAAGATAGGGAGAAACCAGAGCAGAAAAGCCAAAAATTCTAAAAATCAGAGCGCCTCTCCCCCTCCAAAGGAACGCAGCTCCTCGCCACAAACGGAACAAAGCTGGATGGAGAATGACTTTGACAAGTTGCGAGAAGTAGGCTTCAGACGATCAAACTTCTCCGAGCTAAAGGAGGATGTTCGAACCCATCACAAAGAAGCTAAAAACCTTGAAAAAAGATTAGACGAATGGCTAACTAGAATAACTAGTGTAGACAAGTCCTTAAATGACCTGATGGAGCTGAAAACCATGGCACGAGAATGACGTGATGCATGCACAAGCTTCAGTAGCTGATTTGATCAACTGGAAGAAAGGGTATCAGTGATTGAAGATCAAATGAATGAAATGAAGTGAGAAGTTTAGAGAAAAAAGATAAAAAGAAATGAATAAAGCCTCCAAGAAATATGGGACTACATGAAAAGACCAAATCTATGTCTGATTGGTGTACCTGAAAGTGAAGGGGAGAATGGAACCAAGCTGGAAAACACTCTGCAGGATATCATCCAGGAGAACTTCCCCAACCTAGCGAGGCAGGCCAACATTCAAATTCAGGAAATAGAGAGAACGCCACAAAGATACTCCTCGAGAAGAGCAACTCCAAGACATATAATTGTCAGATTCACCAAAGTTGAAATGAAGGAAAAAATGTTAAGGGCAGCCAGAGAGAAAGGTCAGGTTACCCACAAAGGGAAGCCCATCAGACTAACAGTGGATCTCTTGGCAGAAACTCTACAAGCCAGAAGACAGTGGGGGCCAATATTCAACATTCTTAAAGAAAAGAATTTTCAACCCAGAATTTCATATCCAGCCAAACTAAGCTTCATAAGTGAAGGAGAAATAAAATCCTTTACAGACAAGCAAATGGTGAGAGATTTTGTCACCACGAGGCATGCCTTACAAGAGCTCCTGAAGGAAGCACTAAACACGGAAAGGAACAACTGGTACCAGCCACTGCAAAACCATGCCAAATTGTAAAGACCATCGATGCTAGGAAGAAACTGCATCAACTAACGAGCAAAATAACCAGCTAACATCACAATGACAGGATCAAATTCACACATGGCAATATTAACCTTAAACGTAAATGGGCTAAATGCTCCAATTAAAAGACACAGACTGGCAAATTGGATAGAGTCAAGACCCCCCAGTGTACTGTATTCAGGAGACCCATCTCACCTGCAGAGACACGTCCATAGGCTCAAAATAAAGGGATGGAGGAAGATCTACCAAGCAAATGGAAAACAAAAAAAAAGCAGGGGTTGCAATCCTACTCTCTGATAAAACAGACTTGAAACTAACAAAGATCAAAAGAGACAAAGAAGGCCATTACATAATGGTAAAGGGATCAATTCAACAAGAAGAGCTAACTATCCTAAATATACATGTACCCAATACAGGAGAACACAGATACATAAAGCAAGTCCTTAGAGACCTACAAAGAGACTTAGACTCCCACACAATAATAATGGGAGACTTTAACACCCCACTGTCAACATCAGACAGATCAACAAGACAGAAAGTTAACAAGGATATCCAGGAATTGACCTCAGCTCTGCACCATGCAGACCTAATAGATATCTGCAGAACTCTCCACCCCAAATCAGCAGAATATACATTCTTCTCAGCACCACATCACACTTACTCCAAAACTGACCACATAGTTGGAAGTAAAGCACTCCTCGGCAAATGTAAAGGAATAGAAATTATAACAAACTGTCTCTCAGACCACAGTGCAATCAAACTAGAACTCAGGATTAAGAAACTCAAAACCGCTCAACTACATAGAAACTGAACAACCTGCTCCTGAATGAATACTGGGTACCTAACGAAATGAAGGCACAAATAAAGATGTTCTTTGAAATCAATGAGAACAAAGACACAACATACCAGAATCTCTGGGACCCATTTAAAGCAGTGTCCCAGAGCTATAAAGTAGAGGAAAATTTATAGCACTAAATGCCCACAAGAGAAAGCAGGAAATATCTAAAACTGACACCCTAACATCACAATTAAAAGAACTAGAGAAGCAAGAGCAAACACATTAAAAAGCTAGCAGAAGGCAAGAAATAACTAAGATCAGAGCAGAACTGAAGGAGATAAAGACACAAAAAACCCTTCAAAAAAATCAATCAATGCAGGAGCTGTTTTTTTTTAAAAGATCAACAAAATTGACAGACCGCTAGCAAGACTAATAGACAGAAGAATCAAATAGACGCAATAAAAAATGATAAAGGGGATATCACCACTGATCCCACAGAAATACAAACTACCATCAGAGAATACTATAAACACCTCTACGCAAATAAACAAAAAATCTAGAAAACATGGATAAATTCCTGGACACATACACCCTCCCAAGACTAAACCAGGAAGAAGCTGAATCCCTGAATAGATCAATAACAGGCTCTGAAATTGAGGCAATAACTAATGGACTACCAACCAAAAAAAAGCCCAGGACCAGACGGATTCACAGCCGAATTCTACCAGAGGTACAAAGAGGAGCTGGTACCATTCTCTCTGAAACTATTCCAATTGACAGAGAAAGAGGGAATCCTCCCTAACTCATGTTATGAGGCCAGCATCATCCTGATACCAAAGCCTGGCAGAGACACAACAAAAAAAGAATTTTAGACCAATATCCCTGATGAACATCAATGCAAAACTCCTCAATAAAATACTGGCAAACCGAATCCAGGAGCACATCAAAAAGCTTATCCACCATGATCAAGTGGGCTTCATCCCTGGATCGCAAGGCTGGTTCAACATATGCCAATCAATAAACGTAATCCATCATATAAACAGAAGCAAAGACAAAAAACACATGATTATCTCAATAGATGCAGAAAAGGCCTTTGATAAAATTCAACAGCCCTTCGTGCTAAAAACTCCCAATAAACTAGGTATTGATGAAAGTATCTCAAAATAATAAGAGCTGTTTATGACAAACCCACAGCCAGTATCACACTGAATGGGCAAAAACTGGAAGCATTCCCTTTGAAAACTGGCACAAGACAGGGATGCCCTCTCTCACCACTCCTATTCAACATAGTGTTGGAAGTTCTGGCCAGGGCAATCAGGCAGGAGAAAGAAATAAAGGCTATTCAATTAGGAAAAGAGGAAGTCAAATTGTCCCTGTTTGCAGATGACATGATTGTATATTTAGAAAACCCCATCATCTCAGCCCAAAATCTCCTTAAGCTGATAAGGAACTTCAGCAAAGTCTCAGGATACAAAATCAATGTGCAAAAATCACAAGCATTCCTATACACCAATCACAGACAAACAGAGAGCCAAATCATGAGTGAACTCCCGTTCACAATTGCTTCAAAGAGAATAAAATACCTAGGAATCCAACTTACAAGGGATGTGAAGGACCTCTTCAAGGAGAACTACAAACCACTGCTCAACAAAATAAAAGAGGACACAAACAAATGGAGGAACATTCCATGCTCATGGATAGGAAGAATCAATATCGTGAAAATAGCCATACTGCCCAAGGCAATTTATAGATTCAATGCCGTCCCCATCAAGCTAACAATGACTTTCTTCACAGAATTGGAAAAAACTACTTTAAAGTTCATACGGAACCAAAAAAGAGCCCATATAGCCAAGACAATCCTAAGCAAAAAGAACAAAGCTGAAGGCATCATGCTACCTGACTTCATACCATACTACAAGGCTACAGTAACCAAAACAGCATGGTACTGGTACCAAAACAGAGACATAGACCAATGGAACAGAACAGAGCCCTCAGAAATAATACCACACATCTACAACCATCTGATCTTTGACAAACCTGAGAAAAACAAGAAATAGGGAAAGGATTCCCTATTTAATAAATGGTGCTGGGAAAACTGGCTAGCCATATGTAGAAAGCTAAAATTGGATCCCTTCCTTACACCTTATACAAAAATTAATTCAAGATGGATTAAAGACTTAAATGTTAGACCTAAAAACCATAAAAACCCTAGAAGAAAACCTAGGCAATACCATTCAGGATATAGGCATGGGCAAGGACTTCATGTCTAAAACACCAAAAGCAATGGCAACAAAAGCCAAAATTGGCAAATGAGATCTAATTAAACTAAAGAGCTTCTGCACAGCAAAAGAAACTACCATCAGAGTGAACAGGCAACCTACAGAATGGGAGAACATTTTTGCAATCCACCCATCTGACAAAGGGCTAATATCCAGAATCTACAAAGAACTCAAACAAATTTACAAGAAAAAAAAAAAAACAACCCCATCAAAAAGTGGGCGAAAGGTATGAACAGACACTTCTCAAAAGAACACATTTATGCAGCCAACAGACACATGAAAAAATGCTCATCATCACTGGCCATCAGAGAAATGCAAATCAAAACCACAATGAGATACCATCTCACACCAGTTAGAATGACCGTCATTAAAAAGTCAGGAAACAACAGGTGCTGGAGAGGAAGTGGAGACATAGGAACAATTTTACACTGTTGGTGGGACTGTAAACTAGTTCAACCATTGTGGAAGACAGTGTGGGGATTCCTCAAGGATCTAGAACTAGAAATACCATTTGACCCAGCCATCCCATTACTGGGTATATACTCAAAGGATTATACATCATGCTGCTATAAAGACACATGCACACGTATGTTTACTGCGGCACTATTCACAATGGCAAAGACTTGGAACCAACCCAAACCCCATCAATGATAGACTGATTAAGAAAATGTGGCACATATACACCAAGGAATACTATGCAGCCATAAAAAAGGATGAGTTCATGTCCTTTGTAGGAACATGGATGAAGCAGGAAACCATCATTCTCAGCAAACTATCACAAGGACAGAAAACCAAACAACATATGTTCTCACTCATAGGTGGGAACTGAACAATGAGAACACTTGGGAAGGCGAGCATCACACACCAGGGCCTGTCATTGAGGGGGGGACGGGGGAGGGATAGCATTAGGAGATATACCTAATGTAAATGACAAGTTTATGGATGCAGCATACCAATGTCACATGTATACATACGTAACAAACCTGCATGTTGTGCACATGTATCCTAGAACTTAAAGTATAATAATAAAAATTTTAAAAAAAGAAAAAAATGCAAAGCATGATTCTGTGGGATCTTTTGGGTATAAAAAACATACCAGGAACAGTTAACATTATCTGAATACAGTCTAAGGAGACAAGATGGTGGTACTATCATTGTGTTAATTTCCTGGTTTTGATGGCTGTATTGAGTTGTGAAGTGTGCTTGCTTACAGGACACATACACTAAAGAATTCAGGTGTGATGGGACATCTTCACTATAACTCTCTCTCACATGGTCCCAGAAACATGGTTATTTATACCATCCTTGCAACTTTCTATAAACATGAGATTGTTTCAACTATGAAATTAAATATGTGTACATGAACGTAAAATAACCCAGTCTAATAAAAAGTAAACAATTTTAAAAACAGGGCTCAGATTATATGTCTATATAAGAAGAAAAGTGAACTTTGGCTTCATCGATTTACTAATTTTGGTTATCTCCATGATGACTCCATAATTCTATAGTCATAGACGTTTTGGACTGATCTATAGTGACCAATAAACTAAAATGTGGCACATTAACCTTACATATATGGACATGCCATATGCTGAGGGTGAAATTATAGCATGTAATTCCTTGGTCGCATTTTACGCTTCCCTTCACCCCACTTTGGTTTCATTTCATTCTGAGGTTGAATATGGCCACACAACAAGCTGATTGTTTATGTCATGAGACTCATGGAATCAAGTGAGTAAGAACTTGAAAAGTTTAGCTTATCTGGAGTTCATTTTTAATATCTTTAATCTACTAACTCTTCTTCCAGCTCAACTCATAGTTTAGAGTGTTTTAGTGAAGCAAAAATAAAATGAAGTAAACAGAAGCCTATAAGTTGAATTTTAATGCCTAGATTTCTGGTTACTGGAAGGAATAAACTAGAACTAAAGAGTAGGGATTAAATATTCTAATCCTGGCTTTACCAAAAATTTATTATTATGACAAGAAAGGCACTATATGTGTATCAAATGAGAGAAAAAAATCAATATGGAATTCAGTAATTGCTAATATTAGCAAAGGGCTAATAATACAACTTAGTAATGACTGCATGTTTCTTTCCACAGTTACTTAAATACTAAGTAACTCAAACCTAACTTTGGCATACTTTTACTTTCTTTTCCCTCACACTGCCTCAAAAAACAGGAAGTCACAGATTGTTTATCCTTAATATCATCTGTTCATTCATCTGATTGTAAGGCTTTACTATTATTCTAGAAGTGAAAGCTGAATGATATTAAAATTAATAGGCAACCAAGATTTTATCAAACTAAACAGAAGTCTAGAATTAAATTCAACAAATGTTTTGTGTGCCTACTACCTGCTGGACAGAGGTACGTAAGACTAATTCCCTGCCATTAGTGAATTTAGTCTAATAAAAGAGAATTAAGAACATTAGAAAGAAAAATAAAAGAAATATCTCCTACACTAATGTCACCAAGAGATTAGAAACTCTGAAACTATGAAAAATAGTTTCACAATTTTTTCATGTATATGCATGGCCATATATCCTTTTTTTTTTTTTTTTAAGAGACAGGGTCTTGCTCTGTTACCCAGACTAGAGTGCAGTGGCATGATCACAGCTCACTGCAACCTTGAACTCCTGGGCTCATGCGATCCTCCCACCTCCCAAGTAGCCAGGACTATAGGCATGCACCACCATGCCTAGCTAATTTTTTTATTTTTGTAGAGACAGGGTCTTGCAATATTGCCTAGGCTGGTCTCAAACTCATGGCCTCAAGTTATCCTCCCTCCTCAGCCTCTCAAAGTGCTGGGATTATAGGCATGAGCCACTGCTCCTGGCCTAGATTTTTTTAAAAAATAGAAAAATTCAATTATACTGCCTTATAATCCTTTATGACTACTTCTACCACTCCATATCAATTAGCATATTAATACTTAAAAATCACCATTTTGTTTTAGAAATAGGGTCTCACACTTTGTCACCCAGGTTAGGAGTGTAGTGGTGCAATCACAGCTCACTGCAGCCTCCAACTCTAAGTTCCTGGGCTCAAGGGATCCTCTCGCCTCAGTCTCCCAGCTATCTGGAACTAGAGGCATGCACCGCCACGCCCAGCTAATTTTTTTTTTTTTTAAATAAAAATCATCTTTTTGTTTTTTTTGAGACAGGGTCTCGCTCTGTCACCCAAGCTGGAGTGTAGTGGCGCAATCTTGGCTCACTGCAACCTCTGCCTCCCGGGTTCAAGCGATTCTCCCACCTTAGCCTCCTGAGTAGCTGGGACTACAGGGGCACGCCACCATGCCCAGGCCCAGCTAATTTTTGTATTTTTAGTAGACAGAGGGTTTTGCCATGTTGGACAGGCTGGTATCAAACTCCTGACCTCAAGTAATCCTCCCGGTTCAGTCTCCCAAAGTGCTGGGATTACAGGTGTGAGCCACCATGCATGGCCCAAAACCGCTATTTTTAATGAGCTGCATAGTATTAATTTCAAGGATGCGCCAAAATTTGCCTAACCAATACCCTGCTGCCATATGCTCATGGTTACTTAATTTGGAGGCATGATGGGAAGGGTTGTCATGAAAAAATGACAGCTAAAATTATTCACAGCTGTAAACTTAGCCCAGATGCTTTATAAAGTCAGCTGGGAGTTCCCCTCTAAACACACACACACACACACACACACACACACACACACACACACACACACACACATTTCCAGAAAAAAAGGCTTAATGCCATGATATCCTTATCATCTGTGGTCTCTTCCTCTGCCTCCTACTGTCCAGGCCTTAATATTACTTTTATCCTAAAGTATTTGTAATAACTTTCCCTGACTTCAATCTCTCCCCATTCCAAATCCTACATATCTCTACAAAAAACTTCCTGAAGGAAAATAAAACCTCCCTGCTTGAAGACTACCTAATCCCAATTATTTGAGAGTAAATATTGCCAATTTATTATTTAATACTTTGGGCATTCAGTTTGAATGATATAACCACTAAACCACCTCCCAATGTTTTCATCTGCCACTTTCTTTCAAACATCCTCCAGTAAAATCCTAATATAGTAATCAGTTATTTGAATAGCCTCCAACTTTCTACTCCATTATGTATGCTGTTCTCTTGTCAGAAATGCATGTCGAAGTACCACTATTTATAGATACAGAATCACAGATCTGAAAGGGAACTTAGAGATATCCTAGTCTACTCAACTTCATTTGCAAATTAAAAACTACTATTGTTTACCCAAGAGCCCATGAAACTCCCATTCTAGCATTCTTTCCAGTACACAGTGTTTCTCAAATTCTTGTGTGCCCAACAATCCAGACAACAGTTATTAAAAACAAAGATTCTGGAGCCCCATCCTGAAAACTTTTGTTCTTGTAATTCAGGTTAGGAAATTAGGACCAGAACTCACATTTTTTAAAACAAGTACTTCAGGTGATGCTAAAGCAAGGAGGTGGGGGGAGGGAGCGGTGTCAAAGCTTTATATCACAATAACACATCAAGAATAGGAAGCCTTATAGCAATTAGTATATCATCTGAAATTTCCTGTTTCTTCTCCTTATGCTAAAACTTCCAAAAAACAGTTACTCACTGCTACTTGTGCTGAATCCATAAATCTCAGACCAAAATAGTCGCTTTCAATCAGGTCCAGGTGGTACATAATCTGATCAAACAACTCTTGTCCTTTGGCTTTTTTCTGAAATGGCAAGATAATAAGTAAATCAATAAGTGGTTTATAAGATCAACAAGCCTGAACAAAAGAAGGTTTTAGTTATACAAGATCTCTTGAAGAAAGGAGGACTTGCAATACCAAAAGTATTAGCATGTGGCAGATAATGCATAAGACATTACAGTTTTCTAATAAATCACTTAAGGCCAAAAACAAATTTGCGATTTATGTGTTTTCCTGGAGAGTGTTACTTCCAATCAACCAACAAAAATTACCTATTTTGAGATACAAATATTTGTGTGTGTGTATGGATAAATTCTTGTGTTGTAATCAATTTTTAGAGTCCCTACTTTAAAAGGGCCATAATGTCATTGGACAAAGAAAATACAAAAAACTTAAGAGTACTTTAGTACAAAATATGTGAAACTACACTTGCAAACAGATTTTAGAGAAGAGACAGAAACTAGAATAATCAATGAAGGCTTGATGCAGAAGAATCAAACTGGAAGAGAACGTAAGGTAAGAAATAATAAAACTGGGAGGTGCGGGGAATATGAGAGCATAAGAAAAGTACTGTGATGATGCAGAAGACACCAAATAGTAGGGTAATAAATAGGAAAGAAACTTTGTATGGAAAAAGCAGTTCTCAAAATGTGGTCTCATGATCACCGAGGGTTTCCAAGACCCTTTCAAAAGATTCATGAGGTCCTAGGTTTCTTATATACCTGAAACAAAACAACACATTGCAACACAGTGAACGTGGAAGCAGATAAGAGAATCCAAGTACCTTCTATTAAACCAGACATTAAACAGATTTGCAAAAGTGCTTAAAACAATGCCACTTTTCTAAGCTCTTTGTTGTTTTAGAAAATAGTTATTTTTATAATATGTTTTATATTACGTTAACATAAAAGGGGTATGTTGTTGCTATATTAATAGACAATTATTGATTAATCAGTTAATAAATACTTAAAATTTTTTCAGTTTTAATTTCTAATACTGTAACTATTGGTAGGTATAATCCACATAAGCAAAAGCATTGTTGGGATCCTCAATTTTCATAACTGCTCATCCATGCCTCTCCCATCTGTAGAATTCTAAATTGTGATTTATAGTATTTTCCTATTAAAAAATGAACATATAGTTGGTTTATCATATCAATCTCTGCCTTTTAACTGACAAGTTTATTATCTCAACTTGTCCTTTGCTTTTTTAGATAAGTAAATCTGTCATCTATATTTCCTTTCATCAAGAACTTGACCATGCCTTCATGTCCTCTAATCTCCCCTCCACCCAATTCCCATCAAGTTTTATAGACATACTTCTATTTATTCTTTTTTATTCTTAGCTAACTTTTTAAAGACAACAACTTCTACTTGGGTATTTCAAAAATGTACATGCCTTACATGTGTACATTACATGTCCTGCAGCATCTGCTAGATTTGCAAATACTCATTTGAGTTCTTTCTCCAAAAATGTTTCCCATGTGGCTTTTGTATGGCTTATCTTCTAAGGCTTTGGCCTTCTATATTTGAGAATATTTTAATCATGCCCTCACTCGAATGACAGTTGGATGGGTAGAAATGTCAAGGTTCACAGTTTCTTTCAATACTTTCTCCATACTCAAAAAAAATTTATTCCATTATCTTCTTGCAGTCAACACTGCTACTGGTAAGTGTGATGTCAATCTCAATTTTCTTTCTTCGTAATGTTACTTGTTCACTTTTAGACTCTTTAATTTCACTGTACTGTGTACAAGTGTGAGTTTTTCTTAATCATATTGTATTCTATATGGACCTCTTCAACCTGAGATCTTTCATATTTCTTTAATTCTAGACGTCAACCTCTATTGTTTTCTCAAATATTTCTCCTTTGTCATTTTAAGTTTCCTACGTCAGTGCTGCCATCTTTTTTTTAGCACATATTACTTATCCATTTAAATACGTATATATATATATATAAAAAGCACAGACAAAAGTTCAGAAAGCTTTAGTAATATGACAAAATTACATTTAAAACAATGACAACGCTAGAATTTGAATTTTGCTCTACCTTCCAAGTTCAAATTCACTGAGGAATACATACCTGATCTAGATTTCACCTGGAATGTCACCTGAGATCAGTAAGTCAGATACCCCACTTCTTAAACAACTTCTTCTAGCTTATTCATAAAATTACTTTCTTCTTTTTTTTTTTTTTTTTTTCCTGAGACAGAGTTTCACTCTTGTTGCCCAGACTGGAGTGCAATGGCACAATCTCAGCTCACTGAAACCTCCGCTTCCTGGGTTCAAGCAATTCTCCTGCCTCAGCCTCCCGAGTAGCTGGGATTACAGGCATGCGCCACCACACCCACCTAATTTTGTATTTTTAGTAGAGATGGGATTTCTTCATGTTGGTCAGGCTGGTCTCGAACTCCCGACCTCAGGTGATCCGCCCAACTTGGCCTCCCAAAGTGCTGGGATTACAGGTGTGAGCCACCACGCCTGGCCACAAAATTACTTTCAATGCCTAAGTTCTCCAACCACATGGGGAATTTCGAGTACACTGACCCAACTTCACAGACATCAGCCTCACTTCTCCTTTTTTTAAAGTATAACACAATTTGCCATTTTAACTATTTTAAGTATAAAATTCAGTGCCATTGAAAATATTCACCATGTTGTACAACTGTCACCACTATCCATTTCCAGAACCTGTCACTATTCCAATCAGAAACACTATACCCATTAAAAAAATCATCCCCCACTTGCCCTCACCATTACCCCTAGTAACTTCTCTCCCATTAATACTTTCTGTCTCTAAGAATTTGCCCATCCCATGTATCTCACATAAGTAGAATCATAACAGTATTTGTCCTCTTGTTTCTGGCTTATTTCACTCACCCTCTCTCCTACTTTCTGTCTCTATGAATCTGCCTATTCCATGTATCTCACATAAGTAGAATCATAACAATATTTGTCCTCTTGTTTCTGGCTTATTTCACTCACAGTATTTTTAAGGTTCATCCGTATTGCAAAATATATCAAAATTTCCTTCCTTTTTAAAGCTGAAAAATATTCCATTGCATATAAATACCATTCTGTTTACTTCTTCAAGTGTTGATGTACATTTGGGATTTTTCCATCTTTTCAGTTTGGAATAATGCTGCCACGAACACTGGTGTGTAAGTATCTGTTTGAGTCCCTGCTTTCAACTCTTCCTGGTATACACCTAGGAGTGAAAGTGCTGGGTCATATGCTAATTCTGTGTTTAACTATTTATATATTTTTTATTTTTTCTGAGATACAGTCTCACTCTGTCGCCCAGGCAAGAGTGCAAAGGCATCATCTAGGCTCACTGCAATCTCCACCCCCGGGTTTCAAGCGATTCTCATGCCTCAGCCTTCCAAGTAGCTGGGACTAAGGTGCACAACCATGCCAGGCTAATTTTTGTATTTTTAGTAGAGATAGGGTTTTGCCATGTTGGCCAGGCTGGTCTTGAACTCTTGGCCTCAAGCATCCCAAAGTGCTGGGATTACAGGAGTGAGCCACTGCACCCAGCCGTATGTTTAACTTTTTGAGAAACTGTCAAACTGTTTTCTACAGCAGCAACACTATTTTACATTCCCTCTGAAAGTGTATAACAATTCCAGTTCTTCCACATCCTTGCCAACATTTGTTACTTTCTCTTTTACTTTTTAAAACCAGCCACTTGATAGGTATGAATCAGTCTCTCTCATCGTGGCTCTGATTCAAATTTCCATTCTGATTAGTGATGCTGAAAATATTTTAATGTGCTTATTAGCCATTTATATATGTTCTTTGGAGAAATGTGTAAGTTCTTTGCCTATTTTCGAATTGGCTTTTGGTTGTTGTTGCTGAGTTGTAGGAGTTCTTTATATATTCTGGATATTAATCTCTTATCATATATCTGGTTCGCAAACATTTTCTCACATTCTGTGGGTTGTCTTTTTACTCTCTTGGCAGTGTCCTTTAATACACAAAAGCTTTGATGAAGTCCAACTTATTTGTTGTGCTGCCTGTGCTTTTGTTATCATATCCTACAAAATCACTGCCATATCTAATGTCATGAAGATTTTTTCCCTGTTTTCTTCTATGAATTTTATAGTTTTAGGTCTCTATGTCTTTGAGCCATCTTTACATTAATTTTTGTATATGGTATAAGGAAAAGGTCTGACTTCTTTCTTTTCCATGTGGGTATCCAGTTTTCTCATCACCATTTGTTGAAAAGACTGTCTTTTCTCCACTGAGTGGTTTTGGCACCCTTGTCAAAAATCATTTTACCATATTTACAAGGGTTTGTTTCTAGTCTCTCTATTCTATTCCATTGGTCAATGTCTGTCTGTATTGCCAGTAACACACTGCTTTTTTTTTTCTTTTGTAGAGATGGGGTCTGGCTATGTTGCTCAGCCTGGTCTTGAACTCCTGGTCTCAAGCAATCCTCCTGCCTTAGCCACCCAAAGCACTGGAATTACAGGTGTGAGCCATCACACGCAGCCCCACAGTTTTTGATTCTGTAGTTTCGTAGTAACTTTTGAAATAAATCAGGAACTGTGAGTCCTCTAACTTTCTTCTTCTTTTCAAGATTGTTTTGGCTCCCTTCAGATTCCATATGGATTTTAGAATGGGTTTTTCTATTTCTGCAAATAACATCGTTTGGATTTTGATAGGAATTGCATTTAATCTATGGATCACTTTGGGTAGTACTGTCTTCTTAACAAGATTAAGTCTCCAAATTCTTGAACGTGGGATATCTTCCTTCTTATTTACATGTTCTTTCATTCCTCTCAGCAGTGTTTTATACTGCAAGTCTTTTGCCTCCTTGGTTAAATTTATTCCTAAGCATTTTATTCTCTTAGATGCTATTATAAATGAAATGGTTTTCTTAATTTTGTTTTCAGATCATTGCTAACTTATTAGCACCATAAGGTTTTTTTTTCCTGCAAAATCTTTGGTTTTCTACATATAAGATCATGTCATCTTAAATAGAGATAATTTTATTTCTTCCCTTCCCATTTGGATGCATTTCTTTTTTCTGCTGAACTGCTCTGGACAGAAGTTCCAGTACTATGTTGAACAAAAGTGGCAACAGCAGATACCTTTATCTTGTTCCTGATCTTAGGGGAAAAAGGAACTCCTACTTTTGAATTTCATTTATTTCTTAATTTTTATTTTATGCTTCATATTATATCCTTTCTTTCCTCTTATGGAAAGAATTCTAAATATGATCTTCCAACTCACTAATTTCTCCTTCACCTTAACTGATCCTAATTTCATCCCATCAAATGTGTTCTATAGATTATACTTCTTATACCTAGTATTTTCCTTTGGTCCTATTAAGTAAGTTTTTGTTCTTGTTTCATGTTGTTAATATCTTTTAGAAAATTTATTAGACTTTTCTTTTTATTCCATCTGCCTTTGCTTCTACTATATACACAAAGATATTAACAACATAAAACAAGAAAACACACACATACACACAGTTTGTTATCTTTTACTTGCCTTTTGAGGTGCTTGCGCTCATTTGTCTCCTTATTTTGGACATATTTATTTGGGAACATGAGTTACTTTCTCTAGATTATGTGTAACAAGAGAAAGGCCTGACTCTAGTCTGTATCAGCAACATTTAGCACTGAGAAACCCCTGGGGGAATAGAAGAATTCTAGGGAGGAGAGCCCTAACAAGAGAAAATCACAGTTAATCACTTTCCATTATACAAACAACTCCCTCAGGTTAATAATTCATTCTTTGTCCACAGATGAAAGTAGCATTGGGAAGGAGGCATTTTCTATAATAATAATTCACTGCTCTCTAAGAGTTTGGTGGAGGAAGGGTAGGAAATTTAGGTAAGGGAATTTTAAGGATAAGGATTTTTAGAGGTGAGAAACTTTTTAGGCAGTGCTATTATGATTTATTCTTGAAGACACTTCCACCCACTGTCTGAGTTATTGCTATCACACCCCTTAAAAGAGATACTAATTATCAAGACAAATTTGGAACAGGGGGTAAGACCTCCATCCAAACTGCCTTTTACCTCAATTATCCTTCCACAGCCACAGGAGCAGCCCCCTAAACCAGACTGCAGCCACCATTACCACACACACACTCCAGTATCAACACTCCTTACCTGGGACTAATTTTTCTGTCTTAAGTTTTATGATCATTCATGGGTTAATCTTAGGACACTAGAAGCCCTTATTACTTCATTATCTTGTCCCAAACAGGGCAAGAATTCTCATTAAAAATTTATGATTGGGAGTGATCTTAACTTCCTTCAGGGATGAATTTCTTTTAAAATTAAAGATCTGTTTCAAATACTATTCCTAATTTGATTTATTCAACAATTTTTTTTAAGAGATGGGGGTCTCACCATGTTGCCCAGGCCAGAATTCAGTGGCTATTCACAGGTGTGAAGACTGCACTACAGCCTCAAACTCGTGGCCTTAAGCAATCCTCCCACCTCAGCCTCCTGAGTAGCTGGAACTACAGGCACTCTATCACTGAAGTTGGTTTATTGAACAAACATTAATAGAGCGCTTACTATGTGCCAGGCACTGTTCTAAGCAACTAAACAGGAAAACAAAACAGGTAAGCCCCTGCCTTCAAGAAGCTCATATTCAATTAAAGAAAAAAACAGCCAGGCATGGTGGCTCATGCCTACAATCCCAGCACTTTGGGAAGCCAAGGCAGGAGGATCACTTAAGACCAGGCGTTCCGAGACTGGCCTGGATAACATAGCAAGACCCTATCTCTACAAAAAATTTTTAAAAAAAATTTTTTTAGAAGAATCTTATATCCTAGCAAGGGAAGAAAATATTATGCTAGCGAGTGATAAAGGTTATACAGAACAAGGTAACTATGGGAAATGGTGTTTACATGGGGCCCATTTAATAAGGGAGATTTGAAAAAAGACTGAGTGACATAACTATGTAATTACCTAGAGAAAACAAATCCCAGGCAGAAATTACAACAAATGCAAAATTCCCAACTGTGTATGTGCGTTTAAATAATAAAACAAACCAACTGAATATTTCAACATATTTGTTCTAGCAACACAATGGAAAAGGAGGAGAAAGTCATTATTGGAAATGAAAAAGAAAACTACTGGTTTTAAACAATGCTTGTAACAACAACAAAGTACTGCTAACAGTTTGACTGACTGACTGATTTTGAGATGGGGTCTCGCTCTGTTACCCAGGTTACAGTGCAGCGGCATGCATGGCTCACCACAGCCTTGACCTCCAGGTCTTAAGGAATCCTTTCGGCTCAGTCTCCCAAGTTGCTGGGACTACAGGTGTGCACCATGATGCCTGGCTAATTTTCGTGTGTGTGGTTTTTTTTTTGTTTTGTTTTGTTTTGTTTTTACAGGGTTTTGCCATGTTGCCCAGTCTGGTCTTGACTGCCTCAGCCTCCCAAAGTGCTGGGTTATAGGCGTGGTCACACTGAGCCCAGCTAACAAATTTAACTGTGCTAAAATTTGCTAATGGCAATCACTACACTACAAGTATTTTTATTCTACACTACAAAATATTTCTACACTACAGCAGAAAGCCACACAAGTCTTCTGCTGAATTCATCTATCTGGTACCAAACTTATATGTTTCCATTACTTTCATTCTAAGGCATAGCTCTAGAATCAATTTCATATTCCATCAACATTCTATATTTGCTTCAAGACAAAAGGGAAGCATTGCTTTAAAAATAACTCTCCTCCTTATTCTGCCAAAGCATCATTTGCTAGACTATTGAAATACAACAGTTGTGTTCTAAGGTGAGAAAGAATGGGCTTCTGCCAGCTAGACAGCTGCGTCCTCAGAACAAAAACCTTTTCAAGGTTATACATTGACTCCTCCTTAACAGATGCTAGTTCTAAGACAACCAATAGTGAACACAAGACATTTATAGGTTCCTGAAGTAAACGATACATGATTTTATTTTTTCAGACAGGACAACTCTGTTGTCCAGGCTGGAGTGCAGTGGTGGGATCTTGGCTCACTGCAGCCTCAACCTCCTGGGCTCAAGCAATCCTCCCACCTTGGCCTCCCAAGTAGCTGGGACCACAGGTGTGCACCATCATAGCTGGCTAGTATTTTACTTTTTCTGTAGAGACAGAGTTCTCATAATGTTACCCAGACTGGTCTCAAACTCCTGGGCTCAAGCAATCCTCCCACCTCAGCCTCCCAAAGTGCTGGGATTATAAGCGTGAGCCATCACACCTGGGCAACAATGCACAATCTATTTTAGGTTGGTACAAAAGTAATTGCGGTTTTCGCCATTAAAAACTATTGCAAAAACCATAATTACTTTTTTTTTTTTTTTTTTTTTGAGATGGAGTTTCGCTCTTGTTGCCTGGGCTGGAGTGCAGTGGCGTGGTCTCAGCTCACTGCAACCTCCACCTCCCCAGGTTCAAGCAATTATCTTGCCTCAGCCTCCCAAGTAGCTGGGATTACAGGTGCCTGCTACTACGCCCGGCTAATTTTGTATTTTTAATAGAGATGGGGTTTCACCACGTTGGCTAGGCTGGTCTCCAGCTCCTGACCTCAGGTGATCTGCCCACCTTGGCCTCCCAAAGTGCTGGGATTACAGGCATGAGCCACCATGCCTGGCCCATAATTACTTTTGCACCAACCTCATAACAAAATTCTGATATCCCAAAAAAGAATTTCTCAGAACATCTTACTTTTAGAGATAGCATGTAATTTTTAAAAAACTTCATTGAGTCTAGCCTTCCTGAGAAAAAACTATACCATTTCATGAAAATAAGTCACAGATAACAAGTAAATGCAGTAACTGTAGTATGCTGGTTTCAGGAAGATTTCTGATTCTAACCCAGAAATAAAATGTTATCATTGATAAGATGGAAAGCATGGTCATGATAATACTTATTCTGGGTGAGTGAATACCTGACTCAATCAAAATTGGAGAAATAATTATCAACCTGCTAGTATCAACCTTAGAAATGGTGTTCTAAATCAATTGGTTCTGTCCCATTCTATATTTTCAGAGTTTTTAATTTCATTACGCACTTAACAATACATACGGGAAAATTTTCATTACAGGAAAAAAACATTTTTGACATAATATTCAATTCCTAGACAGACACCTATTATGTGTTAGATGTTAGTTATACAGATGAATATGCTTATATTTGCCCTCAAGCAATCACAAGGTTCTTAACTAAATATAAAATTACAAACAACTACTTTAAACACAATAAATGTGAATGTTACTCTTACAGTATAACAAAATGCTAAAGAAATGAGGGTGAGTTGTTCATTCTGCCTCACGTATTAAAGGCTTCAGAAGATTCTATATTCAAAACCGGGCCTGGAAATGTGAACAGAATTCTGTTAACCTAGATAAAAACAAAATAAAGATCTGAAATCTTGACAGTCTAAGGAAGGGTTTAGGAAAGAAAAGACTGTAGGCAAGAGTCAGAAGACGAAGTGACAGAAGCTGCCAATGGACTGTGATCTGCCTAAAACTGCCACACAGAAATGTCACTCTGTTCTTTAAAATCCTTTAATCATTCCTCATCATTTACAGATCAATGTGCAAACTCCAGGCACAAAATAGTCCTTCCTAGCTGTTCCTTGCTTATTATTACATATCACAGCCTATTTCCTCTATCATTTCAGCTTTTTTGTTTGTTTTTGAGACGAAGTTTCACTCTTGTTGCCCAGGCTGGGGTGCAGTAGCATGATCTCGGCTCACTGCAACCTCCATCTTCCAGTTTCAAGCAATTCTCCTGCCTCAGCCTCCTGAGTAGCTGGGATTACAGGCGCCCACCAGGCTGAGCTAATTTTTCTATTTTTAGTAGAGACGGAGTTTCGCCTTGTTGGCCAGGCTGGTCTGGAACGCCTTAACTCATGATACGCCCACCTCAGCCTCCCAAAGTGCTGGGATTACAGGTGTGAGCCACCGCGCCTGGCCCATTTCAGCATTTTTATCTGCTTATAATCTCCCCAATAAGTCATGCCTCTGAACCCTTGCAAAATGCATTTCTTTCTGCTTAGAACGTCCTTTATGCCTCTAATGAACTTTAAAAAAAATTTTTTTTGTAGAGATGGAGGTCTGGCTACATTGGACAGGCTGGTCTCAAACTCCTGGCCTCAAGCAATCCTCCTACCCCAACCTCCCAAGGTGCTGGGATAACAGATGTGAGTTACCACACTGCGCCCTTCTAATGAACTCTTGATTCTGGTTTCTCAAGAATCAGTATATCAGTGTTGCCTTCCAATAATCCCACAGAGAATAAATCCTGCTTCCTCTGTACTATCTTGTACCCATAATTCTAATTAGTGTAAAGCCAGCATAGACTTGTAATGGGTCTATCATGTTTAGGCAACAGTAAGAAGGTCCAGGATGGTCAGAGTGTGTAGAATATGGATGTGAGATCTTGATTACAGGTTCAATGTCTTGTTTATTTTCATAAATTAAAAATAAAATGTTTTTCTCACCTTGTAGCTATTGAAAATGAACAAACTGGAAACAGGAAAGTGAAAACAGACCCACAAAGCTCTGGCCCACTACAAATTCATTAGTCATCTGTATCTACACCAGTACCTGCTACTCATGTTCTTTATCCCCACCTAACAAATTTATTTCAGGTCACCACCTCTTTCAGATCCAGCCCTCACTTCACCTCCTCTTTGCAATGATTAAGTTCATCAAGGTATTGTTACCACCCAATGGGTTCACCTTGCCCACTGCCTAGACAGAACCAATTTATCAAGACAGGGGAATTGCAATGGAGAAAGAGTAATTCAAGCGGAGCTGGTTGTGTGGGAGACTGGAGTTTTATTATTACTCAAATCAGCCTGAGCATTAGGGGATCAGAGCTTTTACTGATAATTGGAGGCTGGGGCTGGGCGTGGTGGCTCATGCCTTTAATCCCAGCACTTTGGGAGGCCGAGGCGGGTGGATCACCTGAGGTCAGGAGTTTGAGACCAGCCTGACCAACATAGTGAAACCCTGTCTCTACTAAAAATTAGCTGGGTGTGGTGGCGGACGCCTGTAATCCCAGCTACTCAGGAGGCTGAGGCAGGAGAATCACTTGAACCCGGGAGGCAGAGGCTGCAGTGAGCCAAGATCACACCACTGCACTCCAGCCTGGGCAATGACAGCGAAACTCTGTCTCTAAATAAATTAATTAATTAATAAAATAAACATAATTTGAGGCCAGGCACGGAGGCTCACACCTGTAATTCCAGCACTCTGGGAGGCTGAGGCAGGCAGATCACCTGAGGTCAAGAGTTTGAGACCAGCCTGGCCAATATGGTGAGACCTCATCTCTAGTAAAAAACACAAAAATTAGCCGGGCATAGTGGCATGTGCCTGTAATCCTAGCTACTCGGGAGGCTGAGGCAGGAGAATCACTTGAACCCGGGAGGCGGGAGTTGTAGTGAGCCAAGATTGTACCACTGCACTTCAGCCTGGGCAACAGAGCCAGACTCCGCCTCAATAAAATAAAATAAAGATAATTTGGCAGGTAGGGGCTTGGGAAGAGGGGAATGCTGACTGGTCAGGTTGAAGATGGAATCATAGGGGTCAAAGTGAGTTTTTCTTGCTGTCTTGTTCCCAGATGGGATGGCAGAACTGGTTGAGCCAGATTACCGATCTGGGTGATCTCAGCTGATCCATCCAGTGCAGGGTCTGCAAAATATCTCAAGCACGGATCTTAGGTTTTACAGTAGTGATGTTATCCTCAGGAGCAATTTGGGGAAGTTCAGACTCTTGGAGCCAGAGGCTGCATGACCCCTAAACTGTAATTTCTCATCTTGTAGCTAATTTGTTAGTCCTGCAAAGCCAGGCTGGGCCCCAGGCAAGAAGGGGGTCTTTTCGGGAAATGGTTATTACCAATCTTGTTTCATAGCCAAACCATGAACTGAATTCCTTCCCGAAGTTAGTTAGGCCTACGCCCAGGAATGAACAAGGACAGCTTAAACGTTAGAAGCAAGATGGACTTAATTAGGTCTGATTTCTTTCACTGTCATCATTTCCTCAGTCATAATTTTGCCAAGGCGGTTTCAATCCCTCCCTTTGTGTTTCATAGCACCTTATTCTCAAGGTGTGGGCTACGAAGACTGGAAAAAGCCGTCAATAACTCTGGCTTCTTCCTGCTGACGGGCATCGTGGGAATAGGAGCTGACCCTAAGGTGAGAGGAGTGGAACCGCTTTGCAGCTGAGTGTATGCATGCAGGCAGGGCTGGGATTCCAAGGCCTGCATGACAAAGGCGGTAGTATTTTTATCTATAGTTTTAGTATAGCATTTAAATGGACAGTGTACTATAAGATAAATAATGAGTTTTAGGTTAAGGAGTACAACTTCCAGTTTTAAAAGTAAAGATCTGAAAGCATTAGTTTGGGGACTTACAGTCCACAAAAAATTTAGGATTTAGCCTAAAGAGAAGAAAAATAAAAACTCAAAAACAACAACAGGTGTATTATAGGCTGTTTCAGCATTATCTTTTCATCAGCTTTCCGTCTTTCTCAGCAGAAGGTATTTCTCCTAGAATGTTCTTCCTCCCATCTCTACCTATGTATATAAAACCAATTACCTATAATCCCAGCACTTTGGGAGGTTGAGGCAGGTGAATCACTTCAGGTCAGGAGCTCGAAGCCAGCCTGACCAATATACGAAATACAAAATTTGTATATTGTATATACAATACTAAAAATCTCTACTAAAAATACAAAAATTAGCTGGGCATAGTGGTGGGCCACCTGTAATCCCAGCTACTTGAGAGGCTGAGGCAGGAGAACTGCTTGAACTGGGGAGGCAGATGTTGCAGTGAGCCAAGATCATGTCACTGCACTCCAACCTGAGCAACAGAGTGAGACTCCATCTCAGAAACAACAACAACAACAAAAACCGCAATTACTGAGGAACATTTTTCCTATTCACTTAAAGAAACTCAGATCTGCCCTAACCAGCCATTCTCCAACTGCCGTGCTATCTCCTTCCTTCCATCTATTGCCAAATCTCATAGCAATCCTGCGTTTTCCCTTCAGGCACTTCCACAAACTAATCAATATTAAGCACCTACTATGTGCAAGGGACTGTAAGAGGTCCAAAAAATATGACCGTCTCCAATAATTCCTTTAGCCCTCTAAAATCTGGCTTTCAAACACACCATCCCACCAAAACTCTTTGCTTCACTTCCATCCTTTTTCTCTCTTCATGACAGCAGACTATCTTCTCATGATCTTTGACATAATTGATATGCGCCCCTCCCATCAGAGTTAGAACTGTATTTTACTCATCTTTATTCCCTCCCCACGCTATATCCAAGTAGTAAGCACTAGTCCTCACTCCCCTCCCGCCAACCATATCCATGTACTAAGCAGGCACTCTTTCCTATGCAGCCTCACTGTCACTGTAAGTCTGCAGCCTCATCATCTTGTATCTGTATTACCGTAGCAGTCTCCAGGCATGATTTTTTCTTCTGTAACAAATCAAGCATATCACCTCTAAATTAAACCTATGTATCTTTCTTTTGTTGTTTTTTTCTCTGTTGCCCACACGGGAGTGCAGTGGGATGATCATAGTCCACTGCAGCCTCTACCTCCTGGGCTCAAGCAATCCTCTCACCTCCAGCCTTCTGAATAGTTGGGGCCACAAGTGTCCACCATGACACCTGGCTAATTTCTTTTATTTTCTTTTGAAACGGGGTACCCATGTGTTGCCCAGACTAGTCAAACTCCTGGACTCAAGCTATCCTCCCACCCTGGCCTCTCAAAAGTGCTGGGATTACAGGCATGAACCACTATGCCCAGTCATGTTTCTTACTACTAAAAAATCTTGAGTGGAATAAAATACAAATACACAAAAATCAATGCATTCTTTTTAAAAAAAAAAATAACTTCCGGCCGGGCGCGGTGGCTCACGCCTGTAATCCCAGCACTTTGGGAGGCCGAGGCGGGTGGATCACCTGAGGGCAGGAGTTCAAGACCAGCCTGGCCAATATGGTGAAACCCTTTCTCTACTAAAAATAACAAAAATTAGCTGGGTGTGGTGGTGGGCGCCTGTAATCCCAGTGACTCGGAAGACTGAGGCAGTAGAATCGCTTGAACCCAGGAGGTGGAGGTTGCAGTGAGCCGAGATCGCACCACTGCACTCCAGCCTAACAAGAGTGAAACTCCATCTCCAAAAAAATTAAAAAATTTAAAGAAATTTAAAAAAATAGCTTCACTGAGCTGTAAGTCACATACCTTCACCCATTCAAAATAAACAGTTCAATGGATTTTAGTATATTCACAGATATATGCAACCATCACAAAAATCAATTTTAGAACATTTTCATCACCTCAAAAAGAAACCCTAAGCCAGGCACCGTGGCATGTGCCTGTAGTCCCAGCTACTTGGGAGGCTGAGGTGAGTGGTGCATCACTTGAGCCTAAGAGTTCAAATCCAGCCTGGACAACGTAGCAAGACACCATCCCTAAAAAAAAGAAAGTCCATATATTATAGTTGTCAACCCCTACCACCCTGTCAGTTCCCACTCACTCAGGCTGCCCTAAGCAAGCACAATCTATTTTCTTTCCCTTACAGATCTCCCTCTTCTGGAATTTCACATGAATGAAATCACATGGTCTTTTGTGACTGCCTTCTTTTAACAGAATAATGTTCTCAAAATTCATCTACGTTTTAGCAGTACGCTTCATTTCCTTTATGGCTAAATAACATCCCATTATATGGATATTACAGGTTTTATTTATCCATTTACCTATTGATGAGCATCCAGGTTATTTCTACTTTTTAACTATTATGAATAATGCTGATATGAACATCCGTTACAAGCTTTTGTGCAATATGTTTTCCATTCTCTTGGAGATATACCTAGAAATGTAACTGTTGGGTCAGGTGGTACTATATGAATAACTGCCCCACTATTATCCAAAGCAGCTGCGCCATTTTACATTCCTACCAGCAGGGTCTGAGAGTTCTGATTTGTCCATATCCTTACCAACACTTAATATTATCTGACTTTATTTCAGCCTTCTTAGTTGGTGTGAAGCTGTATCTCACTGTGGTTTTATTTTGCATTTCTGTGATGACTTATGATGTTGAGCTTCTTTTCATGTGCTTGCTGGTCATTTATATAACCTATTTGGAGAAATGTCTATAGAGATCCTTTGCCCATTTTTAAATTGGGTGTTCTTTATATAGCCTAGATACAAGTTCCTTATCAGATATATAATTTGCAAATACTTTCTCTTATTCTGTGTGACAGTCTTGTAACTTATTTGATGGTCTCCTTTGAAGGCTAAATGAAAAATTTTTCATTTTGATGAAGTCCAATTTATTTACTTTTTCTTTAGTTGCTCATGCTTTTTATATCATATGTAAGAAAGTGGTGCCAGGCCGGGCGCAGTGGCTCACGCCTGTAATCCCAACAATTTGGGAGTCCAAGGCAGGCGGAACAATTGAGGTCAGGAGTTCAAGACTAGCCTGGCAAACATGGTGAAATCCCGTCTCTACTAAAAATACAAAAAATTAGCCAGGTGTGTGGCAGGCGCCTGTAATCCCAGCTACTCCGGAGGCTGAGGCAGGAGACTGGCTTGAAGCCAGGAGGCAGAGATCGCAGTAAGCTGAGATCACGTCATTGCACTCCAGCCTGAGCAATAGAGTGAGACTCCGTATCAAAAACAAACAAACAAACAAACAAACAAAAAAACAGAAAGTGGTGCCAAATCTAAGATCTAAAGATTTACTCCTAAATGTTTGAGGTGATGGATATCTCATGTACCATGATTTGATCATTTACACATTATATACATGCATCAAAATAGCACTATGTACCCCCAAAATATGTACGACTACGATATATCAATAAAAAATTCCAAAAATTATGCCTATTTTTTTCTAAGGATTTATAGTTTTAGCTCATACTTTTAGGTCTTTATTCTGAGTTAATTTTTGCATACAGTGTGAGAGCCCAATTTCATTCTTTTGCATATGGCAATCCCACTTCCCCAAGTACCGTTTGTTAAAAAGACTATTCTTTTTAACATCTTGGCATCTTTGTCAAAAATCATCTGACCCATGACCGCATGGGTTTGTTTCTGGGTTCTCTATTCTGTTCCACAGACCTATGTGTCTATCCTTGTGCCAGTCGCACACCAACTTATTGTTGCTTTGTAGTAAGTCTTAGAATTGGAAGTGTGTGTCCTCTTAGTTATTATTTTTCAATATTGTTCTAGCTATTAAGAGTTCCTTACAATATCTTAAGAATTTTAGAATCAGCTTGTAAATTTCTACAACTATAGGTCAGCTGGAATTCTCATGGGGACTGCACTGAATGCATCAATCAATTTGAGGTGTACTGCCATCCTACCAACCTTAAGTCTTCAAATTCATGAACATGGGATGGTGTTCATGTATTTAAAAGTATAACTATATACAGTCTTACATAATTTAAAGCCTTTAGCATCTGTACAAGAAAGTAGGTATATAAAAATTGTTATCTATTAACCTTAAATGTAAATGGGCTAAATGCCCCAATTACAAGACACAGACTGGCAAATTGGATAAAGAGTCAAGACCAATTGGTGTGCTGTATTCAGGAGCACCATCTCACCTGCAAAGACACACATAGGCTCAAAATAAAGGGATGGAGGAACATTTACCAAGCAAATGGAAAGCAAGAAAAAAAAATCAAATAGACACAATGAAAAATAATAAAGAGGATATCACCACTGATCCCACAGAAATACAAACTACCATCAGAGAATACTATGAACACCTCTATGCAAATCAACTACAAAATCTAGAAGAAATGGATAAATTCCTGGACACATACACCCTCCCAAGACTAAACCAGGAAGAAGTCAAATCCCTGAATAGACCAACAAGAAGTTCTGATATAGAGGCAGCAATTAATAGGCTACCAATCAAAAAAAGCTCAGGACCAGATGGATTCACAGCCGAATTCTACCAGAGGTACAAAGAGGAGCGGTACCATTCCTTCTGAAGCTATTCCAAATAACAGAAAAGGACTCTAACTCATTTTATGAGGCCAGCATCATCCTGATACCAAAACTTGGCAGAGATAAAACAAAAAAAGAAAATTTCAGGCTAATATCCCTGATGAACATCGATGCGAAAATCCTCAATAAAATACTGGCGAACCGAATCCAGCGGCACATCAAAAAGCTCATCCACCATGATCAAGTCGGCCTCATACCTGGGATGCAAGGCTGGTTCAACATGCACAAATCAATAAACGTAATCCATCACCTAAACAGAACCAATGACAAAAACCACAGGATTGGCCGGGCGTGGTGGCTCACGCCTGTAATTCCAGCACTTTGGGAGGCCGAAGTGGGCGGATCATGAGGTCAGGAGACCGAGACCATCCTGGGTAACACGGTGAAACCCCATCTCTACTAAAATACAAAAACAGAATTAGCCGGGTGTGGTGGCAGGCACCTGTAGTCCCAGCTACTCGGGAGGCTGAGGCAGCAGAATGGCATGAACCTGGGAGGCAGAGCTTGCAGTGAGCTGAGATCACGCCACTGCACTCCAGCCTGGGCAACAGAGTGAGATTTCATCTCAAAAAAATAAACAAACACACACACAAAAAACCACATGATTATCTCAATAGATGCAGAAAAGACCTTTGATAAAATTCAACAAGTCTTCATGCTAAAAACACTCAATAAACTAGGTATTGATGGAACGTATCTTAAAATAATTTAAGAGCTTTTTATGACAAACCCACAGCCAATATCATACTGAATGGGCAAAAACTGGAAGCATTCCCTTTGAAAACTGGCACAAGACAAGGATGCCCTCTCTCACCACTCCTATTCAACATAGTATTGGAAGTTCTGGCCAGGGCAATCAAGCAAGAGAAAGAAATAAAGCGTATTCAGATGGGAAGAGAGGAAGTCAAATTGCCTCTGTTTGCAGATGACATGATTGTATATCTAGAAAACCCCACTGTCTCAGCCCAAAGTCTCCTTAAGCTGATAAACAACTTCAACAAAGTCTCAGGATACAAAATCAATGTGCAAAAATCACAAGCTTTCCTATACACAAATAATAGACAAACAGCCAAATCATGAGTGAACTCCCATTCACAACTGCTACAAAGAGAATAAAATGCCTAGGAATACAACTCACAAGAGATGTGAAGGACCTCTTCAAGGAGAACTACAAACCATTGCTCAACAAAATAAGAGAGGACACAAACAAATGGAAAACATTCCATGCTCATGGGTAGGAAGAATCAATATCATGAAAATGGCCATACTGCCCACAGTAATTTATACATTCAATGCTATCCCCATCAAGCTACCACTGACTTTCTTCACAGAATTAGAAAAAACTACTTTAAATTTCATATGGAACCGAAAAAGAGCCCGTATAGCCAAGACAATCCTAAGCAAAAGAACAAAGCTTGAGGCATCACACTACCTGACTTCAAACTATACTATAAGGCTATAGTAACCAAAACAGCATGGTACTGGTACCAAAACAGACATACGGACCAATGGAAAAGAACAGAGGCCTCAGAAATAACACCACACATCTACAACCACCTGATCTTTGACAAACCTGACAAAAACAAGGAATGGGGAAACGATTCCCTATTTAATAAATGGTATTGGGAAAACTGGCTAGCCATATGCAGAAAACTGAAACTGGACCCCTTCCTTAACATCTTACACAAAAATTAACTCAAGATGGATTAAAGACTTAAACATAAAACCTAAAACCATAAAAACCCTAGAAAAAAACCTAGGCAATACCATTTAGGACATAGGCATGGGCAAAGACTTCATGACTATATCACCAAAAGCAATGGCCACAAAAGCCAAAATTGACAAATGGGATCTAATTAAACTAAAGAGCTTCTTTTTATTTTGCCCAGCAAAAGAAACTATCATCTGGCAAACTACAGAATGGGAGAAAGTTTTTGCAATCTATCTATCTGACAAAGGGCTAATATCCAGAATCTACAAGGAACTTAAACAAATTTACAAGAAAAAAACAAACAACCCCATCAAAAAGTGGGTGAAGGATATGAATGGACACTTCTCAAAAAAAGACATTTATGCAGTCAACAAACATATGAAAAAAAGCTCATCATCACTGGCCATTAGAGAAATGCAAATCAAAATCACAATGAGATACCATCTCATGCCAGTTAGAATGGCCATCAATAAAGTCAGGAAACAACAGGTGCTGGAGAGGATGTGGAGAAATAGGAATGCTTTTACACTGTTAGTGGGAGTGTAAATTAGTTCAACCATTGTGGAAGACAGTGTGGCAATTCCTCAAGGATCTAGAACCAGAAATATCACCTGACTCAGCAATTCCATTACTGGGTATATACCCAAAGAATTATAAATCATCTTACTGTAAAGACACATGCACATGTATGATTACTGCAGCACTATTCACAATAGCAAAGACTTGGAACCAACCCAAATGCCCATCAATGATAGACTGGATAAAGAAAATGTGGCACATATACCCCATGGAATACTATGCAGCCATAAAAAGGATGAGTTCACGTCCTTTGCAGGGACACAGATGAAGCTGGAAACCATCATTCTCAGCAAACTAACACAGGAACAGAAAACCAAACACCACATGTTCTCACTCATAAGTGGGAGCTGAACAATGAGAACACACAGACACAGGGAGGAGAACATCACACACCAGGGCCTGTCGGGGGGTGGGGGGTTAGGGGAGGGATAGTATTAGGAGAAATACCTAATGTAGATGACGGGTTGATGTGTACAGCAAACCACGATGGCACGTGTATACCTATGTAATAAACCTGCACGTTCTGCACATGTATCCCAGAACTTAAAGTACAATTTAAAAAAAGGAAAAAAAATTGTTATCTATTGGTTAATTGACCAAACATTTCCCAATTTAAAACTTATAAGGGTTTTACATTAAAGCTATTTACCAATACTAAGCTCTTAAACAAGTTTACTGTCGTATTTTCAAAGAAAAAACTTAAAAATTAGATAGAAATTTCTACCTGATACCTTTGTCATTCACTGAAAGGCCTTCTCACCCTATTTAATTTTTTTTCTTTAAAGGAAGAAGACGGCTAACTATAATCACTAGTGACCCTTATCCTAGACCCTTATCGTAATGGGAAATGAGTATGTGCTTCATTCAATTTCTAAAATCAATTCTAAATCTTCTCCCAGAATCACAGTAGACTGGTTGAGAAAATAAATCTGAAAAGGGGAAATCATTTCTTCTTTTTTAGAAATTATTATTCTTCTGGACTATTTTTTCCTTTAGTGACAATTTAGTAAAACAGGCCAATGACCACTTTATATCCATGCACGTACCTAGAGTTAGGTTAATAAGTACGATTTCACCTACAGAATTGGAAAGACAGTTGTTCCTTTTTTTTGAGATGGAGTCTCGCACTGTCACCCGGGCTGGAGTGCAGTGGTGCGAATTCAGCTCGCTGCAACCTCTGCCTCCTGGGTTCAAGCGATTCTCCTGCCTCAGCCTCCCAAGTAGCTGGGATTACAGGCGTCCGCCACCACACCCAGCTATTTTGTATTTTTAGTAGAGACGGGGTTTCACTATGTTGGCCAGACTGGTCTCAAACTCCTGACCTTGTGATCCGCCCACCTCGGCCTCCCAAAGTGCTGCGATTACCGGCGTGAGCCACTGCACCTGGCCCAATTGTTCCTTTTTCTTTTTTTTTGAGACGGAGTCTTGCTGTCACCCAGACTGGAGTGCAGTGGCGCGATCTCAGCTCACTGCAATCTCCACCTCCCAGGTTCAAGTGATTCTCCTGCCTCAGCCTCCTGAGTAGCTGGGACTACAGGCGCATGCCACCACGCCCGGTTAATTTTTGTATTTTTAGTACAGATGGGTTTCACCATGTTGGCCAGGCTGGTCTCGAACTCCTGGCCTAAGGGTTCTGTCTGCCTCAGCCTCCCAAAGTGCTGGGATTACAGGCATAAGCCACTGCACCTGGCTGACAACTGTTCTTGTTTCACAAAAAGTCCAATCTATATCTCCAGCTGTTTCACTACAATTGTCCCCATGAGAGACCAGCTAGTTTATAAATTTGATCAAGCATCACATACACCCAGCTAAGCATACAAAGTTTAGGAAACCATTCCAGATCAGTAACTAGCCATTTGTTCCACCACTTTAAAAGCTAGTGTTGTTTCTCCTCCATACTGCACTGCGTTTTTAAAAACCTCTTTTTTTTTTTTTTACAAATTCTACTCTCCTACTATCAGCTTGTCCATCAACAACCCTGAAACTTCATACTTCAAACATTAGGTAATAAGAAATTTCTTTCCAGTCTCTTACACAGCAATCTCAGGCTTTTCACCACATATCCAATGATATTTTAATGAAATAGTAAACAAAACTCTTAAGATTCCTATCAAATAAGAAATGAGTATGAAAACTATCCTCACAAAATATCTCATGTTGGAATGTCTGATAAACCCTCAAGAAGCACTTACAGGAAGAAAATTTAGATGCTTTCAAGTTGTCCAGAATCAAAAACCCTAAAAATATACATTCTTATAGACAAAGATAACAAATACACGTAATGATGACTTCAAAACACTTCAAGAAATCCTGAGTCTTTGATTAATTTTATCATATTCTAATATTTTAAAATGTATAATGTACATATCTAATACATTCCAAATTATTAAGTTAATCAGAACATCCATTTAAACAAACTCTCCAATTCCTTATACTCTCACTTGGTGAGTTTAAGGTCTTCCCGAGCTTATTCAATTATGTATTACAGCAGCACGTAGGCTATCACTTTGCCCAAAGAGACTTTTTAAATTGAATTTTGGGTAGATGAGTGTGTACTAAAAAGTCTGTGGGGAGAAAAGACATTAAGGAATATCCTATGAAGCTCACATCAAATGATGTAATTTACCGTTAAGTCTTTGAATGCAGAACAAAGACATGAGAAAGAGATTTGGTATTAGCAAGCAACTCAGAAAAATATTCAACTGCCCAAAACCAAAAAGCCAACCTTTTCTTCCCCTCCTCCACCCAAAAAGTCCTGTAAAAAAATAAGCTAACCCCTTTCAAACATGTCAGATTGTTTCACACTGAGTTATGATTATATATTTCTGAAAAAAAAAAAATCTATCCAAAATGCAAATATAATTACAACAGCCTGTCTTGAGATAAAGACTACAGTGTATGAAAAACCTACAATGCAAAATACTTCAGGAGCAAAGAGACAGGCAGTCAGAGCTGAGGGGTATGAAGAAAGTCCTTTTTCTCACTTCACCTCATTAATGTCTGCAAGTAAACCAAATTGTGGGGAAATATTTATTTAGAAGAAAGTAAGGAGAGTTTTAAAAAATACAGAAGTGCATAGAAGCTAAAAGTCTTACAGTACACATTTAAGTGTTGTTATTCTCAAAGATTCACAACGTTTTAATAATGGTTCAACAAGGATTGTCAGAAATCCACTAGACTACATCATGTGCTGCCATCACAAAGAACACATAGAAAGACACATGAAACAGACTCATGCCAATAACTGCCCTGTCATTTAAATGTTTCAGGTAATCGCCACTAATTCCAAAGAGAAATACCACCAATCCAAGTACTTTTGGTCTACGGTTATCTGATCCATGTACCTGAATGTTACAGTGCCTGATCTATACTAACCCATAATACCTTTACTTATTTCCATCCAGAAGTTACCAATACAAAGCTTTTAAACAAACAAACAAAGACAGTAATCGCAAACAGAATTTGGAGCTCAGCAAGACCTACTTACTGGCAAGTCCACACTAACATCAGTACCATCCAGAAGGGACACCCGACACGTGATGATGGACTTAGAATCTCCAGCTGCAGGAATATGTGTGGCGGCGCGTTGTGCTTCTCGGAGTCGTTCCTTCTCTGCATGTTTACGCATAGACCGACGCCCTAGTGTTCTACGGAAGAAACTCAGCATTTTTGTCACTATAAAAACAGAGAGAAAAAGATGGCATCAGGAAAAAAATGAGATTCTCCACAACTTGCAGTCAGTCAAATGGCATTATTTAGTCAAGTCCTGTGAACATTAGTAGAAATGCTACTAAAAAGGACACCTGGGCTGGGTGCAGTGACTCACGCCTGCAATCTCAACACTTCGGGAGGCCTAGGCAGAAGGACTGCTAGAGCCCAGGAGTTCAAGACCAGCCTGGGCAACATAGTGAGAACTAATCACTACTAAAAATAAAATTAGCCAGGTGTGGTGGTGCATGCCTGTGGTCCCAGCTACTTGAGGGGCTGTGAGGCAGAAGGATCACTTGACCCCAGGCAGTCAAAGCGGCAGTGAGCTGGGATTGCGCCACTGCATTCCAGCTCAGGCAACAGAGCAAGACCCTGTCTCAAAAAATAAGTAAATAAAAAACAAAAAGGGCTCCTGGTCAAGTAAATTTGAAAAAAAAAATCATTAAAACTGGCTTTTCATAAATATTTCAAGACATATTATAAATGATAAATATACACAATTTTTGTCAATTAAAAAGTAAATTAATTAATTTAAAAAGCTGGTTACTTTAATTCAAAGTTTTAAAAGACTTGTATGTATAAGACACAGCCACAGTTTGGAGCTTTCTAAATTTACCGGACCATTTTATCAGGAACTGATTTGGCAGGAGAAGGCAAACATTCATGAAGTTCATCAGGTCTTCTAAATAGATAAATTATATGTACAACATCTTGTATATCCCAAGATGATGTCAGACACTAAGGTATCCTTTGATGATCATAAAAATTCTGAGAAGTGGCCGGGCGCGGTGGCTCACGGCTGTAATTCTAGCACTTTGGGAGGCCAAGGCAGGTGGATCACGAGGTCAGGAGATCGAGACCATCCTGGCTAACATGGTGAAACCCCGTCTCTACTAAAAAAAAATACAAAAAAAAATTAGCCGGGCGTGGTAGCAGGCGCCTGTAGTCCCAGCTACCGGGAGGCTGAGGCAGGAGAATGGCATGAACCCGGGAGGTGGAGCTTGCAGTGAGCCGAGATGGCGCCACGGTACTCCAGCCTGGGCGACAGAGCAAGACTCCGTCTCAAAAAAAAAAAAAAAATTGGCCGGGTGTGGTGGCGGGTGCCTGTAGTCCCGGCTACTGGGGAGGCTGAGGCAGGAGAATGGCGTGAACCCGGGAGGCGGAGCTTGCAGTGAGCTGAGATGCCTCACTGCACTCCAGCCCGGGTGGCAGAGGGAGATTCTGTCTCAAAAAAAATCCTGAGAAGTTCCATTTCTTTTCTGAGCATTCATAATAAAAACACAAAAACAATCACCTATTTCAGCTAAAATACAGATATAATTCAAATTTCCTAAGTTTTGTCAAATATTCTATTACATACAGATTTTAAATAACTACTTAACATAAATCTTTTTAATGTCAAAGTACTTTAATGCTTTTTTCCTTAACTCTATAAAGAACATTAATGTTAATCAAAACAGTTAAAACAGGTTTTAAAACATAGCACACTAAATGGAAACACAAAATCAAAGTCACTTTGCTATCCTCATGTGTTTCATTTGCACAACAAAGAGAGTTTAAGTACACATAAGCCAACAAATAAGCCAAAAAGACTATTAATTCCAAAGAAAACAAGAAGCTGTGCAGAAAAGGAAAAGTAAATCACAATACACTACATGACTCAGCTGCTAATGATTTCAATGTCAAATACTAAATACTGATCGAACAATAACCACAACAGACAGGAGGTACATAATAAGAGGTAGGGGATACAGATATGGAAAGAGCTAATTCCTCATGATGCGTAACAGCAAGCCAACAGGTCATTACTAGAATTTAAAAATCAACAATTAGCAGTAAGAGCATTTGATTTAAAATGTGAAAATGATTGCCTCAGGAGAGGGAGCAAAAGAATTCAGGAGAATGCTGTTTTTCAAGAGAAGCCTTCAGATAAAATGACTTTTTCAACTAGATTTATTTATAAACCCGATAAAATCCGATTTTTAAGATAGTACCATATTAAAATGTCTATACACTGAAGATTAGCCTACACATTTTACACATGTATACTCTTGCGTAATTAGGTAAACTAATCCCAAGGAAATAACTAAAATTTTAGTTAGATAACTTTCCAGTGTTCCAAACACTCATATATAATACCTGGTCCCAGTCTCTTTCTCCAGATTTTTTTTTCCAGGTATTTCTCCCTTTGGAACTTGCTATCCAGTCTCATTTCAGCTGCCTAAGACTGTACTTGTTATCCCAGATTTCTAAAATCCTGTGTCACAGAATCCCTACATATTCCTTTTAACTCCACCAATATCTCCCAAGAAACATTTTATGATATCCCACCAGTGCACTCCAACCTGAGTGAGACTGAGACTCTACATCAAAAAAAGAACAAAGAGCAAGATACGAAAAAGTCCTAAAAGATAATTTAAAAGATGTTCATAAAAACGAACACCTTTAACAGTATCCAAGAAAATCCAAATGAAAAAAAATAAGATATTGTCTGTCATTTAAAGACTCAAGATAGTGTAAAAAAGAATGTGAGAAAAAATAATCCTCCTACGTTGGCCTTTTTTGGAGGGAGACTTGACCATGCTATTAATATTTTTTTAATTCTTTTTTTTTTTGAGACAGTCTCAACCTAGTCCCCCAGGTTGCAGTGCAATGGCGCGATCTCGGCTCACTGCAACCTCCACCTGCCGGGTTCAAGAGATTCTCTTGCCTTGGCCTCCTGAGTAGCAGGGATTACAGGTACCAGCCACCACGCCCAGCTAATTTTTGTGCTTTTAGTAGATACTGGGTTTCACCATGTTGGCCAGGCTGGTCTCAAACTTCTGACCTCAGGTGATCCGCCCGCCTCGGCCTCCCAAAGTGCTAGGATTACAGGCGTAAGCCACCTCGCCGGACCAATACTAGAAATTTTAACATGCATATTCCTTACTCAACAGTTCTATTTCTGGAAGGATAACCTAAAGAAAAAAAATCACACATGTGCTTTAAGTTGTAGGAACAGGATTTTTCGGAGCATAACTGATTTAAGAAAATTTTAAATGTGTTCATCAATGTGCAAACAGTTAAACAAGTTATGGTACACACAACAGCATACAATACAGTTGTTTTATTTTTATGTTTTTTTTTTTTTTTTTTTAGAGACAGTCTCACTCTAGCACCCAGGGCTCACTGCGGCCTTCATCTACCATGCTCAAGGGATTCTCCCACCTAGGGCTACGGGCACATACCATCCCACCGGGCTAACGTTTTTTCAATGATTTTTTGTAGAGACAGGGTCTTGCTACTTAGCCAGGTTTGTCTCAAACTCCTGGCCTCAGGGAATCGGATTCCTCCCACCTCAGCCTCCCAAAGTGCTGGGATTACACGCATGAGGCACCAAGCCCAGCCATAATACAGTTGTTTTAAATAAATAGTTGACTTAGATATGACAAAATTTCTAAGTGAAAAATCAAATCACAGAACACTGAAGAGAGTTTCATCCTACACGGAGATGGGATACATGCACACACACAGACACGCTAAACAGACACACACGTAAACTGTTGAGATTCTCTCTGAAGAGGGGCATGTCAGAAGTCACAACAAGAATATATGGCTGGGTACAGTGGCTCATGTCTGTAATCCCAGCACTTTGGGAGGCTAAGGCGGAACTGTTGGAAGCCAGGAGTTCAAGACCTGCCTGGGCAACACAGCAAGACCCCACCTAATTTTTTTTTTTTTTTTGAGTCTCGCTCTGTTGCCCAGGCTGAAGTGCAGTGGCGCGATCTGGGCTCACTGCAAGATCTGCCTCCCGGGTTTACGCCATTCTTCTGCCTCAGCCTCCCAAGTAGCTGGGACTACAGGTGCCCGCCGCTACGACCGGCTAATTTTTTGTTATTTTTTTTAGTAGAGGCGGGGTTTCACCGTGTTAGCCAGGATAGTCTCCATCTCCTGACCTCGTGATCCGCCCGCCTCGGCCTCCCAAAGTGCTGGGATTACAGGCGTGAGCCACTGCGCCTGGCCTAATTTTTTTTAATGGAAAAAAAAAATAATATGAATGGATCACTAAAAGTTGTGGGTTTTTTTTTTTTTTAATGATTGTGAAAAAAGTTTTCTCATACTCACTTTTCCCCTCCCACCTGCACTCTTCCAATTGCGCTCTTCATGTTGCAGCCACTGGATTTTTGGCAACCACAAATCTGATCCCTGTTCTAAAATCTTTAATGGCCCTGGTCCTAGATGCAGCTCCTCCTACTTGCCTGACCCATCTGTCAGCCTACTCCCCTCTGTTTGCTCTGCTCTTGTACTCTTGCTGCTCGGCCGGAGAGTCTTTTTAATTCTGGACCATTTTTCATTAGCTGTTCCACCTTTCTGGATTGCTCTTTTTCCAGTTGACCTCTCTTCCACCCGCTCCCATTTCACTGGACTAACTTCAGACTTATAGTTGAAATGTCTTATTCTCAGAAAAGCAATCTCAGACTTGTGAGTCTAAATTCGACATCTCTTTCAGTACTCTTAGCCTTTTCTTTATAACAAAGAAATTGTAATTAAATATCTGTTAATTATTATCTTTTTTACTGACTACTTCCCCCACTCACACACAAGGACAAAGACTTCGTCTGGCTTGTTCACTACTTTGGCCCAACAGCTGGCTTAACCCGCATCTCGCCTGACACACTAGAATGACACAGTGGAATTTTTGGATGGTAGGTTTATGTGGCTTCCAAAAAACAGTAGTTTCTACTCTAGTTCCTAACTAGAAGGATTTCCTTTAGAATCATAAAATGCAAATTTAAGCAATCCTATCAGAAGTTGGTTAAAAAAAGTACCCAAAACCCAAAAGTTAGTCATGAAATATGTATACTCTTACATGACTGGTGGCCACAATATGGTTGGTTAATTGCTTTTTGATAAAGCAATATAACATACAGCAAATGCCATTTAAGGTAACACTATATTTTGTCCCAGTATTCCCAATAAAGAAAATGCAAGCGAGTAATTCAACAGCAGTTACGCATATCGTTTTCGAATAATGTTAACCTATTTTCTAAAGCCTGCACAGCATATTACATGCACAAATAATCCAACAAGGTTAACTAGAGCTCAGCAACGGGTTATGTTAGAAACTGAGTTAATGCAGTTGTGGGTTACATTACAAATGTACACGGTTATGGGAATTTTCCCCGTAATTCTTTAAAAACTTTTAATATTAGTCTAAAATATTGCCAAACGTTTTAAGAGTTGGGTCTCGCTCTTAGGTAGAATTCGAGTAACCACAGACACAATTAACATTTACACACCAAAGAACCCATCATTAGCACGACAACCGTCCCGGGTGGGGGCGGGGCGGGACCTTCAGACCTCGTCTTTCATGGGAACACACCTGCCTCTCCTTTCCCAAGAGACTGAAGTTTTTCTCAAATACAGGTTAGCTCGAAAAGTCCACCAAGACAGTGACACAAACTCAGTTCGTTTTTCCCCTTCCCTTGCGACTTTTGTCTCTCCCGCTGGACGGCAGCCCAGCGGACCAGCGAGGGGTACCCGCGGCTCGGGGAGCGCGTCCGCTCGGCAAACATTAACCCGGCTGCCCCGGGCCCTCCGCCCCGGCCCGTCGCGCGGTATCGACCGAAACTCGGCGGCCCTGCCTCATTGGCCGCCGCCGCCCCTCCCTCCGGCGGGATTAATGCCCTGCCGGCCCGACGAGAGAGGGGCCGGCCGCCCTAGGGTCTGGGTGCGGCCCCCGCCCGCCTCCCCGGGGACAAGGCCGCTACCGCAGGCGCGGGCGAGGAAGGGTCCACTCGGCTAGGAGCGCAGCGGACTGTACTGCGGCGCCGCCGCCGGGCCTCGCGCTTACCTGAGCTGGGGACGGCGCAGCCCCGGCGACCAGAGCGGGGAAGAGCCGAGCAAGGCTGAGAAAGGGGCGGCTCCTCGGTAGACGCCGAGAAATGGCGCCCACAACGAGCCCACCGGCTCTAATCCCCGGAGGACCCCGACCTCCCGCCCGTCCACCCCTTAAAGCTCCCTCCCAGCTCCGCCCCCAGGGCGGAGCGCTCCGCTCTTAAACGGGCGATGACACCGCCCCGGAAATTGGCCGGCGCGGCGACTGGAGAGAAACCGGCGAGGCCGGGCCCGGCCGGGCTGGAACTAGCGCCAGCAGCCGGGCGTCCGCGGCTGGTTTAAAGGGGCGCTGCCGAAACCCAGTTCCCGCTGCGGCCCTCCGCCCGCGGAGGAGGCGCCCGTCCGCAGACAGACCCCAGTTAGTCCTATCACGAAGGAGGCTGGTGGAGCTGGCTGCTAGATTCATTCATCCATTCGTTCAAGAGATTAAATCCTTCGCAAATACTTATTGAGAGCCTGTCACGTATTTCCTCCCTTTTTCTCCTTTGTAGGGATTAAAATACATTTAAATCTCTGCTGTTAAAGTGACTTTCACTCTACTGGGGAAACAGTAAACAAATAGGTGTCACAAGGTGATTAAGTGTAAATGAGGAAAAATAAAACTGGGAAAGAGAAATAAAAGATTACTGCTTAGCAGAGTGTGGTCAGGAGGGTACTCTAACAAGGTGACATTCAGTCCGTTCATTCTACAGGTAATTGATTGAAGTGCCTACTTACTGTGAGTTCTGTGTTCTAGACACGAGATACGACAGACAACCAAGACAGACAAAAATCCTTCCCGGAGTTTACGTTATAGCAGGAATATAAACGAGACATAAAATAAACGAGATAAATTAGTGAAATTAAATACTGTCAGACATTGGTAAATGCTAAAAAGAAAAGTACAAGTAGGGAATAACCACAGGCAGTGAGGGTTTGCGATTTTACATAGCAGGTCACAATAAGAAGGTGGCATTTGGCTGGGCGCGGTGGCTCACTCCTGTAATCCCAACACTTTGGGAGGCCGAGGCGGGCGGATCACGAGGTCAGGAGATCGAGACCAGCCTGGCCAACACTGTGAAACTCCGTCTCCACTAAAAATACAAAAATTAGCTGAGCCTGGTGGCGTCCGACTGTAGTCCCAGCTACTCAGGAGGCTGAGGCAGGGGAATCGCTCGAACCCGGGAGGCGGAAGTTGCAGTGAGCCCAGATCACGCCACTGCACTCCAGCCTGGCGACAAAGCCAGACTCAGTCTCAAAAAAAAAAAAAAAGGTAGCATTTGAATGAAGACCTAGAGGAGGTGTGGGAGGAACCCTGTGGCCATCTGGGGAGAACCGAAGGGAACAGCAAGGGCAAAAGGCCCTGCAAGGGGACAGGTCTGTCTTTTCAAGGAAGTCCAGTGTGGCTAGAAGTGAGGAAGCAAGAGGAAGAGGAGGTGACAGTCAGAGAGGAAAGGGGTAAGATGTAGGGCCTTGTGGGCCCTGGCTAGAGCTCTGAGAGAGGTGGGGGAGCCACTGGAAGGTGTTACCTTGAGGACCCTCTGCTTGCTGAAATGAAAAGAGACAAATACTCATTGAGCTTCTTCTCGGGATTTGGCACTGCCCACTCCTCCACCACCCCAAAACGTAGTAGACAGGCTTGGCAGCTCATCTCTGCCCCATGTGGTGTTGGCTGGGCAGCTCAACAGGTGCTGGAGCTGCCAAGGTGGTTTCACTGGTCTGTGTGGCATCTCCGCTGGGGTGGCTGCAAAGAACAGCTGAGTTCTGCCTGGGCTACTCTCTTGCAGATCCGCTGGTGTGGCAAAACAGTGAAAACAGAAGCTCTGAGGCCTATGAAGGGCTATGCCCAGCAGTCACGGAGCGTCCCTTCTGCTGCCTGTTAATGGTTTAAGCAAATCACAGAGGCCGCCCAGTTTCAAGGAGATGAAAGAGACTCTACCTCTTTTTTTTTCTTTAAATATTATTAAAATAGAGAAATTTTCCTTCTCCACCTTTTAAAAACATCTTTATTGAGATATAATGCACCCACTTAAAGTGTACACTTCCATGGCTTTGGGTATTTTCACAGAGTTGTAGAACCACAAACCACAATCTAATTGTGGAATATTTTCATCACTCTTCATGAGAGGAGCAGCATGGGTGTTCAGGGATGGGAGGAATTGTTGCTGGTCATCTTGCATCTTTATCTCAACAAAAAAACGAAATGATATGGCAGGGGGAAGCAGCAATGGTATAGATGAAACAAGAATGGGCCATAAACTGAGGCTGGGTGATGGGGACGTTAAACTATTCTATCTAAAATTTTTCATAATAAAGTCCTTTAGACCGAATGTGGTGGCTCATGCCTGTAATCCCAGCACTTTGGGAGGCCGAGGCAGGAGGATCACTTGAGGTCAGGAGTTCGAGACCAGCCTGACCAACATGGTAAAACCCCGTCTCTACTAAAAATACAAAAATTAACTGGGTGTGATGGCACATGCTTGTAATCCCAGCTACTAGGGAGGCTGAGGCAGGAGAATCTTTTGAACTCAGGAGGTGGAGGTTGCAGTGAGCTGAGATTGCACCATTGCACTCCAGCCTGGACGACAGAGACTCTGTCTGAAAAAAAAAAAAAGAGTATTTAAAAAAATACCACCTGGACACCTGTAATCCCAGCATTTTGGAAGGCCAAGGCTCAAGAGTTCTAGCTCAGGAATTCGAGATTGGCCTGAGCAACATGGTGAAAACCGTCCCAGCTACTCAGGAGGCTGAGGCAGGAGAATCGCGTGAATTCAGGAGGCGGAGGTTTCAGTGAGCTGCTTTCTCTGCACTGCACTCCAGCCTGGGCAATGCGAGTGAAACTCTGTCTAAAAACAAAACAAAACAAAAAACAACAAACAAACCCACCTGGGCCAGGTACCCCGAAAAGCATTCCTTCTTCCCAGGGGTCTGATTAGCCAGTTGGAAAACTGCAGGGTCTTCAGTGCCATCCCCTCAGCCTGTCCAGACTGTCTCTTTCCATGTTTACCTGATGTTTACTCATTTGAAAAGTTCTGGTTTATCTGATTACAGATCAGAAATGGAAGTGAATTCTGTCAATACTTATAAACATATCTTATTCTCCTAAATTGTTGAAAAGCATACCAGTTTTGAAAAACAGTGTCCTCTTCATCCATCCTGCTCAATCTTTTTTTCTATCTCCTATCAAAGATGGAACTGGGGCTGGGCACGGTGGCTCATGCCTGTAATCCCAGCACTTTGGGAGGCCGAGGCGGGTAGATCACCTGAGGTCGGGAGTTCGAGACCAGCCTGACCAATAAGGTGAAACCCTATCTCTTCTAAAAATACAAAAATTAGCCAGGCGTGCCAGTGTGTGCCTGTAGTCCCAGCTACTCGGGAGGCTGAAGCAGGAGAATCACTTGAACCCAGGAGGCGGAGGTTGCAATGAGCTGAGATGGCGCCACTGCACTCCAGGCTGAGTGACAGACCAAGACTCCATCTCCAGAAAAAAAAAAGGTGGAACTGAAGGAGGCTGTGGATGAGGTTAGAGAAATCTGTTGAGAAAGATGGTTATAGGCTAAAGGAAATATGAAGACTTGAGGAAAGGAGGATGAAACTTAAGGGCCCAAGTCATAGAAAGTTGTTCATGTTCTAATTATGTGAAATTATTCCTAATAACAAATCATTGTCTCCCCAGATCCTCTCTTCTAGACATAGGGACCCTCTGTAACACACGTTTCGTGATAAATTCACCAGAAAATTGACTTCTGCCAGAGACAGAGAAAGCCCTCTCCTTAAATATAGCTGTATCAAGGAAAAATGCATTTGGCTGGAAGTAATGGGAAATTTTAACTGTTATTTGAAAAATAAGGAGTTTATTTTTCTCACATAAGTAATCTAGAGGTAGGCAGCTATTAGTACTGGTTCTGCTCCTCAACAATGCTGTAAGGATCCTAAACCCCTTTACCATTTCTGCTTTGCCACCCTTAGCATGTTGACCTTGGTTTTCATGCTTCTAGCATACTGGCCACAGGACGGATGCTTATCTCCAGCTTTCTTGAGTTTCAGGAATAAAAGGGAAGGGGAAAAAGACCTTTACCTGAAGCCTTGTCTTTTAATTCAGAGAAGAAAGTACCAGCACCCCCTGTCTCCGGCCAGAACTACACTACCTGCCCTAACTCAGACCAATTAAAGGCCATAGGGAAAGAGAATACCATGACTGGCTTAGACCAGTCAGGATTCACCCTTGGGAGCTGGAGACCAAGGGCTCTCCTTAACTTTCTGAACAAATCCAAATTCTATTAGCCTCAAAGAGAGAATGTTGCTGAGACAAATAACTGTGGGTAGCTATAGAAGGTGCCTACCAGCCTGGCACGGCGGCTCACGCCTGTAATCCCAGCACTTTGGGAGGCCGAGGTGGGTGGATCACGAGGTCAGGAGATTGAGACCAGCCTGGCCAACATGGTGAAACCCCGTCTCTACTAAAAAAATACAAAAATTAGCTGGGCGTGGTAGTGGGCGCCTGTAATCCCAGCTACTTGGTAGGCTGAGGTAGGAGAATCGATTGAACACCAGAGGTGGAGGTGCAGTGAGCCGAGATCGCGCCACTGCACTCCAGCCTGGCAACAGAGTGAGACTCCTCTCAAAAAAAAAAAAAAAGAAGGTGCCTACCAAAACCCACTTCCTGGTGGCATTGTCTTGGCCCATGGAAAGATTTTCTTTTACTGAACTAATATATTGAACAAATACCCTCACGTGAGATTTTCACTTCTATCCTAGGTCCTGGTTTGCTCTCTGGTTCCACACAGATAGGGGTATATCCAGTTTTTGTGTAACTCATATACTGTAATTTGATGGTGGGGGAAGAGGTCTTTAGTTGGAATAACACAAATTTAAAGATTCAAAATTAGGTACAGCGTCTTGGAAGGAGGCCACACAATAGCCCTAAAGCTTAAACCAGATTTATCTTCACAGTAAATCTACCTCTACCCCTAAGAAATAACATAATCTCTCTTTCACATCACAACCCTTTAAATCATTGAAGACACTTGTCCCAAGCCTGCAAAATCTTCTCTTGTTCTGATTTCCAGGCTCTTTGCTTCCTTAGTCAGCCTTCTCTGAACTGGTCCACCCTGGTGAGGCCATTCATTCGTGTCAAAGTATGCTGAACAGATTGGCTTAGAGAGAATTCCGACATAAGAATCAGTTCTCTTGGAGACTGAAGTGGCCCTGCATTCCAAAAGAACAGTGATGGCCATGATGATATGGTAGGGAGGAAGCAGCGAATGTACCGGTGAAACAAGATTGGGCCATGAAAAGAAAATACCCTCAGAAGAGTGAGTATCATGAAGAATTTGTTTCTCAAACACTGAATCTAGGAGAGCATTATCTATTTAAAAGATGTGTACAAATAAAATAAATCAACAAACAAAACCACGCTGGTCATTGTGGCTCATGTCTGTAATTCCAGCACTTTGGGGAGGCCGAGGTGGGCGGATCACGAGGTCAAGAGATCGAGACTATCCTGGCCAACATGGTGAAACCCCGTCTCTACTAAAAATACAAAAATTAGCCGTGTGCGGTGGTGCGTGCCTGTAGTCGCAGTTACTCCGGAGGCTGAGGCAGGAGAATCGCTTGAACCTGGGAGGCGGAGGTTGTGGTGAGTCTGAGCCAAGATAGCGCCACTGCACTCCAGCCTGGCAACAGAGCAACACTCCGTCTCAAAACAAAACAAAACAAAACTAAACTAAACTAAAACCAGTCATAAGAAACTCCCATGGCCAGGCACAGTGGCTTACGTCTGTAATCCCAGCACTGTGAGAGGCCGAGGCAGGCAGATCACCTGAGGTCAGGAGTTCAAGACCAGCCTGACCAACATGAAGAACCCCTGTATCTACTAAAAATAAAAATTAGCCAGGCATGCTGGTGCATGCCTGTAATCCCAGCTACTTGGGAGGCAGAGGCAGGAGAATCGCTTGAACTCAGGAGGCGGAGGTTGCGGTGAGCCCAGATGGCGCCATTGCACTCCAGCCTGAGCAACGAAAGCGAAACTTCATCTCAAAAAAAAAAAAGAAAAAAAAGAAACGCCCATAAGAGAGACAATTTTATTAGCATATTGCAAGGAGCCTGGAGTTTGATTTGGAAGCTAAAAGGCCCCAAACAAGTTTAAGTCCTGTAAAATGAAGATGATGCCAGCTTCCCCACAGAATAGTTATGAGCCTTACACAAAGTAAATCATCTAACATGTTTTCAAAATCATGCAATACTACATATAAGACAATGCAAATTTTACAGACCTAGGAGCAAAGATAACCTTTGTGCTACAAGTGGAAGACTAGGATCTCCTGAAATGGAGCCACGGCCCAAGCCTACTTTCACGTGATTTGGTGGCTCCCTTTTACCCAGCTAAATCTTTTCTGAGCCGGAATCGCATGTTTGAAATTCCACCCTTCCCTTCTTTGCAAATATTCCTGGGAGGAGTAAGACCTTAAACTAATTCATACTAAATGATTAGCCACATTGGCTAATTGAAGGACACACTAACAGAATGGGGGAAGGCAGGGGTTGGAAGTATGCAGAGAAGAGACATGGAAGGATGAGTTGGAGACAAGTCATTTCTTTCTCCAAAGCCTCCAGGCTTTCCCCCTACTTCTGGCTACTCAGGGCAAAGGACCTAATGCATCATTTTGTTCAGGATTATCTGGAACAGTGTCTTACTCGGTAGCCTATACTCTTTATTTATACTGTTAGGAAGAAAAAAAAAATCAGAAAAGCTTTGATGGCTCCAGGCAAGTTCATGATACTGAGTAATAGAGAGGCAGAAGTGAAACTATTTCACCATTGGTTTTGCCTACTGGTGAAACCATGATGAGACTGAGACTCAGGGGAAGAAAAAGGTAGGAGCCAAGGCTCAATGCTTCTAGAAGTTAATATGTATATGAGTCACCTGGGGATCTTATTAAAAGGTTTAAGCCTGGGGTGGGGCCTGAGATTCTGCCCTACAAACAAGCTTGCAGTGTGTTGATAGTGGACATTAGTGGTCTACACATTGAGTAACTTGGTCTTTAGGTGACTGTTCCCATACCTGTGACTACTGCTTGACACCAGGGGCAGGGAAGGTATTAGGAGACCTTGTGGTAGAAAGATCAGTGGCGACCACCTGCTACTGACTCATTTGGACAAGGCATTATCTTTCCTGGCATCGGTTTTCTCATGTGTAAAATGAGGTAATTAGGCCGGGCGCAGTGGCTCACGCCTGTAATTCCAGCACTTTGAGAGGTTGAGGCGGGCAGATCACTTGAAGTCAGGAGTTCGAGACCAGCCTGGCCAACATGGCGAAACCCCGTCTGTACTAAAAATACAAAAAAATTAGCCGGGCGTGGTGGCAGGTGCCTGTAGTCCCAGCTACTTGGGAGGCTGAGGCACAAGAATCGCTTGAACCCGAGAAGCAGAGATTGCAGTGAGCCAAGATCGCACCACGGCACCCCGGCCTGGGTGACTGAGCGAGACTGTCTCAAAAATAAAAAATAAAATAAAATGAGGTAATTAGAAGAGAGGATTCTAAGATCTCTTCAAGATCTTAAAACTTATTATTCTAAACCTGTTCCTATACATAAAGAAGATTTTATTTAATGTTACATTAATTTCAGATACAAAAAATCTGGGTTTAGAGATTATTAGAGTTTTGTTAAAAATAACTCAAACCTCAAGTTTCCTTTAAAGAAATAATTTTCTCATCACACTTTAAATGCCCATTTTCCAAAATGTGTTTGAGAAATATGAGGTACAGGTTAAAGTTATGACAATACTTTTTCAAACATATAAATTTGTATAGTTCCTTTAAAAATAGTTTCTCTCAAAGAATATTGAATTTGGCTTCAGAGTTAGACAGACCTTCATTCTGGTCTCTGCACTCCATATACTAGCTATTTAACTTCCAGAAGGGCACTTAAACTCTCTGAAGCTCAATTTCCTCATTTATAAAATAGAGATAAAAGTTGAAAGAATGAGCTGGGCGTGATGGCTCACGCCTGTAATCTCAGCACTTTGAGAGGCCGAGGTGGGTGGATCACCTGAGGTCAGGAGTTCGAAACCAGCCTGGCCAACATGGGGAAACCTCATCTCTACTAAAAACATAAAAATTAGCCAGGCCTGGTGGTGGGCGCCTGTAATCCCAGCTACTAAGGAGGCTGAGGCAGGAGAACCACTCAAACCTGGGAGGCGGAGGTTACAGTGAGCTGAGATCGCACCTCTGCACTCCAGCCTGGGCAACAGAGTGAGACTCTGTCTCAAAAAAATAATAATAAATAATAAATAAATTCAAAAAGTTAAAAGAATGTAATGCAAAGATGGAAAATGTGCAGTTTAGGGACATTATTCTTAGCACCGTTAATGCCAGAGAACAATGGAAGAGTGGTGGGAGATGAAGCTGGGTACTTAGGCAGACACTACTTCACAGGGCTCTGGATTTTCTCATTATAATCTTTATCCTCTGAGGATTGTTTTGGTTTCCTGGCAACAGCCAATAGTCAATCAGAATACCGTTCAGTGAGTATGTTGAAAAATAAGGTATCTAAAAACAATGTATTGAGAGAAGTTGATGGAAATGGCAGAGTAAAAATCTCTGAAAATCATCACCATAGAAGCAACAAAAGGCTGTAAAAAATGTTCAGAATCAGTTTTTTCAGAACTCTGCATATTAGCCAAAGACATATAACAATCTGGCAGATGTTTATTCAGGAAAAATGGCTGAATCTTGATAAGAGCAGTGAGTTTTAGGGCATTTAAACTTGCACTATTCTAATCTCCCTCCTTCTAGTTCCACAACAGCCTTAAAAAATGCAGCCTGGCAGCCCCTGGAGGAGGTAAAACACAGTAGCAGCTTCTTCAAAGTCCCATTCCCAGAGAACTGTCACTACATGATGTCTGGTGGTGCCCTAGAAAACCCCATGGACAAAACTGTCTTTATTTGACGTGATTCAAAGCTCATTCAGGTGGCCTGGCACAGTGGCTCACATCTGTAATCCCAGCACTTTGGGAGGCCGAGGTGGGCAGATCACTTGAGGTCAGGAGCTTGAGACCAGCCTGGCCAACATGATGAAACCCTGTCTCTACTAAAAATACAAAATTAGCTAGGTGTGGTGGCACATGCCTGTAGTCCTAGCTACTCAGGAGGCTGAGGCACGAGAATCTATTGAACCCAGGAAGTGAAGGCTGCAATGAACTGAGATCGCGCCTCTGCACTTCAGCCTGGGCCACTGAGCAAGACTCTATCTCAAACAACAACAACAACAACAACACAACCAAAGCTCATTCAGGACAAACCGCTTTTTTCCAGGGTATTTGCTGAAGACAACATTATGGATGCCTGAGGCAGCTGAGTAAATAATAGGCCAACAAAAACAACAAATAATCTCAAAATCAAAAGTTGGGGATGAGAAGTCCTTAGGGTCTTTGAAAAGCTCTGATATATTTAAGGGAATCTAGAAGGCCACTTGCATGCAAAGGGCTATGAATGTGACCAGTGCTACAAAGATGGTCAGGAAAGATCTGAGAACACCCTGAAGCCCTAGTGAGCAGGAAGTGAAAAGCTAAGCCAGAGTTGTAAATTACCTGGCTAAATGTTGAAAGGCCGGCGCAGTGGCTCATGCCTGTAATCCCAGCACTTTGGGAGGCCAAGGCAGGCAGATCCCTTGAGCTCAGGAGTTTGAGACCAGCCTGGGCAACATGGTGAAACCCTGTCTCTACCAAAAATACAAAAATTAGCCAGGCATGGTGGCATGTGTCTGTGTTTGTGGTCCCAGCCGCTCGGGAGGCTGAGGCAGGAGGATACCTTGAAGCAGAGGTTGCAGTCAACCGACATTGTGCCACTGCATTCCAGCCTGGGTGACAGAGTGAGACTCTGTCTCTAAATAAATAAATAAATAAATAAATAAATAAATAAATAACGTGTGCCCCAGCAAACACATAAAGCCTTTTAGCGAAGACTGGGAGAATTACTGCTTCCAGGCATTTAGGGAAATCTCTATCCAGTCATCGGGTGATCACTAAGATAACTGAACAAAGACTTCCATAGTTACATACAATAAAGAATACAGACTTCATAGAATTAGCTCAGGAAAGCTGTGAAACAAACAAATAACAACAACAACAAACAGCAACAACAAAACACCCTAGAGAAGGGGAGATTCTAAATGCCAAAGTTTTCACATTATGTTCTTTTTTTTTTAATTTTACTTTAAGTTCTGGGATACATATGCTGAACACGCAGGCTTGTTACATAGGTATACATGTGCCATAGTAGTTTGCTGCACCCATCCACCCATCAACCCTTCATCTAGGTTTTAAGCCCAGCATGCATTAGGTATTTGTCCTCATGCTCTCCCTATCCCTGCACCCCACCCCCCGACAGGCCCGTGTGTGATGTTCCCCTCCCTGTGTCCATGTGTTCTCACTGTTCAACTCCCACTTATGAGTGAGAACATGCGGTGTTTGGTTTTCTGTTCCTGTGTTAGTTTGCTGAGAATGATGGTTTCCAGTTTCATCCATGTCCCTGCAAAGGACATGAACTCATTCTTTTTTATGGCTGCACAGTATTCCATGGTGCATTTCACATTATATTATTTCAATGACCAGTTTTCAAAAAGAAAACATTAGACAAGGAGCAAGAAATTATAGCCCATACACAGGGCAAAAACCAGTCAATAGAAACTGTCCCAGAGGAAGTCCAAACACTGGACTTATTAGACAAAGACGTTAAATCAGCTGTTTGGTTGAAAAACCAAATGAGGGCCTGGCATGGTGGCTCAGGCCTGTAATCCCAGCACTTTGGGAACCAAGGTGGGGGGTCACTTGAGCCTAGAAGTTCAGGCCTAGCCTGGTCAATATAGATAGACCCTGTCTCTACAAAAAAAATAAAAAAGTTACCCAGGCATGGTGGGAGGTAAATGTTGCGACGAGCCATAATCATGCCACTGCACTCCAGCCTGGGAGACAGAGCAAGATGCTGTCTCAAAACAAAACAACAAAACACACACACACAAACAACAACCAAGGAAAACAAATGTAAATTACTAAAGAAAACTATAAGACTGACGTCTTAAACAGAGAACATAGATAAAAATTATACAAAAAGAAGTAAATAGTAATTCTGAATATGCAAAAGTACAATAACTGAAATAAAGAATTCACTAGAGTAGCTCATTTGCAGATTTGAGCTGGCAGAAGAAAGAATCAGTGAACTTAAATGTAGGTAAATTAAGACCATCCGGTCTGAGGAACAGAAAGGAAAAATAATGAAGAAAAATGAACATAGCCTCAGTGATCTGTGGGACACTGTTAGGAGTTGAATTGTATTCCCCCAAAGGTATGCTGAAGTACTAACCTCCAGTATCTGTCAATGTGACCCTGGAAAAGACCCTTTAGAAAGGGTCTTTACAGATGTAATCAAGTTAAGGTCCAATGACTTCAGGTCATTAGAGCAGACTCTAATCCAAAATGACTGCTGTTCTTACAAGATAGAGAACTTTGGACAAAGAGACAGATACCCCCAGAGAAAAGACTATGTAGATAAAAACAAGGGGAAGGCAGCCATATGACAGACAGAGACAGAGATTAAAGTGAAGCATCTGGTAGTTAGAAATTCCCAGGATTGTCATGGAACCCAAGAAGCTAGAACAGGCAAGGAAGTATTATCTACTGGATACTTCCGAGAGAGCATGGCCCTCCCCACACCTTGATTTAGGACTTCTAGCCTCCAGGAAAGTGAAAAAACACATTTCTGCTATCTTAAACCATTCAAGGCTGTAGTTTGTGAAACGCTGCTATAGTAACCTTAGAAAACTAATACAGACATTAAGTGTAACAACATATGTACAATCAGATGCTCAAAAGGAGAGGAGAGAAAAAAAGAGTAGAAAGAGTATTTGAAGAAATAATGGCTGAAATTTGCCAAATTTGTTGAAAACATTAATATACATGTTCAAGAAACTCACTGAACTCCGAGAAGAATAAATTCAAAGACATCCACACCTGAGTATGTCATAATCAAACTATCGAAAGACAAAGAGAGAATTTAGAAAACAGCAAGAGAAGCATGACCCATTACATACAGGACACCCCCAGTAAGATTAATGGCTGATTTCTCATCAGTAACCACAGAGGCCATTGGGCAAAGGGATGACATATTGAAAGTGCTGAAAGAGGCCAGGCCCAGGGGCTCATGCTTGTAATTCTTGCACTTTGGAACACCGAGGTGGGTGGATCAGCTGAGGTCAGGAGTTCGAGACCAGCCTGGCCAACATGGTGAAACCCCATCTCTACTAAAAAAAAATAAAAAATTAGCTGGGCGTGGTGGCACTCGCCTGTAATCTCAGCTACTCTGGAGTCTGAGGCAGGAGAATCACTTAAACACAGGACGGGGAGGTTGCAGCAAGCGGAGATCACGCCATCGCACTCCAGCCTGGGAGACAAGAGTGAAACTCCGTCTCAAAAAAAAAAAAAAATTGACAAGCCATTACCAGACTCAAGAAAATATTAAAAAATCAAGTTTTCCTTTTTATCAGAACAATAATTTATTGGGAAATATAAGTTTAAAATTCCATTTATAATATCAACCACTACTTTCAGTAGTTACAAAAAAAACAATATTTAAAACTTAAGAAAATTACTGAAGGACATAAAAGAAGATTTGAATACTTGCAAAGATGTTACATGTTCTTGTAAGAGGATCCTCATTTTGTGTAAATGTCCTTATTAATCTACAGGTTTAATGTAATTTCAATAAATAAATCTCAAAAATATTATTATGGGGTGTGGCTTTTTGTGGAAGGATAAGAAAAACCAAGAAAATAAAGCACAGACTTACTTGTCTATCAATACTCACTTTATTATAAAGCTACAGGAATGAACATAAAGATAAAAGGAACAACTTTGGGAAATCTTTATATGTAAGGGAATTTATTTTATTTATTTATTTTACTTTACTATTTTATTATTTTAGAAACAGAGCCTTGCTTTGTCACCCAGGCTGCAGTCAAGTGGCACTGCAGTTCACTAGTGGCACTAGCTCACTGCAGCTTTGAACTCTTGGGCTCAAATGATCCTCTCACCACAGCCTCCCAAGTAACTGGGACTACAGGCACATGCCACTGCCTCCAGCTAATTTGTTTTATTTTAAAATTTTTATTTTGTAAAGACTGTGGTCTCACTTTGTTGCCCATGCTGGTATTGAACTCCTGGCTTGAAGCAATCCTCCCACCTCAGCCTCCCATAGTGTTGAGATTATAGGCAAGAGACCTCCGCGCCTGGCCAGGGAATTTATTATATAATAAAATATCTTTCATAATTATTGGGACAATCAGAGTCTTTATTTTATTTTATTTTATTTTTGAGATGGAGTCTCGCTCTGTCACCCAGGCTGGAGTACAGTGGTGCGATCTCAGCTCACTGCAACCTCTGCCTCCAGGGTTCAAGTGATTCTCCTGCCTCAGCCTCCCAAGTAGCTGGGACTACAGGTGTGCACCACTATGCCCAGCTAATTTTTATATTTTTAGTAGAGACAGGGTTTCACCATGTTGGCCAGGCTGATCTCAAACTCTTGACCTCAAGTGATCCGCCCACCTTGGCCTCCCAAAGTACTGGGATTATAGGTGTGAGCCATCCCATCCAGCCTGAATCAGAGTCTTAACCTGAGACTAACGGATAGGCTTCCAAAGATTCACAAGATCCCTGATGTTTTATGCAAAATTTTATATGTGTGATGTACATATTTTGGGGGAGACTGTCCACAGCTTCCCTTACATTTTTATTTATTTATTACTTTTTTTAAAAAAATTTTTCAAGACGAAGTCTTGCTCTGTCACCCAGGCTGGAGTGCAGGGGTGTGAACTTTGTTCACTGCAACCTCCGCCTCCTGGGTTCAAGCAATTCTCCTGCCTCAGCCTCCTGAGTAGCTGGGATTACAGGCACCTGCCACCACGTCCAACTGATTTTTTGAGACATTTTTAAATGTTCATAGAATCAGCTTGTCAATTTTAGGAAAAAAAAACTGCTTGGATTTTGATTGGGATACTTTGAATCTATACATCAGTTTAGAGACAACTGCAATCTGAACACTATTGAGTTTTCCAGGCCATTTATTTGTGTCTCCTTTAATTTCTCTCAATAATGTTGATAGCTTTGTGTACAGATTTTGCATTTGACAGAATATGAAGCCATTTATGGTGAAAACTTTCAGGATAGTAGCATTAGAAGGATACTACTTCAACGTGGTAGAGGAAAGTCTAAAAAAACGCCTACAGCTAATATTACATTTGACAGTGAAAGAATGAACACTTTACCTCTAAACTGTAGAACAAAGTAAGGATGTCCACTCTCGCCACTTCTATTCAAAATTGTAATGAAGGTCCTAGTGAATAAAATAAGGAAAGAAACAGGAAAAAAGGGCATATGGATTCAAAAGCAAGATGCTAAAGATGTTAAAGACTCTATGAAATGGAAATTAGAACTAATAAGTGATTTCAGCAAGTTTTCAGGGCACAAGATTAATAAACACGTCAATTATATTTCTACATACTAGACACAAACCATTTAAACTTGATATTTTAAAATACCAGTTACAAAACCATCAAAAAAATTAAATACTTGAAATAAATTTAACAAATATGTGCAGGCAAATTTTCTCGGTAATTATTTGCCTCCAATAAGCTGCACCCATTTAAAGTGTACAATTCAGTTACTTTTCTTTTTTGAGACGAAGTCTCACTCTTGTCGCCCAGGCTGGAGTGCAATGGCATGATCTCGGCTCACTGCAACCTCCGCCTCCTGGGTTCAAGCTATTCTCCTGCCTCAGCCTCCTGAGTAGCTGGGATTACAAGCGCCCATCACCATGCCCAGATAATTTTTGTATTTTTAGTAGAGACGGGGTTTCGCCATGTTGGCCAGGCTAGTTTTGAACTCCTGACCTCGTGATCTGCCTGCCTTGGCCTCCCAAAGTGCTGGTGTGTCCGGAATTGGTGGGTTCTTGGTCTCACTGACTTCAAGAATGAAACCGCGGACCCACGCGGTGAGTGTTACAGTTCTTAAAGACAGAGTGCCCTGAGTTTGTTCCTTCTGCTGTTCGGATGTGTTCGGACTTTCTTCCTTCTGGTGGGGTTCATGGTCTCACTGGCTCAGGAGTGAAGCTGCGAATCTTCGCGGTGAGTGTTACAGCTCTTAAGGCGGCGCGTGTGGAGTTGTTCGTTCCTCCCGGAGGGTTCGTGGTCTCCCTGGCTTCAGGAGTGAAGCTGCAGACCTTTGCCGTGAGTGTTACAGCTCATAAAGGCAGTGTGGAGCCAAAGAGTGAGCAGCAGTAAGATTTATTGCAAAAAACGAAAGAACAAAGCATTCACATTGTCGAAGGGGACCCGGGAAGCTTGCCACTGCTGGCTGGGGGAGGGGGGCGGGCAGCCTGCTTTTATTCTCTTTTCTGGCCCCACCCACATCCTGCTGATTGGTCCATTTTACAGAGAACAGCGTGGTCTGTTTTGACAGGGAGCTGATTGGTGCGTTTACAATCCCTGAGCTAGACACAAAAGTTCTCCAGGTCCCCACTAGATTAGCTAGATACAGAGGGTCGATTGGTGCATTCACAAACCCTGAGCTAGACACAGGGTGCTGATTGGTGTGTTTACAAACCTTGAGCTAGATACAGAGTGCCGATTGGTGTATTTACAATCCCCTAGCTAGACATAAAGGTTCTCCAAGTTCCCACTAGACTCAGGAGCCCAGCTGGCTTCACTCAGTGGATCTCGCACTGGGGCTGCAGGTGGAGCTGCCTGCTAATCCCGTGCCTGCGCCCACCCTTCTCAGCCCTTGCGTGGTCGATGGGACTGGGTGCCGTGGAGCAGGCAGCAGCGCTCGTTGGGGAGGCTGGTGCTGCACAGGAGCCCACGGAAGCGGGGTGGGAGGCTCAGGCATGGCGGGCTGCAGGTCCCGAGCCCTGCCCCGCGGGAAGGCAGCTAAGGCCCGGCGAGAAATCGAGCGCAGCGCAGCGCTGGGCCGGCACTGCTGGGAGACCCAGCACACCCTCCGCAGCCTCTGGCCCGGGTGCTAAGCTCCTCATTGCCCGGGGCCGGCAGGGCCGGCCGGCGGCTCCGAGTGCGGGGCCCGCCGAGCCCACACCCACCCAGAACTCGCGCTGGCCCGCAAGCACCGCGCGCAGCCCCAGTTCCCGCCTGCGCCTCTCCCTCCACACCTCCCCGCAAGCTGAGGGAGCCGGCTCCGGCCTCGGCCAGCCCGGAAGGGGCTCCCACAGTGCAGCGGCGGGCTGAAGGGCTCCTCAAGTGCCGCCAAAGTGGGAGCCCAGGCAGAGGAGGCGCCCAGAGCGAGCGAGGGCTGTGAGGGCGGCCAGCACGCTGTCACCTCTCACTGGGATTACAGGTGTGAGCCACCGCACCCGGCCAATTGAGTTACTTTTGATAGTTTTATATTCCCATAAAACCACCATGATCAAAACAGAACAGTGTCACTGCCAAAAGATTCCTCGTGTTCCTTTTTGGACCGTCCCTCCGCTTACCACCAGCCCCAGCAACCTCTGATCTGCTTTTTTAAAGACTATTTATATTTAATATGATTATCAATATAACTGGGTTTCAATATGACATCTTGCTATTTATCTGCTCCTGGTTCCTTCTTCTTTCCTTGATTAATATTGAATTTACTGAATATTGCTTAGGATTCTGTCTCCAGTTAGGATACTGAATATTGCTTAGGATTTTATCTCCACTACAGGCTTTTAAAAAAACGGGCCTATTGGAGAAGGAAACATATTGTGATAACACATTCTCAGTGTTTGCTTTTGAAAATGCCTTCCTGTGTCAAACTCTTTCAGTCACTAAAAGAAAACAGTTTATGATGCAACCTAAAGAAAGCATGCTTACATTTCCCTTTTAAAGCTGGGTATTGTTATTGGCACAATATAATATAGTGCATAATGGGGAAAGAAAAAAGGTTCTAATAACCTAAAGTTTTGCTTAGAAAGTATCTTATTCATGCCGGGTGTGGTGGCTCACGCCTGTAATCCCAGCACTTTGGGAGGCCAAGGCGGGCGGATCACGAGGTGAGGAGATGGAGACCATCCTGGCTAACACAGTGAAACCCCATCTCTACTAAAAATACAAAAAATTAGGCAGAGCTTGCAGTGAGCCGAGATGGCGCCACTGCACTCCAGCCTGGGCGACAGAGTGAGACTCTGTCTCAAATAAATAAATAACTAAATAAATAAATCTTATTCATCAAGCATTTCCATTCACTGAAAGAAAACAGTTAATGATGGATCTTTAAGACAGCAAGCTGCGGCCGGGCACGGTGACTCACGCCTGTAGTCCCAGCACTTTGGGAGGCTGAGGCGAGCAGATCACGAGGTCAGGAGTTGGAGACCTGACCAACATGGTGAAACCCCGTCTCTACTAAAATTACAAAAATTAGCTTGGTGTGGTGGTGCGCACCTATAATCCCAGCTACTTAGGAGGCTGAGGCGGGAGAATTGCTTGAACCCAGGAGGTTGAGGTTGCAGTGAGTAGAGATTGCACCACTGCACTCCAGCCTGGGTGACAGAGTGCCAAAAAAAAAAAAAAAACAAAAACAAGTTAGCCAGGCCAGGCACAGTGGCTCACGCCTGTCACGCCTGTAATCTCAGCACTTTGGGAGGCCAAGGTGGGCAGATCATTTGAAGCCTGGAGTTCGAGACCAGGCTGGCCATCATGGTGAAATCTTGTCGCTACTAAAAATACAAGAATTAGCCCAGCGTGGTGGTGGGTGCCTGTAATCCCAGCTACTGGGGAGGCTGAGGCACAAGAATCACTTGAACTTGAGAGGCAGAGGTTGCAGTGAGCCGAGACTGCGCCACTGTCCTTTAGCCTGGGCGACAAAGCGAGACTCCTCAAAAAAGAAAGAAAGAAAGAAAGAAAGAAAGCTGGCCAGACATGGTGGATCACTCCTGTAATCCCAGCACTTTGGGAGGGTGAGGCAGGAATGATCACTTGAGGCAGGGGTTTGAAACCAGCCTGGGCAACATGGCAAGACCTCGTCTCCACAAAAAAAAAAAAAAAAAAAAAATATATATATATATATGTGTGTGTGTGTGTGTGTGTGTGTGTGTGTGTATTAATACACATATGTGTGTGTATATATATATACACACACACATATTAGCCAGGTTTTGTGGCACACACCTGTAGACCTAGCTACATGGGAGCTTGAGGTGGGAGGATTCCTTGAGCCCAGGAATTCGAGGTTACAGTGAGCTATGATGGCGTCACTGCACTCCAGCCTGGGGACACAGCAAGACCCTGTCTCTTAAAAGAAAGTTCTGTGAGTCACCAATAAGTAAAAACATTGTAGAAAAAAAGAAAGAAAGCTTACATTTACTTTTTATTGGTGGATTTCTCTATTGGCCTACTGGTGCCTATTAAAGAAACATCTCATCATATTCTCCATGTTTGTTTACAAATGCCTTTCTATGTCAGACTCTTCAATTCATTGAAATAAAACAGTTGATGAATCTTTCAGAACTAGCTTTAAAAAAATCACCAAAAATCTAAGGGGTTATATTTCAGGCACTGTTCTAGGCACTGGGGACACAGCAATGGGCAATACAACATCCCTACCTTTCTAAAGCTGATATTCTAGTACACAATTAGACTGTAAGCCAAAATAAATAAGTAAAATATATAGTCTGTGAGGTACACAAATAAAGCATGAGAAGAGGATGGGAAATGTTGGGGGTGGGGCTGCCTGTACATTTTTGATAATAGGCTTTATTTTTTTTGAGCAGTTTGAGGTTAACAGAAAAATTGAGGACAAAGTAGAGTTTCCATATAACTTCTACTCCACAGTTTTCTCTATTAACATCTTGCATTACTGCTGTACATTTCTCACAACTGATGAGCCAGTATTGACACATTATTAATTAAAGTCCATCAATTACCTTAGGTTTCACTCTTTGTGTGTTGCACATGCTATGGATTTTTTTTTTTTTTTTTTTTTTTGAGATGGAGTCTCCCTCTGTTGCCCAGGCTGGAGTGCATTGAGGTGATCTCAGCCGACTGAACCCCCGCCTTCCGGGTTCAAGCGATTCTCCTGCCTCAGCCTCCCGAATAGCTGGGATTACAGGCGCGCCATCACGCCTGGCTAATTTTTTTTGTATTTTTAGTAGAGACGGGTTTCACCATGTTGGTCAGGCTGGTCTTGAACTCCTGACCTCAGGTGGTCCACCCACCTTGGCCTCTCAAAGTGCTGGGATTACATGCATAAGCCACCACGCCCAGCCTACAGTCTATGGATTTTGACGAACATATATAATGATGTGTATCCACCATTACAGTAGAGAACAGGATAGGTTCACTGTCCTAAAAATCCTGTGTTCTGTCTATTCATCCCCGTCTTCCTCCTCACCTATCACTGATCTTTTTATTATAGTATCCCCATAGTTTTCCTTTTTCTAGAATGTCATACAGTTGGTATAGTACAGTGTGTATGTAGGCTTTTCAGATCCACTTTTTACACTTAGCAATTAATATGTATTTAAAGGCTGTAGGTCTGAGTGGTTGCTGCTGAAATGAGCAAGTTCATGAAAACCTGGGAAAGTGGTGTTTGTCCTGGCCATACACTACCCTGGATGCAAAGCCGTCATTGTGAAGAACATTGATGATGGCACCTCAGATCGCCTCTGCAGCCATGCTCTGGTGGCTGGAATTGACCACTATCCCTGCAAAGTGACAGCTGCCATAGGCAAGAAGATAGCCAAGAGGTCAAACATCAAGTCTTTTGTGAAAGTTTATAACTACATCAAATCATCTACTGCCCACAAGGTACTCTGTGGATATCCCCTTGGACAAAACTGTTGTCAGTAACGATGTCTTCAGAGATCCTGCTCTTAAACGCAGGGCCCGAAGAGAGGCCAAGGTCAAGTTCCAAGACAGGAACAAGATGGGCAAGAACGAGTGGTTCTTCCAGAAGCTATAGTTTTAGATGCTTTGTTTTGGTCATTAACAATTTTGAAAATATATGCATTTAAGGCTCTTCCATGTCTTTTAGTGACTCAATAACTGATTTCTTTTTATTGCTGGATAATGTTACGTTGTATGGATGCACCACAATTTATCCAACTACCTATTGAGAGAAATCTTTGTTGCTTCCAACTTTTGACAGTTATGAATATAGCTGCATTTGTGTGCATGTTGTTGTGTGGATATCTTTTTTTTTTTTTTTTTTTTTTTTGGACATGGAGTCTTGCTCTGTTACCAGGCTGGAGTGCAATGGCACAATCTCTGATCACTGCAACCTCTGCCTTCTGGGTTCAAGCATTTCTCCTGCCTCAGCCTCCCAAGCAGCTGGGACTACAGGCGCGTGCCACCGCACCCAGCTAATTTTTGTATTTTTAGTAGAGATGTGGTTGGCCAGGAGGGTCTCGATCTCCTGACCTGGTGATCCGCCTGCCTCAGCCTCCCGAAGTTCTGGGATTACAGGCATGAACCACCGCACCTGGCCAGATATCAGTTTTTAACTCATTTGGATAAATATCAAGGAAGCACAGTTACTGGATTATGTAGCAAGAGTATGTTTAATTTTTTAAGAAAATGCCAAAGGGTCTGTATCATTTTCAATTATGAATGAGAGTTTCCATTGCTCAGCATCCTCACCTGCATTTGATATTGTCAGTGCTTTGGATTTTGGTCATTCTAATAGGTGTATGTTGGCATTTCATTGTTGTTTTAATTTGAAATTCCCTAGTGACCTATGAGGTTGGGCACCCTTTCATATGTTTACTTGGCATCTGTATATATTATTTGGATGTCTGTGTAGATACTTTGCTCAATTTGATTGGGCTGTTTTCTTACTGTTGACTTTTAAGAGTTCTTTGAACATATTGGACATCAGTTCTTCCTCTCTTATCTTTTAGTAGCTTTCTAAATTTTTAAATTTATTTTTTCATAAAGGGTCTTGCTCTGTCACCTACACTGGAGTGCAGTGGCACCAAAAAGGCTCACTACAGTCTTGACACCCCAGGCTCAAGTGATGCTCCTACTTCAGCCTCTCAAGTAGCTGGGACTACAGGTGTATGCTACCACACCAGGCTAATTTTTAAAACTTTTTTGTAGAGACAGGGGCTTGCCATGTTGCCCAGGCTGGTCTCACATTCCTGAGCTCAAGTAATCCTCCCACCTCAGTCTCCCAAAGTGCTGGGAATATAAGCATGAGCCATCGTGCCCGGTTTAGTAGCCTTTTAAAGGTTCCACATATAATTAAAATTATGCAGTATTCTTCTGTGTCTAGCTTAGTCCAACCAGCATAATGTCCTCTAGGTTTATCCATGGTGTTGCAAATTCCTTTATCCATTCATCTGTCGACAGACACTTAGGCTGTTTCCATATCTGGGCTATACTCTCTGAATAATGCTGCTAAAACATGGGAGTGCGGAGATCTTTTTTTTTCCCTTTCTGTACTTTTTTTTTTTTTTAGATGGAGTCTTGCTCTGTCACCAGGCTGGAATGCAGTGGCACGATCTCAGCTCACTGCAACCTCCACTGCCCAGGTTCACGTGATTCTCCTGTCTCAGACTCCCGAGTAGCTGGGATCACAGGCATGCACCACCATGGTCAGCTAATTTTTGTATTTTTAGTAGAGAGAGCGTTTTCACCATATTGGCCAGGCTGGTCTTGAACTCCTGGCCTCAGGTGATCCACCTGCCTCGGCCTCCCAAAGTGCTGGGATTACAGGTGTGAGCCACAGCACCCCGCCTCTTTCTGTACTTGAATGGATGAAAACAGCTATCTTTATGATGTACTGATTTCACTGCCTTTTCGGAAGATACCCGGAAGAGAGATACTTCCTCTCTTATCTTTTATCATATCTGGATCATATGGTAGCTCCGTGTTTATTTTTTTCGATGTAACTATGCTGTTTTCCATAATGGCTGTACCAATTTATACTCCCACCAACAGTGTACAAGCGTTGCCTTTTCTCCACACCTTCACTGACACTTAATGATTATCTTAATAAGTGTGAGGTAGTATCTCATTGTGGTTTTAACTTGCATTTCCACGATTAGTGATATTGGGCACCTTTTCACATACCTGTTGGCCATTTTTATGCCTTCTTTGGAAAAATGTTCAGGTCCTTTGCCCATTTAATAACTGGGTTATTTATGCCATTGGGCTATTTATTTTTGCTATTTAGTTGTGAGTTCTTTATATATTTTGGATATTAACCCCTTATCAGATATATGGTTTGCAAGGCCAGGCTCATGCCTGTAACCCTAGCACTCTGGGAGGCCAAGGCAGGCAGATCACCTGACATCAGGAGATCGAGATCAGCCTGACCAACATGGTGAAACCCCGTCTTTACTAAAAATACAAAAATTTGCTGGGAGTGGTGGAACATGCCTTAGTCCCAGCTACTCGGGAAGCTGAGGCAGGAGAATTGCTTGAATTGCCTGGGAGGCAGAGGTTGTAGTGAGCTGAGATTGCACCATTGCACTCCAGCCTCGGTGACAGAGCGAGACTCTGTCTCAAAAAAAAAAAAAAAAAAAAAAAAAAAGATATATGGTTTGCAAATATGTCCCAAGTGTGGGTTACCTTTTAATTTCGTTAATTGTTTCCTTTGCTATTCAGAAGCTTATTAGTTTGATGTGATCCCACTTGTTTTTGCTTTTGTTGCCAGACCTTTTGGTGTGGTATCCAAAAACATTATTGTTAAGGCCAATGTCAGGAAGTTTTCCTATGTTTTCTTCTAGGATTTTTACAGTTCCAGGTCTTATGTTTAAGTATTCATTCAATTTTGAATTGATTTTTGTGCATAGTGGAAGGGTCTAATTTCATTGTTTTGCATGTGGATTTTCAGTTTTCCCAGCTTAATTTGTTGAAAAGATGGTCTTGGCATCCTTACCAAAAACCATTTAACCATATCAGTGAAGGTTTATTTTTGGAGTCTATTCTGCTCCATTGTTCTATGTGTCTGTTTTCACATCAGTACCGTAATATTTTGATGACAGCCTTATAATATAAGTTGAAATCAGGAAGAATGATGCCTCAACATTGTTCTTTTTTTTTTTTTTTGAGATGGAGTTTTGCTCTTTTTGCCCAGGCTGGAGTACAATGGCGTGATCTCGGTTCACCACAACCTCCGCCTCCCGGGTTCAAGCAATTCTCCTGCCTCAGCCTCCCGAGTAGCTGGGATTACAGACATGTGCCACCACACCCAGCTAACTTTGTATTTTTAGTAGAGATGGGGTTTCGCCATGTTGGTCAGGCTGGTCTCGAACTCCCGACCTCAGGTGATCTGCCTGCCTTGGCCTCCCAAAGTGCTGGGATTACAAGTGTGAGCCACCGTGTCTGGCCCAACATTGTTCTTTCTTAAGACTGTGTTGGTTATTTAGGGTCTTTCTTGGTTCCATACACATTTTAGAATTTTTTCTATTTCTATGAATGATGCCTTTGGAATTTTCATAGAAATTGTGTTGAATCTGTATTCTGGATAGTACACAGGCATTTTAACCATTTTTCCAATCCATGAATATGGGATACATTTCCAATTTATATCTTCTTCAATT